>NC_000007.14:32115242-32740242 GCF_000001405.40 Homo sapiens
TAAAGAAAATGTGGTACATATACACCACAGAATACTATGCAGCCATAAAAAAAGAATGAGATTATGTTCTTCGCAGGGACATGGATGAAGCTGGAAGTCATCATCCTCAGCAAACTAATACTGGAACAGAAAACCAAACACCGCATGTTCTCACTCATAAGTGGGAGTTGAACAATAAGAGCATGTGGACACAGGGAGGGGAACAACACACATCAGGGCCTGTTGAGGGGAGGGGAGTGAGGGAGGGAGAGCATCAAGACAAATAGCTAATGCATGCGGGCCTTAAAACCTAGATGACTGATTAATAGGTTCAGCAAACCACCATGGCACATGTATACCTATATAACAAACCTGCACATTCTTCACATGTATCCCGGAACTTAAAGTACAATAAAAAAAGAAAATATAAGCCAAAATGCCAACAACTTTAGACAATCTGCCAAATAGTTGGTCGACAATAGTGTAACAGTTTAATCATTATGGGATACAATTATAAATGTAGGAGACTTCATTCCCCAATTCCTTTGCCCTTTTAGCTTCTCTTCTTTGTCCCCAGCTCTCTGAGGAAAGAAAGAATGAAAACTATACAGACAGATTCTGAAGAGAACTGTCATCAGAGGCAAGAATTCTACCCCCAGTGAGACTTTGCCCAGGGGAAAGATGTGACTTGTCAGCAATCCATCACACAAAGTTGTGCATGACTAAGAGACCAAGATGGCAGGGAAAAAATGGCATGGGTGAAAGAGGTCTACTCAAGTATGAGAAAAATCTCAGGAAATTGGGATACTACAAAGAGAAACAATGAGAGACTTTAAAAAGAATTTTCTTAGACCAAGCCCTTAAGATTCCTAAAACATTAGAAAGGCATAAGCACAATTAAGGTATTGTCCTTAAATATGACACTTCCGTGGGATGGAACTACAGGGTGCTTTGAAACTTCATGTGATGATTTTATAGCATCTTAGTCAATGCATTTCCCCTTTTATTTCTGCACCTACAACTGTAATGTCATGCTTATATGCTATTCAATTTGTAGAAGACTTGATGCACTTATCTTCCTTCTAGCACAGAGCTATACTTACTTCATTGCCAAAGGATGCTTCTAACTGTACTCAGAAAACCCCATAAGATAATACACCTGCTATTCTCGGGGGAATAGGAGAAGAGTGTCCTTATTGCCTCTGATCAAAGCTGACACATCATAATAACCAAGAAGCAGGCAGGGGTTTGTCAGATTTATTCCAAGTAAACACCTTAATGACCTCCCCAAATGGCAGGGGGCCTGCTCATAATAGGTGCATACATATGTAAAACAGCAAAAGAGAAGGTGCCAGAATTTTTCTGCCACCTGTATTTTCCTCTCCTGATTCACCACCTGGGGAGAGAGGAATGATGAGCTGTTGGAAACCACAGAAGGTGCAGTAACCTTGAAAATCTGGAAGCTGAGGAAGCAGTGAGCTAGAGAGTGAGAAGCCAGAATACAGGAGGTTGACCTGAAAGCCTTGTCAGTCCACATTCCCTATTAGATAATTTTTGTCCCCTTTTGCTATTGCTTAGAACTACAAATTTATGGAATTATAAAGCTTATGTCCCTTATAATCACATGGTCATTTCTTCCCAGAGCTTTAGTCACATCTCTGGACAAGTTCATCTACAGCACCCTATAGACCATTTCATGGCAATAAGCATCCAGAGTGTTAACACTCCTCATCTCACTATGACTTCCTGAACCATATGGGGAAAGCACTTTTATACACAAGTTATTGCTCAACTACACAAGTGAAAAATCTCTACCTCTTGGCTCCTCAGAGTAAATAGATGCAAAAGGCAGAAATCAAAACTTTCATTTGGTAGGCATCTAGAAGCCCATCAGTAGGAAAATATCCTTGAAATTTCTACCTATTTTGATATGGTCAACTTCTCTTTCTATCCAAACCTCTGTAGAGGTTTTGTTTTAAAGGTCAAAAGGAAAATATGAAGAATCTCAAGCAGTTTGTCTAGATAGGCTTTCAAAACTATTTGACAAAAAACTATGGCCACGCTCCACTAATAATAATAACAACTATAAGAAAACTATGTCATATGTAACCAGAACTGTATAGTTCATACGATGATTTCACATATGAGATTCCTTCTGGGCCTCAGGGCCTATGAATGCAGATGTGTTAGGCTCTTCTATAGGTAATAAAACTGAGCCCCCTAGCAGTTTATAGACCTGCTCAAAATTATTATCAGAGCCATAACTGGAACCTAAGCCTTCTGACTACAGTATAGAACCCTTTCTCCTCTTTATGTTTTCAAGTCTTTTACCCTCATTTTAACAGTTGGTCAGTTTACCACAAATGTGGACACACACATACACATATACACATGTGCATACCAGGATCTACATTAATGTCCCCTCTTTCATTCCTAATGCTTGTAATTTGTCCTTTCACTTATTTTCTTGATCACTCTGGCTAGAGGTGTGTTTCTTATGGCAGGTTGCAGTCAAGAGTGTTCAAAATCTACTGCTCACTTTTCTTTCCTGAATGACTAAAGAAATTCTGGAATAGAGTGAGTTATTGATAAATTAAATTGGTCTCGTACTTTTAATTTAAAGGTTGGGGGAAGGGGTGTTGTTGTGAACTCATCAGCCAAAAGAATTCAGGCTTCTTCCCATCCACTCTCAAGAGGGAGCCAGCTGGGATCTGCATCCTTGAGGGCTGGTTTCTGTTACCCTAAAGGAAGCTTTAACAGGACAATGTTTTAGGAGAGATTGAGCAAGAGGAGGACAAGCTGGACACTGATGCAACAAGAGGAAGACAGACTTGTCTTTTCCCTAAGGGTTGGATTCCCAGAGCCTGGGAAGTCATGCGAGTGCTTTGGGGAAAAAGGGCTAAGGAGAGAGTGGAGGGTTACATGGCATCGCCATGGTTAAATATGCAGTCAGTGGGGAAGGATCCTGTGAGCATCACCACAGACAAGTATAGAAGCAGAACCTGACAGCATAAAGGACCAGGTCCCAAAAGGAACATCTGTGAGCAGATAGAGAAATATTCACAATGTGATCACCGTGGACTTAAGGCCAGGCTCTTTCTTTACTGTTCAAGAATATATAAGTGCTAAGGTCCTTGCATGATTCAGTAGAGAGGAAAAAGCCCCAATAAAAATGAATATTAGAATTCTTCCCCTAACCGTAGCTAGTGAGGCTTAGAGCCGAGTTTGATTTTATTTTCAAAAATAAAAATAAAACGTGACCTTCCTTTACCTTATCTTATAGTCTTGTTCCTGCTGCTACAATAGAATTACCAAAGACTTCATAATTTATGGTGAACAGAAATTTATTTGGTTCACTGTTCTAGTGGTTGGGAAGCCACAGAGCATGGTGCTGGCATCTGGTGGAAAGGCAAACAAGCACACAAGACAGAGAGGGAATGGGGACTGAATTTCATCTTTTTATCAGGAGCCCACTCTGTGAAAACCAGCCTACTCCCAAGAGAACATTAATCCATTCATGAGGGCAGAGTCTTCATGACTTAATCACCTCTCAAAGGTCCTACTTCTTAATACCATCATGATGGCAATTAAATTTCAACCTGAGTTTCAGATGGGACTTTCAAACCACAGCATACCTCTAAGTTGTAAAGCATTTTGCAGTTTCTCTAGATCATTTGTGATACTGTGGTAATATGGCCAACTTGTGCTCCTACCCAAAACTTCTAGAAGAATTCCTCCAGGATGGGGGGTAGAGGCAGTATCAAGCCAGATAATGTGTGGGAGGGTGCCCAAGGCATGGGGACAGGGAAGCTGGGAAGCTCAAAGGAACCAGCCTCAATGGCAAGCTGGAAGCTAGTTTTTATTTTCCCTTCTCTCTCTCTCTCCCACTGAATCCCTGCCGTTCACATCAATCATGGATATCCTTGGACATCCTCTATTTATGCTCAAATTCCAAGTCTACCAAAAAACTCAAGGGGATTCTGAGAAAACTGGAAGGAAGGGAGACTGCAAACACTCTAACTACTAAGCCAAAACTGCCAGCTGAAAACCTACAAAATGACATTGAAAAGCCCCAGGTTACGCCAAGGTCTTAACTACAACTCCAGGCTTGCCTCACTTCAGGCTCCTGTTGGTAGCTGCCAAAGGGGTCTCAGGAAAGCAACAGCTTCATGGGAAATGTCCTAGTTTCCATAATAGCCTGAAACTAAATTACAGCAAGGCTGGTAAACTTTCCAAACACTGAAAGTTTCAGGTGGTTGGCAACTCAAAACATAATGAGAGATGACCGACTAGAAGCAGCTGCAACCAGAGGCTCCCATCAAAAAGAACCATAATAGCGTGTAAATCCTGCACCAGCAAGCAAGGTATCCAGATTCTCTCAACAGAAGTGACTAGGCTGCTGGCATGATCCACAGAGAGGAAGGAAGAGCAGTGTGGTGCAGCAGCCCACCTGAGAGCCACACGGGGCAAGGAAGCCCCCACCCCCTAGCCAAGGCCGGCGGTGAGTGAGCCTGCTACCCAGCCATGCAACCCATGGATCAGAAGATCCCACTCAGGGACCCATGCCTCCAGGGCATAGGGTCCCAACCTTGAAGTCCTGCGGATTCTCAACAGCCTCTCAGCTAGAATCTGCTTAAGCCAGCCAAGTTTCCCGGGGGAAGGGCAATCAGCACCACAGCTGTGGCTGCCTGCTGTCAAAGCCATTTGAGCTCCTTGGGAGAGGGGCCACAGCCAGCACTGGGACTCATAACTGCCTAACATGCTAAGTTCCCTGGGTCGGGGAAGGGCAGCATCCCTCTCTATAGCTCCAGGTCACGCTTTTCCCCTGCTAGAGCCAGGGAGGCTGGACAGCTTCATCCCTAGAGGTGCCCCCCACAGCCCCACACACCAGCTGTGTTAGACGGCGGCCAGAGCGCCTCTTCAGGCCTGACCCTGACTCATCCTTCCTCACGGGGCAGGGCCTCCCTGAAGGAACTCCAGCAACTCCAGCCAGAGGCTCAGGGACAGAACCCTGATCTCCCTGGGCCTGAGCCCCTAGGGGGAAGGGTGGCCGCAGTCTCTGCAGACCGTCATACTTAGCCTTTCCTCTTGGTAGTTCTGAGGAATCTGGGCAGCCCAGACAAGTGGGTTTCCCCCCAGGCAAAGCATACCCTCTCCACCAGGGAACAGTCAAAGTGCTTCATTAAGCAGGTCCTGTTCCCCATGCCACCCAACTGGTATAGCGGTTGTCAGACACCCTATACGAGCATTCCTACTGGCATCAGGTTGGTACCCCACGAGGTCAGAGATCCCAGAAGAAGGAGCAGGCACCAGTCTTTGTTGTTCTCCATCCTCCTTGAGTGATATCTCCAGGCACAGGGGTGAACCAGATGAATAGGGCCTGAAATGAATCCCCAGTAAAGACAGCAGCCCTCCAGAAGCGCAACCTGACCATTGAAAGAAAAACAAACAAACAGAAAGCAACAACAACAAAAGTCCCCCCAAAAAACCCCATCCAAGGTTCAGCAGCCTCAAGGATTGAAACTAAACAAACTCATGAAGATGAGAAAGAATCAATGAAAAAAATGCTGAAAACCCAAAAGGCCAGGTGCCTCTTCTCTCCTCCAAATGATCGCAGTGCCTCTCCAGCAAGGGTTCAGAGCTGAACTGGGGATGAGATGGACGAATTGACAGAGGTAGGCTTCAGAAGATGGGTAATAAAAAACTCCACTGAGCTAAAGGAGCGTGTTCTAATCCAATGCAAAGAAGCTAAGAATCTTGATAAAAGATTAGAGAAGCTGCTAACTAGAATAACCAGTTTAGAGAAGAACATAAGTGACTTGATGGGGCTGAAAAACACAACACAAGAACTTCAAGAAGCATACACAAGTATCAATAGCTGAATCAATCAAGCAAAAGAAAGGATATCAGAGTTTGAAGACCACCTTGCTGAAATAAGGCATGCAGACAAGGATACAGAAAAAAGAATGAAAAGGAATGAACAAAGCCTCCAAGAAATATGGGACTATGTAAAAAGACCAAACTTACAATTGATTGGAATACCTGAAGGAGACAGGGAGAATGGAAACAAGTTGGAAAACACACTTTAGGATATTATCCAGGAGTACTTCCCTAACCTAGCAAAACAGACCAACATGCAAATTCAGGAAATACAGAGACACCACCAAGATACTCCATGAGAAGATCAACCCCAAGACACATAATCGTCAGATTCTCCAAGGTTGAAATGAAGGAAAAAATGTTAAGGGCAGCCAGAGAGAAAGGCCAGGTCATCTACATAGGGAAGCCTAACAGACTAACAACAGACCTTTCAGCAGAAACCCTACAAGCAAGCCAGAAAAAATTGGGGGCCAATTTTCAACATTCTTAAAAGAAGAAATTTCAACCCAGAGTTTCATGTCCAGCCAAACTAAGCTTCATAAGTGAAGTGATTCCAGACAAGCAAAGGCTGAGGGATTTCGTCACCACCAGGCCTGCCTTGCAAGAACTCCTGAAGGAAGCACTAGATATGGCAAGGAAAAACCAGTACCAGACACTGCAAAAACACACCAAAATATAAAGACCAATGACACTATGAAGAAACTGCATCAACTAGTGTGCAAAATAACCAGATATCATCATGATGACAGGATCAAATTCACACATAATAATACTAACCTTAAATATAAATGGGCTAAATGCCCCCAATTAAAAGACACAGACTGGCAAATTGGATACAGTCAAGACCCATTGGTGTGCTATATTCAAGAGACCCATTTCATGTGCAAAGACACACATAGGTTCAAAATAAGGGGAAGGAGGAAAATTTACCAAGCAAATGGAAAGCAAAAAAATAGCAAGGGCTGCAATCCTAGTCTCTGACCAAACAGACTTTAAACCAACAAAGATCAAAAAAGAAAAAGAATGACATTACATAATGGTAAAGGGATCAATTCAACAAGAAGAGCTAACTATCCTACATATATATGCATCCAATATAGGAGCAGCCAGATTTATAAAATAAGTTCTTAGAGACCTACAAAGAGACTTAGACTCCCAAACAATAATAGTGGGAGACTTCAACACCCCACTTTCAATATTAGATCAATAAGACAGAAAATTAACAAGGATATTCAAGACTTGAAGTCAGTTCTGGATCAAGTGGACCTAATTGACATCCACAGAACTTTCCACCCCAAATCAACAGAATATATGTTCTTCTCTGTGCCACATGGGACTTATTCTAAAATCAACCACATAATTGGAAATAACACACTCCTCAGCAAATGCAAAAGAACTAAAATCATAACAGTCTCTTAGACCACAATGCAATCAAATTAAAACTCAGGATTAAGAAACTTACTCAAAACCACACAATTACATGGAAATTGAACAGCCTGCTCCTGAATGACTCCTGGGTAAATAATGAAATTAAGGCAGAAATCAAGAAGTTCTTTGAAACCAATGAAAACAAATACACAGCATACCAGAATCTCTGGGACACAGCTAAAGCAGGGTTAAGAGGGAAATTTATAGCACTAAATGCCCACATCATAAAGCTACAAAGATCTCAAATTGACACCCTAAAAACACAATTAAAAGAGCTAGAGAAGCAAGAGCAAACTAATCCAAAAGCTAGCAGAAGACAAGAAATAACCACGATCAGAGCAGAATTGAAGGAGACAGAGACATGGAAAACCCTCCAAAAAATCCATGAATCCAGGAGCTGGTTTTTAAGAAATTAACAAAATAGATAGACTGCTAGCTAGACTAATAAAGAAGAAAAGAGACAAGAATAAAATAGACACAATAAAAAATGATGACGGGGATATCACCACTGACCCACAGAAATACAAACTACCATCAGAAAATACTATAAATACCTCGACACAAATAAACTAGAAAATCTAGAAGAAATAGATAAATTCCTGGACACATACACCCTCCCAAGACTAAACCAGGAAGAAATCAAATTCCTGAATAGACCAATAACAAGTTCCAAAATTGAGGGAGTCATTAATAGCCCACCAACCAAAAAAAGCCTAGTACCACATGCATTCACAGCCAAATTCTAGCAGAGGTACAAAAAGGAGCTGGTACAATTCCTTCTGAAACTATTCCAAACAACTAAAAGAAGAGACTTATTTCTAACTCATTTTATAAAGCCAGCATCATCCTGATACCAAAACCTGGCAGAGACACAATAAACAAAAAAAAACTTCAGACCAATATCCCTGATGAACATCAATGTGAAAACCTCAATAAAACACCGGCAAACCACTGGCACATCAAAAAACTTATCCTCCATGATCAAGTTGGCTTCATCCCTGGGATGCAAGGCTGGTTAAACATATGCAAATAAATAAACTTAATCCATCACATAAACAGAACCAAAGAAAAAAATCACATGATTATCTCAATAGATGCAGAAAGGGCCTTCGATAAAATTCAACATCCCTACATGTTAAAAACTCTCAATAAACTAGGCATTGATTGAACATATCTCAAAACAATAAAAGCTATTTATTACAAACCCACAGCCAATATCATATTAAATGGGCAAAAGCTTTAAGCATTCCTTTAGAAAACTGGTACAAGACAAGGATGCCCTCTCTTACCACACCTATTCAACGCAGTATTGGAAGTTCTGGCCAGGGCAATTAGGCAAGAGAAAGGAATAAAGCGTATTCAAATACGAAGCAAGGAAGTCAAATTGTGTCTGTTTGTGATGACGTGATTCTATATTTAGAAAACCCCACCATCGCAGCCCAAAAACTCCTTAAGCTGATAAGCAACTTCAGCAAAGTCTCAGGATACAAAATCAATGTGCAAAAATCACAAGCATTCCTTTACACAAACAATTGACAAGCAGACAGCCAAATCATGAATGAACTCCTATTCATAATTGCTACAAAGAGAATAAAATACCTAGGAATACAGCTAACAAGGGACATGGAGGACTTCTTCAAGGAGAACTACAAACCACTGCTCAAGGAAATGAGAGGACACAAACAAATGGAAAAACATTCCATCCTCATGGGTAGGAAGAATCAATAGCGTGAAAATGGCCATATTGACCAAAGTAGTTTATAGATTCAATGTTATTCCCATCAAACTACCACTAACATACTTCACAGAATTAGAAAAAAATACTTTAAATTTCATATGGAATCAAA
Source organism: Homo sapiens (assembly GCF_000001405.40). Classification (NCBI taxonomy): domain Eukaryota; kingdom Metazoa; phylum Chordata; class Mammalia; order Primates; family Hominidae; genus Homo; species Homo sapiens. Next base: position 32,124,377 of record NC_000007.14, read on the forward strand.
GAAGACCCCACATAGCCAAGACAATCCTAAGGAAAAAGAAAAAAGCTGGATGCATCATGCTACCTGACTTCAAACTATACTACAAGGCTACAGTAACCAAAACAGCATGGTACTGGTACCAAAACACACATATAGACCAATGGAACAGAACAGAGACGTCGGAAATACACCACACATCTACAACCACCTGATCTTTGATGAACCTGACAAAAACAAGCAATGAGGAAAGGATCTCCTATCCAATAAGTGGTGCTAGGAAAACTGGCTAGCCATATGCAGAAAACTGGCTAGCCATATGCAGGAAACTGAAACTGGACCCCTTCCTTACACCGTATTCAAAAATTAACTCAAGATGGACTAAAGACTTAAGTGTAAAGCCCTAAACCATAAAAACCCTATGAGAAAACCTCAATACCATTCAGGACATAGGCATGGGCAAAGATTTCATGATGAAAATGCCAAAAGCAATTGCAACAAGAGCTAAAATTGACAAACGCAATCTAATTAAACTAAAGAGCTCCTGTACAGCAAAAGAACTATCATTAGAGTAAACAGGCAACCTACAGAATGGGAGAAAATTTTTGCAATCTTTCCATCTGACAAAGATCTAATATCCAGAATTTACAAGGAACTTAAACAAATTTACAAGAAAAAAGCAACCCCATCAAAAAGTGGGCAAATGATATGAACAGACACTTTGCAAAAGAAGACATTTACATGGCCAACAAATATATGAAAAAGAGCTCTACATTACTGATCATTAGAGAAATGCAAATCAAAACCATAACGAGATACCATCTCACGCCAGTCAGAATGGCAATTATTAAAAAGTCAAGAAACAATAGATGCTGGTGAGGCTATGGAGAAATAGGAACACTTTTACACTGTTGGTGGGAATGTAAATTAGTTCAATAATTATGGAAGACAGTATAGCAATTCCTCAAGGATCTAGAACCAGAAATACCATTTGACCCAGTAATCCCATTACTGGGTATATACCCAAAAGAATATAAATCGTTCTACTATAAAGATGCATGTACATGTATGTTCACTGCAGCACTATTTACAATAGCAAAGACATGGAACCAACCCAAATGCCTATCAATGATAGACTGGATAAAGAAAATGTGGTATATATACATCGTGGAATACTATGCAGCTGTAAAAAGGAATGAGATCATGTCCTTTGCAGGGACATGGATGAAGCTGGAAGCCATAATCCTCAGCAAACTAACACAGGAACAGAAAACCAAACACCACATGTTCTCACTCATAAGCAGGAGTTGAACAACGAGAACACATGGATAGAGGGAAGGGAACAACACACATCAGGGCCTGTTGGGGGTTGGGGGGCGAGGGGAGGGAACTTAGAGGATGGGTCAACAGATGCAGCAAACCACCATGTCACACGTATATCTATGTAACAAACCTGCACATTCTGCATATGTATCCTAGAACTTAAAGTAAAATTTAAAAAAAAGAAAAAACATAATGGGATAAAATAATTAAGAAGCAAGCTGTTCTCCAGCAGTTTCTGGAGTGCCCCTGCTGGTCACATGCCTCAAGACACTGGACCTACACATTATAGGTAAACTTAATAGATGCAGAATTGGAACTATTGGGGCAGACACCTGTCCCAATATGATTGAGAAATTTGACCATGAAGAAGTTTACTTTTGATAACTTGAGGAATGAAACAGGAATCATGGTTAATCATTATTGTTTTTGTTTTCCTAGAACCTTTCTGGTCACTGGAAACCATTATTCCTGCATAAAAGAAAGTTCTGAAAGAACCAGTGAATCACAGAAACCCAATCCACTATTCTAGATAGATAGATAGATAGATAGATAGATAGATAGATAGATAGATTCATTTAAATATCAATGCAACTCTATGAAATATGCACTGTGATTATCTCCTTTATATAAATGGGAAACTGAGACCAAGAAAAATAAGGTAACTTACTCAAGGAAGAGTGGCAGAGCCAGGTTCTGAACTCAGGCCGTCTGGCTCCAGACTCCAGGCATTTAAACATTAAATGACACTATAGCTGTCACTCATAAGTATATAAAGAGCACAATGAAAGGTAACCTGCTAATTTTGTTCACTGACAAACAGGGAGTCTGGCTAGATAACTAAGGAAAAAGTAAATAACACAGGATCTATGAAAAACTGATGTATTACAGAGTTTGGAAAGCTCAATTTGCATAACTCAGAAAAGGAGTATATCTGTGACAATAATCTAAAGATGGAAGCAGAAAACAATTTTAGATAACTATTTGTCATCCCCAATATCATAGTACAAAAAGGTATAGTCTCTATGAAATAGAAGAGTGAAATAATAGGGATAAACTAAACTAAAATTTTACTACACAAAAAAAGAGAGGTACTGGACTAGATAAGGAAGACTTACAAGAAAATAAAAAGTACAATGGCTGAATTAAAATCAAATTAGAAGTAAAGTGTAGAATGAACCTTGAAGATAATTGAGGCAATGTGACAGTTAATTTTGTGTGTCAATGTGACTGGGCCACAAGATGCCCAAACATTTGGCCAAGCATTACTCTGAGTATACGTGTGAGAGTGTTTCTGGATAAGATTAACATTTGAATTGGTAGACTGAAAAAAGCAGGTTGCCCTCCCCAGTGTGAAAGGGCCTCATCCAATCAGTTGAGGGCCTGCACAGAACAAAAAAGGCTGTCAATCCTGCCTGACTGGCTTGAGTTGGGACATTAATTCTTTTCTACCTTTGCACTCAACTGAAACATCAGCTCTTTCTGGGTCTTTAGCCTGCCAGCCTTCAGAAGAGAATAATACCATCTGCTCTCTCTGGTCACCAGACTCCCAACTGCAGATCTTGGGACTTGTCAGCCTCCATAGTTCCATGAGCTAATAATTTTTATAATAAATCTCTTTCTATATTTGCATAAATATACGTCCTATTGGTTCTGTACCTCTGGAGAACCCTGACTAATACAGGCAATAATGTAGAAGACCAATTTAAATGTTCTTTAGAATACAGAGAAAATAACTGAAAGAGTACTTTACTATAATAGGAACTCCTGAAGAAAAGACAGAACCAATGAAACAAGAGTTACAACCAAAGACATAATAGAAAAAAACTTTCCTGGGTTAATCTTCAAATGCTATGATTTTCTACCAGCAAAACTAAAAATAGAACCAAATAAGAAGTCAGGAAAAGAAAGTAACAAATTATATTATTTTAAAAATTACTTTCTCATATATCAACAATAAGCAAGACAATATAATAGGGGGAGACAGTCTTCTAATAGCAACAATAAAATATAAAATGCCTAGAAATAAGCATAACAAAAATCATATCAAAAATTAATAAGGACTAGTATAAGAAGAACACATCAGTTCCTGGACTGTGACACTCAATATTGTAAAGATGTAAATTATCCCCTATTTAACCATAAAGTTAGTATAATTTCAACGGGACTTTTTAGAAGTATGTCAAAGATACTCTAAGTTTTACCTTGAAGAATAAATGTATACATTCATTATGTTGTTTCTAGGAAAAAGAAAAGGACAGCAATGAAAAGAAACTTACCCAATCGGATAATAATATGTACATTAAAAAGCTATAGTAAATACAATAATGTTATACTAATGTAGGACAAATCAGACACATACATGGATTAGAATTGAAGAAAGGAAGAACAGAAGTAAACTTTAGAATTTAATGTAAGAAAGTGTGGCATTTAACATTACTAGAGATAGAATCTTAAGAGTTGGTATTATATTAGTTACATAACAAGTCAGTAAAAAAAATTAATTTAGTGCCTATTGTATGTAAGACACCAAAATAAACACCAGTGTATTAAAGATATAAATGAAAAGCATAGAGCCAAATGAATGCTTTAACTATTTACTATAAATAGTTAAAGAAATATTTATATGTAGTGGAAAATATGTTCTAAACATGAAACATAAAGAATTGAGAAGTTTGATTTTCTCAGAATTCCTATATGTCAACACACAACATAAAATTAAAAGTAAAAAAACATACAATGGGGAGATTGCAACATGTATAACATTTAAATAGGATAGTGTTATAATTCTTACACTTCAATAAGACAAATATATATTGTTAAGAAACACATATGAAAGAAGAAATTCAAATGGTCTATAAGACTATAAAAATGTTTGACTTCATTATTCAGTTATAAAATGTAAATAAAACCATAAACATTTCTCAACCATCAAGTTAGCATGGATTTTGTTTTAATGATCTCGGCCTAAATGAGGTGGAACATGGACTATCTCATAAACTACTAGTAACAACGTAAACGGGTATCACAGCTTTGGGGGACAATTTATCAATGGCCTAACATCAATGTACTACTAGTGCAAGAAGAGGTCTTTGATAAGGTAATTATCCATCTAGGAATTTATTTTAAGGAAGTAATCATATGTGTTGCAGGGGGAAGCTTGCCATTAAACAATATGTATCACAATATTACATATTATGGTGCACATGTACCCTAGAACTTAAAGTATAACAAATATATATATATATATATATATATATATATATATATATATATATATAAAGAAAAATCTAAAAAAAACAGAAAATGAGAAACAACCTAAACAGCCAACAATTGGGAATATGTTTATAAAACAATATAATTTGTGCAGTCATTATAAGTGATATTGACAATTAGTCATGTGAATTATTTTCTACAAAAATAGACCCTTTTTCCTCTTTCTGTCCCAACCTCTTATACCTTGAAAAAACAGAATTGACATAAAATATCACTGTCAAGACTGTGTTTAATCTGTTGGTTGTACTAGAGTAAAAAAAAGAAAAAATGGTAGAGACCACCATACTGAAGATGCACATTTACTGACAGAGGAAAACATGGCACTCATGCAAAGAGAAGATTATCAGGCAGAGTAATCCCACTTTTATTTGTTTTTGAGAAAACATACACAAATAGTAAAAAGATATAAAAAATATTGCAATGATTATATCTGGGTATTGGAATTACATTTTTTAAATTTTATTTTTGATTAACTTGTACTCATTTCAATATATTAATATATACTTATTTGCTGATCAAATTCAGCATATTAATGTAAATGTAACATTTTTGTAATAAAAAATACATAATTTCAAATTTGTTAAAATATAATAAATAACCCTCAAGTTTCTCTTTGTCATGAGGTTAACATCAGTAGTGGTTTATCAAAAGAAGAAAAGTTCATGCTAACAAACTCACTCTTGTTTTTTTCAATTACCTTGAGGTTAATACCAGCTTTCCTCAGATTCAAAACTTTTTGCAAGTACTTTCAAGTCACTCTACATTAACTTGAAAAAACACATAAATAGTCTTCTAATAGTATAACTTCTTTATTGCTTACATTCAAAGACTCCAAATTGTTTTAATGGATTTCTGTTTTTTCTTCTACTGAGTTAGGACAGAAATAATTTTTCCAATGACTCTGTTATCTCAGTTTAGTATTAAAACAGAGCACACATTGTTCCAATATAATTAGTCCTAACGTTCTTTTACATGGTACTTTACAAAGTTAGAGAATTATAAAATTGTGATTTTAAGCTTCCAAGTTTTTCTTCCCTGTTACCTGGAAACAATGTACCTCCCACAATAATAGTGGAAACATATTTTTAATATACAAGTCCAAAAACCAAGCTAACTCCTTACTTTGATTATTTTTGTTTTATTATCTAGATTTCCCTTTTTGGTTGTTGTTTGTTTTTATTTTCAGAAAATAGTGCCTCAATATGCAAACAGAAAAGGCAGGACCAACAGAAAAGTTATCCCTTTCGCATTCAAAACAACTATCTTTCCCTCTCACTGCAGAAGCTATCTATCTACCTTTGGATGGAAAAATGCCACAGAGTTTTTTCTGGAATAAATGGAAACTAACATTTCTTCATTACAAAACATAGGAGGTAATTAAGACAATGAAAGTACACTACAAATTAGGTCAAGACATGAATGTTAATTAGGGACTTTCTCCTCTCCTCCCTTTCTCTCCTTCCTCTCTCCTCCCTGCTTTCTCTCTCCCTCCGTTTCCTGTGGTATTCTGGAAAAAGTACCTCACTCTCCTAAGAGCTAGGATACTCAGGTACTACTGTCCTAGTATGATCATTATTTGTATGTGTAATTTCAGCGTAATGAATTCCTCTCTTTAGCTCTCTTGTTCCTCAACCTCAAAATAATCTCCACAGTCCTTCACTTCCTTAACTCCCTATGGTCCATCTTACAAACTCTTCTTGTCCCTGTAGTATTCACCAAAAAATCTAGCCAGCAGGGAAACAGACTCCCACACGCCTCTCCTTTGCTTGACCACCTCTGGTGCAGGAGATAATGAAGAATTTAAATAACATCACCATGCACATCATGTTGAAGAAAAGGAGAGAGTCAACAATCCTAAAAAATTGTAACCTCTCTCCCCTTACTCCCTTCCAACTGGGCAAGTGATGACAAAAAGTATAAGAGCACCTCCTCATCTCATGATCTGCCCAACTCCCATCATAATAATAATGGTAATAAGTACATACTTATTACTAACTTTTACTGGGCATTTTGTGCTCTACACCCTGTTTCATGTTCCCTTTAGGTCCCTTCAAGTTAAGGAGGTCAGGATAAATCTATGTGAATCGAGACTGACACATTCCACCAAAGAGTGCTGGAACTTTCCCACAGGTTATGGATCTCTTCATGGTTTCTCTACAAGAACCTGTACACATGCCTTTCTCTTAGTGTCTCAGGAGTTTTAAATTCAAGCATCACCTTTCAAAATTTTTCTTGAAGCAATTACACTCACTCTTGGAGTGAGAGCCCCTGTCACACACACCCATTAGAGCATTTATCATGCAAGATAGCACTGAATGCCAGACAGACGTTTTTGCCAGATAGACATTTTTGAATATCTGATTCTACTAGTCTGAAAACACAAGGTCTGTATTTAATCACTTCTATATCTCCAGGATCTGGCCCAGAACCTAGTTCATGGTAGATTCTCAGTAATGATTTATTTGTTGTTTGGTTGGTTGATGGGTTGGATGGATGAATTTAAAATTTTAAATATTTAAATACTTAGAAGGAAGTATCAGAGCTTCCTTGAGTCTCCAATAATGAATCAGTGACCCTTAGAAGCCCTGATGAAACCATCTCATTAGAGTCAATGAGGCCTATTGGGCCTAATCCAAACTTTGCCTTAGGATAATTTACTTATATTGAATTTCAAACTGATCTGACAATATGATTCATGATAAGATAACCCACTGGGTCTATCTTCCCTCCTCTTGATTGCCATTGTCCTAGTTCAGCTTCTCCTTTTCTCACCTCTAGACTAGAGACATTGCCTTCCAAATGATTTCACATTCATTTCTTCATTCATTTAACACCTCTTTATTTACCAAAACCAAGCATTGTTTTAGACACTGGGGACACAACAGTGAATGTGACAACAGAGACTCTAACTTCATGGAGTTTATAGTTGGGAGACACAAAGAAGTTAGAAAACAATAGTAGAAGTAATAGTGGTAATAGTAGTAGTAGTAGCACTAGTAGTAGTAGTAGTAATGTGCAATGGCAAAAAGAAGGAAATGATTTAACAGACAATGATTGTTAAATCATTGTTTGATTGGCTTGTTTGAATGGTTAAGGAAGGGCTCTCTAAGAAGATAATATTAAGGTAACTGCTGATGACAAGAAGGAGCCAGCATATGATGACTTAGGTAAAGGGTGCTTCAAGCAGAGGAAAGATTAAATGTAAGGCTTTGAGCAGAAGGAAGCTTGGTAGAGCCAAGGCACAGAAAGAAAGCAGCAGAGCTGGAGCCCAGTGAGCAAGCAGCAAACGGGATCCAGGTGGGAGCCAGCCATGGACAACCTCCTAGGTCAAGGTGAGGAGAAAAGACCCTTTTATAAGCAAAATGGGAAGCCATTGGAAGGTTTTAGGCAATACGGTGGCATGATACATATTTGACTTTTATCATATCGGTTAAGCAGGGTGCAGTGGCTCACGCCTGTAATCCCAACACTTTGGGAGGCCAAGGTGGATTGCTTGAGCTAAGGAGTTCAAAATCACCCTGGGCAACATAGTGAAACCCCATATCTACAAAAAAATAGAAAAAAAAAATTAGCCGGGTGTGGTGGCACATGCCTATAGTCCCAGCTACTCAGGAGGTTGAGATAGGAGGATGGCTTGAGCCCAGGAGGTCAAGGCTGCAGTGAGCCATGATCAGACCACTGCATTCCAGCCTGAGTGACAGAGCAAGACTTTGTCTCAAAAATAACAATGACAATAAATAAAATAAAATATCAGTTAAGTTGCTACCCAGAAAATTGTTGGGGGCAAGAATAGAATCAAGGAGTCCAGTTCAGTTAGAAGGATATTTTAGTAATCAGATGAAAATGGGGATGGCTTGGACTAGAGTGGAGAAAAGAGCAAACTGAAGATATATTTTAGAAGTACGGCTAGTGAGAACTTGGTATTAGACTAGATGTGGGATTTGTGATAAAACAAATCAAGAATAACTCCGAGATTTTTATTTTTTATTTGAAAAGTGAAGTAAAGAGTGCTGCCATTTACTAAGATAGGGAATATTAAGAGAGATAAAATTTAGGAAAAAAATTATAAGTTCTGGTTTGAATATCTCAAATTTGAGATTTCTATTAGGCATGCATTAGAAGTATTAAATAAAAAAGTTGAATATTTGAGTCCAGAACTGAAAAGCTAGGGTGAGGGTGCAGGTGGGATGGGCAAAGTAAAGATATAAATTTGGCAGTCATGGACATATATACAGCGTTTAAAGACATGAGCTATATCTGCTTCTGACATACAGAAGAGCATGTCTAACAAAGTGATCCTTAGCAAACAACAGCTATAAACTCTAGAAAGAATTTAAAAAGCAACTACCTGAAGGCTCTGGAGACTAGATAAAGGCAGGAAGGTTTTGGAGGAAGTTGAAACTGGAGCAAGTCACCAGTACAGAGTAAATTCTCCCTCTTTTGGAGCTTCATTCTGAGGGATGTCATAGTGGTAGGGAAGAAGATAGTGAAGACACAAATAGAAAGCCTGCCAGTTTTTTGGCTGAAGGAACCAGGGGAAAATCCTGGGGCATCCACTGCTGCCAGGGAGTGAGGAAGGACCCTGAACCAGTGTATAAATTTAGCCCAAATGTCTGGATGACCCCTTCACTTGCAGCTCTGTCTTAAAGTACTAAAATGAAATCTGAGTGACCACCCACCACACGCATGACAGCTTATATTTAGACTATGAACCAAGTTAATTGCCAGCTAAATAAAAAAACATCAATACTCTTTGGGGCAACATAACAAAATCTAGAATCTCTGCAATACATTGTTCATAACGTCCAGTATATATATGAGAAACCAGGATAATGTGATCCATCCTCAACAAGTCAATCTTAACCCAAATATCATAATTACCAGATAAAAAGTTGAAAGCAGCTATTACAACCGTGCTTATGGAAATAAAGGAAAACATGCTCACAATGAATGAAAAGACAGGAAATTTCAGCTGGTAAATATAAAATATATTTATATCTTATAAATATAAAAAGAAACATAATAGGAATTTTAGAATTGAAGAATACTATACCTGAAATTTAAAATTTCCTGATGGACTTAACCACAAAAAGAATATGACTATGGAAAGATTTGGTGAATTTGAAAATAGATATCATAGAAATCATCTAATGGGAAGAACAGAGGGGAAAAATGTTGAAAAAAACTTAAAGATCCTCAGAGATCTGTGGAAAATTTCAAAAGGTCTATCATAAGGTAGTTGGAGTCCCAGAAGAAGATTTAAAAATTGGCCAGAGGAAAATAATAAAAAAGATGCCCCAAACTTCCCAAATTTGGTGAAAGACAAAAATGTACAGATTCAGGAAGTTTAGAAAACCCCAAAAAGAATTCATTCAAGAAAGCCACACATATCTTCATTCTAGTATCTTGAATTGAGACAAAAGACAAAGACCTGGGACAGATTAAATCACTTAAAATATGGGTAGAGAAGAGGCCCAGGATGAAGCCCTAAGATCCTCTAAAATGGAGATGTCAACTAGAAAATGAAGAGCCAGTAAAGGATATGGAGAAGAAATAGCCAATGAGGCATAAAAAAAATATATAGAAGAATGGGATGATCACACTGGTCACCATGGAATATTATGCAGCCATAAAAAAGAATGAGTTCATGTCCTTTGCAGGGATATGGATGAAACTGGAAGCCATCATCCTCAGCAAACTAACACAGGAACAGAAAACCAAACACCACATGTTCTTACTCATAAGTGGGAGTTGAACAATGAGAACACATGGACACAGGGAGGGGAACATCACACACCAGAGCCTGTCAGGGGGTTGGGGACAAGGGGAAGGAGACAGATAGGACAGATAGCTAATGCATGTGGGGCTTAAAGCCTAGATGATTGATTGATGGGTGCAGCAAACCACGATGGCACATGTATACCCATGTAACAAACCTGCACGTTCTGCACATGTATCCCAGAACTTAATGTGTAATAAATAAATAAATAAATAGTTAACTGTGTAGCATGCAGTACCATGGATCAAGTGAGATGAGACCAAAAAGTGGCAATAAGATTTGACAGCATGGGAATTGGTAGAAACCAAGACAAGAGCAATCCCAGTGAAAGGGCAGAATAAAAAGGGCAATAAGAAGAGGCTGAGGAAAGAAAAGAAGGCCAACAAGAGACAAAGACTTCCTGGGCACCACCTCCCAACATGCCAGTCTAGAATGAACACTAAAACACCAAGGAAAATGTAATACAATAGAGAAAACTGCATTTACCAGAACTCCTCTCATGATGAGCCCTATAGGATGTTGGCAAGAATACTTTGAAAAACGTTTAAGGCAGTGATGGTGAGAAGTGAGAGTTCTCAAGGATCAACCAACAAAATGAAAAAGCAACCTACAAAATGAGAGAAAATAGTTGCGAACCATATATCTGATAAGGGGTTAATATAAAAATATATAAAGAACTCATACAACTCAATAGCAAAAAAATGAAACAAACAAAAAATGTTCAAATGGCAAAGGACCTGAATAGGCATTTTTCCAAAGAAGATATACAAATGACCAGAAGGTATAAAAACTGGTGTTCAACATTACTAACCATCAGAGAAATGAAAATCTAAACAACAATTACTTTACACCTGTTAAGTGGCTATTATCAAGAAGACAAGGGATAAATGTTGGCAAGGGTGTGGAGAAAAGGAAACTCTTGTATATTGTTGGTAAGCATGTAAGTTGGTGCAGCCATTATGAAAAACAGTATAGAGGTTCCTCAAAAAATTAAGAATAGAACTACCACATAACCCAGCAATCCCACTTCTATACTTCTAGTATATATCCAAAGAAAATGAAATTCATATCTTGAAGAGATATCTATACGTTCATGTTCATTGCAGCATTCTTCACTACAGCCAAGATATCAAAACAACCTAAGTGTCCATCAGAGGATGAATGAATAAAGAAAGTGTGGTATATTATTCAGACACAATTAAGAAGAAAATTCTGCCATTTGCAAAGACATGATAGCATGCAGTAACATGGATGAACCTGGAAGACTATGCTAAGTGAAATAAGCCAGATGTAGAAATACAAATGCTATATGATTTCACTTAAGTGGTATCTAAAAAGGTTGAGCTCATAGAACCAGAGAGTAGAATTGTGGTTACCAGGAGGTAGAGGTGGGGAAAATGGGGATGTGTTGGTCAGAGGGTACAAACTTTAAGTTATAAGATGAACAAGTTAAGGGGATCTAATATACAGCATGAGTGGAGAAGGATGTGCTCATTAATTTTACTACGGTAATCATTGCACAGTGTATACATATACCAAATCATCACATTGTATGCCTTGAGTATAAAATCTCTATCTGACAGATATTTAAAAAAAATTAATGCATTTTTATTTATTTATTTATTTATTTTTGAGACGGAGTCTCACTCTGTCGCCCAGGCTGGAGTGCAGTGGTGCGATCTCGGCTCACTTGCATTATTTTTTAAAAGGAGACAGCATGCTAAAGGAAGCACAAATAGCACTAACAATCCCACTAACCCTAAACTAATCATTTATCCATTTTTTTGCTTCCCTGTGCCCAGAGTGTCTAGCACATATTAAAATACCCAATAAATATTTGCTGAAAGAATAAATTGGTTCCAAATGGCTCAATGTTACACCTTCCTTGGATTTTATACTTTACCAAAGGACTATTTCTAATGCATATTTAGTTATAAAGGCAGAAGGGGCCAAAACAGGCATGTACCAATAATGGGAAGGCCGGAGCTGCTGAAATGTTGGTGCATGTTGAGATAGCTTTAGCTCAATTCTTTGCCCCCAGGATAAATCTACACTACATCATAATTAAACAGAGGAAGTGTCTGGGCCTAACACAATCTAAAACATCTCCCTCCTTTCGCAAAAATTATCTTCATCTGAAAAGGCATGGAGAGTTCACTTGTTTAACTGAAGTAGTTTGATGTTGTTTGTTTATCAGTCCTTAATAGAAAAGAAGAAAACAATTATGCCCAGGAGATTTTCTTTTTAAACCCCACATTTATACAGCATTGCATTCTTTTTATGCATTCATTCTTGATCACAGAATCATGTATTCACTCCATCATTCATTCATCATTTATTTTATCCCTGTATGTAGTTATCCAGATGGAGCATAAGACTATCATAGTGTTTTTATAAAGTAAAAGTCTGCTTCAATAAAGACCCTACACAATGTTAAACCCAACATGTACTGTGAAGGGAAGTTTGCTTCCAGAAACCAGATTTCATGCTGCAAGCAAAGATGCATAGCAATCAATCACAGCAATCTAAAAATAGACCAAGATACACCCCAGCCCCAGCACTTCCATTCTTCATTCTTCAGTAGGAAAAACCCCAGAGTCACCTGATTCCTCAAGGGCTGTGCGACTGCAGCACCTTTTGAGTCCATGCTCCATTTTCTAGGCAACACAATGAAACCAATCCCTGTCATATGCTTCGCTTAGGTGTCACCATTATTAAAAAGCAATGTGGAGGCTGCCTGGGAAAAAGCTGATTAGCAACCATGGTTAAATAAAAGCCCTAAAATAAAATAATCAACCTGATGGGGAATGGTCTCATCGCCACCTGTTGTATTTCCTCCATCCCCTGGAGAAGCAGCAGAAGGGTAAATGACCAAGGCTGTTCATCATCAGATTAAATAACAAAAAGAGCCAATAATCATTTTCTACTTCAATATTTGTTATACAATTTATTCGACCTATTATTCAAGTTTTGTCTACATCAGTTGAAAGAGTGCTTCCTGTCTGGAAGCAACATTAATAGTGAATAGGTAAGAGAAAAGAGATGTGTCTATCCATTCAATTCCCCATCCCCTCCTCCTTCCCTCCAATTCTCTTTGACATCATCCCAGTGTGTACAAGGAAATGGTTACTTATAGTAAGTAAGAGGTTTGCATCCATCCATAAGTGTTTACATCTCTGATTGGTCAATTGTGTCATAATTTAGCATACCTTTTATGTCAAAATCCCCAGGTTTTTCCAGGATTACTTATGGATTGAGTCCATTTATTTTTGTATTTTACAACTCCCTATGAGAATTTAGCATGGCCATTTGTCAGTTATCTCTGGCAAAGAGGTAAAATACAATGGTGTAGTAGAAAACAAAGAATGGCAGCCAGGGATAATATAAGTAGCAATAAATTTTGAATCAGGAGTCCTGGGTTCAAATTCTAGTTTTATATCCTTTTGAAACATGTGCCATATATATTTAGTGAGAATTTTTTCAAGCTGAGTTCTTACTTTATTAAAAAAATTTATCCCAAACTAATGTACCACATAGTAGTAATCTATTTTCTTGTCTAAAAAGTTGGGATAATAAAATAACTTAGAGGTGTGTTATGAAAAATAAATGAAATAAATGTGAAAGGGATATTCCAATATGAGATCCTATTATTAATAATGTCAGTACATAATTATATCAACAGATCCTCAGAACTCCTTATGCAAACTGATGTTCTCCCACCAAACCTTCACCCAAGACACTGACAAGCTGTAATTTTTTACTGTTTGAATTTAGCACACTCTCCTTGCCCCATCATCTGGCCGTAATGAAGGTGTTAGCAGCTGGGAAACACAGAATACTGGGCAGACCAAGATAAGAGAGAAAACAATAAGGTCAGGGACCATCACTCCCTGAATACCCAAGAGTTGAGGTTTGTGGGCATTAATGAGTAATAAAAATTATTAATTAATTAATTAAAACTCACTGCAAATGTAGTTTTGTTTGTAGTTGAGGATTGTTAATTCCAGCTTATATAGATAAACTGACAAATAACTTACAGTGAAATTTTCTAAATGTTGACCCATAGATCATTTTTATCATTTTTTTCATCAATTTACCCATCCAAATTATTAAATTCATAAATAGACATTAGTAATCCTGAGTCTCTCACTTCCTCAGAATTTTTTAATTTGAAAGGTTTAGAGAAAAGTGCTGTGCAGTAAAACTTTCTGCAATGATGGAAATGTTTCATAATTTGCACTGCCCAACAGTACCTAGTGTAATGGAGGAAAATGTACCTAGTGTAATGGAGGAACTCAGTTTGTAATTTTATTCAATTTCAGTTTCAACATAAATAATTAACCAGAGTTGATATGCCAGAAACTATTCAGATACCTCTATCCTGGTGGAAATTTGAAAAGAGGGAGTAATCAATCTTTGTTTTTTAGAAATAGGGTCTTTCTCCATCACCCAGGCTGGGGCACAATGGCATGATCACGGCTCACTGCAACCTTGAACTACTGGGCTCAAGTGATCCTCCCGCCTCAGCCTCCCAAGTAGCTAGGACTACAAGCAGGCAACACCAAAATCAACCTTTTTTTTTTTTTTTTTTTTTTTTTGAGACCAAATCTTGCTACATTGCCCAGGCTGGTCTCAAATCAATCATTCTTTAGACATGATTTAGTGAGAGTCCTTCAAACTCTGTGAAGAGAATGAACCAAACAACCAATTCAAAAGGGAGGAAGAAGTATCCATATTTTAATCAATCAGGCCAATAGCCAGCCTCATGAGTTATCTCAGTGTCCCTGTTTGCTTGGACATGCAAAAGGTTTGACGTACTCAGATGCTCCTCCCTCTTAATAGAATCCAGGAATCCAGGGGTTTTTCCAGGTAAAGTGTAATCATTGCATCAGAGGAGACTGATGCTTCCAAGCTTTGCCTCAGGAATTGATCCTGATTGGTATAAACCTATTATGGTGGCCCATGATTTAGACACTAACTTTTTGATGTAATTTTAGCCAATGAGACATGAAGAGTAGTCAGCTGGAGAAGGAAGGATGTGGGTAGGGTTATTTTTGAAAATAGGTTCCTCCTCCTTAACGAAGACACTGGAAGAGATATCTCATCTTCTGCCAGAGCTGTCATCTATGAACATGATGCTTGGAACCTCAACAGCCATATTGTGACTGTGAGGAGAGCTGGTCTAAGGCCTAACCATCATGCTGAGGATGACAGAGCAGAAAGCTGGAAAAAACCTGGGCATTGGATGACAATGCTCAGCCTCTGAACCAACCAATCCTGGAGTTATCCTACTACTATTCTTCTACATATGTGCAATAACATAAATATTCTTTTGATTCTTCTGGCCACTTTGGGTTGGATTTTCTGTTACTTGTGCCCAAAGCATTCTGATGCAGTTGCCATCTATTAAGTGCTGGATAGGCACTTAACAGGCATTATTTCATTTAATCCTTATGACAACCAACCAAAGCAAATTTCAAACTCCATTTTGCAGGTGAGAAATCTGAGGCTCAAGCAAGATGAAGTTACAGTGGTCACCTGACTAAGAAATAGCAGTGTCAAGACTGAAACTTGGGTATCTTGATCCCAAAACCCACATACTTCTCTTCCAGCCTCTGCCTCTTAGAACCGTATGTCACAAAGAGCATGTGAATTAGCAGACCAGTCAGAGTGGCCTGTTTCCTGCACTCAGCTGCATTACTTTCACATCATCTGTGGATTCTCACGTGTAGAATAAAGTGATCTGCCTAGATGATCTCATCCAACTATGATTATAAATGGAAAACAATTAAAGCTGTGATTCATTTCAATTTTTATTTCAAAAGCATTCCCTTCACACTTTTCCTGACAGCTGAGAAAGCAGGCTTTGAAGCGGAAACTCTACCTCCCATCAGACATTCTGCAGGTCCCTCTCTGACTTTCTGAGGCCTTAAGCTTGGCTAGGTAGGTAGGGTATGATTGGGGCTGTTACAAGACAAAGCACACCTTTTACCCACTTCCCTTACCAGCCAGCAGGGTGCCTCAGCACTTTGGCCTGCCACAGAGGCTGGTGCCTCAGCGTGCCCACTCGAGAGTGAGGATGTGGGATGTATAATAGAGGCAGGGAGTGAATCCAGCAGCATCTTGCCACTATTAGCCAACTCCAAGGTGTGCTACTTCACAGAATAATTATATGCTAAGTGGTTCATTCACTTGCTTTGTTTTGATTCCCTATGGACTCTCTCTCTTACCTGTGGAATAAAAATTTCTAAGACTCCTCATTTGGTTGCCAGGGAAATAGCTTTAAGGCCAAAATTTATGTCCGCCTTTCAGGCTGAAGTCTATTTAAAAACTTTGAAAGCATTTAAGTGGGGAAGCAAAAAGAATAGGATGTTCCAAAATAAGTAGCTATTCCTCCTGCCAGGAGGTGGAGCTTAATCCCATCCCTCATAAGTGTGGCTGGACTTAGTGAACTGGTTTCCAGTGAATAAGAGTATGGAAAGGACATATAGTCCCAGCTACTAAGAAAGCGAGAGAATAGCTCAAGGACAGGAGTTCAATGCTGTAATGTGCTATTATCATGCCTGTGAATAGCTACTGCACCCCAGCCTGGACAACATAGCAAGATCCCCATTTCTAAAAAAAGAAAAAAGAGCATGGAAAGGGGAATACGGTAACTTTAAAGTAGAGAAATTTGGCAAACACTACCTTAATTAAGTGATCAAGTCTAGCAAAGTGAGTTAGTCATGTGGATACCACATATGCCTGGTAGGTTGTGATGAGGAGAGAACTTCACTTCTGTGATCTTCCTCCTAAGATCATAAAACCCTAAACTAATTGGGAGAAAAAATATCAACAAACCCAAACAGAGAGATGATATTTGACCAGTATTCCTCAAAATTGTTGAGGTCATCCAAAGGAAAGAAAGACTGAGACACTGTCACAGACCAGGGGAAACTTAAAGAACAAGGACAACTAAATGCAGTGTGGTACCCTGGATGGGATCCTAGAACAAAAAAAGGACATTGGTAGGGAAATTGGCAAACTCCAAATAAAGTTTGAAGTTTAGTCAATAGCCATGTACTAATGTTGCTTTCTTGTTTTGACAAAGATACCACAGAAATATAAGATGTTAACGTTAGGAGAAACTGGGTGAGGTATATGGTGACACTCTGTATTGTCTTTGCAACTTCTCTGGAAAACTAAAATTATTCCCAAATAAAAAGTTTATTTAACACCCACCCCCCAAAAAATAATAGAAGGAAATGAAATAGCTGGCCTTTTTTTAGTTTGTCCATGACCACACACATGTCTGTCGCTGACTCTGTGCACTTACACCTTCTGCAGTTGGGTTTTGAGTGGGAATGAAAAGTAGGTTATGAGAAGACAAAGAGAATAGGACAATTTTAAATAAAGAGGAAAAGGAGAGGAGAAGAAGGAGAAAGTGATAGATAAGGAAGAGAAGAAGAAAAGGCAGAAGGAGAAGGGGGAAGGAGGAGGAAATAGAGGAGAAGGAACAATAGGAAGAGGGGAGAAGGGGGATAGAGGAAGGTACAAGGGCAAAGGCACTCAAGGAGGTTTTATTCTTGCTCAAGAGCAAAGAATAACATCGCAATAGCAGAACATAGTGAGTGCAGTGCGGCCTGTGCACAGGCCCTCAAGGGTGTCAATTTCCCTGCAGCCTGATATGTTTGGGGTACTTTGCTCAGAATGGCCAGAGGGTGTAGAAATGGGACAAACTTCTCCAGAAGGGACGTGAAAGTGACTGGCCAGACACTCACCAATCCCACTTTCTTGTCCAGGGCCCACAGAAAAACTGCACTTCCCAGCCATTTTGCTTTTAGACAGGGACACTATCACTCAGTTCTGGCCAGTGGTGTGCAGGTGGAGATAACATGCACCACTTCCCAGGCTAGCCTCTAAGACATCCCACACCATCCACCATCTTCTCTTTTTCTCTCCTGTTCTCTGGATGTACAGCTGGAAGCTAAGGCCTCTGAGATGGCAAAGCCCCACTATGGAAGCTGCCCAGATTCCTGAGTCCCCGGTTGGAGGTAGCCCCAAAGAAGAGATGCTCGAGCTGCATAAGATGGTGGATGAGTAAGAAATAAAGTATTTGTGTGTTAAGCCACTGAGACTTGAGGGCTATCTGGCAGCTAGCCTAACCCAACACAAAATATATATATATACAAATAACTCTCATGACCAAAACATTTTAGGGTAGTTCAAAGTGTGGAGAGACCAGTTCAACTGGCAAATAGCTTCAGAGAGGAGGCAGCATTTGTCTGTACCCTCAAAAAATGACAGCTTTTGGTCTTGCAGAGTCGGGAACTGAATATTGTAGGTGGAGAGATTGCCGTAAGAGAACTACAAAGACAACCACAGCAGGGCATGGTCAACAGCAGGGATTGGCACCTGATTTGCTTTAGCTGGGACACTATGGGAAGGAATGGAAAGATTTAGAAAAATGAGTCTGTGAAAGAAAGTTCAGGTCATACCATAGTGAGTCTTAAGTGATGCTTTAAAGAGATCCCTTAGGTACTTAAGTTTTGTAAGCAAGGCAGTAAAAGGAACAGAGCTGAACTATAAGATCATTCTGATCCCACATACGAGATGACTGGGGAGCCCCATGAAAAGACTTCTGCAGTATTCTAGTGGGAACGGCCTGACCTAGGGAACAGCGAGAAGGGTAGAATCCTGAGAGACATTCCAAGAGCAGACATCCCATCAGCTATGCAGGACGCAGTGTCACTGACCGTGACTTTACGTGACTCAGATGGAATCAGGCTTGAGCTTCTCTTCTTGCCATTCCCATGTGCTGTGATAAATTCCTCCTGTCTGGGGGGCTACCATATATTCTGCAGCTGTCAAGTGCAAACAGTTCCCAGAAAAAGAGATTAAATAGGTTTAACTTGTTATTCAACAAGTTGTTCCCATCTTCCTCTGCCCACAGCCAAAGCTCAAGACTCACATTTTAAAGGGCAAAATGTACTTTTTCTCTTTTATTTTCTATCTTTCCTCCTTTTATTTGTCCTCTTTTTCTGCCAAATTTAGTTCAACAAATATTACATGTCTATTCACAGAAGTTGTGCGAAGTATTACAGACATAAATTAAAGTGTCTGAAATTTGGTGTCCCTTACGTAAAGAGCCAGAAATTCTAACGCACATGTAGCTAACTGTAAGACAAAGTGCAATGATGTGTGTGACCCCACGCTACAAGAGCACGCATTCTGCCCAGGTAGGGTGGGAAGGCACTGGGGATATCTGACCCAGACCTGGACAGATAAATAGAATGCTGCTGAATTGAGAGATGGAGATGGGCATCCCAGGCAATGAGCAGAAACACACAAGCATAAAGGGCTTGCCATGGTGGGCAGTGATAAAGAGTCTAGTGTTTCAGACTCTTGATTTGAGGTGACAGAAAAGGAACTCATGGTGACTTAAGCAACAGAGAGACAGAGAGACACTATATCAGCTCACAAAACCAAGCTTTATCTACCTTCAAATGGATCCAGGGGCTCAAATGAAGCCACCAAGACTTTGTGTCTCTCTGTCTCTCTTCTGTGCCAGCTTTGTATACAGGTAGGCATTTTCCCCAGGGTGCAACAGGACCCCTGGCAGCTCCAGACATGAATACTACCAGCTTGGCAGCCTTTGTGGAAAGGCAGCACCACTTTCCCAGTAATTCCTGAAAAACCACAGATAGGTTTTGATTGACCCAGCCAGAAACACCTGCCCATCTCCAGGCAATCATCATGGCTGGAGGAATCCTGTATTTCTTCTGGCCAGTCACGGGATTCAGGACCCATCCTGAGGGGCTAAGAGGTGGGATCAACCTATGAGCTGGAAGTAGGGGAGCCAAACTTCCCCAAAGGGAAACCAGGCTGCTGTCACCATGGAAAGGAAAGATGCATGCTGAGTAGGAAACAAATGTCCCTATACCTGCTGTGGCTAGGGAGCAGCATAGAAGTACGGAAGGCAGGTATGGTTAGGGGTGAGAGGGCGGGAGCAAAACCAAACTGGCACCAGATAATGAATCCCTTTGCTGACATGCAAGAGGTAGTGGATTTTATTCTTCGAGCTGCTGGGTCTCAACTATTTCCCCCTTAATGTAAATGATGAACACCACCATCTGCAGTCATGGCTGGGTGTTGTTTGTGAATTTTCCATGCGTTAGCTCTAATTCCACCCTTACTCCACCCTTACTCTCCCTGGATAGACAGCAATGATACAGTGAACCTTGCTGTAATTGGTTTTTAAAGAGTAAAACAAAAAGTATAAATTATTCACAGACTTCTGCTCCCTAATTATTAGCAATAGCAAATTACTTTGATTCAACAATGTCTCCCAGTGCCTCTGTCAAGCACAGATGTTGTCGGCAATGGGAAGCCACTAAAGGTTTTTAAATGGTAGAATCTGTTATAAGAAGATAACTGTGATGGCAAAATGTAGGCTGGATTGGATGAAAAGATTCTAAAGGCAGAAAGGTCATTTGGGAGGCTATCATGGTAGGAAGGGAGAGGAACGAGGGACCTGAGCCAAACCAATAAAGACAATGGAGATGGAGCAACTGCTCACAGAGGTATTGCGCAGGACATAGCTACTTATTAAATAAAGGACAACAACAGAGTAATGATGCTTCAGGTTTAGCTGACACGTTCCAGACCATCCATTCTCACACCCTTTTTCCCATTAGCTGTGTCACTTGCCAGCTAGCACACACACACTGAAAAACAGTAAATGAGATGGACAGAGATGAGGATTCCCGTCTGAGCAAAGCTCCCACTCTCAGGTTCAAATGAGTGTTTTTTCACATCTACTTATTAATTGTACTTTAAAATACAATACAGTAATTTATAGTGATAATTGACTATTTTGATGTGATTATTCATGATTCTGTGGGCATCACTAATGATGCCTATAATTATAATTATTACAAAATTATTATTATTACTAATAACTATTCAAAATAGTGCCTTGAATTTTATAGCCCTTTACAAAGCACTTTCATCTACCTCTATTTATTTTATTTTCACCATAATTCTGATGCAAGTATTACCAATCCCATTTTACAAACCATATCAGACTGAATGAATTGCCCCAATTCATAAAGCACACAAAGTGGCAGAGGCAGGGTTGAACGTCCAGACTTCTGACTCCGAGAACAGTGATTTTTCCACTTTGTTTTTGTGCTCATTATCTGCAGTAAAAATAAATCAGTGAAAACTGTACCCTCAATCTGAGAACTGGATTATCTGCGGGCCTTTAGATTTTTAGCTAGCTACATTTTTTTCCAAGGAGAAAATTTAAGTAAGGAGGAATAAGAAGGGGTAGTTAGCATGGGGGAACTGGAAGCTAATAATAACAGATGGATGGACAGATGGCTGCCGTGTGGCTCAGTTTCAAGGACTTCCCAGGACTCTAAGGTTATTCTGACACCAGTGCCCTGTCATGGTGCCTGAAACTCTGCATTTCTGTTAACAGCACTCTCTCCAGAACACCCCACCTAATGTGCTATTTGGGAGGAGTGTATCCATTTCCCATTGCCACTGGAGCAAATGACCACAACCTTAGTAGCTTCAAGTCAACACAAATGCATTATTTTACAGTTCTTGAGGTTAGAGGTCCAAAATGGATTTCACTGGGGTAAAATCACAGTGTTGGCAGTGCCTCGCAGAGGAGGACCCATTCCTTTCCTTTTCCAGCTTCTAGAAGCTGCCTACATTCCTTGGCTCATGGCCCCTTCCTCCATTTTCCTAGTTAGCAGTGTGCCATCTTCAGATCTCTATCTGGCTATGATCCTCCTGCCTCCCTCTTTCACTCATCAGGATACCTTTGATTGTATTAGGTTCTCTGAGATAATCCTGGATAATCTCTCCATCTCAAGATTCTTAACCTAAATACATCTGCAAAGACCCTTTTTGCCATGTGAGGGAACACACTCACAAGTTCCAGGGATTTGCATGTGGACATCTTAGGGAGGAATTATTGTGCCAACCACAAGGAGTAATATATTAACAGATACTGATCAGATTAGGTAGCTGTCATCTTTCTGAAAGCAAAATATGAAGCGAATAAGGCATAGAAAAAATGAGTTTTTATAGAAATTAAGAAAGTCAGGAAAGTTTACTAAAACAGGGATTCATAACCAAGGGATAAGTTGGAGGTATTTTTCCATTGTTGTTCTCATATATTGTTTATAAGAGTATAAACTATGATAAAAATGTCAAAAAATAATTTGGCAATATAAATTTCCATTTTAATTGATCTGGCAATTCAACTGCTAAAAATGAACAAAAATACTTCAAGATGCAAGTACAAAGATATATACTAAATCCCCACCAAGAAGTCATCGCTAAGTAAATTAGAAAATATTCACATAATGGAATACTCTGGTGTCTTTTAAAAGGATGAAGTAAATCAATCAGCATACGCTGACATGGAAAATCGCCCCCAGAAATTTAAAAAATTGTTTTCAGAAAAAAAAAGATGTTGAAGAGCCCATTTAGTGTGAGCTCATTTGGTAAATAAAAAAGAAAGAAAGAAAAGAAAGAAAGAAAGAAAAAAAGAAAGAAAGAAAGAAAGAAAGAAAGAAAGAAAGAAAGAAAGAAAGAAAGAAAGAAAGACGCTGTTTGTAGGTATGCTTTGTGTTTGCATAAAATGTTTGTCTTTGGGAAAAATATCAGTGGCCATTAGCCAAAAGGAAGACTTCTTAAATTTTTCTGTACTATTTGAATTTTTAATCACATACACACATTAATTATGCCTTTTTTGAACTATTTAAATATGCATGCCCAGGCCTTTTTTCTGGAGAGTCTGGTCCAGGAGGTCTAGTGTAGAACCCACACATGGATATTTTGAAAAAGCTCCCAAAGCCATTCTGTTGGGCATCCCAGGAGGTTCTCAGTTGGGTCACTATTGGCATTTTAGCCAAAACAATCCCTCCTTGTGCTGGACTCTCCTTCCATTTTAGGAACTTGGAATCTTCCTCCCACCCCCCCTCCAAGCATTGAGACAACCACAATTCCCATATGTATTTTCTCCATCGCCCCCTGAGGGGTTGAGATAGTCCTGCAGGATACCTGGGCAGGATCTGGGTTTGAAAGGGCCTTAACTGGCTGAGACTTCCAGACAAGGCAGAGAGCTAAAGCTGATGCCATTGGGAGTTGGGGGAAGCCATTATACTCCCTAATAACAGGCCCCAAACTTTCTGACCACTATGCCTTTGCAAAAACTACTTCCTCTCCCTGGAACTTGCCTCTCAACCCATTTATGCTAAAAAAAAAAAAAAAAAAAAAGCCTAACCTTTAAAATAACTATATCTTGCTTTCAAAACTCAGTTAAATGACATCATTCCAAGAAGCCTTGCTGAACTCCCTGCTGGTGGAATGATTCTGTTCTCCCCACAACCCTAAAATTCCCAGAGCATTCTGTATCACAGGCAATCTGTGCTAATCTCACTACTATGAATCACACATCTTTTTATTTTTATTACCATTGCCCATTAGAAATATAATGCAAACCACATATCTAATTTTCTAGTGGCCACATTTTAAAAAGCAAAAATAAATCAGTGAATTCATTTAACATATTGTATTTAACCAATATATCTAAAATATTTCAGTATGTAATTAATATTAAAATTATTGAGATATTTTATTTGTATATATTAAGCCTTAGAAATCAGTGTGTAATTTACACTTACAGTGTATCTCAATTTGGCAGATAAGTTTTCATCAGAAAGACTTGATCTATGTTTCTATTTCATAAAATGGAAATTTGAGAAAAGTAGATTCACATACTCAAGTTGTTCCAATAGTAGGTGTTTTTCAATAACTAAATTGATCTTAGCTTCTAAACTTATATATTTAAGTTTCCTAAAATTAAATAAAATTAAAAATTCAGTCCCTTTGTGACACTGTCCACATGTAACTAATGGCTACCATTCTGGACAACGCCACTATATATACTAATAGACTGTAAACTCCTCAAGGATTTACAGAGCCTTACTCACTGCCGTATCCCCAGCTCCCAGGTCATTGCTTTGCACATAGTTATTACTCTATAAATGTGGGTTGAATAAATAAATCAATGAATTGTTCATCTTAGTGTTACCCACAGCATCCAGGAGGCCACTTTGCATATATGACAATAATTGTGGATTTCAGTTACATAACACTGTACAGTTTACCAAGCTTATTATCTAATCATCTCACAAGCACTCACTGAGAAAGATATTTTCACTTTTCAGGTGGAAAACAAGATTCAGAAAAGTTCATCGCTATGTGTAAAGACATTGGTAAAATGGCAAAACCAGATGTTGAACCTAGATTTTCTGACTCCCAATTAAAGTACCTTCAATTGACCACACCTGCTCTTCAGTTAATCAACAAATGTATGGAGATTAAATTAAACACTGCAGAGTACCCAAAGAATGCTGAGTAAAGCTGAGAAAGGAAAAGCTGAGAAAGGATCCTCCCCAACGTCCTATGTCAATAGATAACATGAACATCGAAGTTAGTTAGATATTATGCTTCTATTAGGGGAAGGGTCAAAGCAAAACATTCTAAAACCAAAACGATTACAGTTAACACCTGTTTGTTAAGAAAATGTCAAGTGAAGGAGGGTTGGAACAGTGTCTGAAGAAGGACAACAGAGAAATTATTAGCCAGAACACCTCTGATCTCAGACCACACTGCTCATCTGGGCAATTCCACAAATTCTGCCTGAAGTATGAGACTCTATCCCAAGAAAATTATTCTAAATCTACAAAAATCTATTTGAACAAAGATGTCCATCACGGCATTGCTTATATTACATTGCAAAAACACTTAAATAACTTCAGTGTCCAGATATGGAGAGACAGTTGACTAAATTACAGTACATCCACTAAGGAACATTTATAATTTTTTTATATTTGTGGATGTTTAAACATGGGAGAAATGTTGGGCGGGTTATAATGGTAAATTTTAGAACGTGATACTATGTGATCAAAGGAGTTAAACGTTCATAAAGAAAGTCCATCAAATTTTAACATTTGGAAAGAAGGAACAATGAGTGGCATTTTCTCCTTTTCCCTTTTCCATGTGCATGTATCACTTTTATAACAAAAAACTTCTTTTAAGAAAACTGTCTTTAAACAAACAGGCAAACAGGGCTTAGCCTTCCTGCCCACCCCCACTCCACCCCCATTGTGGGTAATGAAGCATAAATAAGAGAAAGTAATGATCCCACATTCTGTCTGGAAAACGGGCTTCTACTCTAATCAAGGAGATAATCTCTATCTCTAAGTTGTTGATCTAAGTTCCTGGGTGGGTCAAGAAAGATCATCCCTCTTTGGAAGGATGTGGCAAATATTCAATCAACAGTCTAACCTGATGCCCAAGGTCACACAGCTCTGCAGAACTGACTCCCAGCACCGGATTCAACTCAACTATCAGAGCAGAGCTGCTCATATTCCCAAAGTGCCCTGGCTGGCTTCTGGCAGAGCCACTTTGCTCCGGGTCACATCATTGTTGGGTGGCCTTACATGTTTGGATAATCGCAGCCCAGCTCTGGGAGATGTTACTCACACTGTGTAAGAGAGTCAGCCACATTAAGTCCTCAGTGATAAAGAGCCTAGAATGTCAAATGCCCTTGCATTTGCCAGCCCAAAGGCTGGCAGAATTTCCAAACCCTCCTGGGCTCCCCTCTGGCCTATGAAGGAGCATCCCAGCCTCCCTTTCTTCAAAGGTCAGTAGGGTTTCCCTAGGGTGCATTGGGGTTAAAGATGATCTTCCAAGATGACAGAATCTCACACCTTCCTGATGGGCATCCAGAGAAACAGGTGGAACCATTAAAACTCACCTGAGAGATTAAGCACAGCTCAGGGATTAATCCCTTGGATTCTGAGGCCAGACTACAGGGGTTCAAAATCCAGCTCCACCACTTGAGAGCTAAGTAAACATGACAAGTTACTTAACTATGTTTCAGTACTCCCAATGAGTTAATGTATGCAAAGCACTTCGAATAGGACCAGACCCATACTAAGAACCACATAAGGGTTAGGTCTTCGTTCATTTGCAAATATTGGTTGAATGCTTCCTAGTACTAGGGGCAACCATTGTAGTCCACCAGCAGGGGCCTAGCTCCATGCTGAGCTTTAAGTACAGTATCTTTTTTTAATGCTTACAAAAACCATGCAATGTAACTCTGAGTATTTCTGTTCTATACCTGAGAACTAATGCTGAGAGGAGGAAGCAGCTTGCATGAGTTCTATATGACAAAGTCCCCATTCAAACCTAGGTCTCTGGGGACTCAAAAACAAAATGTTTTCCCAGATGAGGTCCCTATTCTTCAAAGAATCGTATCTGTAAGAAATCCTAAAAACATTACTTACTCTGGCCAATAATCAGTATTTATTTCCTAAGCAATAAACCTTCTTTCAAACCAAACGGTCTCTGTAAACACAATAGTGTTTCTTAGCAATCACATGTGCAAAGTCCCCAAACCAGCTATTTTTAAGTTAGAACCAGCCCCACCCCCACAAACAGAATGATAAAGGACTCCCCAAGACAAAGATATTCCACTTACCAACTGTTCCCATGAAATACTTCAATTCCCTTCACTCCATAGTTATTTATTGCCCAGAACTAATTTCCTAGCCTTTATGAAGCAGATTGTCTCTTACAGTTCCTGAGAGTTAATTGTGTGCATCTCTTCCCAACTCCATTCTGTGAATCTATTTTGGAAATTTGAAATTCGAAATGGTGGGAATATTTATATTACAGAAACTGGCAAATGCTAATGTCCACCAACAGCTGAATGGATAAATAAATCATGGTATATCCATACAACAGAATACTACTCAGCAACAAAAAGAAATGATCATACATGCAACAACATAGATGGCTTTTTAAGTAGTTATACTAAGTAAAAGACACCAGATTTGAAAACAGAATACATACTGCATAATTCCATTTATATACAAATCTAGAAAATGCAAACTAATCTATATAATCAATAGCAACAGAAAGCAAATCAATGGCTGCCTGGGACAGACTGGGGATAGCATGAAGAGGCAGGAAGAAGGAGTTACAACAGAGAACGAAGAAATTTTTGAGGGTAATGGTTCATTATGTTGATTATGGTGATGGGTTCACAGGCTCAAATGTCACACTTAGCCAGTTGAATATTTGAACATGTACAGTTTTTTCTACGTCATTTATATCTTAATAAAGCTGTTTTTAAATGTTCTTCTGTTTATTCCTATGATGACATTTTTATTTTAATAAGTGTAAACAAATGCTACTTCACTATGCAGAATCATTGATTTACTTCTCTATTTCTCTCACCATATTCTAGGTTCCTTGAGGGCAACAACCTCCATGAAGTCTTTCCTGGGCACATGCTTTCTCCACTCTTGTACCCCATCTCCTTGCTCTGGAGTAGGGCATGACTCCATTCTCTGTGCTCCTGTTTCCAGGTAGGTCATGGAGTGGAGTGGAAAGCACAAAGGCTTGGAGGTCAAAATGATGCAGGTTTCACCCTCCGCTCTGCTGCTGTTCAGTTGTGTGTCCTTGGGCGTGGCATATAATTTTTCTGAACCCACTTTGCTAGGGCATAAAAGAGGGAAGCTATGGATCCCTGCCAGGAGCAGAAAAGACAGTGACTACAGTCCTCACATGAGCAGTGTGTCAGCGAAAGGCACCAAAACAGCATAGGCATCCTCTGGCTTTAACAAAAGGGCAGGCTACCTTGGAAGTAATAATTTTAAGTAGTCACTTCAAAGCTGTGACAAATGATCCCAGTTGCATGAAACCTAAGGGTTCCAGGCTGATGGGAATTGCTGGAAGAAGCCCCATGAAAAGGGCTACTCAGGGCCCCTCTTTTAATGAGGATTATCAAGTGGAGATGCCCTTCGACCCAGTGTTTCTATTCTAGTTATCTGCCCCTACGATGCAGTTTAAATTACCTAGATGGATATGGACTTATATCATAGCATTCCTTTAAAGAGTGAAAATCTGAGAAGAATCTAAATGTCCAGCAATAGTGATGTGGGTAAATAAATGCTCACTCATCACATTCAGGCACATACATGCTACGTGGCAACATGGCAAAATGACTAAGGTAAAATGATCCATGAAAAAATTAGGACAAAAAAACTGTAGCCACACTATAATTATAACTATGAGAATAAGGCATAGATATTAAGACTTCAGAAAGCCAAAATGATCATGAGGATCATATTCAGGACATTTTATCTCTCATCATTTATCAGCAGTCTACAGGGCATGCATATTATTTTTATGGCAAAATTTCACTTTGGAAAATATTAAGAAAGGAGGGACTAAGAAACTGAGGCAATGTCTCAAAGTCAGCCTATCCAGAGGGAAACGCGGCAGCCACTGAAATAGTAGTAAAAATAGCCAGTGCCCAGCAGGCTTTTGAAAGCTTCTACAGATCACGTTCCCAAAAGAATACATGCAATTTGCCTGCATTCTGTTGAATTGGCTTTTGGAAAAAGACAACATAAGGGACATTTGGTGACACTTCAGTTATCTAAAATGGCATGGACATATGGCATCTCGTGGGGTGGGAAAGCTCATTCTGTGATCATTCCAAATCTTTAGATGCCCATTCCAGATAAATGCTATAAACCTGTGAAGAGAAGGGAGCAAAATCTTTATCTGGTGACTACAGCTAAGATGGGCCTTAATGGTCATGAAAGAAACGGTGACCTACAGAGGCAGCACCCGTCAAGGCAGTGTGGATGGAGAAGAATGAAGGAAAACAAGAGAAGGTCAAGGGGGAGCCTGGAACAAGCAGAGTGGGGGTTCTCAGCCCTGCTGCATGGCAGCAGAATGGGACCCAAAGAAGTTTTAAACATGCACTTCCTGGTCCCACCCAGCGAGGCTGGTTTGATAGCTCATAAGTCTACTATGCAGCCTGAGTTAAGAATCAGTGAAATAGAATGTCAATCAGAAATCTGAACAGGATAGAGCCCACGTAGTGTAGTCAAAGGCAAGATTTTCAAGTGGGAGAAGATAAAATTATTTCAGCAAGAAAAAAAGTGACTGGTGGCTGCTGGTGTTGCCATTGATGTTGTTCAATGTGTTAGAATAGGGAAATGATTTTAGAATTTGTTTGGTCGCCTTATTTTAGGTGGATTCCTCTCTCTCTGCCTTTTTCTCTCTCTTTCCCCCCACAACACACACATCAAAAGGTTGAGCTTGAGCCAAATAACAGAATTCCTAGTGATATTTTATAATTTTTAAAAAAGTACGGCCAGGCGCAATGGCTTATGCCCTTCATTCCAGTATTTTGGGAGTCCAGTGCAGGTGGATTGCTTGAGCCCAGGAGTTTGACGCCAGCCTGGGCAACATGATGAAACCCTGCCTGTACAAAAAATATTTTTTAAAAATTAGCCAGGTGTAGTCACTTGCACCTGTGGTCCCAGCTAACTGGGAGGCTGAGGTAGGAGGATCACCTGAGCCTGGGAGGTTGAGGCTGCAGTGAGCTGTGATTGCACCACTGCACTCCACCCTGGGTGACAGAGCGAGACTATGCCTCAAAAGTTTAAAAATTTAAAAATTTAAAGTTAAATAAATAAATAAGTATAATTAATGGAGATTAGGCACTACACTAAATGCCTTTTTTAACCTTTTATTTAAATGATTATAGACACACAAGAAGCTGCAAAAATGGTACAGAGAGGTCCCAGGTACGCATTATCCAGCTCACCCAGTGATAATATTTTACAAGACTCTAGTACATTATCCAAACCAGGAAATTGATGTGGACATAACAGAATTACCTAAACTACAACCTCACTCAGGTTTCAGGAGTTTTTATGCCTAGTATTTTTACATACATTTTCTCATTCCATCCTCCCATCATTATTGTTTCCATTTTGCAGAAAAGAAAACTGAGTCCAAGAAAAGCTGAGTAACTTCCCCAAGGTGGTAAGTTACAGAGTCACGATGGAATCTCAGCTTTGTCTGACTCCAAGCTCTAGTGCTAACCTACCTTCCCTACCACCCCATACCATACAGTGGGCACCACTGTGGTCACAGCAGAGAAAGGGCTCTGGTGAGACCACAGGTGTTGCTGGTGACTTGCTCACAGGAGAGGTCTTCGGAGGCAAATGTGTGGCAGACATGAGCCCACAGCCAGGTGGGCAGTAAGTCTGAAGAAGGGCTTCCTAGTTCTCCAGCCCAGCAGCTAAAGTTGTATTCTTAGACTGAGCAATCTATGGCAGGAGGCCCAGGCAGGCAGGGAGTAAGGCCAAGGTGGCTGGCCAGCCAGTGCTGCAGTGAGAGTCCACACCAGGCATGAGGAAATGGCAGGAAATGAGCAGGCTGGTGTGGCACCGGCATTGGATCAGGGTGCAGAGGCAGGCAGGAAGCAGAGACCTCACTGAAAGGCAAATCCACAGCAGCATCAAAACCAGAGAACACAGACCTTCTGCCTCATTGCTGGACCAGGGAGGCCGTGTGGCCCAGTGGTTAACTGTGGGTTCTGGAGCCAAACTGTCTGGCTTTGAATCCCAGATCTACCAACTGATAGTAGGATCTTGAATATGTTCATGTCTTTTTACCTCAGTTTCTCCATCTGTGAAATGAAAGTAATAAAAACACCTGTCTCACAGGGTTGTTATAAGGATTCAACGGCTTAACACATAGAGCTTGTAGAAAAATGCTTAACACACAATCTCTAGTCAGGTTAGCTATTATTGTCATCATACAAAATGTGACTGGATTAGGGATAAGAGGAAAACTCTAGAAAGGAAAGAGAGAAACCACCTCAAAGGTCCCAGGTGGCAGAGTGGTTGCTCAGTGCTGATGGCCCAGTGAACGTGGCTGATTAACCCAGAAAAGGTTAATTCCTCCACACAACACAGCCCAGAGCTCACAGTGCACCTTCCAAGCATTGAGCAGGATGCTGACACTGAATCATATCACTTGCAAATTATAAAGCATCAGCTGCTTCCAGACACCATGCTCACCGCATGCATGCCTCCTGGACTCCTCACAGGTAGCCCCTGAGGGAAAGAACATCTAATCCTGTTAAACAGATGAAGAAACTGAGGCTCAGCTTAAATGGTGTGCTCAAGGTCAGACAGCAGGCAAGGGGTGTAACTGGGATTAAACCAGAGCTCAGTGTTCCCACTACACCCATCATTAAGACAAACAGAACGCTCTGTAACAATGGTGTCTGGCACAGCCATGGGTCATGGGTCAGCAGGAGCAGGGAGCAGCACAACTGGGCAGAAACGGCCATGTGAGAAGACTGGGATGATTCACCCAAACTCCTTTCTCTGGCTAAGTAACTGCCTCCCCCAACCCATTCCATGAGTTTCTCTCTACTCTGCAATTTCCTATACTTCCAATGGCATCAGTAAGGCCAGATAAAAGACATTGTTTTCTTTTCATTTTATTTTATTTTTACTTATTTTAAGTTCTGGGATTCATGTGCAGGACATGAATATTTGTTACATAGGTAAATGTGTGCCATGGTGGTTTGCTGCACCTATCAACCCATCACCTAGGTATTAAGCCTCACATGCATTAACTATTTATCCTCATGCTCTCCCTCTCTCTACCCCCACAACAGGCCCCAATGTGTGTTGCTCCCCTCCCTGTGTTCATGTGTTCTCATTGTTCAGCTCCCACTTATGAGTGTTTTCTATCAGATTAGGGGACTCCACAAGAGCCCCCGTTGGCCATTCACATCACCAGCAGGACAGGGAATTAGACCTGGATCTGCTGACACACATCTTCATATTCTAAGTCGAAGTTCATTTCTACCCTTTAGGGTTGATGTCTCTCCCTCTAGGGTTGATGGACCACCCCACCTCGCCTCTGCTGGGCCTTTGTGACCTTTCTCTCACAAGCAACTGCCTGGACTCCAGGTAGGGTGAAAATACAATGGCTTATAAAACACTGGATGAAAGAAGAGTCCAGAGTCTACACTGATACTAAAATGTAGAAAGGGAGAGAAAGGGAAAGCTCTTATTTACAGTCAAATATCATCCAATACATAGAAAAGAAGTGATAGGGTTAGAAAATACCATTGATTCAGCCAAGTGCCATTAAGTGATGCTAGAACCACTGCAAGTTTGTTGGGAAAAAGGTTATTTACAGAGTCTCAAAGTGTCTCCCCAAAGGTGATTTAATCACAGTTAAGGTACCCATTGATTGTGACAAAGGTACCCTGACAGTGGACAAATTGTGAGAAACAACTTTAACCAGTGATCAAAGTCAACGTCACCCATAATAGGATAAATCTCCTTCCTCATTGCTGTGCCGAGAAGGACTCAGTGTCACTTATGTAGTATCCCTGTCAAATGGATGACCTGAGGACTCTAGAGGCAACGATCAGAAAAACCAAATTGAGGAACATTCTGCACAACAAAACACATGGCCTGTTTGCTTCAAAATGTCAGTGTCATGAAAGGCAAGAAAGGCTGAAAAACTGTTTCAGTTAAAAGAGACTATCTTTTTGTACTCATTAACCAACTTCTCTTCAACCCCCCTCCCTATTTCAAATACAGTTAGAAGGAATAAGTTCTAGTATTCGATAGTACAATAGGGAAATTATAATTAACAATAACATATTGTATATTTCAAAATAACTAGAGGAGAACCATAGAGTTCCCAAAACAAAGATAATTGTTTGAGGTGATGGACATCCCCGTTACCCTGATTTGATCATTGTACATTGTATACCTGTATCAAAATATCACATGTACCCCAAAAATATGTACAACTATGTCAATAAAATACAAAAAAAATAAAATACGGGAACCTAAAGAACCATGACAACTAAAGGTGATGTGTGCTTCCAGAGTGGAGCCAGCCAAAAAATATGGCTGTTAAAGACATTATTGGGACATTTGGTGAAATTTGAACACAGACTGTATATTAGATAATAGTGTAATATCAAGATTAAGTTTCCTGACTATGGCAACTTTACTGTAAGGAAATGACCTTATTCTTAAGAGATACAAGCTAAAGCTGAAAGGTCATGATGTCTACAATTTAGGATTAAAAGATTTGGGGGGAAAAATGGATAGATAGATGATAAACCTAAAGCGAATGTAGCAAAAGGCTAAAAGGTGACTTACATGGAAGATAATGTAGCTCATTTTATTAGTCTTGCAATTGTTCTATAAGTTTAAATATTGTCAAAATATTATTTTAAAAAACAAATGCAAAAGCATTTCTTAAATACAAGTACCTGTAAGTTGGCTTAGAGTTATACACTACAGCCAGATTGAGTGCTATCCGGGGAAATTTAACAACTAAGGAAACTCAACCCTGATTTGAGTAGATGAACTTAAAATAATTAGCAGAACGTTGCACAAACATGTAATTATACAATTATAACACAGGTCCCCTTCACACACAGTTTTCTTATTCAAAACCGGGGCCATTTTCAAAGAATGAGAATGTTAAACCAATGAAAGTTTAAAATTTTGGATCCCTAGACCATGTTTACTCTTTGACATATTCCTATTTCTGACTTTGCAGAGTTCATGAGTCACGCTCTCAGGCAGTTTATGATATGCCCGCCTCAAGTACTTGAGCCTCGTTGCCCGAGCCAGAGTTATTTCCCCTTCTAAATGAGGACAAGCATGTCTGTAGCTCCTGTACAAATAACAATGCTCCCATAACTGAGCTGACTTCCAGGGTTAGGAGGAAATTGGACCTAGCAAATTCACTTCTGGCTGCACTTAACAGTAATCAATAAATGGGGATCTGCAGCTAGGATACAGTTGTAGGGCTGTTTAGTCAATGACCATTAGCTACTACAGCATTTAGAAGGATGTAATTTAAAAAATGGTCTTTGTTCCAACCATGTGGGAAAGCATATTTTCACAAGTTTCTTCCCAAAATTGTCCACGTACTTCCTCCAGGCACCGCAGAACACCCAGTGTTTAATCACTGCACTGTTCTCCAGCTCCATTATTTCATCTCTGTCACAGGCCAGGAAACCTTCATTTCGATGCTACGTGTGCAGGAGACCAAGGCATGGAAATATAATTCCTAATTCTGTAACTTAATTTAAAAATATATACAGTCTCCTTTCTGCTTACTCAAAGATGGAGAGCTCCGAAGATTTCTGCCTGCGGAATAAAACTGAAACTCTTTCTCATGGCAAACAAGGCCCTACATTACATAGTCCCAGGCTTACCTTTGCTTTACCTGGTTCCAAACTTTACCTGCCTCTTGTTCACACACCTCAGTCACAAATCAAACAGTTCCTTCAACATAAGGCATGTGTTCCTCTCTCCTGGCCCTGGTTCAAACTGTTCCTTTTGCTTCCCTTTTATGTCCACCATAATCCAGGGTGATCTGTTTTATGGTTATACCATAGTGCCATTCAATATATGCATCGATCTCTGTGAGGTCTGGGAGACGGGGAGAGGGTGGGGGAGGACAAATGGGGCCTGCAGTGGTCTGACTCACCTCATGCAGCTTCAGTGCCCAACACAGGATGTAATTGTAGAGTATGCACTGAGCACATGAATGGGAAGAGAGCATTTGTTATCAGAGAAATTTTAATAAGAAGGAAAAGGATCATTTTCCTCTAGCAAGGTCAAAATCCCTGCCCTAATGCTGTAAATAGGAACAAATATTTCTACAGAGTAAAACACAGGGTTAAATTATCATAAGGTAATGAATCAATCACACCAATCAAGGGATATACAGATTTGCCTTATTACAGGGCACAGTTTTAAAGGGGTCTGCTTTATTTTTATTTAGGGTACCTTAATTTCACTGCAACAAACAAATGCAGTTAAAGTCATTCATCATGGAAAGTTGTAAGGGGTGACATATGGTGTTTTTGAGATATTTCCCAGTGTAGAGTCCCATATCAGTAGGCCAATCTGTCTCTTTACTTCATCCACCATTAAGACTTAGCCCCAAGCCTGGTACTGGGGAGGAGGGGGCTATAAGGGAGGAGAAGTAGAAAGGCAGAGGTGCAGCTTTTCTGGCAGGGGAGATGACAGGGAGAAGAGAAACCAGAGCAGAAGAGGCAAGGGTGAGACCTGAGTGTCCTCTTCTCTCTCTGGAGGGATATCCGCCCAAAAACCGGAAGCTCTACACCAAAGTGAACTCAGTGGCCAGTAGAGTTAGGTAAAGGGAGGCTGAGTTTTAGCTTTGCCAGGTTGTCTGTAGGCTCTTTGTGGTTTGGACAGGCCCCAGAGGCTCCCACAAGCTCCTGAAGCCAAATCTCAGAAGTTACCTGGGATTGTGACTGAGAGATAGTCCTGGAGGTTGCCATGGGGACAAAGTGGCCACGGGCTAAAGGCTGGACCATCTGATGCTGAACCACATAAGAATCAAAACCAGACCATCCTCAGGGCCTAAAGCACAGCCACAGGAGGAGTGGAAAGGGGCTGGGAGGGAAATAAAGGCGGGAAGGGGAGTCAGATCACACCTGCCAGCAGAGCCACACAAACCAGACACCATCTTGGTGAGCTGCAGGGTGCCAGAGGGGACTTCTGAACCAATGAGCATTTTACCAAAAGAAACTAAATCATCAGAAAAAAAAAGTATCATCCAAATGGTAAGTTCATATTTGACTTTAAATGTAGAGTTTCTCCCTAGTTCCCCTTAAAGTGGGGGCTCCAGAGGAAGACTAGTTCAACTAAAAAGGAAATTAAGAAGCAACATTTTCTCACACATCTTGGGGTATTGACAAAGTTGCAGCCCTGTTACACGGGTATTTCTCACATTAGGGCTGACAATCTATAAAGTACATTTTCTGGATAGTAACTCTTAATTCCCTATTAATTCATAAGAATAAACCCTCTATCCTCCAATAAGCCAAGTCAAGAAATTTTAGTGAAGAAAGGAATCTGGGCCAGGTGTGGTGGCTCACGCCTGTGATCCTGGCACTCTGGGAGGTCGAGGTGGGTGGATCACTTGAGGCCAGAAGTTCAAGACCAGCCTGGCCAACATGGTGAAACCCCATCTCTACTAAAAATACAAAAATTAGCTGGGCGTGAGGCTGAGGCACGAGAATCACTTGAACCCAGGAGGCAGAGGTTACGGTGAGCTGAGATCACACCACAGCACTCCAGCCTGGGTGACAGAGCAATACTCTGTTGAAAGAAAGAAACTAAAAACAGGAAAGAAAAGAGAGAGAAAGGGAGGGAGGGAGGGAAGAAGGAATATGATGGGAGAAAGCCCCTGGCTAGCTGACTTCTGCAAACCACTGCCTATATTTTAGGCTTCCAAAGTCTGCAATGCATTTTCAACAGCATTACTCTTGCTGCCGTCTCTCCCAACCAGGAATTTCTCTAATGCCTGAGATGGACTGAATTTATACTTTCAGCTCCTAGAATTACACCATCCTTTTCATAGGAGGTTCGTGAGCTAAACCATAAAAAATGAATTGGGCTGCAAAACTACAACCCATTCATTCAATCAACAAATACACCTGAAGCATCTATGATATACCAGGCAATCCAGGCAGTGGGTCCCTGCCACCCAGAAAAATTTGTATCTAATGCAAAATATGAATAAGAATAATGTGGGATGTGCTACCATGGGCCAGTGGTAGTGTCCAGACAGCACACGGATAGGAGGTTGGGCAGCCCAGTTGTGGAGGTATCCAAGAGAGCACAGAGCATCCTTGACATTGGGCTACACCCGTGATCTCACTGCCAATCTCCTCTACTCTACTGCTCCCACCCTCATAGCTTATTGGTGCTACCTTCACACATCAAATACTCTATTGAAAATCTCTTCCCTGTAAGTCTACAGGTTGTGTACAATGAAGTTATTGCTCATGCAACTGGAGACGAGAAGTGCATTTACCTCGCACCCCATACTGACCCCCAGGGGTAGTTTGGTCCAAGCTGATCTCAAATCTTCACACTTCCTTCAAAGGAAGGAACTTCCTTTGTTTAGAGTTTAGAGAGAACTTCAGGGATTCCCTGCATATTTTGGGTCTTTATGTGGGCTGGAACAGCAGTTCCTGTTGCTAATTAGGAAACATAGAGAAGTTTATCCACACTTCACATTGGCAGGGTGAGTTAGGTGGAAGCTCCAGAAAGAGTGTCCCGCTCCTCCTCCCAACCCAACAGCACTGAAAGCTTCCTGAGGGTTATTCTAGGATGAATAACTCACACTTTGTAAAATGTGCTGCTAAAATTTATTGTGGTTGAGGCATATGCTGAGGGGTTGAGGACACCTCAGATGAGCTACATTCCTGGGGGTGGAAGCCTGGATTTCTCAACGGCCCAAGAAGAATGTGCTCTGGTTGGAAAAAGGATGCATTCTCTAGGGGGAGTCAGCCCTAGAGACAAGCCCACTGGCTAGGAGCCAGGTGTGTCCATCAGCAGACCTTCTGTATGAAGGTCAACATTTGTGAACCTTTCTTGGACAATGAAAACAATCATATTTTGAGGATAATTACAATTTTATCCTTATGTTGTAGTTTCTTTAATCTCAATGCTTCCACAAAATCCCCTGTAAGGCAATAAAAGTACAAGATACTAAAGAAAATTGTGACTTGCCCCATGTTCCCTCCCACTAGAGCCCATAGGGAAGATACTGCATCAAATATAAAATTAAATATAGACAGACTGGCCCAGAATATCCAGGCCAGTAGCATTGGAGCTATGCCCCCCGTGCCAAGCTAGAAGTGATGCACCAGCAGAGAACTGCAGTGTGATGGGAGACTGTGGTCCTCCTAGAAGCAGATGTCAAGACAGGATTAGACATACAAGAAATGTATTGGAGTAAAATCTGTAAAAACAAATGAGTAAAAAGCTGAGCGAGGCTGAGAAAGCCATCAGACCTGGATGCAGGTCTGACTCCCAGTAAAAGAAAGTTGGGTGGCAGTGTCTGAGACTGTACTGCAGCTCTAAAAAAAGTTCAGCAAGGCCGTTAGTGAGTCTGAACACCAAAGTCACCATCAAAGGAGTTCCATGTCTCCCAGGAACAGCTGACCTTAGGGTCCCTGCCATGCTCAGTCATCGCCAATGGGTTCCAATGGGTTCCTCTGGGATGCACAGCTTTGGCCATCACAGGGATAAATTTCCCCACACACAAGCTAGGAGGCCATGCGTCAAGTTCACTTTCTGTGATCAGAGATATGAAAGGTATATTCTCATGGCCACCACAGAGATAAGCCCTCCCTTCCCAAACTACCAGTGAGAGGACCAACAAGAATGCAAGAGGAATGGTGTCTACCTCATATATACTTGGTCATTTTTTAACACTGGAAGATCTGTCTCTAAAAACTTACAAAGAGAGACCTAAATATTGCCTTTATGTGAAGCCAAGGTTGCAATAAAAACTTCTCTAGGCTTTAAAAATTCTCAGAATTCATTCTTTCATTTTTCCCCTTGGCAAATGATTTGGATTTGCAAAGACTAAAGGTGAAAAATAACTCCAGGAAGGCAACACTAAGTCAGGAGAGTAGGTGTCCCCAGAAGTTTCCAATGGGTGAGCAACACTCAGTAATAGAAAAATATGTGTGACCAGACTTCCTATGAGCTAATTGGGAATTTTAACCCATGACTCATCCCAGGGCGGGGCCGAAGCTCCAGGGGACGCTACCCCACACCATGCCATATCATCAGCCAGACTGCACATTTCCTGAAAGTAATCAAGTCAGAAACTGACATTTTGGCAGCAGCCCCTAGTGGAAAAATGACTGCCAAAAGCCAAAATGAGGATGAGTTCAACGATTTAATTCTGCATGGAAAACACAATCCATTAAATGGGATCTGACAAGGCCTTAATCTCATCCGTAGCTGAGGGTGTTGGCTCAATGCGATTCTGCTCTCTGGAACATATTCTTAGTAAGCTATCTATAGAATCTAGAAAGCCTTTGCCAAAGCCCAAATAAGTCCATCCTAAGTGGGAAGAGAAGCTCACCAAGCCCCCACTGACTCTGTAGGGAGTAAGCACATGATTCTTCCAAGTGCAAAATTATCAAAACCTGGCAACTCAACCTGTGTTGGGAGTCGCATGATTCAAAGCAAAGGAACTGAGATGGGCAATGCACTGAGTGGCTTCAGAATTTCCACCACTGCCCAAGGAGGTCAGGCCCACAGCCAGCATCACTCACAAAGCATCCATAGGGCTCATATTCCCTGGCTGGGGCCCACTGCATAATCCAGTCACAAAAGAAAGAGTTGGGGGTGTAGAGGATCAGTCTTCTCCCAAACAGGGTTTTAAAAACTGAAGTGAGAAAGAATTAGAGGCTGTCACCTTCTTTGGCCCACTTAATCCTAACAGCAGCCCCCAAAGCCCATTATTTTACTGTTTGCATGTGAAAAATGAGGAAAGAGAACAAAAGCATTACTCAAATCATGTAGTTTAAAAGATTGTTTGCAAATTCATACTTGTGGGATTCCAAAGCCCATGTCTCACCACTCTGAAGGTGGTGGTCCTCAGACTATTGCATCAGTTGGAGCTTGTTAGAAATGCAGATTCACAGGCTGCACCCCAGACCTACTGAATCAGGATCTGCATTTAACAGGATTCCCCAAGGAATTCATTTAGACATAAGGTTTGAGAAGCAGTGCCTTCAATGGCTTCTATCCAAAAAGGGTAGGTGGATTGAAAACATAAGTCTAGACTAGAAAAAGATTTAGTGCAATAGAATAGGGCCAGTCTTATAGGATATATAAAATATGTATCAAAATATAACTCAAACTATATATCCAAAGTGCACACTCAAATTAGTATAACCAATCACACCATATCTTTTTTCACCAACAACAAATCTAGAGACATGAAGTCCAAGGTTATGTGGTGCTAGTAGAATATGCTGAAGGAGCATGGCTGTAGAGCTAGGTAGACTTGGTTGAAATCTCCAGCTCTGCCACCTGCTGGGTGACTTTGGGCAAGCTGCTTGATCTCTCTGAGCCTCAGTTTCCTGACCTGTACAACTGGGATAACAATACTCAACTTGCCAGCCTTTTGAGGGGATTAAATGAGCAAATGAATGCACAGTCCTCGGCACATAGCAGATGCTCAATAAATATTGGCTTCTCTTACTTGTGGTACCATCTGAGCCAGGTCCCTCCCACCTCTGGGAATGTGTACACCAGAGGCTGGGGAGACAAACCTCTCTCAGCAGCCAGCTCTTTCATGTTCTCTTGGGTCCTCTAGTGGCAGGTATTGAGATTCCTGTCACTAATCAGACTGGATGGACTTGTCTGTCTTCCTTAGCCCCAGGTTCAATTTATTCTCTATTCTCTTTTAAGAAAAACCTGAGCAGAGCAACAGGTTTAAAGGGATAAAATGTGAGAAACAAGGAAAGAGGCACCCAAGGTGAGTTCCCAGGAGTGTCTATTTTCCAGGTACCAAAGCCTTTTTCTTTATTTGTGGTTCCCACTTTCTTCTTTTCAAAAATCTCAGGTTTTGAAAACAGACCTTTCATGCCACAAGTTTAGTGAGCTTTCAGGGCCCACAGTGTCTGCACGTGGAGCCACAAAACCCATGTTTGATCCTATTTAACTTTGTATGTGTAGGCTTCAAGGGCATGTAAGGATTCCAGTGAGTGCTGAGCACGAATACAAAATTAATACTTACTGAGCTCATTCTGGGTACTGGACACTGTGCTTGGCTCATTCACATGCGTTATCTCCTTTAAATCCTCTCCAAACCCCAGGAAGGGGGTCTCTTTATCCCCATTTCAAAGATTTTAAAACAGGCCAGAACAGGTGAGTAAGTTTGTTCTCACACTGCTATAAAGAAATACCTGAAACTGGGTAATTTATAAAGGAAAGAGGTTTAATTGACTCACAGTTCCACATGGCTAGGGAGGCCTCAGGAAACTTACAACCATGGCAGAAGGTGAAGAGGAAGTAAGGACCTTCTTCACATAGCAGCAGGAAAGAGAAGAGTAAGCAGGGGAAATGCCAGAAGCTTATGAAACCATCAGATCTTGTGAGAACTCACTCACTATCACAAGAACAGCATGGGGGAAATGCCCCCAAAAGCCAGTTACCTCCCATCAGATTCTTCCCTTGACACATGGGATTACAATTCAAGATGAGATTTGGGTGGGGACACAGACCCAAACCATATCAATAGGTAAGTGACCTGCTCAAATTAACATAGCAAAATACTCTCGAGTTCAAAGGGATCCTAAATCTCATCTAGTGCAGTGGTTCTCCAGGTGTGATCCTGGACCAGCAGCATCAGTATAACCTGAAGCTTGTTAGAGAACAACATCCTTGGGCCCCACCTAGATCTGGGATGAGCCCAACAATCTGTTTTAACAATCCCCCCGGGTGATTGTGATGCACACTCAAGTTTGAATCATCAGACCACTCTTCAAATCCAACCTCAGTATGACAGTTAAGAAAACAGAGGTTTTGCCACCAAAAAAAAAAAAAGACATTATGTGAAGCGGTGGATATGTTATTTAGCTTGATTTAATCATTTTGCAATGTACACATGCAACAAAACATCATATTATTTTACATTGTAAAATTTTATTTGTCAATTATACCTTTATAAAGCTGGGGAGTTGGGTGGTGGGGGAGAGAAAAACAGAGGTTTGAAGAAATGAAGTAATTCGCCGGGGGCAATAGAGTTGGAACTGAAACCCAGTACAACCACTATCAGAAGTCCAATTTTCGCACCTGGATAGCTTAAAATGTTTGTTTCTTGGAGAGTAAAGACTAAAGCCCTTGGTACAACTGAGCACTAAACTGTGTTGCCTTCCAGCAATATTGGCTGGGATCTGGACCTGGGCAGCCATGAGGAGACCTCAAGCCCTGGAAGCATGCTCCCAAGACTCTGCTAAACTGTCTGCTCCAATACATAGAGTATGCCTCATCAGCACTGCCCAACCAGGAAGGGGATAAGAGGGAAGACTGTCAGGGACCATATCCAGAGTTGAGATGGTGTTTGCACAAACCTCAACTATCGACACACAACCCCTAGGGAAGAAAGGTGGTGCCTTCATTTTCCAAAATCTTTATTTCTAAGTCAGTGTGTCAAATTCTCACTTTCAGCTATACCCTCTGGCATTATTAGTAACTGACATTAATCCAGTGACAATCCAGAGTGTTTGCAGGCCATACTTAGGGATGGCAGCCTGATTGGAAGACAAGGCCCAGGGACATGTCTTGACGCTGCATTTGAATCACAAGCATGCTTTTTATGTGAGTTTATAGATGATATACTTATTTGGGGTGGGGTGATAAAGTAAGACTTAAAGTCTGCCCAAGCTACTCCTTGCTGCTGCATTGGAGACCAGCAATCTACCAGCAATTTTTTATAGGCTTTCTCTCTCCAAGCCAGTTTCTTCATCTCTAAAATGGACAGAATCCTTGAGTTTTTTGGGTTAAGCCTGGCAAATAAGAACGGCTATTGCTGATGTAACAGGGAGCCTGGTGGAGACTGAAACATAAAAATATTTGAAATTTTTTTGAAAAACACCCATCATTGATAAATTTATAAACACTTCGTATCTTTGGAAACAGAAAGTAGAATTTAGCTTTAGAGCAGACTGTCCCTTTGCTCTGAAAAGAACTACTTAAATGAAAATACTAAATGCAAATATTAAACAAGTGCACACATTTTGTCCTGGTAGTAGCTTGTATATATTTGCCTCCACCTTGCAGAGAGCTAGAAAAGATTTCCGGGAAAAGTGGAATTAAGTATCTAACCCCTTCCTTTTGAGAATCAACATTATTAGAATATGTCTGAGAAAAATTGTGGTTGTGCTGAGGCCAAGTATCAGGAAAAGACAACAGAAGCCACAGAGAGGAGTCATCACAAGGAAGAGGTAATCTAAGCTGGTGATAAAAATGCCTAATTTCACTGAGGTCAGAAAGTACATGCTCAACATGAGACCTCATTTCCCTAGTAGGGGACAAAAGGCATAACAGGATAAGCGATGATTCTTGAACCCAGCCTGTCAATAAGGCTGGGGGTCCCTGTGAATAGTGAGGGACAAGAACCCCAAGAAAAGACTGGACCTCCTGATAATTTGGCACATTGGGCTTATTGACATTGTCATTTGTATCTTGTTTGGTAAGAGGTGATGACCATATTTCATGGCCCTAAACTCCAAATGCCCTCCAAGCGTGACCAAGGAAAAAGAGAACGAAGTAATCAAAGCTATCATTAACCCTTATTGTGGTACCACTCAATGGTAATGACCCTACAGAGGAGCTGTAGGGTAACCTTGATTATGCTCTGATTTATTCATTGATAAATAAACTCTTCCCATACCTGAGTACTTTACTTGTAGTAATTTATGCACAACAAATCTCACAGCTGATCATGCCACCACAGTTAAGGACAATTGCAGAAGAGAATATTTACCATTTAGCACTGTCATCAAAATCAACCATCTTCTTTGGAAGAAAGGATAGTTACAAAATAGTACACAGTTGTATTAAGGGTACCAATAAATAAATAAATAAATAAATGCTAATGGATTTCTTGTCTCAATTGCTAAAGGGTTGGCATATACCTGCATGCACCTGCTGTCTTTTTCCTACAGCACCAAGTGTTACAAGGAAACAGAAATAAGTCCTGATATTCAATTTATAACTTAATCTCTTTCAGAAACCAAGACACTGCTACAC
Source organism: Homo sapiens (assembly GCF_000001405.40). Lineage (NCBI taxonomy): Eukaryota > Metazoa > Chordata > Mammalia > Primates > Hominidae > Homo > Homo sapiens. The sequence continues at coordinate 32,168,273 of NC_000007.14, forward strand.
GTTACAACTAACAGACCAAATGACATTCATGGGCATCAATATTAAAGCTCATGAGCTCTCTATTAAAGAGCACCAAGAGAATGCAAACAAAACAGATGATGGTAATGGAGTTCGGTGAGCAAATAAGATGTTATTTTCATGAGAGTAACTCTTTGCCTGTTCATTGAAGAAAATGATGACCCTGGTTTAGGGTGGAAGGAGTAGTTATAAGAAACCTTAGGAGAAGGGATTGACTCCATAAGAAATGCTCCAAGGTGAGAACACATAGACAGAGAAAGCCATTCATGGTCCCCTCTTTCACCACAGTCACTTGCTGAGAATTGCAGGTTCATAAGACGTATTCTCTCAGGTGAGTGGGTTTTATTTTATTCAAAACCTTATGATGCAATAACCAAGCCCTTAGTAGGAATAAAAACAGCATTTACCTGCAATTCTTGTCTCACTAATGTACTCGTCACACTGTATAAAGAAATCCAAACCCCTATTTAGCACTCCTTTCAGAACTCATCTGTAATTCAATCAACACTAAGAATCTTCACACAATGAAATGGCTCTCACTGAGCAATTACACATATCACCTGGATACAAAAGAGAGTATATTTTTCAAATATATTTCATGGAACTCCAACAGCTGTCTGAATTGTTTATGGGGAGAGAAAAACGAGGTTTATATGTTCTGCTAACCATGTGGAGAGTATGAAAGTCTATAGTGGAAAGAAAAGTGGAAGAAGTAAAATTGACATAACAGGAAGAAAGGAGGGGCAGAAGGCAATCTGGAAAAATGATTGAGTCTTAATTTCTGATACCAGTAGTACTGTAAATATACTGTTTCAAATGTGAGTCTGAAAGACCCATTTGGGGAAAAAAAAATCACGTTTTTACACCACACTCATACCCAGATTGATTTTTATTTAATATGGGTGAGAAGGCAAGGGATGGAGTTGTAATGAAAATGGAGTGCAATGCCGAAAGAAAATAAGAGACCTTGCAGGAAGATGCAAGACTAAACAATGAACTAGAATAGAGTAAACAGCCACCTGGGAAACAACATGAGAAAATTCTTGCTTCATTTCCGTCAGCAGCAGCTCTTACATCTTTTACAACTGGAAACCTTCCCCCAGCAAGAGACTCTAAATACACAGGGCTGAATTAATTCCCAACACGTGCTTTTTCTCTATGCCCTTATCTGGATGTGTCATCCTCCTTTGAAGCAAAAGACTCATTAATCCAATTCAAATTGCCAACATCAGTAAATCCTCTACCTCAGCATTTAAATGCCAATACCAATTAAATACCAACAGCAACTTAACTACTGATAAGATCTTCACTACATTCAGGAAATACAGCCAGAAGTCCAGCTAGCATTGATTCCAACCCTCCTTCATCAATTTTAATTTATTCAGTGCAAAGAAATGAAGTAATTTGCTGGCCACACTGACTATGCATCTAACTGGATTGAAACAACTCCACAAGCAAATAAGAAGGAACACATTGAGTTGCAATCCACCAAACCTGAAGGATGTCTTCACCAAGACTTCTGGGCTATCCAGCTGTGGCAATTCATCAGCTAGGATCTCCTCTGGGGGTCGAGGGTCATGGACAATTGTTGGCCTTGGCTTCTCCTTGACATTCCCTGTGAGCCCATCGATGAGGGAGTTCCACAGACAGTTCTGTGACTTAGACCCTGAGGCATGGGGAAAAGAGAGATGCAGGTGAATCATCCACCAGTTGACTCCATGTCCTGCCTTCCCCAACTCAGGATCTTCCAAAGCAGAGCAGGGAAATTTATATATTTCTCACCATCTCCGCCAACATTACAGAGTTGTAACCAGGAATTTTTACATTTATATGCAGAAAATAGGCTACCACTCTGAGTATTTTGACACAAAGCTAAGTTATTGGATATATCTTGTCTCATTGCAGTGGTGATCAGCCCAAACTCCTGACAGAGCCACAGGTATCTATGTAGATGTTTATTCAGCAGTTGGAAATATATAAAGCACTACCATTTTAGGGAACTGTGAGGATGTTCAAATACAAGTCTCCCCTATAAATTCAGCTTGCTGAAGCCCAAGACTCCATTCTATGGAGACACCCACCCCAAAGAGGGCACCACCTTTAAGAACTAGAACTCACCATATCAAGACCCAGGAAAATTACATGTAGTTTATGCATGTAAAACTTCAAACACGTGAGATAAATATTAAAGGTGGGCATCAAGTGGAAGCGGTGTCTACAAAAGTAGAGCCTGATCTGCCAGGTGATCAAGATCAAACTCAACAGTGAGAAGTTGTGTTGATAGTGTGTGCCCTTGATATGATGTCATGAAAATGTCACTTTTGCTTTGTGTATTAGGCATGTTTCTAGCTTCCACAAACTTCATGCTGTAACATCTGCCCTACATGCATGTGCCCAACACAGCTAGTTCTGGACAACCCAATAGTATGCCTGAGTCACCTGACCTTGGCCTCCTGCCTCCCTTGTCGCCCCACTCTCCCCCAACCCCCAACTCCTCAGGAGAAGTCCTCCTTCCAGGGGTGTGCTTTTAAAACAAAAACCAGCCAATCCAGAGTCCACACCCCATCTACCTCCCTTATAGGACTTTCTCACCCCTGACCACTCTCCACTGGGCCTAATCACCCCAGGGCCTGGTACCAGGCAACTAGGTATTAGGCAGCCCCTAGGCTCCAGCCCCCTGAAGTCATTCAAACTAGCCAGTCCCAACCCTGCCTACCCTGCCTTGCCTGTTCCTTCTTGCAGAAACCACAACAAAGGTTCCTGCCCACAATGTCCCACCCCACCTCCTGACTGACACCAGTGCTTCCCCAGATGGCCCCGTAACATGACATGGAAGCCCTCTCCTGGGAACTGTGGGTAATAAATTATCTTTACAATGGCATTTGTCTCCTTATCTGTTGACCTTACCATACCTAAACAGTAATAAAACTTATTAAATAATCAGTCTAAAACACCCAATCTAGCCATGGAGAAAACATTAGATAAACCACTTGAAGAACCTGCGACAGAACACCTGACCCGTGCTCTTCAAAACAGTCAAAGGTACCAAATACTGCTGAGCCTCCATATCCATGGGTTCCATGGATTCAAACAACTAAAGAAGGAAAATATTCAGAAAAAAAAAATCTGTAGTAAACATGCACAGACTTTTTTTGTCATTATTCCCTAAATAATACAATAACTATTTACTTAATATTATTATTTTACTTATTATTATTAAAATTAAATTATTAAAATTAATATTTTAATAAAATTTTATTATTTTAACAAAATTAAATTATTAAAATTGTTATTGAAATTATTATTTTACTTAATGTTATTATTATATTATTCCCTAAATAATACAATAACTATTTATTTAACATTTACATTGTATTAGGTATTACAAGTTATCTAGAAGTGATTTAAAGTATATGGGAGGATGTGCATAAATTATATGACAATACTACATCATTTTATATCAGGCACTTGAACCTCTGTGCATTTTGTTACCTGAGGTAACCAATTCCCTTGGAAATAGAGGGACTAGCATATAAGGAAAGTCTGAAAAACTGTCACAGCCAAGAGGAGCCTAAAGATATGATGACTAAATGTAATGTGGCATCCTAGATGGGATTGTGGAACAGATGTACCATGCTAAGGTAAGAGGTTAATAATACAGGAAACTGCGTGTAGGCCGTATGAGATCTCTATATTATCTTTGTAATTTTTCTGTAAATCTAAAATTGTTCTAAAATAAAATTCATAAAAATAAAAGTAAATAAAAATCATAAATAAATCATATATAATTAATTAAATAACTATTATTTTAAAAGTCTATGAGCAAAAAATTTTTTAAGTAGAGCCTGAAGACATTACCATTACCATTAACCAATTGCCGTTGGCTTGTTCTGGTTATGTCTACCCAGATAAAAGAAAAATTTTGTCTTTGCACAAAGACACTGTCAGGTTGAGTGAACAGGCAACCTATAGAATGGGAGAACATTTTTGCAATCTACTCATCTGACAAAGGTCTAATATCCAGAATTTACAAGGAACTTAAACAAATTTACGAGAAAAAAACAAACAACACCATCAAAAAATGGGCAAAGGATATGAACAGACACTTCTCCAAAGAAGACACTTACATGGCCACCAAACATATGAAAAAAAGCTCTACACCACTGATCATTAGAGAAATGCAAATCAAAACCACAATGAGATACCATCTCATGCCAGTCAGAACGGCAATTATTAAAAAGTCAAGAAGCAGTCAGGCATGGTGGCTCACGCCTGTAATCCCACCACCTTGGGAGGCCAAGGCTGGTGGATCACCTGAGGTCAGGAGTTCAAGACCAGCCTGACCAACATGGAGAAACCCCATCTCTACTAAAAATACAAAATTAGCCGGGCATGGTGGTGCATGGCTGTAATCCCAGCTACTTGGGAGTCTGAGGCAGGAGAATCGCTTGAACCCAGGATGCAGAGGTTGCAGTGAGCCGAGATGGTGCCATTGCACTCCAGCCTGGGCAACAAGAGCAAAACTCCATCTTTAAAAAAAAAAAAAAAAAAAAAAGGCAAGAAGAAATAGATTCTGGCGAGGCTGTGGAGAAATAGGAACACTTTTACACTGTTGGTTGGAGTGTAAATTAGTTCAACCATTGTGGAAGACGATGTGGCGATTCCTCAAGGATCTACAAACAGAAATATACCATTTGACCCAGCAATCCCATTGCTGGGTATATACCCAAAGGAATATAAATCATTCTACTATATAGACACATGCACACATATGTTTATTGCAGCACTATTTACAATAGCAAAGACATGGAGCCAACCCAAATGCCCATCACCGATAGACTGGATAAAGAAAATGTAGCATATATACACCATGGAATACTATGCAGCCATAAAAATGAGAATGAGGTCATGTCCTTTGCAGGGACATGGGTGAAGCCGGAAGCTATCATCCTCAGCAAACTAACCCAGGAACAGAAAACCAAACACTGCATCTTCTCATTCATGAGTAGGAGTTGAACAGTGAGAACACATGGACATAGGGAGGAGAACAACACACACCAGAGCCTGTTGAGGGGTGGGGTTTAGGGGAGGGAGCTTACAGGACGGGTCAATATGTGCAGCAAACCACCATGGTACACGTATACCTATGTAACAAACCTGCATATTCTGTACATGTATAGCAGAACTTAAAGTAAAATAAAAATAGAATAAAATAACAATAAATAAAAATTAAAAATTAAAAAAAAAACACTGTCAGATCACTAAGCCATGCACCATAGAGCTGTGTCTATGCAAAATACTGCATTTTTCTAATTCACACAAAGCCTCCTTATGGGGCATGAGGGATGGGCATGAAGGAGTGAGAAGCAGTGCTAGCTAACACACACCATGCACATGGGATAGGCAGATAGAAAATGGATTTGTGTGCACATGAGAATTCCTCCCTGAGACCTTGGCCAGCCACCTGCAGCCCACCATAGAAGAAATCACCCTGGCTTGTTGTGCCAGAAGGACAGCTCTGCCAGGAAGACTGAAAGAACCTCACACACAAGAGGGAGTTCCTCACATGGATTCCTGAGCCTACAAGCAAGGACACCCATGGGTCAGCAAACAGCTCTTTCAATGCCCGTGCCATAACTGACCTCCCTTGGGGTGTCCATCCAAACTGCTTGTGTCTATCAAGAGAAAATTAAAGTACATCAGTGGAAGGAAACAGATTCCTCAAACCCCTGAAAGACAAGACAGCTTTTTTTGTTTTTTAAGGGCCCTACACATATATCTTAATAAGATATGGTCCTATTAATGAAGTCTGGTTCTGCATTAATGAAGATCAGTTCTATGTTAATGAAGGTCTGGTTCTGGGAAGAAGAACAAGAACAGCAGCCTGTTTTCTTAAACCTGATCTAAATGAAGGCCTTACAAAAAAGTTCCTGCACATCCCCCTTTATTCCTTCATTTTTTTCATTCAGTAAACACATATTGAATTCCCTCAATGTGCCAGGTTTCATTCTTCGCCCTAGAAATGGAAAGATGAATGAGACTGGTTCCCAAGGGAACCCACAAGCAATCATAATAAACTGGCAATGCACCATAACTGAGGGGCAAATAGAGGGCTATGGGACCCAGAGGAGAGCTCACCCACTCTGCCTCGGGACCCTGGGGAAAACCACAGAGAGAACATGACATCGGATATGGTCTAAAGCATGAGACGCTCTTCAGCCGGTGGAAAGGAGGGGAAAACAATCAGTGCAGACAGCATATACAAAGGCTCAGAGGCGTAACAAAGCAGCTCCTGAGGCTGGGACGAAGCCACAGGGGCAGTGTCCAGAGATCGGGTCAGAGGCTGGTTGGGCCATTTGCAAAGTGCCTTGAATAAAATGCTACTCATTTAAGAATTTATCCTCCAAGCAATAAAAAGAAAAAAAAAGAAAAGAAAGATTTTTGAGCAAGGTTGTGGTGACACAGCTGTACCTGTATTTCAGAAAGGAGACTGGTGTGCTGTGGAGTAGTGACTTATGAGGAATGGCAGGCTCGTAGGAAGAGCTCCTGAATCCATAGGGTGCCATGCATTTAACTGTGGGTGAAATTACATCTTACCCATAAATATGTAACTAATATTTAAATATATATAGATGTGATTAATAAAACTACAAATTCATCTAAAACTATTAATGAATTCATAAGAGCTTTTTCACCGTTTTCTCAGTCAATGAATCAGAAGGATCATGAGACCCAAGCCACCTCTACATTAAGGGCTCCCAAATGAAAATGTGATACCTCCAAAGTACCAGCCCCCACAAAGATACACATTCATGAGTTTAAAAGAAAACTGTGGTTGAAGAGATGACTAGGATTCACTCAACACTCACTCTCAACTCCCCTCTCACTTGCCTTCATCTTCTAAAAAGGCTAGAAAACAATATACAGGCATACATAGGAGATATCATAGGTTCACAGTTCCAGACCACTGCAATAAAGCAAGTATCACAATATAATGAGTCACACACATTTTTTTGGTTTCCCCAATGCATATAAAAATTATGTTTACACTGTAGTCTATTAAGTGTGTAATAGCGTTTTGTCTAAAAACACAATATACATATCTTAACTCTAAAATGCTTTATTGCTGAAATAAAAAATGCTAACAATCATCTGAGCCTTCAAGCAGAGGTAATCTTTTTGCTGGTGGAGAATCTTGCCTCAGCGTTGATGGCTGCTGACTGATCAGGGTGGTGTTGCTAAAGGTTGGGGTAGCTGTGACAGTTTCTTAAAATAAAACTCTACCATCTCTGCACTCAAGAAGCTTTGAAGAGGCAGAAAAACACAAGGCAGCTGCTAATTGATTTAGACTAGAGCCAGTCTTTGGAAAACTGAATTCGTTTTCCCTAGCCCTCTCCTTAATCCCCTCCATAAACAATTTTCCAATCCATCGAAGTGTTTGAAATTGACCAAAAACTTTCATGAGCGTCCTATCTATCTCACCCATCTGAATTGTCTTCACTTTTCACTATCTTGGAACTACTTTACAATACTGTAAATTGGAGAAAACTGATAGCAACACAAATGAATCTTGTCCATAGAAATGTAAATTGTGTCCCATGGAATGCAATTAATTATGGCCCTGTAGATATTGATAAGTCTTGCCATTTCACATCCATTAAGTAAATTTCAGCACACCTGATGGATTTACATATTTTTCTGCTCTTTGGATTTTCTTCCAAACTAGTTGTTACATCTTACTGGTTTATTCATCAATGTGTTGAATAAGATCTTTGACACATGTTCACTTTGTACTTGTATGAATTTTCAAAAAATTATCCTTTAACAGTACCAAAGTCCTCATGCTGCTCCCCTTTGAGAAGTCTCTTGTAGTTAGCCTAACTACATCTGAATTAACTATAGTACATTTATGTAATGGATTGCTATGCCACTGACTAATATCCCAAAGCGAAAGATCTCTATAAGCTGATAAGGAGTGATTTCCAAGATCCATTATAAGTGAAAAAAAAACCGCATGAGTCTATTTATATTATGCTCCCTCTTGAATAAGAAACAAGGGGAAATATATTTGTTTATTTTTGCAAAAGACAAAGAAGACAGGACCAGAAACAATGAAAATTACCCACAAAGGATGAGTTGGGAATAAGTAAGACAGGTTGGAGATGAAAGACTTCACATTTGTATATAGTTTTTACTTTTGAATAATGTAAATGTTTTAATATTCAAATATATAGTTAACAAAAAAATTTACAAATCCTAAAATTGAATAGAAACAGAAATGAACCTAACTGTATGTGATATTAGTAACATAATTATAATGGAAAATAATGATTAATTTAAATATTTTATGAATACAGTATCCCTACTGTATATCATTAGAGAGATCAACTCTAAATATGCACACACACGTACTCACACACACACAGCAGAGAAATCTTGAACCTCCCTGAGTAGGTTTGCTGTTGTTGATAATCATAAAGGAGCAGTTCTAAACTATATCACATATACTGTAGGACAGAGCAAATAAGCAGCCATAATGAGGGTGTTGGGAACCACAGCTCTTATTCCAGGAGACAGAAAATACAAACAGACAGTAGGAGAAGGTAAAGAAGCCTGTTGTGTTAGATTTGAACTAGAACTATCAGTGTGAACTCATGATTACATATTCAGCAGGCTCTGAAGAGATGTTTGCTGAATGAATTCATAAATGATAGACTATTTTTCAAAAAGTAAAAAAACTTTAAGGCAAAAGGTGAGTAATAATAATATTAACAATTTTAAGTAAAAAACATGTCACAGGAAACACTCTAAGAAAGACGAACAAAGAACACTGCCGTGTGCGGAGAAAAAAGGCCTTGCTCAGCCCATGCTGAACTGCGTCCAACATAAGGTCTTGACCAAGTTTCTTTCTGGAAAGTAGATTCTGAGACAAGGGCTTGTGGCAAGTTTTTTCTTTTGGAAGTGATTCCAGGAGGCAGGAGAGGAGAACACGGAGAGTAAATTAGGGAGTAACAAGGGAAAACCAAGACACAGGTGCAATGTCAAGTCGTCATCCCGTGGGTGTATTCACCATGTTTCTAGCATCTGTAAACTTGAGCTGTAACATCTGCCCTATGCGCATATGCCAGACATGCCTGGTTCCAGGCAACCCAATAATAATATGTCTGAGTCACCTTGCCCCTGCACCTCCTCAGGCAGCAGTCCTCCTCTCAGGGGTGTGCCTTTCAAATACAAACCAACCGACCCAGAGTCTGCACCCCCAACCACCGCCCTTATAGAGCTTTTGTGTTCCTGGCCACTATCCATGGGCCTTAATTACCCCAAGACCACTGACATTATCCAACTAGCCAATCCTAAATCAGCTTACCCTGCCTCGCTCACTGCTTCCTGAACCACACTGAGGCTCTTGCCTACAGCAGCCTGATCCCCCCTCTGCCCAGTGACCAGCCCCAGTGCTTCCCTGTATGGCCCACATGGTATGATGTGCCCCTTCTCTTGGAATCTGTGCGTGTAACACACTATCTTTTCAATGTCAGTCACCTCCTGATCTGTTGGCCTTACTGTATTTAATAATAAACCCTACCAAGACAGGGTACCTGGGCTGGGTTCTACAGGGATCACAGAGAAGGTGGGGAGCATGCTCAGAATTATCCCCCTGAGGAATTGAAGAGGGAGCATTTATCTGCAGGCTCTCATCCCCCATGGTCAAAGGTAACTCCACAGGGAATTAATTTTCTAGCCCTTTGGGGTCTACCCACACATAAGTATGGGGCAATTCCCACATAATCTGGGTGGAAATGAAGAGAAATTAAGCCGGAGCTTAAAAATAGGACCAAGAGGAGGTGAAGCCAGGCCAAAGAGGTGCCCAGGATACAGGGTATCCACACAGCTTTTCTGTGCTAGAAAATACAGCCAGAATCTAATCTGCTACTCATTCCTGCCTTAGAAGGATCACCATGGGCCTCTGCCATGGCTCATCTCAACTCAATCTGGTGAGTCTTTTGGAGTAAGTACTCTCCTCTGTGAACTCTGAGAGAGTGGAAAAGAACCCTTCCTCTGACTCTCCACAAATGTGGGCAGAAGACTCTCCAGGGGCACTGGAAAGGTCTGCTCTGACAAAATGAAAAATAAAAACTCCCCTTCTCTGATTTATTTTAAGCTGATGTTGAAAGCATGAAATGTTTCTGACTAAATAGAGCCAAAAATACACAAACAGATAGATTCACACAGGTCTTTCTCAATAATATCAAAAACCCCATGAGGGAAATCTTAGGTAAACTAAGCCTTCAGGGCACCAAAAATAATGCAGCTCAGGTGCAGGAGGTGAGCATCTCCCTTCAACCCACTCCATCTCATCAGCTTCTCCTCACTCCCCTCCCCAACCTTCTCTTTCCTCTCTCCTTTGACTTGTTCCTGACTCTCATTCAATGCCTATTACATTCTCCTTTCCTCTTACCTCCCCTCTGTCCCTGCCATAAATCCTCTCCGTTCTCTTCACAAAGACAACTTTTCATGGACCCATAAACCCTCCGGACTGGTTATAAATCCTCCTGACTGGCAGCATCTGTACCACTGAGCTCATCAAGAGAGCAGGGGCTCAGATTCAGATGTAGCAAACATTTGTTCAGTACTTGCTGTGTGCTGGGCTCCACCTGTGTTAGCCTACTGAATCATCAGCCCTTCAAAGTAAGTATTATGGAAACTACTGAACACTGGGACACTAAGACTCCAAGAAATCAAATAACCTAGATTACAGAGTTAGAAAACATTACTTTGACCCAAAATTCTCATTCTCCTAATCCAAGGCTCTGTGTGATACATCACACTGTGTTTATTACTTTATTACAGAGCAAGTAAACAGATGCTTAGTGTAGATCACGCAGAACATCCTGCATTTCTGAATAGGAAACAGACAATTTTTTACATAGGAAACAGGATTTGCCTTATCGCAACTAGGAAGAGTCCTGACTTAGTCTTTTTTTTTTTTTTTTTGGAGTCTCACTCTGTCACCCAGGCCGGAGTGCAGTGGCGTGATCTCAGCTCACTGCAACCTCCACCTCCCAGGTTCAAGCGATTTCTCCTGCTTCAGCCTCCTGAGCAGCTGAGACTACAGACGTCCGCCACCATGCCCAGCTAATTTTTGTATTTTTAGTAGAGACGGCGTTTCACCATGTTGGCCAGGCTGGTCTCAAACTCCTGACCTCGTGATCCGCCTGCCTCGGCCTACCAAAGTGCTGGCATTACAGGCCTGACTTACTGTCTTGCATGCAGCAGTTTGCAGCTTCCTTTAACAAAGGAAGCTCAGGCTGCAGGGGAGGATAAATAATGCCAGGTGAATTTAATGGGCTGAGAAAAGACAAGAAAGCAAGAAAATGAGATAAGAAGAATCTAAATCAGAAATAACTACAGATTCATTTTGTGGTGTGCCTAAGAGTGGCAGCTTGATAAACTGCTAGTAAAAGGAGCCCAAGGTGATGTGGTAATCCCATTTAAATCTGACAAGTGACTCATCAACTCAGTTCTGTATAAGAATACTCAAAGATTATGCTGGCAGAAAGCTGAAAATTTAGAGTCCTGAGAAGCACAGGGAAAGAAAGAGACATAGTTCTCTGTAAAGGGAAGGAAAAAACATTACTGAAAACCTTCAACGGTTCTCAAAATATCTGTGACATAGGGTTGTAGCCTTCCTCTCCTTTGGAGAAATAAAACTCCTAAAATTCTCAGTGGGTAGGAAATTTGGGGCTGGGATACATAGGAATTAGGAATGAATGGAGTAAAGCCCAGATGAAGAACTTTATGCTCACTAAAACAAAACAATAATGATGGTACAAAAAATAAAGTACCAATAATGTTTTGAATATCTTAAATCAGTCACCTAGATACTGTTTTGTTATTTTCAATATAGTAGTTACTGGTTTTAGGAACTTTTCCGGAATTCTGTCTCCTGCAATTGCAAAAAGATTTGAAAATTTAACTCCTTATCATACACATCAGGGGTGGGGAAAAGGACTCCCTCAACAAAATATAAGAATAAAATTTGATCTGTGATGATACATTCTAAATTCCCAAAGACATTAGGATTTATTTCTAAGTTATCTTGTTAGATTAACCTGTTTTCCTAAATCCCCAGTATAATAGTATTAAGAGGTGTGGCCTTTGGGAGGTGATTGGGTCATGAGGGATTCACGGAAGGACTCTGGTTCCCTTTTGTCCCTTCCATCATGTGAGGACACAGCGCTCCTCCTCTCAGAGGACACAGCAACCAGTCATCATCTTGGAAGCAGAAATCAGGCCCTCACCAGACACTGAATCTGCCAGCACCTTGATCTTGGATATTCATTCTCCAGAACTGTGAGAAATAAATTTCTGTTTTTTATAAATTACCCAGTCTCAGGTATTTTATTATAGCAACACAAATGGCGTAAGACACTTGGCAGATATAAGTGCAGAATTTTCCAAAAACATATACCTCTGGCATTTGTGTTTAAGTTAAATGCTATGTGGAATTGTAATATAACTGGCTTTCTGGAATCATAAAAGTCTCACACACTGCTGCTTTCTGAAAGTTACATGGGAGAGAGGATTTAGAAATTATGAAGAATGGACTGTGTCCCATCTTTTGTTATCTGCGAGACACAAAGTGTAGGAAATAATTCAACAGACTCAGAAAATAATAGCTGGAAGTAATGAGGGGAAACCCCTAAAACTGTCACAGAAACTTTAAGGATTGAAACTGGATGTGAAATGAAGATTTGAAACAATCTTGTATAGGTCTTAAAGGGAAAGTCTACATGATATCTGGATCATATATTAAAAACTTATATGCACCCAATACAGGAGCACCCAGATTCATAAAGCAAGTCCTTAAAGACATACAAAGAGACTTAGACTCCCACACAATAATAACGGGAGACTTTAACACCCCACTGTCAACATTAGACAGATCAACGAGACAGAAAGTTAACAAGGATATCCAGGAACTGAACTCATCTCTGCACCAAGCGGACCTAATAGACATCTACAGAACTCTCCACCCCAAATCAACAGAATATACATTCTTCTCAGCACCACACTGCACTTATTCCAAAACTGACCACATAGTTGGAAGTAAAGCACTCCTCAGCAAATGTAAAAGAACAGAAATTATAACAAACTCTCTCTTCAAACCACAGTGCAATCAAACTAGAACTCAGAATTAAGAAACTCACTCAAAACTGCTCACCTACATGGAAACTGAACAACCTGCTCCTGAATGACTACTGGGTACATAACGAAATGAAGGCAGAAATAAAGATGTTCTTTGAAACCAACGAGAACAAAGACACAACATACCAGAATCTCTGGGACACATTCAAAGCAGTGTGTAGAGGGAAATTTATAGCACTAAATGCCCACAAGAGAAAGCAGGAAAGATCTAAAATTGACACCCTAACATCACAATTAAAAGAACTAGAAAAGCAAGAGCAAACATATTCAAAAGCTAGCAGAAGGCAAGAAATAACTAAGATCAGAGCAGAACTGAAGGAAATAGAGACACAAAAAATCCTTCAAAAAATCAATGAATCCAGGAGCTGGTTTTTTGAAAAGATCAACAACATTGATAGACCGCTAGCAAGACTAATAAAGAAGAAAAGAGAGAAAAATCAAATAGATGCAATAAAAAATGATACAGGGGATATCACCACCAATCCCACAGAAATACAAACTACCATCAGAGAATACTATAAACACCTCTACACAAATAAACTAGAAAATCTAGAAGAAATGGATAAATTCCTGGACATATACACACTCCCAAGACTAAACCAGGAAGAAGTTGAATCTCTGAATAGACCAATAACAGGCTCTGAAGTTGAGGCAATAATTAATAGCTTACCAACCAAAAAAATTCCAGGACCAGATGGATTCACAGCCGAATTCTACCAGAGGTACAAGGAGGAGCTGGTACCATTCCTTCTGAAACTATTCCAATCAATAGAAAAAGAGGAATCCTTCCCAACTCATTTTATGAAGCCAGCATTATCCTGATACCAAAGCCTGGCAGAGACACAACAAACAAAGAGAATTTTAGACCAATATCCTTGATGAACATCGATGCAAAAATCCTCAATAAAATACTGGCAAACCGAATCCAGCAGCACATCAAAAAGCTTATCCACCATGATCAAGTGGGCTTCATCCCTGGGATGCAAGGCTGGTTCAACATACGCAAATCAATAAACGTAATCCAGCACATAAACAGAACCAATGATAAAAACCACATGGTTATCTCAATAGATGCAGAAAAGACCTTTGACGAAATTCAACAACCCTTCATGCTAAAAACTCTCAATAAATTAGGTATTGATGGGACGTATCTCAAAATAATAAGAGCTGTCTATGATAAACCCACAGGCAATATCATACTGAATGGGCAAAAACTGGAAGCATTCCCTTTGAAAACTGGCACAAGACAGGGATGCCCTCTCTCACCACTCCTATTCAACATAGTGCTGGAAGTTCTGGCCAGGGCAATCAGGCAGGAGAAGGAAATAAAGGGTATTCAATTAGGAAAAGAGGAAGTCAAATTGTCCCTGTTTGCAGATGACAAGATTGTATATCTAGAAAACCCCATCGTCTCAGCCCAAAATCTCCTTAAGCCAATAGGCAACTTCAGCCAAGTATCAGGATACAAAATCAATGTGCAAAAATTACAAGCATTCTTATACACCAATAACAGACAAACAGAGAGCCAAATCGTGAGTGAATTCCCATTCACAATTGCTTCAAAGAGAATAAAATACCTAGGAATCCAACTTATAAGGGACATGAAGGACCTCTTCAAGCAGAACTACAAACCACTGCTCAATGAAATAAAAGAGGATACAAACAAATGGAAGAACATTCCATGCTCATGGATAGGAAGAATCAATATCATGAAAATGGCCATACTGCCCAAGGTAATTTATAGATTCAATGCCATCCCCATAAAGCTACCAATGACTTTCTTCACAGAATTGGAAAAAACTACTTTAAACTTCAGGTGGAACCAAAAAAGAGCCCGCATTGCCAAGTCAATCCTAAGCCAAAAGAACAAAGCTGGAGGCATCACGCTACCTGACTTCAAACTATACTACAAGGCTACAGTAACCAAAACAGCATGGTACTGGTACCAAAACAGAGATATAGACAAATGGAACAGAACAGAGCCCTCAGAAATAATGCCGCATATCTACAACCATCTGATCTTTGACAAACCTGACAAAAACAAGAAATGGGGAAAGGATTCCCTATTTAATAAATGGTGCTGGGAAAACGGGCTAGCCATATGTAGAAAGCTAAAACTGGATCCCTTCCTTACACCTTATACAAAAATTAATTCAAGATGGATTAAAGACTTAAACGTTAGACCTAAAACCATAAAAGCCCTAGAAGAAAACCTAGGCAATACCATTGAGGACATAGGCATGGGCAAGGACTTCATGTCTAAAACACCAAAAGCAAGGGCAACAAAAGACAAAATTGACAAATAGGATCTAATTAAACTAAAGAGCTTCTGCACAGCAAAAGAAACTACCATCAGAGTGAACAGGCAACCTACAAAATGGGAGAAAATTTTCCCAACCTACTCATCTGACAAAGGGCTAATATCCAGAATCTACAATGAACTCAAACAAATTTACAAGAAAAAAACAACCCCATCAAAAAGTGGGCAAAGGATATGAACAGACACTTCTCAATAGAAGACATTTATGCAGCCAAAAGACACATGAAAAAATGCTCATCATCACTGGCCATCAGAGAAATGCAAGTCAAAACTACAATGAGATACCATCTCACACCAGTTAGAATGGCGATCATTAAAAAGTCAGGAAACAACTGGTGCTGGAGAGGATGTGGAGAAATAGGAACACTTTTACACTGTTGGTGGGACTGTAAACTAGTTCAACCATTGTGGAAGTCAGTGTGGCAATTCCTCAGGGATCTAGAACTAGAAATACCATTTGACCCAGCCATCCCATTACTGGGTATATACCCAAAGGATTATAAAACATGCTGCTATAAAGACACATGCACACACGTATGTTTATTGCATCACTATTCACAATAGCAAAGACTTGGAACCAACCCAAATGTCCAACAATGATAGACTGGATTAAGAAAATGTGGCACATATACACCATGGAATACTATGCAGCCATAAAAAAGGATGAGTTCATGTCCTTTGTAGGGACATGATGAAGCTGGAAACCATCATTCTCAGCAAACTATTGCAAGGACAAAAAACCAAATACTGCATGTTCTCACTCATAGGTGAGAATTGAACAATGAGAACACATGGACACAGGAAGGGGAACATCACACACTGGGGCCTGTTGTGGGGTAGGGGTAGGGGTAGGGATAGCATTAGGAGATATACCTAATGTTAAATGAAGAGTTAATGGGTGCAGCACACCAACATGGCACATGTATACATATGTAAACCTGCACGTTGTGCACATGTACCCTAAAACTTAAAGTATAATAAAAAATAAAATAAAATAAAATAAACAACTTCTTGGCCGGGCACTGTGGCTCATGCCTGTAATCCCAACACTTTGGGAGGCTGAGGTGGGTGGATCACCTGAGGTCAGGAGTTCGAGAGCAGCCTGACCAACGTGGAGAAACCCCATCTCTACTAAAAATACAAAATTAGCTGGGCGTAGTGGCGCATGCCTATAATCCCAGCTACTCAGGAGGCTGAGGCAGGATAAGCTCTTGAACCCGGGAGGCAGAGGTTGTGGTGAGTCGAGATCGCACCATTGCACTCCAGCCTGGGCAACAAGAGCGAAACTCTGTCCCCCCACAAAAAAAAGAAAAAAAAAAACAACTTCTTAATGCAGGAGAATCGCTTGAACCCGGGAGGCTGAGGTTGATGTGAGCTGAGATAGTGCCATTGCACTCCAGCCTGGGCAACAAGAGCAAAACTCTGTCTCAGAAAAAAAAAAAAAAAAAAAAAAAATTAATAGTAAAGCCAACTTGCATTACTCAGATAGGTTCTATTTGGTCACGTTATATTGTTACTAGAATATACTTACAGATTTGCAGTGCCAGTAATTCTATTCTTCACCTTTGGTTTCCATTCTAGCCTTTAGTTTCTTCTTTTACGTTGTTTTTATCCTGGGAATAGTCTATTCCCCAATATTTGAATAAAATTGCCTATAAAACTCTTGGAATCCAAATTAATTTTAGCAAAGTAATTATTTCACAAATTTTTAAAAGTCTTTGTTTTTGCTGCATTCATCTTACCTATTTCTTTTGGAATATTTTCCTTTACAATTGCCATTTTGCAGAGATATTCAAATTTGTTTGCATAAATTTATTTGCATCTTCTGTTTTAATCTTCATCTACATATTAATATTTTTGAGTATTTATTTGCTTATTTTCTTCTCTGTCTACTTTCTAGAGCTCTTCTTTCCAACATGATGGCCATTAGTCACATGCGGCAATTTAAATTTGGAATAACTAAAATTTAATAAAATCAAAAATCCACTTCTTTAGTCTCACTAGCACATTTCAATGTTCAATAGACACATGACTAGTAGCTGCTGTATTGCATAGCACCAACAGAATTTTCCAACATTACAGCAAGTTTCACTGGACCGTGCTAGTCTAGAGATTTGTTAATTTCATTGCCTTTTTAAAGTGGTAGTTCTTGAACTTAGAAACTCTGCTACTTTCCCATTTCTAATTCGTCTTTGCTTTTAGATTTGATATTTTCATTCCCCTACTTTCAATAGATTAGTCTTCCACTTTTTTCCCTAATTTGTTTTTTTGTTTTTTTTTTTTTTTTTTTTTTTTTTGAGACGGAGTCTCGCTCTGTCGCCCAGGCCCGACTGCGGACTGCAGTGGCGCAATCTCGGCTCACTGCAAGCTCCGCCTCCCGGGTTCACGCCATTCTCCTGCCTCAGCCTCCCGAGTAGCTGGGACTACAGGCGCCCGCCACCGCGCCCGGCTAATTTTTTGTATTTTTAGTAGAGACGGGGTTTCACCTTATTAGCCAGGATGGTCTCGATCTCCTGACCTCATGATCCACCCGCCTCGGCCTCCCAAAGTGCTGGGATTACAGGCGTGAGCCACCGCGCCCGGCCCTAATTTGTTTTTTAAATCAGAGAATTTCTATCTATGGTTTTGGCTACATGTCACCCGTTTGACATGTCAACTTCTAAGAAGACAGCAATGGCAATGTTTATTTCCCAGAAGTTGTCTATTTTTGAAAACATATTCCCAGTAGTTGTTTTTAGTGGTGGTGTCGCTTAAACTTGTCTTCTTCCTTTCTTTGCCTTTTTTATTTTCTAGGTAACAATATAGTCATTATATGGATAGTTACATAATATGTAATTAATTAATGTAATAATATTACATATTATATGACTATAATATGGTAACTTTGTAACAGTATAGTCAGAGAGTATGTCCTACATAATCTAATCTTGATTTAATCTAATCTGATTTTTTGTCATCTAACTCATGGGAATTTTTGTAACTATTTCATGGGCACTAATTTAAAGAAAAGGACCATATCTAGCATAGCACGCAAGATCTATCCTATGGCTGGAATAAGGTGTAGCATTTTCACATCTTCATTGTGGACGGCATCCCTCCTTCATCGATAGAAAATTACTCATTTTGCAATTTGTTCCTTGAATTCTGCTTTTTAGAAAGTTGATCCTACCAGAGCTAGCTCCTTTTTATTTGTAATTACCTGAAACATTCTTGCCTATCATTTTTGGTTTTAGTTTTTCCTCTTGAAACAATATATAGCTGTAATGTGTTTTAATCCAGATTGGGAAACTATTATAATTTTCTTTTCTTCTTTCTTTCCTTCTCTCTCTTTCTCTTTCTCTCTCTCTTTCTTTTATTTTCAGAGACAAGGTCTCACTATGTCACCCAGGCGGGCCTCCAACTCCTGGGCTCAAGCAATACTCCTGCCTCAGTCTCTCAAGTAGCTGGGATTACAGGTGTATGCAGCCATGCCTGGCTGATAGTTATCTTTAAACTTAAAATTATATATTCTTATATTATGTTTCTCTTATATTTTTATCAACATCAATAACTTAATAGTGTCCACTTACTCCTATGTGTCTGAGGTGATGAGATTACCTTTCCCATCTCTTTCTTTCCCTCTACTCACTTTTACTAATATTATGTGAATTTTTAGATATTTTGCTAAATTGTTATTTTAATATTAAGATGTATCACTGTTAAGAATTATGATGGTATTTCACATAACATTCTGTTTTCTAATTTTATGTCCAATAAATATTTGGACTTAAAGATACATTTACCTGGTTTTGGTGCTCAATACTTCTTTAACGTAACAATTTATAATCTAGAGCAACACTGTTCAATGGAACAGATGCAAGTTGCATACGTAATTTTAAATTGTCTAGCAGCTACATTCATTGAAGTGAAGACAAACATAAATAATTTTAACAACTTTAAGCCAATAAATCAAAAATCTGGTCATTTTAACATATAATCAATACAAACAATATTAATGGAATTTTTATATTATTTTACTTTTTCTCAAAATCCATTGTGTATTTTACACTTACAGCACGTCTCAGTTAGGACTAGCCACATTTCAAGTGCTTAATAGCCACATTATGCAGGACAGCACAGTTCTACAGAATTTATTTTGATTCCTGTTTCAATTGGCTGAAGTATATCCTTGAATTCTTTCCAAGAATGGCATGGTGGCTAATGAGATACACAAGAACAACAACTTAGGTATAGATTTATTGAATTTTCATTAAATTCAACATATTTCTCAGCTGTCTTATGCTATTTGCATGCTGTAGAAGAGAATTAGGAATAAAGTCTGATAGGTTTTTTTTCTTTGCAGGCAAACATTTTTCTTTATCTTTGTAATTCAAAAATGTTGCTAGTATATATGAAATTGGGGGGGGATTTTACTAAAAAAAATTATTTCTATTGAACACAGGGAGCCCTTTTAATCTGCAAACCCAGGTCTTACTTTCTTCTGTTCAGGCAAGCTGCCTTCAATTTTTTCTTTGTTGCTTCTTTTCCAACTTTTCTCTCAGCATACATACGATTCATTTATTTATGTTGGTTCTTTCTTTTCTGACCTCCTACTACCTTTTCTCATCATTTTCAATTTTCATCTATTTTCCAAGACAGTGTTTTCAAATTTAACTTCTAATCATTGATTAAAATTTTGTTGCTGTAATTTTTATATTTCAGTGAGGATTTTATTTTAATTCCTATGTCACATATTTTTATTTATCTCTAACTCTAAAAACACCTGTTTCTCTTCTTATGTCTTTCTGCTGCTATCTTACCAGGGCTACATCTTCTCATTTCTTTGGGGGAATGCAAAGTAGGATTTGCATTTTTCTTTGGGCTTCTATATTCAGAAGCCTACCTTTCTTCTAAGTCTTTAGGATGGTATTTTCTTTCCCTAGTTCTTCAGATTTTATTTGAAGTTTCATTTTAGATTTATCCCTAGTTTAATCATTCTGGAGTGCAAAAAAACTCATAAAGAGCTTGTTAATTTTCACAAGGCAAGGTATGTGTGTTACTCTAGATTTTATTCATCATCTATTTGGGCACCATTTACTTGAGCTGTCAGCAGAAAGAATCAAGAATAAGACTAACATTTGTATTCAAACAGCTAGTTATCACAATAAGCAATGCATAACCCAAGCCTAAAGAGTTAGAAGCAAGAATGGGACTCAACCTGCTTCAAAGCAAAGCATTACATCTGTCCTTATCCAACTGATGTGCACAGCCCAGAGATAATTTTCAAAGTCTATTTAGAAATTCATCTGGTGCAGTGGATCACTATATAGTGAGACCATCAATTCCAAGAGGAAAGGTCTCCATTACTCTTTGTCATACATAAAAAGAATGAATCTGTTCAGCAGAGTAAAGATGTACAAAAGATTAAAGGGAGACTGTTTTGAAGAACTTCAACAGCATTCATTTAGTAGACTAATTAGAACAAAAGCTTATCTGTTAGCAGTGAAATACACTTGACAAACATTTTCTTCATGGTTAGTGTAAGTTGGATACTTGAGAGGTAGAAGACAGCATTTTTTAAAAATTTTCTATAATTTATACTTTCACTAATTCAGACACTGCCTCCCCCAAAATTAAGTGAAAATTTTTTAATGCATAACTACCTTGAAGTATGCCAATGTCTGCAAAGCATGCAAAAATCCAAGTCTTACCATCTGTTGGATGATTCATTTGTAAATCTGCCTAGTATTCCTTTGGGAAGTTCCAGGGCTGATTTTTAACCTCATTATAAAAATTTGGTGGGAATGAATTCAGGGATATAGTATATATGATGTGCTCTGAGCACTTGGAAGAGTGTGCCACATTAATCTGAGTCATGTTTAAATGGGATATGCACTGCAATCAAAAATAAAAGCGTTTGAAAGTAATTGAAGATTTAGGGTTTTTATCAAGAGTTCCAGAAAAAATAGAGGCTTTAGGGTAATATACAGATCACAGAAAATATTTTTTTCTACTTTTTGCCCAAACTAGCCTTTGCTGATAATAAAGACACTAAACTCCTATGGGAAAGAACTGTGACTTACTCATTTTTGAACCCCCACACCCAGAATGTCCTTTCAAGGTTAACTTTTGTATCTACTTCTAAGATGTCTTCTTCTGAGGCTATAGAAACCACATTAAAAACTTGGTTGAACATCTCATCAGCCTTGTCTTTCTTCCACCTGCTTCAATTACATCATGCATGGGCTTTCTTTGGCTTCTGACCCAACTGGCTTCACATCTTCACCTCCTTTCTTATTAGATTGCTCTATTGGATTAGGGAACCTAGCTTCATAAAATGTACTGACCTGGAAATTAGGCAATTATTTCATGGGTTTCAAGAATCGCAGCTGCAAATGTAAGAATTTCATTAGGGCCCCCAAAACTACACAGTTGAAGAGGGAGTTGTTCATAGCTTAGTCTATAGGATGATGTTCCCTGGACTTGCACATTTCACAGCCTACAAAACTGTATGTGTTTACTCTGGGCTTCAGTCCATGGCTTAGCCACGGCCTAATGCACACCATGGCAAGAACTGTAGCACCTCCTTGGTCTACCTGCCTGTCCAGGGGAGGTGTGCTAGACATAGTGCTTGGCACACTATTGAGTTGGTGCTCCATAAGTATTTGTTGAAAAGGAGGCATCACAGGAACTTATGACTGATAAATCATGTGGTCTTGTGTAAATTAATAATGCATCTGAATTCTGTCTAGTAGAGTAACTGAGTATGAATCTCTAAGAACTTCCAGGGGATGAGTGGATTTTCCCTCCTGGTTTGGAGTTGGCACAGATCTTGAATCTTTTCATTCACTCTGTTTTCAGTCCAATTAAACAAACATTTATTGAACACCTACGATACACTGACTGGTGGGGCAGTTTCTGCTTTCAAGGAACTCAGAATCTAGTGGGGAGACAGCCATTAAAGATATACTTAGGATACAGTGTGAAGCAAGCAATACTATAACCATGCAGAAATATATAGATGTCAAATAAAGGAGAAAGTAATTAATTTTATCCTGGGGAGTCAGGCCAGGCTTTGTAGAAGAGGTGGTCTATGATCAAAGTTTTGAGAAATGAGTGGGTTTTCTTGGTGATCAGCAGAGGGAGAGGATTTTCCATGCAGAAGGGACAGCATATGCAAAGGCATGGAGAAGTGAAATATCCTGGGAGAGCAACTAGTTAAATTTTTCTGGGGCTTAAATGGTGAATTACTGCATGACAGAGGAGGTCAGCTTGAAGGAGCTTATGTGGTACTCTAAGGGCTTTGACTTTATTCTGCAGGCCGTGAGAAGTCAGTGAAGATGTTTTCAAATTAAATTCTTTTAATCACTCCTTCTTTTGAGAGAATTGTAAATTCACATGCAGTTGTAAGAAATAATATGGAGATTCCCTGAACTGTTTATGAAGTTTCCCCCAGTGGTGACATTTTGTAACACCATAGTACAAGATCACAACCAGAATGTTGACATTGATGCAGTCAATTTACAAAGATTTCCATCACCACAAAGATCCCTCATGTTATCCTGTTATAGCCTTACTCATTTTCCTTCCACCCTACCCCCTCTTTTAACCCCCAACAGTCACTAGTCTGTTCTCTATCTTTATAGTTGTGTCATCTCGAGAATGTTATACAAATAGACTCACACAATATGTAACCTTAGGGGACTGGTTTTTTTCACTCACTGTAATTCTCTGAAGAGTCATCCAGGTTGTTGCATGGATCAGTAGCTCATTCCCCTTTCTTGCTGAGTAATAGTCCAGCACAGTTTGTTTAACCATTCATCTGTTAGAATACATCTGGGTTGCTTCCAATTTTTGGCTACTACGGAAAAAGCTGCTATAAGCATTCATGTAGGTTTTTGTGTTAATATAAGTCTTCATTTTTCTGGGATAAATGCCCAACAGTGCAATTGCTGGTCGTATGGTAGTTGTATGTTTAGCTTTTTAAGATACTACCAAGTTACTTTTCAGAATGGCTGTATCACCAACCATGTATGAGTAATTCAGTTTCTCTGCACCCTCAGCATTTGGAGTGATCACCATTTTTATTTTAGCTGTTCGGGTAGGTGTGCAGTGGTATCTCATTGTGGTTTTAATTTGCATTTCATTCTTCATGCATTTAATTTGCATTTTCCCTTTTCATATCTTTTTATGTGTTTATTTGCCATCGGTATATTTTCTCTGGTGAAATGTCTGTTCATGTTCTTTGACCATATTCAAAATGCATCGTTTGCTTTTTACTGTTGAGTTTTGAGAATTCTTTATACATTCTAGATACCAGTCCTTTGTTGCATATGTGGTTTGCAAATATTTTATCCCACCTTGTAGAATGTCTTTTTATCCTAACAAAATCTTTCACAGAACATCAATTTTTAATGTTGATGAAGCCCAATTTATCAATTTTTACTTTTATAGATCATATTTTTGTGTCAAGTCCATTTTTCCTAGTCCTAAGTCCCAAAGATTTTCTGTTTTTTCTATAAGCTTCACAGTTTTATATTTAGGCCCATGATCTATTTTGAATTATTTTTTGTTTAATGTGTAAGACAGGTCAAGGTTCGTATTTTTGTTTACAGATGTCCAATACTGAAGCACAGTTTGTTGAAAAGGTCATATTTCCTCCATTGAATTGCTTTTTCATCTCTGTCAAAAATCAGTTCAGCATATTTTTGTGGATTCATTTCTGGGTTTTCTATTCTATTCTATTAATTTGTAAGTCTGTGCTTTCACCAATACCACTCATCTTGATCAATGTAGTTATATAGGCCTTGAAATCGAGTAGATAGACTCCTCACACTTTTTTTTCTTTTTAAAAATGGTTTAACTGTTCTACTTCCTACGATTTTCTGTATACATTTTAGAATACTCTCATCTATATAAAAAATCTTGCTGGGATCTTGATAGAAATTGTGTTAAATCTGCATATAATTATAGGGAGAACTGACATATTTGCTATGTTTCATCTTCCAATCCATGAACACAGTATGCATCTCCACTTATTTAGATGTTATTTGATTTCTCTCATGGCACTGCATAGTTTTCAGCATACAAGTCTTGTACCTACAAGTGTTGTTAGATTTACATCTACATATTTCACCTTGTTATATGTTGTAAATATGATTTTATTTTTATACAGGAATAGAATTGATTTTGTATGTTTATCTTATATACTGTGACCGTGCTAGAACTCATTTATTAGTCTAGAAATTTTGTTAATTAGCTTCCTTGGGATTTTCTATGTAGATAACCATGTCATCTGCAAAAGGGACAATTTTACTTCTGTCTTTTTTATCTGTATGTTTTTAAATTTTTCTTTTCATCCCTTATTACACTGGCTAGAGCTTTCAACACTATGTTGAATAGGAGTGGTGTAACTGAACATTCTTGCCTTGTTCTCATTTTTAAAGAAAAGCATCCGTTTTTGCCCTTAAATATAAAGTTAGTTGAAGGTTTTTGTAGATCTTCCTTATCAAGTTGAAGAAATTCCCCTAAATTATTATTTTTCTGAGAGTTTCTATCATGAATGAATATTGAATGCTGT
This sequence comes from Homo sapiens, assembly GCF_000001405.40. Taxonomy (NCBI): domain Eukaryota; kingdom Metazoa; phylum Chordata; class Mammalia; order Primates; family Hominidae; genus Homo; species Homo sapiens. Next base: position 32,193,376 of record NC_000007.14, read on the forward strand.
CAAATATTTTTGTGCATCAATTGATATGATCATGTAATTTTTCTTCTTTAACCTATTAACATGGTGGATTATACTGATTGATTTTAGAATAGTGAATGATACTTGCATCCATAGAATTAACCCTACTTGGTTGTGTGGCATAGACTTTGTTTTATATATTATTGAATTCTATTTGTGAAAATTTTGTTAAAGATTTTTGCATCTATATTAATGAGATTTTGGTCTGTAATTTTTCTCTTTTTGTACTGTCTTTCTCAGTTTTGACATCAAGACAATGTTAGCTTCATACATGAATTGAGAAATATTCCCTTCTCTTCTATTTTATGGAAGAGATTATGTAGAATTGATGTTAAATTTTCTTTAGAAATTTGCTAGAATATTTGAGTCACACCATGTGGACTCAAGAGATTGCGGGGGGAGGACAGCTTTTTATTACATACTACACTTTCTTAGTATAGAGTTATAAGGCTATTCAAATTATCTACTTCACATTGGATGAGTTTTGGTAGTTTATGTGGTTTTTTTTTTTGGTTTTGTTTTGTTTTTTTTTTTTTTTTGAGACGGAGTCTCACTCTGTCGCCCAGGCTGGAGTGCAGTGGCACAATCTCCGCTCACTCCAAGCTCCACCTCCCAGGTTCACGCCATACTCCTGCCTCAGCCTCCTGAGTAGCTGGGACTACAGGCGCCCGCCACCACACCCGGTAATTTTTTTGTATTTTTAGTAGAGACAGGGTTTCACCATGTTCGCCAGGATGGTCTCAATCTCCTGACCTCGTGATCTGCCCGCCTCGGCCTCCCAAAGTGCTGGGATTATGGGCGTGAGCCAGGCCAGTAGTTTATGCTTTTTAAGAAAATAGCCCATTTCATCTAAGTCATCAAATATATCTGTGTAGCACGGTTCACAGTATTCCCTTATTATCCTTTTGATATCTGCATGGTCTGTGGTGATATCCCCTGTTTTATTCCTGATATTCATAATTTGTGTCTTGTGTTCAATCTATTGTTGAGAAAGATCTGTTGATGTCTCCAATTATAATTGTAGATTTTTCTATTTCTCATTTTAGGTCTAACAGATTCTACTTTACATATTTTCCAACTGTATTGTTTGGTGCATAAATATATAGGATTGCTATGTCTTCCTTGTAGGCTGACCCTTTTATTATTATATAATGTTTCTCTCTGCCTCTGCATTTTCTTCATTCTGAAGCCTACATTATCTGATGTTAATATAGCCACTACAGGTTTCCTTCAATTAATGTTTGCATGAGCTGTCAACCTGTCTATACAGTCATATTTGAAGTGAGTTTTTAATAGCACATAGTTGGGTCATGTTTTTTAACCCACTCTGCCAATCTCTGTCTTTTAATTACTATATTTAGACCATTTACATTTAATGTAATTATTGATATGTCAGGGCTTACATCTTCTTTTATTTTTTATTTCCTGTTTGTCCTCTTTATTTTTCATTTATCTAGTTTATTTTTCCTGCCTTCCTGTGGCTTACTTGAACCTTTTTTAGAATTCCACTTTACCTATTGTGTATCTCTTTGCATCATTTTCTCAATAGTTGTACTAGATATTACACTATATATACATAAATAACTTACCAAAGTCTTCTGATGTTATCATTTTGGAAGTGTAAGTAAAATGTGGAAACCTTACCTCCCTTTACATCCCTTTACTTTCTCCTCTTTGATATAATTGTACTAAATATTTCCTATACATACATTTAGAACATTATCAAATAGTGCTAACATTTTTGCTTCAACCATCAAACATAACTTAGAAAACTCAAGAGGAGAAGGAAACATTATTGGATTTAGCCACATTGTTGCTTACTGTGTTCTTTCTTCCTTTCTGATGTCCCAAGGTTCCTTCTCTTATTGTTTTCTTTTTGTTTAGAGAACTTTCTTTAGATATTCTTTTAGAGTAGGCCTGCTGGCAACAAATTCTTAGTTTTCCTTCATTTTATAATGTCTTTATTTCCCCTCCATTTCTGAGGAATATTTTTGCTGATTAGAGGGGATTCTAGGTTGACAGTTCTACCCTTTTAGCACTTGAAAAATATTGTGCTTCCATGGCTTCTGATCAAAAATCTGTTCTCATTCAAATTGTGTTTTCCCTATGAGTAAGATGTCTCTTTTATCTGGCTGCTTTCAAGATTTCTCTTGAGATTTTAGAAGTTTAATTATGAGGCTGGGTTCAGTGGCTTATGCCTGTAATCCCAGCACTTTGGGAGGTCAAGGCAGGAGGATTGCTCGAGCGCAGGAGTTCAAAACCAGCCTGGGCAACATAGTGAGACCCTGTCTCAAATTTTTAAAAATAAAATAATAATAATAATAATGAATTTTGGCATGGGTTTCTTCAGGTTTATCCTGTTTGAACTGACTTTCTATGGCACAGATTAAGCAAAGGAATATGGTGCACTACCTTATTATGCCAGATAGAGGTAGAAGTTCAAGTTCCCTACTGGGCTTCCATTGCTCCATTGACACCTGAGGAAGGATGTAGCTTTGTTATCGCTGGGAAGGGGTGAGAGTTTCAGCTCCCCACATGGTCTCTACTGACACTGTGTATGGAATGACCTCATTATCATTGTACAATGCTATAGTCCTGATTCTCCTCTAGGCCTCCCCTGACACTCAGCTCAGCAGGGAGGAAGAGGGATGCTTGGTTACTGTCAGTTAGAAGTGGCAGCCTAGGTTCCCCACATATTCTCCACTGACATCATGATGGGAGGAAGGCTGATTTAGATGAAAGGGCCAGCTCTCTGTTTAACTTTTTCTGATGCCATGCCAGCAAGGGTGTTGAGATACCTTGTTACAGCCTTGTGAGGGTGGACATCCAGGTTTCCCAGCAAGCCTTTTTTGGAATGGGTGAGGATGGGGCCACAGCTTTTTCTGTGATGTTTGGAGGGAGTAGAGTGTTTATTATCTAAAAGTTTTCTGTCTTGCTAGGCTTCCCCTTTCCTGGTCCTTAGGTAGAGAGTAGAGTTATGTTAGGGCTCTTTTTTTGGGTACCTGTTGTCATTTCCAGGTTTTTATCTTTTTCAGCTCGAAGTCTATGGTATATGATAAAAAAAGAAAACTCAGGGAACTCATCACCATGTTGTTTCTTGGGTCCCAAGTCGTCTAGTCACTCTGTCTTCTTCTTTTTGCCTTCAGAGTATTCTTTTGTTTATTTTGTATATAATATCCAGGGGTTTTAGTTGTAATTCATGGGAAAAATAGGAAAATGTATGTCTATTTTATCTTCCTAGAATGTGTGTGAAGGCTTTTAAGAGGGAGAATGACATGGTCAGATTTATCTTTTAAAAGATTGCTCTGGCAGGGAGGAGAATTGATTTCACAGAGGAAGACGGAGACTCAGTGGAATCCATTACATAAGGAATGTAAGGATTTAAAACAAAGTTGTAGCTGTGAGAATAAAGTAGAATGATCTGAATAAGACAATTCAGTAGTCAGGATCAGTGGAATTTGGTGACTGATGAGGGAGAATAGAGATGCATATATGATTTGTAGGTTTTCAGTTAATATTGCCTAATAAATAGGATGGCACCAATTCAGTTAGAAAACACAGGAGTAGGAACTTCTATAGGGATGAGGAGAAATTATGAGTCCAGTTTGGAAACTAACACTTTAGGGGTTTCTATTTTCTTCAACTTTTGGTTAATAAATAAGTTTGGCAGTTTTTTTGTGATGACAATTTTCCATCTTAAGTATGCTTCCTTCAACTAGAAATTCAGAGAATGGGATGCTACCCCTTTTCTTAAAATCTAGCTCTCCAAATAAGATACACGAGTGGGCAATAAGCATATTAAAATATGCTAAACATTATTAGTCATTAGAGAAATACAAATCAAAGCCACAATATATCAATATTTCACACACATTAGGGTTAAATTTATTTAAATAACCATACCATGTGTAGAGGAGGATTTAGAGAAATTGGAACCCTCATACATTGTGAACAGAAATATAAAAGAGTAAAACCACTTTGGATAACAGTCTGGAAGTTCCTCAAAATGTTGAACTTAGAGTTACCATATAAACCAGCAATTCCATTCAGAGGTATATAAGCAAGCTAAATAAAAACACATATACACTTTTTAAAATAATATACAAATATCCATAGCAACATTATTCACAAGAGCCAAAAATTAGAGACAACCCAAATGTCCATTGACTGAGGAAAGGAAAAATAAAACGTATATCCATACTAGGGAATATTGTCCTGCAATATAAAGGAATGATTTGCTTACACATGTTACAACATGGATGAACCTTGAAGACATTATGCTAAATCAAAAACATAGCCAGTCACAATAGACCACATATTGTATGACTTCATTTATATAAAATGGCCAGAATAGGCAAATCTATAAGAAAAGAAATATTTAAATAGCCTTCTAGGACTGTGGGTATGGATCTCAGATGAAAAGTAACTGTTGGGCACAGGACTTCTTTTTGGGGTGACAAAAATTATCTGAAATTAGATTATGTTGATGATGGTGGCACAACTCCATAAATATATGAAAAATCATTGAATTATGCCCTTTAAATGGGTAAGCTTTATAATATGTGAATTATATTTCAATAAAGCCATTTTTATTTTTTAAAACTAAATAGCAGCAATCATCTTAATATTCATTTTAATTTTTAATTGTGAATTACATAAATAATGGTTAGTCCTTGTATCCTATATTCATTCTTCTTTCTGGATTCAACAGTCTTCCTGAGGTATATCCTTTAGCAGTTATCACAGGAAGGACGTATATGATAAATTCTCTCAGAATGAGTTTGCCTGAAAGATGTCTTTATTTTGCCCTCACTCTTAAATGATATTTCTCTCAATTTAAAATTTCAGGTCAACAGTATTCTTCCCTCATCTCTATACAAATATTATTCAATTTGACTTCTGGCTTCTAAATAAACTATTGGGAAGTCTACAGTCAGTCTAATAATTAATCTATGATAGATACATCAGTTATGATTAGTTATGTCTGAATAACAGAAACTCAAAATTCCGGTAGATTAAATGAAATAAAAGCTTATATCTCTGTTACATAAAAATCAGAGATAGAAGTTTATATCTCTGTTGAGTGAGATGTAAGCCTTTCAGAACTGATATAGCAGCTCTGTTTCACAAAATCTTTAGATTACCATTCTACCAACCCTTGGGTTTGAGCATTATCACTGTGGTCCAAGATGGCAGCTAGAGTGCTAAGCATTACATTTGTGTCCTAGGCAGCAGGATGAAAAAGCGATAAAGAAGAAAGGGGATGAAGACTACACAAAAGCCTCAAGAAAGTTTCCAGAAACTTTTCTTTGACAGCTCTGCTTACATTCTATTGACCAGAACTTAGTTACATGGTCACACCTAGCTTTAACTGTTTTTGGATATGGGGACATAGGCCCAGCTAAAAACTGAAGTTCTTTTAACATAGAAAAAAAGAAACTCAGCCGGGCGCAGTGGTTCATGCCTATAACCCAGCACTTTGGGAGGCCAAGGCAGGTGGATCACTTGAGGTCAGGAGTTTGAGACCAGCCTGGCCAACATGGTGAAACCCTGTCTCTACTGAAAAAAAAAATACAACAATTCGCCGGGCATGGTGGCGCATGCCTGTAGTCCCAGCTACTTGGGAGGCTGAGGCAGGAGAATGGCTTAAACCCAGGAAGCGGAGGTTGCAGTGAACCAAGATCGCTCCACTGCACTCCAGCCTGGGTGACAAGAGCAAAACTACCAAAAATAAAAATTTAAAAAAAAAAACAAAACACTAAACTCGTAGTCTCAGACACAGTAGGTAACCTGTCTTTTCTCTTCAATTATTTTTGGTGTTTGCCCATCGTCTATACTGTTCTGCAGTTTCATTATAATGTATCTGCCAATAGATTTTTTATTTTCCTGATTGAAACTGGGTACAATTCATTAGTCTGAGGATTCATATCACTAGTCAATTCTGAAAAATTCTCAGCCACTAGATCTTTAGTTACTATTTTGTCCATATTCTCTCTGGTCTTTCATTCTGAACTCCTACTAAATGTGTGCTGGCCTTTCTCATTCTGTCTTCCGCAGTGTTTGACCATTCTTTTACATCCACCATTTCTCTATGCTACATTTTGGATAGTCTCCTCAGATATATATTTCTTCTGGTTCATTATCTCTCCTTTTAGTCCTATTCAACACAGTTGGTAAACTGTGTTTGGGTTTTGTTTTGTTGGGGTTTTATGCTATATTTTACATTTCTTGAAGTTCTACGGATTATCTTTAAAATTTTCCATTTTTTCCAAGGTCTTGTTCCTTTCTTAGAGTTTCAACTCATTTTATATCTTCTGTCATTTTTAAATAGACCTAGTCTTTTTTTTTCCAGTTTGTCATTATACCACAGGTTGAACATCCCTAATCCAAAAAATTGAAACCTAAAATGCTCCAAAATTCAAGGCTTTTTGAGCACCAGCATGACATCACAAGTGGGAATTTCACATCTGACCTCACATGACAGGTTGCAGTTCAATGATGATTTAATGTACACAAACTTTGTTTCACGGATGAAATTATTTAAAATACTGTGTAATGTTACCTTCAGGCTATGTGTTTAAGATATATATGAAACGCAAATGAATTTTGTGTTTAGGCCTAGGTCCCATCCCCAAGATATCCCATTACGCATACACAAATATTCCAAAGTCAGAAACAAACTCAAAATCCAAAACATTTCTGGTCCCAGGCATTTTGGGTAAAGGACACTCGACCTGCATCTCAAGTTCTTAGGCTCTAATTATCTGTGTTTGCTGACTCTTGCTCATCATGGAGGACTGCTGCCTCTTATAGGTTTTTTGTTTTATTTTGTTTTTAATTTTGACTGTGAGCTCATACTTAGTTGGTCTTGTTTTCTCCATGAGAATATCTTATGACTTGGGTTGTATTTCAAAAGATTTTTCATTTGATTCTGCCATTAGTAGCCCAGAACTAATGTTTGTTAATTTCTTAGGCTCAAAGTGTTCCTGGACCTTTCAGGTAGTTTCAATTGCCCAGGGAAGACTTTTCCTCAAGAGCCAGAAAAGCCAAGCAAGTTACCTTATTACCCCTCTATGCTAATGGGTGCATTTTGTTTTCCTGATCTCTCTTTTATTAGAAACATAGACCTTGTTTCAACTACCTATTGATGCGTAACAGATCACACCAAACTTGTGGCTTCCAACAACAACAACTACCCATTTTGCTCAAAAACTTGCACTTTGGGAAGCTCTCAGAGATGGGCTTTCCACAGGGCCTCTGTTTCCTCACAGTATTATGGCAGTGCTCTAAGAACAAGTATCCCAACAGGCAGCAGGTGGAAGCTGTTTCTTCTGATAATCTAACTTTGCAAGTCACATCATATCATCTCTGCCACATTTACAGGCCACCCAGACTCAAGGGAAGAAAACAGAGGCCTCATCATCTCAGTGGGAGGCTTGTCAGCATCACATTGCAAGAAGAGCATGTGGGATGGGAGATATAGTTACAAATATTTTTGGAAAACACAATCTGCCATATGTTTTAAGAGTCCGAGTTAGGCAGAAGTTTCAGATCCAACTTCTCCACCCTGCATAGCCAAAGGTCTTATCTCCTCTCCCCATGTAGATGTTAAAACATGTGTTACTAGATTCCATGGACTTAACAGCACCACCCCCATGCAGCATAGCTGCAAAATCTGCACACATGTTAACAGCTTACCGTACTGATATTAAATTCTTCCTTCATTGCTGGCACCTGTGGGGTTCCCTTTCTTTATTGCAAGTTTAACTGTGCATTTAAAAGCATTTTTAAAACATTTCACTCAGCATTTCTATGTGCTTGTAAAAAATGAGAAGGTTTTCAGGTTATCCTCGTCTGTCTCTTGCCGAAACCTAAAACTTCATCTTAACTTTATTCAAAGGAGTATATATTGAGAGGATAGAGGAGGAGGTGCTTGGAGTGCAACAGCCAAGTCACGTCTTCCTTGCCCTCCCTGGGGTTACATTACATACAAAAAAAATTCTATTCATATTTTTCAATTATCTAAGCGTGTACACATGTAGCAAGGGTAAATATTTGCTATTATCTCAATAGGGGTACAGCATTCCCATTAAGGGAGCAGAAACTGGTCTGCATTTAGGCAAATATAAGTTGAAAGGAGTAGGACGTGAGATGCTGAGGACAAGGGTGTGAGCAGATCCATCAAAGCAAGAGAGATAGTCAAGTGGCTGCTCTGCATGAGAGATCCCAGGAGTGGCTCTGATTCCTAAAAGGGAGGTGGAAATAAAGGGTAAAGAATGGAGGAGGATGAGGATAAAAGGATGTACAGTGGTAGGCCAGGAGCAGCATGGGCAAAGCAGTCTTTAAAATTTTTATTGGTGGTAGAATGGCTAAATGGACTGTTGAAAATCAAACTGAATTTAAATGGTCTGTCTGCAATTGCAGTGCATATTGTGGCTCTCTCTTGTTCATCCCTTCTTAATCTTCAGTCAAGCTCTGCTTTGACCAATGCCTTTGGTTACTCTCCAGAAAAAGGAGGAGGAGGAGCTTCGTAGCACATCTGAGACTATGTCAGAGCAATAGGAAGATAGCCAGAAGCAAATAGAGGAAAGCAATCGACAGAGGTAGGAAATCAGGGTCAGAAGAACACCACCATCCCAGGTACTCACGGAAGCATCAGGGAGTGCTCTGAACTTCCAAATGTCAGCACACAACAGCAGTGTTAAGCCTCTTCACCTAGATCTCAATGGACTTGGAGCTTCCAGCTGACATCTGGGTTACATGTATCATCCATAAACTCTTAGAAGCTACTTATGGAATCATCAGCCAGTCCACTGGTGGACCACTGGCTAACATATTAGGGACCTAGGGATATGTCTTTGTATATATTTCAAAGACTCTATCAAGCACATTCAAAAAGAGAAGGCAGAGTGAGTCTCAGTGTCCTGCCCCTTACCCCCATACACATGCCAGTCCATCACTCTGACCACAACCACCAATGCTTTCCAGGACACAGTGAATATTCCTCCGCTGGATGGGCTCCTGCAAAGAGCTCATGACCCCATGACAGGGATGTCATACAAGGGATTTGAGCTTTAGACAGAGTGGTGAGCACTGGACTGGATCATTTGTAAACTCTACTTTAACTTGAAATCTTTCAAATCCCAATGAATACATCTGTTGACTGAACCAAGCTGATCGGCTTGCCTGATAACAACTGTGTTTGATGAAAGGGGTGGAGAAATGGGGTAAGATAAGGTGGTGAAGTCCCCTTGTGGGCAAGCAGAGAAATTTTGGGTCAACACAAGTTGGGGTCTAACTGTGGCTCTGAAACATGGATGTGTCACAGGTCACTGGGGGAGCTTCGAGAGGATGATTATAAGTGTAGATAAGAAGCTAGTAGCCAGCTGTCTTGTGTTCTTTTGTGTTGCTTGCGTGGTTGATTGATTGGTTGGTTTTTGTGGTATGAAAACTTAACATGAGAGCTATCCTCTTAATGTATTTTAACGTGAACAATACCATATTGTTAACTACAGGGATTATGTTGTACAGCAGGTCTCCACATCTTATTCATCTTACATAATAGAAACTTTATACCCATGGAGCAACAACTTCCTGTTTGCTCCTCCCCACACCCAGCTCCTAGCAAACACCATCCAATTCTGCATTTCTATTAGTTTGACTATTTTGCTTGCCATAGCACCCTACATGTACGTGATCTCATCTGTCCTGGATCCCTTATATGGTTCTGTCTCAAACGTAGTACATGCCCCCGAGAACACTGAAAGCCCAGCCACCAGCCACACAGTCCCCCACTCATGGCATTTCTCAGTCGTTCCTCCCACATATTTCTTCTTCTTCTTTTTGTCTTCATCCATCCCCAGTTCAAGCTCCCTTCTTTTGTCACCAACCCTCCTAGCCATAACAACTGATCTAGTAAAGTTCCCTGGCTGAACTCTAGCACTGTCTCGGACATGATTTTGAGTTCCCTCTGGGGCTCCATACATGGCATCACCATGTCATAGGTGCTGCCTCCCTCTATTTCAACCAACCCCAGCGATCACCCCACTGCACATCTCTGCCTTCCATTTCCCATCTCTGCAGAGGGAAGGTGATCATTCACCCAGCACAAAAATACGAAGGGCCGCCCCTTGCTTCACTCCCCCATCCACCCTAAGTACTCCAGCTCTTTCACAGGAAAATCTATTTCCAAAAATACCTGGATTCTTAATTAATCTCTATTTTCTTATTGCTTTTGATACCGCTATAGTAGTCCCCCATTATCCGAGGGGGTACGTTCCAACAACTGCCTGAAACCAGGGATGGTGCCTAACATGATTGCTGTTAATCAGAACACGATTCTGCTCATGTCTACCCTCCGCAAATTTAATAACACTTCCATCTTAACTAAGCACTTATCCTGTCCTGTGGCCATAACTTTTGCAGCTTTAGTGCAACAACAAAACTAGCACGAATTTCTGTTTCCTTCTTTACAGTTTCACAGATAGAAAATTCGCTCTCCCTGTGGATCTCAGCAACCTTGGCATACAGTTTTTTTCTTTATTAAGTCAAGAACTTTCACCTTTTCACTTAAAGAAAGCACTTGCTGGCTTCTCTGTGGTGTATCCAAATTGCCAGCATCAGTACTCTTGCACTTTTTACTAAGTGCACTTAGAAATTGCACTTAGGCAATTACTAAATAAAATAAGGGTGATTTGAACACAAGCACTGCAATCTGATAAACGAGAGGGCCCCTAAGTCACTAACGTGTAGGTAGCATCTACACATGGATCCACTGGACAAAGGGAGGATTAACATCGTGGGTGGGGCAGAGTGAGATTTCATCTCGCTATTCAGAGCAGCACTCAAATCAAAACTTGTGAATTGTTTATTCCTGGAATTTTCCATTTCATATCTTCAGACCGCTATTAGCCACAAGTAACAAAACTGGGAAAGTGAAACCGCAGATAAGGGAGGACTTTTGTATTTTCTTGTCCACGATTGCTCATCTTGGGGGAGAAATTAGTCCTCCCTCAGGAAAGCAACCAGAACTCCAGCATACAGCTGCCCAGCCACAAGAGCTCTGTGGGCACTGTCTCCCTCGCTCGGGCTCCTCCAATGCCCTGGACTCCTGACAGAAGCTCTGTCCAATGCACTGAATGCAGCGTCTTTTACGTCCTCTAGAGGAGAGGGATGCCACCAAAATCTGGGCTTTTTCTGCCACACTGTGGCCACGTCTGAACACTACATGTGGCCACGTCTGAACACTACATGTGGCCTTCATTCCCTTACATGTGGTATTTGGAGTTTTTTCCAATGAAGATTAGAAGTTACCTTTTTTACCTATTATCCCCATTCAGACCCTCAAGCCTCAGCTAATGCTCACTTTCTCCAGGAGGACTCCCTTGAATTCACCTCCACACCAGGCTGGCTGAAGCGTCCCCGTTCTGACTCTCCCAGCTCCTCCTACCAATTGCTAGCATTTCCTTCCACATGCTGTATTGTAGTAGTCACTTCTGTCTCCCTAATTAGACTGCAAACCCTTTGAAGACAAACCAACTCATCTGTGTTATCTCCATGGCTCACAGAAGAACAGAAAAGTCTTCAATAAGTATATATGAAATTAAAGAAAAAAGGGAAGAAGAGAGGGGAGGAAGGCTGAAAACTCAAGGTAATAACAACCAGCCACACTTATTGAGCGCTTGTGGTATACAGTCCCTGTGCTTCATATAATGAATTCCAGGTTATCAGGGCCAATATCCACCTCTGCTGCCCCAGCTTCATCCAGCAATTAAAGGGTCCATGTCTGTCCTGTCAGGGGTCTCCTGGACTCTAGTCCTTCACATAGTCCATGACCAGCATCTGTTCTGATGTTCAGTGACCACGTCACATGTTTTCAAGTATTTTAACATTCACCCTTGCATGTGATCATCCACAACAACTTGGAAATAAGCTCTAGCATTGAGGTGAATCTGGCTGGGCTTCTGGGTTGGGTGAGGACTTGGAGAACCTTTCTATCTAGCTAAAGGATTGTAAATGCACCAATCAGTGCTCTGTGTCTGGCTAAAGGTTTGTAAATGCACCAATCAGCACTCTGTAAAAACGGACCAATCAGCACTCTGTAAAATGGACCAATCAGCACTCTGTAAAACGGACCAATCAGCACTCTGTAAAATGGACCAATCAGCAGGATGTGGGTGGAGCCAAAAAAGAGAATAAAAGCAGGCCAACCCCCCAGCCAACCCGTTTGGGTCTGCTTGTGCCCTGCAGAAGCTTTGTTCCTTCCCCCTTTGCAATGAATTTTCCTGCTGCTGGCTTTTTAGGTCTGCACTACCTTTATGAGCTGTAACACTCATTCTGCAGTTTCACTCCTGAAGCCAGCGAGACCATGAAGCAACCCCAAGGAAAACAACTCCAGACATGCCACCTTTAAGAGCTGTAACAGTCATTGCCAAGGTCTGCAGCTTCACCCCTGGAGTCATTAAGATCGTGAACCCATCAGAATGAAGAAACTCCGGACACATCTGAAAATCTTAAGGAACAAACTATGGACACACCATCTGTAAGAACTGTAACACTCACCAGGTGGGTCCATGTTTTCATTTTTGAAGTCAGCGAGACCAAGAACCCACCAGAAGAAACCGATTCTAGACGCAGTACTGTTCTAGGATCAAGGTGTGGAAAATGTGTTTTTAGAGGGGTAAGGTTACCTGCTCAACGCGGCACAGAATTCATAATTCTGGACACAGAATTCAAACCCCGGCTTGACCCCCAGAGCTTACATGGTGGCTGCTGGGGACTCTCCCACTAGCATGTAGGAGACCTTTGAGGATATATTCTGGGGGGATTTGGGGATTGTGTATGCTGATAATGGGACGGCTCACTGATTAGGATGCAGAGGAGCAGGGGGAAAGGAGCAGAAAGGGGCCAGTTTATGCAGTCTTCAATCAGCGTTTTTCTCTAGGTCAGGTGCAGTCAACCAGACACGGCCCATGGGCTCAAGGAGCTGACTGTCTAATAGAGACCGACAGTTGCATAAAACAGACATGTCTAGAGAGGAGGGTTTTTAGGGCCTGGCACTGGAGGGCAGCTTCACCAGCATCCCAGAGAGCAGGACTAGAAAGGGACCCCACAGCCAGCTGACTTCATCCCAGAAGTCCCCAATGTCAGGAGCCACAGTGGGTTCCAGGAGCTCCTCACCAAGTTGAGGCCTGGACCTGAGCAGGGGAGATCAGCTGTTCCCCACACTGCCCTTGTGGCTACGATGCGGTACCCACATGGGGTACTTTCCATGCGGCACCCATGTGAGGTGCCCACCATGCAGTACCCACATGAGGTATTCTTCTAGCTCACCCTGCCCACTGCAGAGCATGGCAGTGCCCACACCCGGTGGCTCTCGCCCCAGGACAGCTGGCCTTGTGATAGATGCCATTCTCAAACCATCTGCTGGTTGGAAGCTGGTGTGCCTGCATTCACACAGCGCACTCAAGTCAAGGTCAGTCTCAACTCTTCACTGTCCTGGACACTGTCATTCTCCCAGCATTTGTGAGGGGAAGAGATCCTCTCTGCTTCCTTTGAGTTCCCTTCCCTCTTCCCTAACCCTCACTTCTAGGAGAATGACTTCCCCATGTTACTGTATGTGCCCACAGTTGCTAGGCAGATGCTCTAACTGAAGTCAGGTTGATTGGAAGCCACTGCTTGAGCCTGCAATGATGGGGCAGGGGTGGTGAAGGGGCCTGGTAGATCCAGAGTCTCACAGGACTAACTCCACAGCATCCACCACCAGAAGCAGCCCTTCCCAAGTCCCCACTCCCAGATCTCTGCTGACCTCTAGAGGGTCCAGCCATCACAGCACAGGCTCTGGCCACCCGCCCCCGCCAATCCCCGTCGTGCCTGATTCCGTACTGGGCAACGCACACTGTCAAGGCTGTCTTGTTGGACGCAAAAATTAGAGAATGTTGCAGTACTTCATCTTCCAGTCTCAAAAAAAAAAAAAAAAACTTATCATCCGAATCCTCCCAATCTTCCCAAACTGAACTCTTCATTCACACCACACAATGAAGGTCAGTTTCAAGGTGGTAAAGTGAAGTAAGCATCAATCGGACATTGCTACATTAAAAATAATTTTTTTGCCTTCCTAAAAGTCATCTAATCTTTCCCTCTCTAGACTACAAAAGGACTTAGTAGCTCACGTGCCATCTGACTTTTTCCGGAGTATGGCAATTAACTCAGGAGCTTTTTCGTTCTCCTTTTTTTTCCCTGTATCAGTCCAACCTAACTGGTTTGCCACTAATTACTTTTTCCTACACAGATACGTGTTCATCATGTCCTCACCTGTCTCAAGATAATAAGCTTTGAAGACACATCATCCTTTCAACCCAGTCATACAGTTGAGAAGTTCACACAAGAAGTTACCTTCCTTTCTCTGTGAAGGGACAAATTGCCTCAACTCTCATGCAAGGACCGCCCTCCCCCCAACCTTCGTCTGTCTTGTAGTGAGCCTCTGGGACTCCCATGGGGGAAGGGGCACCCAGCACAGCCCTCACAGCGTGGTTGGGTCACGATTCATGCTTATTTATTTGCCTGACAACTGCTCAGGAGATGAAGAAAAAAATGGGATAAAAGCATATTCTTCAACCTCGTTGAGCTGTGGGATGAAATATCTATTTTGCAAATAATGATTCCAGGTAGGAGGGCAGTGAGGAATGGGGCTCATGAGAAGCGAGTGTTTTATTACACAATTTCTAAAATATGAGCACTTCATGCTCTTTCATTATCGTACATTATTACAGTTCTATAAAAATCATTTCTAGGAAATCAATCCCAACGTTTCAAAGCCTTCCAAAAAGAGCTGGGAGGCAGAGTTTAGAAGAAGCCTGTAAATAGAGAAATTATACTTTCAGCTTTATGTAATAAGATTTACTATGGCACTGTCCACACTCAGACCTAGTCAACCCTGCATGAGGAATGCAGTGACTAGGGATTTATAGAGTTCCTCCCTGGCCACAATTTCAAAAGACAGCAACATTTTTGACTGACCTGGAAAAAAGTCAGATGGCACGTCAGCTACTAAGTCTTTTTGTAGTCAATACTAGAGAGGGAACGATGAGGTGACTTTTAGGAAGGCAAAAAAAAAAAAATTAATGTAACAATGTCCAATTTTGAACATTTTCCAGGTGCGAAGACAGAGGCCCAGATAGTGTGAGTGAAATTACTTTTAGTGAAAGCCAGTGAGGCAGTGATAAATCCGTTTCTATTTACAGTTGTACGATTTCTCCACCTGGTGCATAGTGGGTTTGGGGAGCGTCTCCACTCCACCCTCATCCGTCTCTAGTATTTTCCCCCCCCTTCTTTGGAATCCAGGTTTTCGTTCCAGGAAGTGCATTAACTTGCGGGATAATTTGCTGATCACACTGGTACAGAAACCATTGAGAGGCTTTAGACTCCTACTCATAGGGATCAAGACCTGGAGACAAAGGAGTCAAGGGAAGCCCCATGGCCTAACCACAGCCCTAGGAATATCCCCAATGCCTAAGGAAACCCATTCAATCCATCTAAGCTTCAAAGTGTCACCAAACTGAGGAAAAGCCAGTGGAGTTAGTCCATAAGTCCACTTTGAATGGTGATGATGCCTTCATAGCTACAAGCATTTCACGTACCT
This sequence comes from Homo sapiens, assembly GCF_000001405.40. Classification (NCBI taxonomy): domain Eukaryota; kingdom Metazoa; phylum Chordata; class Mammalia; order Primates; family Hominidae; genus Homo; species Homo sapiens. Next base: position 32,209,034 of record NC_000007.14, read on the forward strand.
CTCCTCACTTTATCTTCATAAAACATTCATTGAAAGATTGAAAGGATAGTCCTAGCACAGCACTTCTCAAACTCTAATGTGAACAGGCATCCCCTGTAAATGTGTTAAAATACAAATTCTGACTCAATAGGTCTGAAGGGGTGGTCGGGGGACTGAGGCTTCATGGTTCTAAAAAGCCCCCAGGTGATGTCGATTCTGCTGCTCTGAGGACCATACTTGGAATAGCAAAGGCTTAGAGCACAATTTGGAAACCACAGTTCTAAGGATTGAAAAGGCAGTAGCAATGAGTAGCTCACCAGCCTGGGCTCAAGTGGGATGTTAACCAGATGATATTTCCTGCATTACTATTTTATTAACACCTGACAGAATTGAAGAGCTATACCGCATGGGGGAAAGATCTCTGGAGAACATTTTCTGATGGAGACCAGGAAAGGAGTGAAACAAGATTTACTCACGAGAGAAGCGGGCCAGTGGTCTGGCATTCTTGTCTCCAGCTTCATTTGCAACTAGAAAAAAAAAAGAGGATGCAATTTAAATAAATAAAGCAATGTGTCCACCAAATATGCCCCAATACAGCCAATCCCCTGGATGCTTTGACATCGGGCTGTATTTAAGAGTCTTTGTAAGTGAATAAAAGCAACTTTACTCCCTCCGTGTCTGTATTTCCAAGGCTGCCCTCAACACCTAAATGAAGTCAAATGTCTCAATCATTTTGATTAGAATATTTGGATGAAGCTAGAGAGGATCTCAACAACATCCAGTTTAGTAGGCCTAAAGAAGTTAATTGGCTTACATCCACTTAGTAAGAGGCACACACACCAGCTTCCAAGCTAGTGGACGTCCTTTGGCCCCAAGAGTCCTCTAACAGTGCTGTCTGTCAACATGCAAATGCACCCCAAGCATCGAAATGAATCTGGTTTCCTAGGATCCATAGGGGCAAAGCTGAGGCAGGAATTTCGGAAGATAAATAAAAAGCTGGCTTTATGTTCAGAAAGATATTAAATTTAGATGCTAACAAACAGGGAAGTTCATTAATAGAATTGTTCAGAAAACTGCCCTAGAAACCTTACCCCTAAAGCTTCTCAGCAGGGCAGGCTACCTCCTACGAAAAGTCTCCATATAACTTATCATTGGATAGAGTCATATTTAATGTCCCTTATAACTTATGAACCCATTGTATTGGGTAAAAGAGATTGGTTGTTAAGGGGAAACACAGGTTTCACTCATTTTAAATACCATGTTTCATGCCCATAAACATTATACCTTGGTTGTTGTATGTATACATAGCAGACAGACATGGGTATTTGTGATCTACTTGGATAAATGCCTAAAGCAATCAACAAGAAACACCTGTTCATTCTAGCTGAGAAAAAAGCATTCAATGCATCAACAGAATAAAGGAGATTGCTAACGTCATCATGAATGTATGAGAAGTTGCAGCAAAAGGACAAAACCAATACAGTAACTACTTTCTAAACTTATTATATCGTTTTACAAAGAATGAAAGAAGTCGAAAAATTTATTCCACCCTCTCACAAAGGTAAGTATTTTAAAATTTACTGCATTTGAGCAATTTTTTAAAAATTAATGGATTCCATCTCAGTATATTTTGTTTTTCTGGCATTAGCTTTGCCTCACCATCTACACTCTATTACTAATAAGGCCAATTACTAATTTGGGCAATTTGTCTATTACTAATTTGGGCAATTTTTAAAAATTAATAAATTACATCTTAGTATCTTTTGTTTTTCTGGGTATTAGCTTTGCTTTATCATCTGCACTCTTACTATATATTACTATATATAAGATGTTATATAAAAATGACCAGCAGGGGGAGGCAATAATTCATCCAGCTCCCATCGTCTGTCACACCGCAGCATTTCAAAAAAAGAAAGAAATGGGCCTGGCGCGGGTGGCTCACGCCTGTAGTCCGGCACTTTGGGAGGTCGAGGCGGTCGGGTCACGAGGTCAGGAGACCAGCCTGCCCAAGATGGTGAAACCCCATCTCTACTAAAAATACGAAAAATTAGCCGGGCGTGGTGGTGGGCGCCTGTAATCCCAGCTACTCGGGAGGCTGAGGCAGGAGAATCAATTGAACCTGGGAGGTGGAAGTTGCAGTGAGTCGAGATTGTGCCACTACACTCCTGCCTGGGAGACAAAAGCGAAACTCTATCTCAAAAAATAAAAAGAAAGAAATTAAATAATTACTACACTCTGCACCAAATACATTTTAAAAGAAAAGATTTCCATTTCAAAAAAAAGATCTAGAAGTTCTAAGAACAATGGCTATTCTTGCTGTCTTCTAAAATGTTTTGTAGAACCACCACATGAATATAAATAATTCACATTCATATTCCTGCCTCCACTCAGAGCTACATCCAAAGTATTTCAGAACAATGGTCAACTATCTCAGTAGAAGTCTTTAACCACAACTGCATATCCTCACATCAGGAAAATTTGGATGTTATCATAGCTAAGTATTAAAAAAATCTTATGAGCACTTGGAAAGCTCTCAAGAGTTGTCTATAACCAAAGTTATCTTATAATAAAAAAAAAGGGGGGGGTAAGAAAAGAGAGAGGGGAGGGAGGGACGGAGGAAGAACAAATGAGTCCCAGTTAGGTATAGACATGAATTTCCATGGCCTTGAGTTCAACTTATTTCTTCCATTTAGACACCGCAAATGTCTGAAGAAAGAAATAGAGCTGGGTGGGGCATAGTGGCTCACACCTGTAATCCCGGCACTGTGGGAGGCTGAGGCAGGAGGAACACTTGAGCTCCCGAGTTTGAGACCAGCCTGGGCAACATAGTGAGACCCTGTCTCCACAAAAAAAGTTTTAACAACTTAGCCGGGTGTGGTGGAGCATGCCTGTAATGCCAGCTACTCGGGAAGCTGCAGCAGAAGGATCACTTGAGCCCAGGAGGTTGAGGCTGCAGTGAGCTGTGATCAAACCACTGCACTCCAGCCTGGGCAACAGAACGAGAACCTATCTCAAAAAAAAAAAAAAAAAAAAGAAAGAAAGAAAAAAGAAAAAGAAATAGATCCAGGGTTTTACCAAAACCTTTGCTGCAGAAACTTTAAAATGACATTTTAAAATGGGATTACAAAGACCATTGCAATTGCTGAGAACACAGGCAACCACCTAAATGCTCAGCTTGGAGTGTGCACATTCTCCAAGAGTGTGCACATTCCTCCAAGAATAAAAGAACAGAGACACCAATGTCACTATTTCACACGCAGCAATAGCCACATCTTCACTCAGCCGGGCCCTCCCTGCCCACCACCCTATCCAAGGATGGGAATTGCTGACCCAGATCCAAGTCACGCCAGGAAAGGCAAGAATCAGGATCCAGACCAGTGGGACACCAGGAGAGTTTCCTCTATCCAGAAGGAATTTGAACCTCGCCACCAGCGTGATTTCCCTACAAACATACCCAATGCCACACTCCACTACTAGAGGGTCTCCCGTGATGCTGTAGCCCCTACAGAACACAATCCAGCTCACCTGCACCAACTTATTCTCCCACCTCATTTCCCAGAGCATACTCCAGCACTCGGTCACATGCGCTAGATGGACAATCCCACACACGCCCTTCACACACTCTTCCTGCCTGGCTCTGGCTCCTGCTGCCTGCTAGCCTTGGTGTACTCCTCCCTCATCTTCACCTGGCCAACTCCTTACTCATCCTTTAAGATCCAGGTGGAGCCATTCACTTCTGAAAAGCCTCCTCGCCTCACACCCCACCTTCTCCATCCCCCAGATCTTTGCCCATATGCGTAACTCCCCTTCCCACACCTGCCTGTTGTTCTCAAACTTCAGCAGGCATCAGAACCACCGAGCAGGTTTCTTAGAATACAGTTTCTAATTTGATGCATCTGGTGTGAGGCCCAAGAATTTACATGTCTGACAAGCTCCCAGGTGATATGGTGGGTGCTGGTCTGGGGATCATAAAAGCTACCCCACCCAAGGCAAGGATCATCACTTTTTATCATTGTAATTTCCATTCTTTTGTACAGTGACTATGCATTCAGTCAATATTTTTGGAACTCAAGTAGACTGAATGCCACAAACAGCTTAGTAGACCAGACATCTCAGACTGCCTTCCAGATGACTATAGGAAGCCCCAGGTGTGTTTTGTTTGGTCTCACTATGCTTTCAATTTTTAAACAATTGTCAGCCCACATTTAAAAACCAAGAGATTTCAAATAGAAATACATATTACTGGCTTCCTTCAAATTACTGGGGCGATTGGAACACAAGGCCCCCGTCCCACATGACAGCCATGGATCAACACTGAGATGGTCCCTCGGTGGCTCTGCCTCCTGGATATTCAGAATGCAACTCTATGCTGACTATTGTTGGACTATACACTCTGCATGGTCTAGAAGGCAGGTGAAAACAGAACCTCTTAAAGGGCTTAAAGACTGAAACTAAAATTCAACAGATGCTAGCACTACAAAAAGTGCTGTCGCCCGGCTCGTCAAGCCCTTCTGTCCCCAGTGCACAACTGCCCAGATGCGTGTGACAGTCCAACAGCACGCTGCAGGCCTGTTCGGACACACCCAGGCTTCTCCACTGGCACAGGAGCCCTCAAACACTGCTGCTTGCCTTGCATGTTTAAAAGTATACAGCAAGCTTTCACAATACAGTAGATGTTCCGTTTATCAGGTGCAATTAGAGCTTAAATGTGGTGAGATCTTATAAGAATGATTATGTAGGTTTATGGAAAGTTATCTATGCCATACTGCTCACAAAACACAGATTCTAGTTCAGAATGCATAAGGATTCTATTGACGTTCAGTTGCGTGTCTAGGCTACATGTGTATATAGGCACAGAGGGATGAGTAGAAGTGTGGTCACCAGATATATTAACAGTTATTTCTCCTGTGTGGTGGCATTTGAGAAAATCTGTAACTTTTGAAATACTTTTCTGCATAAACTCAATAGTTTATGATAATCAGGAAAAAATGTTTTTATTAGAGGGTATAAAACAATTGGCTATTGCTCTCTTTCAAAATATACATATTATTTTGGATATGTTTGTATATATATGTACATGTGTATGTATATGTGTGTATGTAAAAAACTTTTTATACATACACAGGTATAAATGTTTATACTATTTTTATACATACACGGACACATATATACATTTTATACACAAGTATATATGTAAAAAACATGTATATATATATATAAAATATGTTTTAGATTCTGATTTAAGGGTAGTCCTGGATCACAGAATTCAAGGCACCTGCCATCTCTAGTCCAAGAGGGCTCCTTGTAAGACTCAAGAAATGCATCTCTTACCCCTCTCTCCAGGGATCCCACACATTTTAGGTCAGTGGTTTCCAGCCCTGGACACACATTGGAATCACCTAGGGAATGTTACAAAATATTGATGCCCAGACCACACCCCAGACCAATTACACAGGGCCTCTAGGGGTAGGACTCAAGCATCAGTGTTTTTTAAGCCCCTGATCCCAGTGAGCAGCCGAAGTTGAGAAGCACTAATAAATGGTGCAACTCCGTACATCTTTACCAAAGGCAGGAGGACATGGCTTTGATTCCTTCAAAAATAATTACCCCTATTCACTTCTTCTTTTCAGGATGCTGTTGCTTTGTCAAAATCCTGAATCGAGCGAGGTATATCTCTGCTTTAAGAAAACTTCAACCATTAAGATGCAAACCTAACTATGGAGACCTATTAGTGGGCAACTCTTTGCATTGTAAACGGTTCTTTATAAAAGGATTCACCTCACATTGCCTCTATCCTTCAGCATATGTGGATTGAGCACCACCTGGGCGCTGGGCAGTGAACTAGACTCAAGGAGGGTTGCAACAATGGATTCCACCCAACCTGGACATACAAGCAAGTAAGGGAGGCAAACTGTGCCTGTCAATCTGGGTTTATCCAAGTGTGATCAGCTAGGGAAGTGACTTGATGATGATGATGATGATGATGATGCAGGTTCCTTGGTCCTGTGGCAGATCCACTGGGTCAGAATCCCTGCAAGTGAGGACAGGACCCTAGGTTGTAAACCAGGGGTCCCCAACCCCTGGGCCACAGAACCGAGCAGCCCATGGCCTGTTAGGAACCAAGCAGCACAGCAGGAGGTGTGCAGCGGGGACCGAGCATCACCACCTGAGCTCTACTCCCTATCAGATCAATGGCGGCATTAGATTCTCATAGGAGCATGAACCCTATTTTGAACTGTGCATGTGAGGGATCTAGGCTGCATGTGCCTTATGATCATCTGAGGTAGAACAGTTTCATCCTGAAACCATTCCCCCCAACACCCGTTTTGTAGAAAAAATGTCTTCCATGAAACCGGTCCCTGGTGCCATAAAGGTTGAGAACCACTGTTTTAAACAATTGCTCCAGAAGCCACTTGGGTACACTAATGTCTGAGAAGCAGCAATATAAAGGACATGTTCCCCTGGTGTGTTTGCTGTAGGTTTTCCCTCCCAAAAATTGGCCAGAAACAAATCTCAGAGTAAGTAGTTGCCATGGAGACCAATGGGAGGGAGGCAGGTGAGACAGGAAGATAACTTGGAGCAATGAGCATCCTAACCCCAGACCACCCAGGGGGCTCTGATGTCACAGCTACGACACAAACAATACAGGCCATCAGAAAGGACAAAGGAGAATAAAGGGGAAGCTAAGGTGGGCCAACCCGTTGTGGTGGTGGCCTAGAAAGGTGCACACTGCTTTGTAACCAGAACAAGCACCCAAAACACTGCCACCCCTGTTTTGAAAGCCCTGGCACCTGGGTGAGCATAAACACAGCTGGAGTCCTGGGTGCCAGGGCAAACACACAGTGAGCAGCAGACCCAGAGCAGAGCTTGGCTTCCTGCAAGGAAATCTGCCCAGTGCACTGGTTGGCTGCTGCTTTGCCACAGCCCTGGGTCTGGCTCAAGCATCTTATCCAAGTGAACTCTTTTGGGAAGGCTGGTGGCTGCAATGCCAGGCAACACAGACTCCCAAAGAAGAGAACATTGGAATGAGGTTCCAGGCACTTTCACTAGTGACTATAGAAGGTGAAGCTTGGAATTACCAGGTGTTTGACCTCACCTTGTCTTACCTTCAACTTGCAAAGACCCAAGCAATAGCAGAGAAAACAAGAAGGAATGCTGGGGGGAAGGAGACTTGGTGCAAAATCATCATTAACTATCCTAGCTCAGATATCGTCTTCTAGGTAGGACCTTCCATGACCACCCATTAAGACCACAGGTCCCAACTGCCCCCTTCCTCTAGTCCCCATCCCCCTATCCTAGTTTAATCCTCGCTACAGCACTTATCACCTTCTCATATGCTCTATACTTCAGTGGGTTTATTGCCTTTCTCCTTCCATGACAATGTAAGCTCCACACAAGCATAGATTCTCTGCCAATGAAAAAGCTGCTATCTCCCCAGTGCCCAAGTGCCTGGCATACAATATTTATGGACTGAATTAATGACAAGCCTCCTAGCAATCTACCATTCAGAACGTGATGGAGCCAAGGATATTGGAAGGAGACACAAAAAGGAAGGTGCAAGGATATCACATCCCTTGAACACTCTGAATATCCATTCAGATCTTCAAAAACCAGGCACTGAATAAATCATAGATACCAAATAAATCTGCAAACATCCAGTCATGGTCCCTGCCTTCACATTGAATAAGACTGTCCTTGAGTGCAGAAAGACTGGCTAATTTTTTTCAAGGCCACACAGGTTTTTTATGGCCAAACCCTATGTAAACCCAGGAGTATCTAGTGCCAAAGTCCATGCCTCTTCCACCTTTGTCTCTTTGCCTTCCAAGGAGGGGAGACCGGTAGGAACCATGCTCCAGAGAGGGCTGCACCGAGAGAAGAGCCAGGCTGCAGCCTTTATGCCTCTAGCCCCAGTGGGAGGAGGGTACCAGCCTGCAGGCAATGGGGGCGGTCACCCGCCTGGCCCCTGGTACTAGGCATAAGGCCAGGAGACTGTCAGGAGAGAGAGGCTCTTTGTTGAGGTGGGCAAAGAGGCCAGAACTCACAGCAATAGGATCCAGTAGAGGGAGAAGCTACTGACAAAGGGAGGAGCTTCATTGCCACATTCATTCAAGAGCCCCAAGGTGTCTCCCTAACCCTATTAAGCCTCCCATAGGTAGAAAATAGCAACAAGGAAATAGAATCTAGAATCAAATGCATCTCAGTATGAACCAGTACAACTCACAAAAACAGCCCCTATGAGGCAAATCGTATTCTCTTTAACAGGTGAGGAAAGTGACATTCCAAGAGATTAGGTAGCTTGTCCAAAAACAGACCAAGGCAAAGCAGTAGAGTGAGAAATGTCATCCATTCCTTCCAGCTCTGAGTCCAGCATTCTCAGAGAAGGGATGTGCCCCATCTGTTTAATTGTTGCGTGAGGATCAATAGTAAAGCAAAAGGCTTGACTTCCTTTGCCCCCATGTGGTTTGATAAATGTTGATGCTTGACAAGCCTGGGATCTGTTTCAAGCTTAAAATGTATAAATGCATATCTCTGGCGATGGCTGAATCGTGTGCTGTGTTGAGAAGTCTTCTGATGCCAAGACTGAGCTTAGCAAGATGTGTTTGTGACACATGACCAAAGCCTGCCATGGTTGGGGTTGGGGGAAAATGAAGGGAGGAGGTAGGATGGGTAAATGGGAAAACCCAGCCAGGTTAAATGGAACATAAAAGAATGTGGCCATGAAATGGATAATTCACAAAGGTAACTGACTTCATTCAACACATAGAACATATTATCCCAGTTGCTTAAAATGAGAAATGCTATATAATACAATAACTTCATACACCCAGGAGCCATCCAAACAGACTGGGCATTTCCAGAAGGCTGTCCTCTAAACCAGACTTAGCCATGCCTTTCACAAGGCTGTGGTCTTGTTAAAATGCACATTAATTGCCTGGGATGAAATAACTTGCAGTGGTAGGTCCAGACATAGAAGATGGGACTACCTTATTTCAGAGGCAGTGCCCTTCACCTCGTGCTACCCATCACATTTTCAACATCCAAATGTTACTACCACACCACCAGCCTCATTGCCATGAAATCCAGTCCCTTGTCTCCCCTCCACTTAGCATCAAGTCAGAAGCCTGCTCCTTACGGGAACAGATCTCAGCAATCCAGTTGAAATTTGTGCCCCAGAGCCATAAAAGGCATCACAACCCCCACTCTGTTCCTTTCCCACTTCTTTATTCAGAAATGCTCAGCATTGCCTCATTATGCCTTCCGGGCCAATTTGGCTGTCAAATCCACTCTGAATCAGGCACTTGCACAAAAGAAAATAAAACTAATTTGTAGTTGATGATGCATCAGGGCTGATAATTTGAAAGTGGCAGGGATGGTGCACTTTCCAGACCCTTCTCTCCTAGAGTAATGGGCAAATCCTTACAGAGGGCAAGGCTCACCTGCCAGAGGGCAGGATGGCTCCCTGGCTCGTGCAGCCCAGGGTATCACACAGACAGAGGGAAAATCCAAGAGGCCTTTACCAAGCTGAGAAGACAGCTTGAAAAACACATATCCTGTACTTTTTCTTTTAGTTTGGAAGAATTTGAGTCATATGTAGAGGCTCAAGCAATCTATTTCTTCCCTGGACCTAATTTCATAAGTTTGCTTATTTATCTACACTCTATCTCATTTCACAATTTGTATTTTATGTTTTGCTCTATGCTCCTATCCTTTATGCAACAAAGTGAGATGTTAATGAAAATTGAAATTTACTTATTTCAATCAATTCCTTGCTCCCTTTCCCTGATCCCGCTTTCCAAACTTCCAGATTTCAGGTTGACTCTACAGGGCCCTCCATTACACCAAGATCAAACAATCAATTGCCATCTGTTTAGTCTCCCTCCCATCTGTTGGGCTCCCTCCTCACAGAGCTGTGCTGGATGTGACAATGGATGTAACCTCATCCTCAGGTAGCCAGGAATCCAGCTGAGACCCAAAGGCCTGGCCCCGAGCTTCCTGGTACATATCATTCAACTTGTTGCCATATGAATTTATCAAGGTGTTTGGTGTTTCTGTGGAAATCATCAGGCCAAGCTACCAGGCCCTGACTTCAGGAAACTTGAGATCTCATTGTGGAAACATAATTTTCATGCATGAGATGACCCAAGCTCTGTTGAATGCTAGACAAAGGGTCCTTTGTGGCCTGGAGTGACTAGTAGTGAGAGGTTTCCTGGAAGACGAGGACAGGTGAGATTAGAGAGGTGGAGAGGATGATGGAGTCTGCCCAGGGAGAGGAAAGGGGTGTGGTGCATTCTAGGACCTGGGAGCAGACTGAGATGCATCAATTATTCATAAATATTTCCCTTTCATAGCAAGAAAAGTTTTTTTATTGGAGGAGGGGAGTAGTAAAACGCCATGAAAGGCTAGCACTCAGATCTTTCTATCTGCCTTCTTCCCTACTTCCATATACAAATATGTTGCATCTGCAGATAGGGATGTGACTTTATCTAAGAGCAGATGTGTCTGAACATGCTCTAAATTCAGGTGCTGGGACACCAGTCCAGTGCCAGCAATCGCTCCAAAGCACTGCCGCCTGACTTGGATGTGAATTCTTCCTTGTGGTGATGTCCTGGGTGGCCCAGTCCAGCCCTCCTGGTTGATACCCTGGTGGCCACCATAAGCATCAGGCTGCAGGACTGCTGGCTCGCATGGGGCCCCCTGCAATCCTGGCCTCACTATAACAACCCAGCTGAGCAAACCAGGCAAAGCCAATCACTAGCAGTTAACATGAATCAAAAGTGTTGAGACAGAAATACAATATTGATATGGTTTGGCTGTGTCCCTACCCAAATCTCATCTTGAGTTGCAGCTTCCATAATTCCTATGTGTTGTGGGAGGGACCCAGTGGGAGATAACTGAATCATGGGGACAGTTTTCCCCATACTGTTCTCATGGTAGTGAATAAGTCTCACGAGATCTGATGATTTTACAAGGGGTTTCCCCTTTCACTTGGCTCTCATTCTCTCTTATCTGCCACCATGTGAGTCATGTCTTTTGCCTTCCACCATGATTGTAGCCTCCCCAGCCACATGGAACTGTGAGTCCCTTAAACCTCTTTTTTTTTTTAAATAAATTACCCAGTCTTGGGTATGTCTTTATCAGCAGTGTGAAAACAGACTAATACAAACATCAAGCTGGTTGCTCAAGCTGTCAACTAATTACAGTCCACCCTGGACAAGGCAAAGAAAAGTATACAGAAGAGGTGGAGGGACACTCAAATTTATTAAGCCCCTTCCTCATGCCAGGCACCAGTAGGAACTTTATGCCCATAATTTTTATTCAATTTTCACACTGTTCCAGGAGGTAAGTAGTAGTATTCCCTTTTTCAGATGAGGAAGGTGAAATTTAGGAAAAGTTAAGTCACTTTCCCAAATCAACACTGAGAAGTGGGAAAGCTGGGATTGAAACCCAGTCTGTGAGCCCCTTTCTTCTCTTTTCTCTACAGCTCACACCATCAGAAAGCACATTAAGAACCCTCTGGTCCAGCCGGGCATGGTGGCTCACGCCTGTGATCCCAGCACTTTGGGAGGCCGAGGCGGGCGGATCACGAGGTCAGGAGATCGAGACCATCCTGGCTAACACAGTGAAACCCCGCCTCTACTAAAAAAATATAAAAAAAATAGCTGGGCATGGTGGCAGGTGCCTGTAGTCCCAGCTACTCGGGAGGCTGAGGCAGGAGAATGGCGTGAACCCAGGAGGTGGAGCTTGCAGTGAGCCGCGATCGCACCACTGCACTCCAGCCTGGGCGACAGAGCGAGACTCCATCTCAAAAAAACAAAAACAAAAACAAAATCCTCTGGTCCAATTCCACATATCATGCATGGATCCCCTACAACATCCCAAACAAGTGGGCCTCCAGCTCATGCCTGAACTGTCTCTAGGGATGGGAGCACCTTCCTTCTGGAGGCAGGAAGCAGTTCTCCAAAAGAAAGGAAGCTCTTCTTCGTAATGATGCCATCCTTCCAGAGGTCTTCATGCTGCCCCTCACAGAATAGGCCTGGCTCCCTTTCCTCCTGAGGGCCCTTCCAACATTTGAGGACAACTGTCATGAACTCAGACCCTTGAGCCTTCTCTTCTCCAAACTGACAAGCCCAGATCCCTCCTCCTGTGACAAAAATGCCCCAAGGCCTTTACCCACAAAAGCAAAGTTACTTAAGTCATTGCCGAAAGAAGAGAATATTTGTATTTTAAATAAGCCTCAGCAACACATTCTTCAACCCCACTCATTCCCACAGTGATCTTCAGGCTGAGTCAAATTTCCATCTCCCTCCATCAAGCCCCTTTCTTGTTTGATTCTTGGGAGAAGTGGAAGGCACCTAGGAGCCATTTTCAGCATCATACGCCCCACAGCCATCCAAACAGGCTGGGAGTTTCCAGGAGGCTGTCATCTAAATCAGCTCATCTCAGACATGGCCATGCCTTTGACAAGCCCGTGGTCTTGTTAAACTGCAGATTCATTTTCAGATGCTCTGGACCAGGACCTGAGAGTCTGCATTTCGAACAAACTCTCAGGTGATGGCTCTGGTCCAGGTACCATACTTTGAGTAGCTCAGTGCTAAAGGACATAACCCGCATTGAAAAGGAAAAGCCAAGTACATGTTCTAAGAGCTCATTGGAAAGCCATGGATGGTTGTGAAAATGCATGCTATGGAATTTAATGCTCAATTCTCTTGGTTTTTCTTCAGCAATGTTTTTTTGAGAAAAATAACTGTTAACATCACGACTTTTTAAACCTGCCTAAGGAGAGATGTTGATACTGTGTAAGTGTGAGAAGGCATATCCAATGCAGAGGGTGATGGAGAGAAACTCACCCCTCTCAACTGGCATTCAACAGAGCAGAGCTGAGCTAGATCACTACCCACCTGGGCAAGCTGCCAGCAAAGCACAAAGCTCAAAATGTATCAGGAGATGCTCAGATCTGAGATAGGAAATCAACCTTACAGCCACAACTTCACTTGAGGTGCTCCTATCTGAGATAGGAAATCAACCTTACAGCCACAACTTCACTTGAGGTGCTCAAAGGCAGTACTTTGAGCTCATGAGATCTAGCATGTATATACACGCACACACACAAATGCACATATGCACACACATACACACTCATGCACACAAACACACCTCCCCAACATCAGATCAGGCATGCACTGTCAGCACTGTGATGTCCAGGAGCATAAATCATCGCATCGTTACCAACTGGCTTCAGGCTGAACAGATCAAAATGCATCAAATAAACGAAATGAGGCACAGGACATTCCCTTGGGCATTTTGGGCAAGGAACTTAGATGTTCACTAGACTGAGCTGCCCTCAGCAGAGCTACACCTTTGCATACTGTTTCCCCCAGACTAGCACAGGGCCTGGCACACTTGAGCTGCTCGATAAAGGGCCAGTCCTGAAGTCACAGAGGTCCTGGAATGGAGATGGACCATGCTGCTAGGAACTGTCCTCCTCTGTCCAGAAGCCAAAGAGCCTTTCTACCAACCAGTTAAGGACTTGATGTTAGCTTGGCATCTTATCTTCTAAGCCAGTTGGAAGTTGGGGACAATTTGGGGGTTACAAACTGGAGGCAGGTGTGTCTGGCTTGACAAGCATAGCATTTAAGAATAATCTGTCTGAATTTGGCAGGGACTAGTTCTCCAGGGTCGCATGAATGCCCATTGCTAACACCAGACCTGCTTCATTCCAGCTGCTTCCCAGAGATCTTCACACAGATGTGCATTAGGACTCTAACATCAAACATATCAAAGCAGAACTGTCTGTTTCTCCCAGAAATCTGCTCTTCCCCAGATTTCACCATCTCAGTAAATGGAACCACTTTCCCCCTACTCGCCCCTCCCCACAAAATTCATCAGGACAAAAATGTGACAGTACCCTTGTTTCTATTCTTTCTGTCATACTCATAGCCCTTGCATCAGTAAATCGTGCGGGCTTCACTTTTAAAATAGATCCTAAACTCCTACCACTCCTTCCAGCTTCTCCCCTGAAATTGACCCAAGCATGCAAGGCCCCTCACTTAGAGGTTCCCTCAGACTGCGGCACCTCCCTGTGCAAAGCCCTCAGTGTTTCTCCTAGTGTTCAAATCACTGCCTCCAAATCCCTTCCTGTCCAGAGTTCATCTTCTCCTCTCATCTGCTCATTAACTAAGCTCTCAAATCTGCCAAATGTATTCCCATTTCACTTGTTTTTCAAGCCTAGAATGCTATGCTGCTGGTACTAAGGGTCCAGTTGTAGTGGCCACCCTGACAGACCGTTCCACGTGCACTTACATGTGCAAACTCATGCAGTCTTTGTAACAGGGCTTTGTAACGGGGAGGCAGAGCTATTGTTATCCCCACTTTACTCATGAGGCAACTGAGGCACAGGGAAGTTAGGTGACCCACCAAGGCCATATAGCAAGTAAATGGCCCTATCCAGGGCCTCACTGAATCACTGCCACTCTGCCCCTTACAGAGCTCATCGCTTGCACAGCTGCCTTCTCACCTTACAGGATTCAGCTGAAACATCATGTCCCCTGGTACTTCTCTGACCATCCCGTCTCAAGCACCTATCAATATCTAGAATTAGCCTATTTACTCATGTGCTTACATATTTCTCCATCACAAACACAGACACAAAAGGATATAAGCTCCCTGAAGGCAGCCCCCAGCAGCCTCATTCTCTGTACCCTCAGAACCAGAATAGTGCCTGGCACAAGCCCCCCTCATCAAATATTAACCAACCTATTGCCTATTTTATATTAGCACCTGGGTCCTGCGGGTGCTTGAGTCTCCATCCTCCGTCTTGTCCTATCCTGTAACATTCCATAGGCTCCCGGCAGCTTCCTCTACAGGGCAGAGTCCACGCCCGGATGACAAAACGCTGCACAATGTGGCCCAGCCATCCCTCTGGCCTTGTCCCCACTCCTCCCTCCCAGCACACACCTGCACATCAGCTGTCCTGAGCTGCTCCACCTGCGGCCTTCTCAGATGAACTAGTCCCTCTCTGCAGGCTCCTATCCCTTGGCACCAGTTCTCTACAATGAGGAATGTAAAGATGGCAGGCTTGGCCGGGCACAGTGGCTCACACCTGTAATCCTAGCACTTTGGGAGGCCGAGGTGGGTGGATCACCTGAGGTCAGGAGTTCGAGACCATCCTGGCCAACATGGTGAAACCCCATCTCTACTAAAATTACAAAAATTAGCTGGGCGTGATGGCACATGCCTGTAATCCCAGCTACTCAGGAGGCTGAGGCAGGAGGATCGCTTGAACTCAGGAGGTGGAGGTTACAGTGAGCTGAGATCGCACCACTGTGCTCCAGCCTGGGCGACAGTGAGACTCCATCTCAAAAAAAAAAAAGACTGCAGGCTTTAGAGTCAGGCAGACCTAACTTGGAATCCTGACTCCTCTGCCATCTTACCAAACCTCTCTGAGTCACTTTCCTTGTAGGTAAAAATGTCACAATACTCACTCCTCGGGGTTGTCAGGATGAGGGATAAAATATGTAAAACACTTACAACGGTCTTGGCACATGACCATGATGAGCTGCTCAGTAAGAGGTAGATGGTGGTGGTGGTATTATTTGTTTAAGGTCTATTTGTATTAAAGAAACATGTGTAGAGACACTTCCTTAACATTGTTTGCATCTTCACTGAGCACGTGTGCGACACATAAATCTCAATAAACATCTACTGCAGAAATGGGTAAGGATGTCCTTGGAAGCTGCTTCCAGATGCCTCTAGCATCCCAGGAAGCCCAAACCCTGCTCTGGTCCTTTCATTTTGCTATTAACAAGGGAAAAACAATTGGAAAATGGATAAAATTGCATGTTCAGCACCTTTGATCTTACGTTAGAAGAAAAATAACCTAAAAAAAATGGGGGCAGGAAAAACCCAGCTATGGTCTCTGGAAGGGGATGGGAGAAGGAAGGCTGGCAATGAAGAGATCCCCCAGGAACTTGGGCATCTGATTGGACCTTCAGGAATCACCTTTCTTATTTAAAAAAAAAAAAAAGACTATTAAAATATACGACTAAGTATTTGTGAGTCGGAAAGAAATGAAGCATTATGGGCAAACCTATCGTTGTCAGTTTTCAAAGAAGGCAGTTTCTCATCACATACTGGCAACCTGGCTGGATTTGTTAAACTTCCACAGTGTCCCCTCTAAGACACTGAATGACGTTAAGGGGTGGTGAGGCAGCCTGTGCTTTTGGAATGCCCATTATAAACCTTCATGGACGCACCTGATTGGTTTTTCTTTTCGTCTCCCTTTGTATAAGTTTCTACACAGGTTCATTTTTATTCCAAAGCATTCAACATGCACACACACACACACAAACTCACAAACACACTCACACATACACACACACTCACAGCCCCTAACTGCCTGGAGAACCATAGCAGTTTTCATTTTCTGTTTCACAAGGCTTTCTGCTGCTGAGCTTAGAATCCACTCGCTAAGGATTCCAATACATGAGAAGTCCAGGGCACTCAGAGACAGGAAGCTTGTAGGGGTTCTTGTGTTAGGTGGGAGATTGGAACAAGACCCTGAGGAAATTAAATTTAAGCTCACAACGAGAATTCAAAAATATACTGCCCTTGAGTGTCCAAGGGGAACTACATTCCCTCGGCTCATCTTCATGCACAGCCTTGAGAAAGGAAAAACCAAGGAGGTGCACAGCCAATGGAAAGTGATTTTTCTATTCACTGTGAGCAACTGAGTGTCAGCAAAGCTGTGTTATGAAAGTTGCTTCTAGGCCGGGCACGGTGGTTCACACCTGTAATCCCAACACTTTTGGAGGCTGAGGTGGGTGGATCACGAGGTCAGGAGATGAAGACCATCCTGGCTAACACAGTGAAACCCTGTCTCTACTAAAAATACAAAAATTAGCCGGGCATGGTGGCACGTGCTTGTAGTCCCAGCTACTCGGGAGGCTGAGGCAGGAGAATTGCTTGAACCCAGGAGGGAGGGGTTGCAGTGAGCCAAGTTCATGCCACTGCACTCCAGCCTGGGCAATATAGCGAGACTCCATCTCAAAAAGAAAAAAAAAGGAAAGAAAGTTGCTTCAATTGTGTAACAGAGGATTTTGACGTCCATTGTTGTTTGTCATTTATAACACAGAGTAGTGATGGAGCTCTGGTTTTACAGTCCCAGGGCCTGGTTTTAAAGCCCCGTCTCTATCTGTCTGGCCCTGACTCCCTCACTCAGCCTCTGTGGGCCTGAGCTGCTTCTCCTACAAAACAACTGTACGGTACCTGCCCTATGGATCACACAGCATTGAGAAGAAACTAAATGAACTAACATAAACTATAAGGAGATGAGGGCCTCAAAGGGACTTCCTGACACACTGTGAAATTTTATATCTCAACTAATACAAAGAATTTTAATGTTTTAATCTCTTGGACAAACACTATGACCCCTTTATTCATCTTCAGGGTCTGTTTTTAAACATCATAACGGGTAATGATTAGTATAATGAGGAGAAATGCAACCAGTAAGAAGATGAAGCGGGCCTGGGGTTTAGATGGGCTGGTCAGAGGGGGGCCCCTGATGAGGGGCTTTGAGCAGAGACCCACGTGTAGTGGGGATGTCCACAGAAAAGCACAGCATGGGGAGAGAGTGGTCAGTGCAAAGGCCCTGAGGCAGAGTGTGATGGTTGGAGACCATGCCCACTGCAGTGTCTAGCACGTAGGAAGCACGCAGTATGCAGGAGCCACTGTGATCATGAGCATTGCTCTCACTGCTGCCGAAACACCGAGTTACCAGTCATGGGTGAGCCAAAGCCAGGGAAACCCAATATATTAATACATCACCACCAATGCTAGTTAGGGCCCCTTCAGACAGCAGCTCCCCAGCCAACACTGCAGCTCTGGGGGCTCTTTTTATGCCGCTACAGAAAACAGCCAGGTGCGGTCAGGGGCCGTTAGGAACAGGCACAGGTGGGCAGCATATTTACTCCACTTCATCCTCAATTGCTTTCTTCCTTCCCCACATTTGCCTCCTCCCTTTCCCCAAACGCACCTTCTGAGGAAAGGAGGTCTCTGCCCGCAGCCAACCTTGCAGTCGCACTGCTCACATGTGCTGAGTCCCTAGTGTGTGCTCAAGTCTGGGCTACGACCGGGAACCCTGAACTGCAACAAGGTGAGATCTTTCTCTCTAGGGGCTCACAGTTTGGGGAGAAGTTATGGGTAGAGAAAAAAAGCTGCTCCAAAATAATACCAGCCCAGCTGGAGAAGGAGCAGGGTGGTCATCAGCTCAGGGGGCACAGAGAAGGGAACATCCTCAGGGAAGCCCACCCTATACCACCCACGACATGATGTCCCCCGTCATATGTTCTCATTGTACCCACTTCCTTTCCTCTCTTTCCTTTCTGGCTCTTATGAAAACTGTAAATGAATAGCGATTTAAAGTCTATCTCCCCTGGTAGACTGTCGGCCCTGTGAGCCAGGGGGCTTGCTCTCTGTTGTTCACACCTGTATTCCTAGCACCTAACACATGGCTAGAACATGGCAGGGGCACTGAAAGACACCATAAATAAATGAAGGTTGCTGAACAACACAGCACTTCATTCTGTTGGGGAAGTGTGACATCTGCCTCTAAGATGGCTCCCAATAAGCCGCCTGCTAGAATCCAAACCCTATGTGCACTCTTCCCACACTGAATCAGGAAGGACCAATGTCACCAACAAAATACTGTAAAATGATGATGTATGACTTCCAAGGCTTGGAAAATGTCCAAGGCTCATAAGAAACATTGCTACTCCCACCTTGCTCTCTCTTAGATCAATTACTCTAGTGGGGAGACCAGGCAGCCATGCTATAAAGACATGCAAGCAGCCCTGGGGAGGGGTGCATCTGGGGAAGAACAGAGGCCTCCTGCCAAAAGCCAACATCAATTTGCCCATCATTTGAATAAGTCATATTGGAAGCAGGGCCACCAGCCCCAGTCAAGCCTTCAGATGACTGCAGCCCTGGCTGATATCTCAAATGTGATCTCATGAGAGACTCCAAGCCAAAATCACCCAGCCACGCTGCTCCCAGATTCCTGCCTCACAGGCATATGTGAGATAACACCTCTCTACTGTCATTTTAAGCTGCTAGGCTTCAAGGTAGTTTGTTACTCAGCAATAGATAACTAATACAAGAAGAGACTAGAGAACCTTCAGAGAACCAAACTTTGAAGAACAAAAAGGATTTCACCAGGCCCAGAGACACATGCGTTGTGTTTCTTACAGAGGTAATGAAACAAGGAAACTGCATAGGGGATTGTGTGCTCAAGAAATGGGAGAGCAACTCAGGTGGCTGGAGCACAAGGTACCAGGAATGCCATTGAAAGAGGAGGTTGGACCTGGGACCTGCATAGTCCTTGAATATTATTCTAAAGGATCTGGGCTCTTTAGAGGTGGGAATAATTATTTCCATCTTACAAATGAGACAACTAAAGCTTAGAAAGTTTAAGGAATTTGTCCGAGGGCACCCAGCTACTAAGTGGCAGTCCTGAAATTCAAATGCAGGATGAATTGACACCAGAGCTGGTGCTCTTTCCAGCACCTTTGTGTCCAAGAAGCTCCATGGCTCCTCAGAAAGGGGCCTCAAAGGCTCAGAAAACTTCCAATCCCCAGTCACTTCCAACTTCCAAAGACTTCCCACAGCCCGACCCGATGGGTGATCCAGTGCTTCTGCCCTGCCTGCTGCATAGAGCAAGGTGACATAACAGCCTGTGTCCTCCTGGCCTACCCATGTGGAGGACTCCCCAGGGTCACCTTCTTCCAGGGAGGAACTCCTCACAGCCCAAGACACTCTTCCTTTCTAGCCCCAGCTCTCCTGGGCCTCCCCACTGCCTCACAACCATGATGCCACTCTGCACCCCCAGGTGATTAACTCTGTCCTTGGGGGGCTCTCCCTTCCCTCCTGCAGGGCAGGCAAAGGCAGCATTCCAAGGCAGCTTGGAATGACCTCCTGAGACAGCAGCAGAAGCTGGAGCAAGCTGACAGGATGTGCTTCCCACCCCCAAGCCCCACTCTAATGAGGACATTAGACTACCACCTGCTGCTGTTTTGTAAGGGAGAGGTGCTTTGGGCCCTGAAGAGCACACCTAGAAAAAGAGAAAGGAAATTCACATTTCAGAGCAACTTCTCTATATGAGTCCTGGGCTTTTTCCACATTATTTCTATCCTCACCACGACCCTGTGAGGTAGGCATTACTATTCTCTTTTACCAGGTGAGTAAACAGGGGTCCAAAGAAGTTAATTTGCCCAAGGTCATGGACAACTGTTGTGTACAGCCAGGCAGGTTGTGCACTGCACAAGTCTAGGGAGCACTTGTCACATCATAGTCAACAGATTTATATATGTATTGTGAAAATTTTGCAACAGAAAGTGACTTCAGTAGGGGCACCTTTTCCTATTTGCACAAAGGAACATTTGGGTCGCATTGATTCTGTGGGAGTACCCTGTTGGTCAGTGGCGATTTGACCCCATGTCTGGTTGACTCTAAAGCCCTTTCTTTTTCCACTAGACCTTTATACGTCTCTTGGGATAATTTCAAGCATGTTCATATCAAGTTCTTCAGAGGTGAACTGACAGTGATAGAATCACAGGCATCTAGACCATCCCAGCTGGAAAAGATGTTGGCAATCTGTAATCTACCTCAAAACTTTCCCTTTGCATTGGAAGAATACAGGCCCAAAGAGGGAAAGTGAGTTGCTCAAGGTCACACAGCTGGAGGTGGCACAGCTGGGACCTGCATCTTGTGCAACTGAAGGCAGGTCAGCCTGGCTATAAAGTCATTCTAATTATAACCATAAATGGAATCTAACAAGAGCTAACAAGAATCTAACAAGAGCTAGATTATGTAGGCTAGTGGTCTCAACTTTCTTTTGCAGCAGAATCACTTTTTCGATTGTGAGTGGAGGCAGTGAGTGAAGGGTCACAAGAGACAGTGTCCCTCACCTGACAACTTTCTGAAGTCCAAGCTTAAAAACAAAAGAGGTTGAAGGGAAGGAGCGGGCAGCTCAGAAGCCTCTCCGGAATAGAAAAGAACATTCCTCTGTAGGCCTGTCAGGTCCTGGGAGGGAAAACGTCATCAAGTGAAAGCTTCTAAGCCCTCCCATGTGGCTCTCAAGGCAATCGTCATCCACCTTGAAGGGAGGACTCAGCCCCTGCACAAGCCTTCCTGGCTCCCATGGAGCGTCTGAAAACCATAGTGATGGCCCCCAAGTGGCAACTCAGTTCTGTCTGGGCTCACGCCAAGGTGATAGGAGCCAAGGGAGGAAAAACACAGGGAGGAAATCGAGCACTTAATTTGCTCTTCCTTGGAAGATGCCAATTAAAATGCTTCTGTCTGAGAAGAATGCCCGTTCAGCCCCTACTCCTACTGGGCTGCCTCATTAACAGCCCCTTCCAGACTCCCCAAGGTGCAGCTTCCTTTCCAGAAAATGAAGCCCAAGTATGCCCAAGTTAGAAGCCTTAAGACCCTCTAGAATCACAGTAACCACCACCCCCACTCCCGCCAACAAACACTGGAGCTCAGGGAGGCAGGGAGACCTACCTGCCTGAAATCACTCAACTGATCCTTCTTGGCTCAGTGGCAGTCATGAGATGAAATTTTAGGTGCATTGAATGAAAACGGTCACTCTAGCCTCACATGAACCCAGAGTCCACCCCTTTTCCTGCTTGAGTCACTGATACAGACCCTATCTACAGCTGGTTAGGAGCCATGGAGGTAGAAGACCCAGGATGCTGGCCTCTCAGGGCTCCACAACTCACACAACCCAGGGGAGCAATGACTACTGAGCTCCCTGAAAACTGATGCCTGACAAAGCTTTAGAGTAAGTCATAGAATAAGGGTCTAATTAGTCACCAACAGATCTCTGTGCAACTATCTTTTCTTCTGGTACTCTTCCATTATAATTGGAGTCCAATTTTTATAAAGTAGAAAGACCAGCTTACCACCCCACAGGAGCTAAGTAAATCTTAAAGCATGTGGGGATAATTATTTAAATGAGAAACACCCTGAAAGAAGGTCTGGGAAAATTTAACCTTTTCATGATATTACTAATGAGTTTAGTCCCATTTTGCAAGTGAACAAGATGAATGTGCAACATTTGGTCATAACATAGAAGTCACTCTCAGTCAAAATATTATCCAGAACACAAAAGAAATTATGAAAATCACACCCAATCCAAAACCATACAACAGAGAGTTCACTGGTTCAAAGGATTTGCAATAGTGTTCTGGGAAGATGTTCACCAGCTTAGAGTAACTGAGAGCACAGGATAGAATGCCAACATAAATACACACACACACGCGCACGTGCACACACACCTTTACACATGTTAACAGTATATAGAAAACTATGGACAACTATATGTCAATAAATGTAAAAATAGTTGAAATGGATAAATTCCTAGAAAAAATTTAACATCAAAACAGATTCAAAAAGAGATGGAAATACTATCTGAATAGACCTTATACCACTAAAGAAATTAAATCTGTAATAAAACATTTATCCACCAAAGGAAAAAGGATACAAGAAAACACCCAATCCAGATAGTTTTACAATCAAGTTCTATTAAACATTCAAGGTACAGATCAATCAAAACACACAAACTGCACCAGAGAAAAACTGCTCTCCAACACTGAAAAGGACAACACATGAAAGAAAAATTGTAGATCAATTCTGAGTACAGTTGAAATAATATTAAATAAAATGTTAGCAAGCTGAATGTAACAATGTATTCTTTATTATATGGCTTACACAAATTACGCTTGTCACAGAAGTGTAAGAATAATATTAGAGAATCCATTAATCTTATGTTATCATTTAGCATGCTAAGGGATTATTGAAGAAAACAAAGATATCATCTTGTAAATGTAGGAAGAGTCTTTGAAAATATTCAAGAACCAATCGTGATTAAAACAAATAAATATGTGTATACACACACACACACACACACACACACACACACACACACATATATGATGAAGTCTGGTTCCAGATAAGATGAAGTAAGCACATTCCACCCTATCTCTCCCACTGAATGCAGCTATAAATCCTGGACAGAATGCATGGAACACCTATTTGAGGATGCTGAAAACAATAGTAGCAGACAGATTAAGGGAAAAAAAACAGAATTTGAAGCACCACCAAACTAGTGGCAAATTTTCCATTTTTTCCTGTCATGTACTCTGATCTCGTCTCAAGGCAATCCAAATGGACATCAGCGTGAATGAAGAGAATTCTAGGTGAATCCTTCCAGTTATGGAACAAGATTGGGAAACAGATATTCTAATAGGGGAAATCTCCTATATTTTTTTCTATTGTCCATTCTTTTGCACCTTAGCACCTAGCAGACTGCAATCCCCTAAGATACTGAAAAAGGGGTATCTTCCTCTCTGACCAGAGAAACAGTGGTCCCAAGATAGTGGAGTAAACCCCCATTGCATTTTTTATCTCTCCGTCCTCCTGCCCAGTGGCCTGAAATTCAGGCACAGTCTTGGAAAATGAGTGGCAGAGACACTTAAATAAAAGCTCTAGCTTTCTGGTCAGAGGTCTAAAAGCAGAGCCTCAGGGACCCAAAACACATGAGGGACATGGTGGAAAGGGAGAAACTTGGGAAAGCAAACCAATAAAGTTACATGAACTTCTGGACTCATCTGTGAGCAGCACACAATTAAATCTGACTGTAAGCAGCATACCATAGGCTTTATGAACTGAGCTAATGGATAGACGGGTATCCATCCCAGACTGACTACTAAGTGACATACTTGGGACAGATCTGAGTAGCACAGAAAGGGCTTTGAAAACAAATTTGACATTCTAATCACAACCCACAGAAGGCTGGTCAAAACTTTCAATCCAAACTCAACTGGGTCAACTGGCTGCCAAAACAAAAATATCAACATTCTACATAAGATTTAAACAAGAGCCAGAGTCTCATCAGATAATTTTTAATGTTCAGAATAAAATTCAAATTTACTGTGCATATTAAGAACCAGAAAAATCAATCTTAACATGCATGGGAAAAGGCAATTAACAGACATCAACGTTGAGATGGAACAGTTGCTAGAATTATATGACAAACACTTTAAAGCAGCTATTATGAAAATACTCCAAAAAAAGAAGGGCAATCACTCTTGAAACGGATGGAAAAATAGAAAGTCTCAATGGAGTGAAACATTATAGGTGAAAGAAAATAAGAGATAAAAAATGTTCAAATAACTTAAGAGTAGGCAGGAAAGGGAAACGAGAAACAACAAATAGAGTGGACAAACAGAAAATTAATAATTAAATAGTAGACTTGAATCCAAACATTACAATAACATGCTAAATGTAAGTGGTTTAAATACACCAATTAAAAGACAGAAATTGTGAGACAGACTTTAAAATGACCTAATTTATGAGGGCTACAAGAAATTCATCTCAAATATTATGCTATAGAAAATTTAAAAGTAAATGGATAAGAAAAATTATACCATGCAAACATCAACCAACAGAAAGCAGGAGTGGCTGTATTACTATCAGACAAAGTCAACTTCAGAATAAAGGAAAGCCACCAGGGATAAATTAGGACATTACATAATAATAAAAGGGTCAGTTCACAAAGAAGTTAAAACAGCCTTAAATACATACAGATATAACAACAAAGCTTCAAAATACAGGAAGCAAAACTAACAGAAGTGAAAGAACAGATAACTCCACAATTTTAGCTGGAGACTTCAACAGTTATCTCTCAGTAATCAATAGAATGATTAACCAGAAAATTAGCAAGATGTAGAACTCAATGCCATCAACCAACTGAATAAATGACATTTATAGAACTTTCTACTCAAAACTAGCAGAACAGAACATTCATCACGATAGACTAAATCATGGGTCATAAAACAAAGCCTACCAAACTTAAAAGAAATGAAAGTATACAAAGTATGTTTTCCTACCAAAATGAAATTAGACAGAAAGTCACTAATATAAAGATAACATGAAAATCTCTAATCACTTAAAAATTAAACAAAACACTTATAAATAATCTATCAGTCAAAGAGTAAATATCAGGGGATATTTTAAGATATTTTGAACTGTCTAAAAATAAAAATGCAATTTATCAAAATTTGTGGGATGCAACTAAAGCAGTGCTTTAAAAAAATTATAACATCAAATATTTTATTAGGAAAAAAGAGTTATTAAATAAGTAATATGTGCTTACCAAACTAGAAAAAGAAAAGAAAATTAAACCCACTGGAGCAGAACCCAACGAAATATTTAAAAGAACAACAAAGAAAACCAATCAAACCACAACCTGATTCTTTAAAAAGATCAGTAAAATTGATGAACCTATGGCAAAACCTGAAGACAGCAAGACAAAGAAAATATGATAGAAAACATAAATTACCAATATCAGGAAAAAAATAGGGGCTCAACACAGACCCTGCAGACATTGAAAAGATAATAAAAGACCACCACTATGAACTGTATGCACATAAGTTTCACAACTTACATAAAACTTAGAACAACTCCTCAGGCTTCAGATTTCCATAACTCAGTTAAGATGAAATAGGTAACATAAATTATTCTAGAACTATTAAAGTAGTTGAATTTGTAGTTTAAAACTTTATGAAAAAAATATTCCAAGTCCAGATAGTTTCACTGCTGAATTCTAGAAAACTAAAATCTAAAGAGAAGTTAACACCAATTCTACACAATTTCTTCCAGGAAACAGAAGAGAAGGGAGACTCTCCAACTCATTTTATAGGTCATCATTACTCTGATACCAAAACCAAACAAAGACAGCACAAAGAGAAAAACAACCACAAGCTAATGTCTTTCATGTACATAGATGTAAATACCTAAATAAAGTGTTAGCAAATTGAATATAGCAAAATATAAACAAACAGGTAGGGTTTATGCTTGGAATGCAAGGATGGTTCAGTATTAGAAAATCAATCAATGAATTTCACCATGTTAACAGCCTAAAAAGAAAAGCCATATGATCATATCAGTTGATGCAGAAAAGGCTTTTGACAAAATTAAACATCTGTTCATGATGAAAACTTTCAGCAAACTAGGAACAGAAAGGTGCATCCTTACCCTGATAAAGGCAATCAACAAAAAACCTACAGCTAAAATCATACTTAAAGAGTGAAAGACAATGTTTTCCCTTATTCCCAATAAGGGAATTCCCAATAAGGGAATAAAGGAAAATGTCCACTCACCACACCTATTCAACATCATATTGGAAGTCCTAGCCAGTGCAATAAGGCAAGAAAAGAGGGAGAAAGTGGGGGATGAAGGAAAGAAGAGAGAGATAGAGAGAGGTCAAGCATATTAGAAAGAAAAATTAAAACTGGTCTTATTCATAAGTTACATGATTGTCTATGTAGAAAATCCAAGGAATCTACAAAAAAAAAACTCCTAGAACTAATGAGCAAGTTTAGTAAGGTCAGAGGATCTAAGATTAACACACACACAAAAATAATTTTTCTATATACTAACAGTGGACAATTGGAAACTAAAATTTCAAAAACAATACCATTTACAATACACTCCCTCCCCATGAAATACATAAACATCTAGTGAAACATATACAGGATTTGAGTGCTGAGAACTATAAAATACTGTTGAAGAAACCAAAGAAGACATAAATAAAAGGAGAGACATATTGTGGTCCAGGGCTGGAAGACTCAATATGGTAAAGACATCAATTATCCAGAAACTGACCTACTGATATAACACAATTCTGATCAACTTCTAACATAAATCTTGGTAAATATATGCAAGCTGATTTTGAAATGTATGTGGAATGGCAAGTGAACTAAAATAGCCAAAATGATTTTAAAGAAGAATAAAGTTGTAGGGCTCATACTACCTTATTTTAAGACTTAAGCTACAGTAATCAAGACAGTATGGTATTAACAAAGGGACAGACAAATAATCAACAGAACAGAATAGAAAGTCCAGAAAAAGACTTACACAAATATGGCCAATTGATTTTTGACAATTGCAAAGCACTTTAATGGAGGAAGAATAGTCTGTCCCACAAATGATGTTGGAATAATTGAACATCCATATACCAAAAAAAATTAACCTAGACCTAGACCTCATACATTATAAACAAATCAATTCAAAATAGATCATAGATCTAAATATAAGATATAAAATCTATTTTAAAATCTTTAAAGACCACCTAAATAAATGAGAGACATACCACATTCATGTATTGGAACACTCAATTCTTAGTGTTCTTAATATGACAACAAAAGTAAGATCCATAAAAGAAAAAAATAAACTAGATTGCATCAAAATTTAAGATGTTGCTTTGCAAAATAAACTGTTAACAGGATGAAAAGACAAGCTATAGCCTGGGAGAAAATATTTGCAAATGACATATATGACAAAATACTTGTATTCAGAATACATAAAAAATTCTCAAAACTCAATAGGAAGAAAACATTCGCCCCTAATTAAAGATGGACAAAAGATTTAGACATTTTACATAGAAGATACACAGTAGTCAAAAAAAGCACATAAAAAGATGTTAAACATCATTATCTATTAAGGAAATGCCAATTAAAACCACCGTGCGATACTACTCTGTATCTCAGGCTATATAGGATGGCTAAGATTAAAAATTTTGATGATATCAAGTGCTGGTGACAATACTGAGCAACTGGAATTCTCAACTCCTGCTATTAAGAATGCAAAATAGTACAGCCACTCTGGAAAACAGCTTTACAGTTTCTTATAAAGTTAAACATCCACCTAATACAAGTTTTTATCCTAAAGAAATGAAAATTTATAATCACACAAAAAGCTGTACACAAACGTTTATGGCAGCTCTATTCATAATCACCAAAAACTGGAAACAACCCAAATGCCCTTCAGTGGGTGAATAGATAAACAAACTGTGGTACACCCATACAGTGGAATACTACTACTCAGCCATACAAAGGAGAAAGCTACTGATACATGCAACATCTGGAATGGATCTTGTAGGCATTATTCTGAGTCAAAAAAAAGTCAGTCTCAAAAGGTTACATACTGCATGAATCTATTCATGTAATATTCTTTTTTTTTTTTTTTTTTTTTAAGATGGAGTCTCGCTCTGTCGCCCAGGCTGGAGTGCAGTGGCGCGATCTCGGCTCACTGCAAGTTCTACCACCCAGGTTCACGCCATTTTCCTGCCTCAGCCTCCTGAGTATCCGGGACTATAGGCGCCTACCACCACGCCCGGCTAATTTTTTTGTATTTTTAATAGAGACAGGGTTTCACAGCGTTAGCTAGGATGGTCTCGATCTCCTGACCTCGTGATCCGCCCATCTCGGCTATTCATGTAATATTCTTAAAAATAATAAAATTATAATGTCAGAGAACAGATCTGTAGTTGCCACGGGCTAGGGATTGGGAGGGAGTTTGATTATAAAAGGATTACACAATGGAGTTTCTTTTGGGTAATGGAACTACTCCATACTCTTACTCTGGTGGTACACATATGAATTTAAATATGTTAAAACTTACTGAACTGTATGCCAAAAATAATTCTACATTAATTTAAAAAATAAAATTTGAGGCAAAAAAAATCTCAGCAAACTAAAAATAGGAGAAAACTTCTGATCAAGAGAATCTACTAGACACCTACCAAGCATTCTTCTAAGAGGTGAACATGAGAATTCCCTTTAAGGTCAATAATGAAATAAGGATAGCCACTATCCGCACTTGGCTCTGTGTATATATATATATATATATACTTTTTTTTTTTTTTTTTTTTTTTTTAGACAGAGTCTCGCTCTTGTTGCCCAGGCTGTAGTGCAATGGCATGATCTCGGTTCACTGCAGCCTCCGCCTCCTGGGTTCAAGCAATTCTCCTGCCTCAGCCTCCTGAGTAGCTGGGATTACAGGCATGTGCCACCATGCCCGGCTAATTTTGTATTTTTAGTAGAGATGGGGTTTCTCCATGTTGGTCAGGCTGGTCTTGAACTCCCGATCTCAGGTGATCCGCCCACCTCGGCCTCCCAAAGTGCTGGGATTGCAGGCGTAAACCACCACACCTGGCCAAAGGTTATAAGTTTTACCTAGGAAATCCAAGACAATCCACAGACAAATCATTAGAATTAATAAGAGAGTTAAGCAAAGTTGCTGGATCTAAGGCTAATAACAAAAATCTATATTGTGTTCCTTTACACCACCAATGTACAATTAGAAAGTATAACTTTTCAAATGACATCTTCTACAATGGCAATACGAATTTATAAAGTGCCAAGGAATAAATCTAGCTAATGCATCAAAACCATTATGAAGAAACTTATAAAATTTTATTAAAAGATAGTAAAGAAGATCAGATATTGATCCTCTTCATGAATAGGAAGACAACAGCATAAAGATGTCAGTTCTCTCCAAATAAAGTTATATATTTTAACTAAGTGTTTGTAAAGCATTTAGAACAGTGCTTGACATATAATAAGTGAGATATAACTGCTGTTGAATAAATAAATCAAAATTCCAACAAAGGTTTTTCATGGAACTTGACAAGCTTGTTCTAAAATTTGTAAGGCAGAACAATGGTCCAAATATAGCCAAAGCAATCTTGAAAAACAGAGGTGGGAGGAAGGATAATGTTCATTCTATCAGATATTAGCACTTAATTATGAAACCATTAAGACAATGTTTTTATTGGCCCAGGAGTAGACAGACTAATGGAATGAAATAGAGTTCTAAAATGTTTGCTATATGAAAACTTGATATAGAACAAGTTACAAATTAGTAGATGCTGGAACTGTTAGTTATCCATATTGGGGAAAAATAAAGTCCTAATTCACACCATTTACATCTTTCAATTCAGGAAGAATAAAGACCTAAACATGAACTGGGAAATGTTATTTCCTCAGGGTATGAAAGGACTCAGACCATAAAGGAAAGGATTGACAAGCAACAACAAAGTGTTTTAAAACATCTGTTTCAGAAGATAAGCAGACTGGGCATAGTAGCTCATGCCTGTAATACCAGCACTTTGGGAGGCCAAGGCAGCAGAATTGCTTGAGGCCAGGGGTTTGAGACCAGCCTGAGCAATGTAGCAAAACCCTATCTTCACAAAACATTTTAAAAACATAAGGCTGAGGTGGAAGGATCGCTTGTGCTCAGCTCAGGAGTTGAGTCTGCAGTGAGTCATGATTGTGCCACTGCACTCTAATATGGGTGACAGAGTGAGACCCTGTCTCTAGAAAAAAAATATATATAGCCAAGCGTGATGGTGTGTGCTCATACTAGCTACTCAGGAGGCTGAGATGAGAGGATTGCTTGAACCTAGGAGTTCTGGGTTGCAATGAGCTATGATTGCACTATTACACTCCAGCCCAAAAGACAGAAGGAGACTCTGTTTCTTTAAAAAAGAAAATCCATAAACAAAGTGCAATACAAACCAGAGAGCAGAAGAATATATTTATAACCAACAAAATACTAGTATACAAAATACAAAAAGAACCCTGTAAGTCAATACAAAGCAACAAATAATGTAATACTTTTTAAAATTAGATAAAGTAGATAAACAGGCAACTCACAAAAGTGGAAACTAAAATGGATAATAAGCTTTTTTAAATGCTCAACTTTACTTTACTAATAATCAGGAAAATGAAAAACTAAAACCACAATGAAATAGCATCAAATTAAGTATAGCAATGTTCTTTAGAGGACAGGGAGAGAAATGAGACCAGAAAGTAGGTCACAGAGAGCTCTGACTATATTTGTAATTGTGACAATCACTAGAACCATTCACAAACATTTAGGTTCCACTCCTTTTAGGCACATGGTAGGATTGTTCTTCCTCACACCTTTAAGCTAGGCAAGTATATGTGATTTGCTTCTGCCAAGGAAATGTATGCAGAGATGTCACTTGTAGATGGAAACCTTTAAGAGCCAGCATGCAATTCAGCATCTCTCTTTCCTTTTGTCACAATCTCTCAGTGACTGACAACAATGCTGTCAGCCTGGATCCTGAATTGGGCCCCCTGCCACCCCATGTATAGGCATGCACCATGAGTTAGAGGTTTGTTTGTGTGGATTTTTTGTTGTTTGTTTGTTTTAAGCCACTTACATGTGAAAGCTGTTTGTTACGGCAGCATAAGCTAGCCCATTCTGAGAGTTACCTTTTATTCCTTTAACTGGGTGGAGGGTAGGTGTATGCACATTATATTATTCACTGTACTTTGTGGATATAAAATATTTCATAATTTTTAAAGAACAGTTTATGGTAATGAATGATTATCTGGATTAAATATAAGACATACATGCCTCCATTCTACAAATATTAACTGAGGGCTTACTATATGCTAGGCACTCTTCCATGTGCTAGGGATTCAACAGTGAACAAAATGGTAAGTCCCAGATTTTGCAGAGCTTACAAGAGGAAAGGCAGAAAACAAACAGATACATATTTAATATGTCAGATGGTGTTGTTTACTATGATAAAAAATAAAGCAGGGTTAAGGGTATAGAGAGGAGGAAAGTATTATTTTAAACAGTGTGGTCAACAAAGTCTCTGACACAGAAACATCTGAGCTGGTGAAAAGAATGCAGGGATTTAGGAGAGGGAGGAGAGACAGTAAGGGGCAAAAATTTTACTAAAAAAGGTGAGGACTCTTGTGTCTGGAGCTGAATGAGAGAGCTAGGAACAAGACAAGATGGGGTCCTCCAGACCATAGAAGGCCACCAGGGGGTTTGGAGCAGAGCAGGGATATGACCTGACATGTTTTTAAAGGGTCATTCTGGCTGCTGTGGCAAGAATCTTTAAGAATTGGTGGGTGGAAGCAGGGAGACCACTTGGGAGGCTAATACAAGATTCAGTCAAGAGAAAATAGCGATTTGGTCAAAAAGGAGAGCTGAAGGTGGTGAGACATGATCCACTTCAGGATTATGGGTGGGACAACAGAATCTGTGGTTGGGTTGGATATGTAGTATGAGGAAAGAGGCAGGTCAAGGATGACTGTAAAGCATTGGCCTGAGCAACTGCAAGAACGGAGATGCCATTATCTGAGTAGAAAAGACTGGAGGAAGGGCAAGTTGGGGGAGAGGGCCGGACCAATTTGGTTTATCTATGTTCTGTCTGAGAGTCCTATTAGAATTCCAAATGGTGGCATCAAATAGTCAATTAGATACATGAGCCTGGAGTTCAGGGGAAAAGTTCAGGCTACAGTAGTCAGCCTGCAGCTGGTATTTAAGCCATGGACTGAATTAGCTCACTTACAACATAAATGTAGATAGAGAAGCCACCCAAGGAATTAACCTTGACGCAGCACAGCCAACCTAGAAGGAGCCTCCACTGAAGAAGAACCAAGAGTTGTACCTCATACCCAAGTGAAGAAGATGTTTTAAGAAGGAGGGAGTGGCCAACCATGTCAAATGCTGCAGGGTGTCAAATATGATGGCTTCTGGATTTGGCCAATGTGGAGGTATTGGGTGATCCTGACAAAAGCAATGCCATTGGAGTTGTGGTGGGGTGCAGGACTGGTGTAGACTGAAGAGAGAAAACTGAGTCTCCATGTAAAAAAAAATTATGTTAAGAAATTTTTCTACAAAAGATATCTAAGAAATGGGGCAATCACTAGAGGAGACGGTTATGTCAATACATGGTTTCTTTTTAAAAATGGAGGCCATTAGAGCATATATGCATGTGGGTAAGAATAATCCAGTGGAAAATGAATAATCAGTCATGCAGTGGGGGGGCAGCACTTGCAAGCAAAGTTCCTGAGAAGGTGAGAGAAGATAGGATCCATTTCACCAGTAAGGATGCTAGCCTCAGCCACCGCCTATCTGCTGTATCCACAGAGAGGAGATGGGTAGACACAGCAAGTGATGGAAACAAATGCAGAGTATGTGAGTGCAGATGCAGGGAGGGTGGGAGATACAGCAAGGGGAGCATGTGGAAGTTCTCTTCTGATTGCTTCTACCTTCTCAGGGGGATAAGAATCAAGGTCATCAGCAGAGAATGGGAAGAGTGGGCAAATTTTGAGAATATAAAATAGTTGTCTCTCAGAGTGGGAGAATGCACTGACCAAGATTTGCCAGATAGCACAAGGATCCATTATAAGATTTGTGGTCATGAATTTTTAAATGAGGCAGTAAGCATGGTTTACCTGGATTTGGGGTTTGCCAAGCAAATAGAGGGGAGAGAGAGTTGAAAAGGTATGCAAGGGAGTGATTGTAATGGTAGCCCATGAAAACAAAATGGGTAAGGAGGGAACTTAGAGTCTGATAGGGCTGATGGACAATGAAGATAGGTTCAAGAATTCGGAGTTCCCAGGGGGTTGAACAATTGTTGAAGGTGGGCATCTAGAAGGAATGAGCTGGGAGCAAAGAAAGGAGTAGTCAATGAGATGTTGCTAATGGGGTTATTGGAAGGGATGCAATTATTGGTAAAAGCCTAGGGTATGCCCATGGAAGCAAGTAGCTAAGAAGGCAAGATCATTCGAGGTGAGGAAGTCGGTTAATGAAAAGAGAAGGGTATTGGGAGGATTGTCTCTTTGGTAAATCAAAATCACCAAAAACTATGACAAAAATGGTGGCCTGGGTGCAAATGTCTTCGAGGAACAATTGGAGGTAGCATATAGGTAACCATAACAAAGAGGGGTGGTGGGTGGCAGAGACTGGTGGCAGGAGCTTTAAAAGAGCTGTGGGGGCTTCTAAGGAGGATGCAAGAACAATGGCCCAAAGCAGCCATGAGAAGGGAGAAGTTCATCTATGAGCCTCTGGGCTTGGGGGCCATGGGAGAATAAAACTGCCAGTGGAAATAGTGTCCTCCAAAGACAACCCAGTTTTAGTTGAAGCAAAAGGGTAAAGTGGCCATTCAGTGAAAATGTTGAGGACACAAGGGATTTTGTCTATGAGAGAATGAGAGCTGTACAAGGCCCTGTGGAAGGTTTAGGGGAATAAGGAAAAGAGAGAGATTGAAGGATACAGTACAGTCAGATTCAAGGATACAAGAGATACAAGGGACACGTGTCCAGGAGATGGTGATGGATGACCTTGGCCTTGCTGGGGTGCCTGACACAAACGAGTTACTCCTGGTGGACACCCAGGGACAGACAGTCTCTTTGGCAGATTAGGATGGTAAGTGGGAGAGAGTAAGGAGGGAGAGTGGGTCTTGCCTAGATCACACAGGTACTACACACTCTTGCACAATGAACATATGCATGGTTTATTATTTAGGAAAATGGTTCAGAGACAGAGCTTTCTACAAATGAGCACTGAAGAGGTCCCTCCATAACTAGGGGGTTTCAGTCTTCCTGGGCTGGTGCTCATACTGTTTACAAGGCAGGGAGAATGGGGAACACTCAAATTAGTCCTTTGAGCCCTTAGAGATCAGCAGCTTGGGGTGATGCTTGTGAGAGGGAGGAAGCTGATGACAATGGTTAAAATGGGAGGTGAAAATTATCTGTGGTTTTCAATTATTCATACTCTCCTCAACCCACCTATCATAGGACTGGATCTAGGTAGACTTAAAATGGTTCAAACTGCACACCAGACATCACAAAACAAAGTAGTGCTTCCATCACACAGACCTGGAGAAAAGTCAAGATATCAGGAACATCATGGTTGGAGTCGGAGGTGGTGATAGTGGGATCTGGAAGAGTCCTTCCAGTGACCAGCAGTCAGAGGTAGGTCAGGCAGGCCTGGATTTAAATCCTGCCTCTTTTCCTGGGAGAAGTCATATTTCCAAAATTTAGTTTCTCTGCATGTAAAGGTGGAGTATAATAATATCTGCATTTGAAGATAGTTATGAAGAGCAAAGACTGTTGAGCCCTTAGTAGCAAATCAGTGCAGTAAGAGGACAAGAGAATGTGGGTGTTCCTGATACGAAGGACACTTAGACACAGGAGTTTCTGAACTGGCTGTAGAAAGAATGAAGCACATCTCAAAAGCCTTTCAAGATGAAGATTTACATGTCAGTGAGTTTCCAAGGAGACAGATTTTACAAAAGCTACTATGAGATACGCTTCCTCTACCAAGACAAGATAACATCACATGCTGCTCTCAGTGAGTTCCTTCTACATTCTGACACATGATGGAATTGTAGGAGGAAGAGGTCTAAAAGCCAGAAATGAAGGCAGCACCCCACACCTGATTTGTGGAATGAATGAATGAACCAATGCTGTGTTTTCCCTTCATACAGAGATGGTAGAAAAGAAGAGGGCGGGACATGTAAAAGTGGCCACATAGGGCCCAAGGAAGGAGGATAGAGGTAGTTGGGGATGTAGTTGTTGGCCCTGGGACAATTGGTAGGTGCTGGATAACAAGAAAGAAGACAAGAGCCCAGACTGGTTCTTAAAACTCAGTGTACCTAAAGGCCATGCAGCCAAAATCACACATGAAAGCTGGCCTTTCAAGCACTCTCAGTATTCCAGAACCAACTGCCCTGACCTAGCCAGTCCTGCACTGAAGCAGCATTTTAAGAAGAGGCGTCTGTGAGTCCTGACATTGAACATAGAAAAAGGAATTCACTTTGGATCTTTTTCCTTTGTGGGTACTTATTTCCACCTAATCAATGGCTCTCTCAATCTTGGGCACGGCTTTCCAATGAGTGTTCTGTACAACACCAGTGCCACGAGATGGTCCATGAAGGAAGAACACCCTGTCAGATAATGCTGAAAAAGCCTCCACACATCTTCCCATCACAGAGCTATACCATGCACATTGACAATAAAAGCTCGTGATGTTCCGCTGTAAAGAAACCTGATGCATGGTGTTTTTAAAACATATGTGACTTTTCTCATACAACTATGAAAGTGATATTCTCCTGGACATCACTGCCCTACATGTTGTCCTCAAAGATGGGGCTCAGAGGGTGTCATGAGCCACCAGAGCCTGCCCAGCTGCCCACTAAACAGTTGGTGAGCACACTGCCTATCAGAGCGGTACTGGTTGCTCAAACCGTGTCAGCTCCCAGAGTCCCTGGGAAGGCCCAGCTAGGCAGGCACATTGGTCCTTGTTTTAGAAACGAGGAAGCTGAGGTTCTGAGAGGTGATGTGACTGGGCCAGGCCTTCATAACCGGTGTGTGGTTGGGTAGGACCTAGGACAAGGTCTTAGGGACCCCCAAAGCCATGCTCTTTCCTATGCCAAGGGCACTTCCCAGGGAGAAAATGCACCCACAGCAACACAGTGTCCTAGTCCCCTTGGAAGTTCAACTTCTCATTGTAACTAAATAAATTTGTGGGAGCCATGGTAACCCTATCCTAGCACTGCCATCCCATCAACCCAAGCAGGCAGACAGCCCTTCTCTTTGTTTATCTTTAGCTGAAACAACAAAACCCCTAAAATGCCCTCCAATCCTGAGATATCTTGCATCTATAAAAGAACTAAGCAATACAATTAGCTCACTGATTGCCCAAAGCTGATCCTAAGGCAATTTCTAAAGAAGCAGAATTCATTTCTGTGAGCTTTGCTCTCTAATGCCATTTTCTGTCCCTTCTCCAGCCCAATCCTCGTTCTGCTTCCCCTTTCGCCACCTTCCCCTCCTCTACTATCCTGTCTTCTGCTCTCCAGAGAAGACCTAAGACAAGCCAATCACAGCTTATTGAGCAGTTTATGGCCCTATGTTTTCTCTCCCAGGTGTATCAGCATCTTAGTCTGTCTGGGTTGCTCTAACAAAATAACATAAACTAGGTGTCTCACAAACAACAGAGATTTATCTCTCATAGTTCTGGATACTGGGAAGTCCAAAATCAAGGCACTGAAAGATTCAGCATCTGGAGAGGGCCCGCTTTCTGGTTTACAGACAGTGCCTCCTTGCTGTGTCCTCACATGGTGGAAGGGACTAGCAAGCGCTCTGGGGTCTCTTTTGTAAGGTCACTAATCTCAACCACAAGGACTCTGCCCTACTTATCCAGTCAGCTCCCAAAGGCCCCACCTTCTAATAGTAACACCTTGGTTAGGATTTCAATAAGTGAATTTTCTTTTTCTTTTCTTTTTTTTTTTTTTTTTTTGAGACAGAGTCTTGCTCTGTCACCCAGATTGGAGTACGTGGTGCAATCAGAGCTCACTGAAGCCTCGAACTCCTGGACTCAAGCAGTCCTCACGCCCCAGCCTCCTGAGTAGCTGGGACCACAGATGTACACCTCCACTCCCAGCTAATTTTTTTATTTTTAGTAGAAACAAGGTTTCACTATGTTTCCCAGGCTGGTCTCAAATTCCTGGGCTCGAGCAATCCTCTTGCCTTGGCCCCCCAAAGTGCTGGGATTACAGGCGTGAGCCACCATTCCTGGCCATTCGACGTATGAATTTTGAGGGGCCATAAACATGCAGAACATAGCAATCAGGCACTGACTCTTATGCTTATGACAAAGAAGAGCTCTGCCCCATTGGAGGCAGGTAGGAGGCAGTAGCAGGGGGCAGATGTGTATTCTCCTACCCCCAAGCCAACTAGGTAATTTCAAGAAAGCCCAGAAGATCAGACACTGCCACAGCGAACACAGCCCTAACTAGCTACTGGCCATGGCTGGTCAATGTTTATGTATTTGGAATCTTCTTAGAACACAGAGAAGAAGCACTTAGCAAAAGTGAGCCTACACAGAATGTGAGAACATGGAAATATGTAATCCCTATGATGTTCTTTACTGACACATTTAAAAAATATTTATTGCAAGCAGGGAAGCATGTTCATGAAGAACAGAGGCTCTGGAGTCCAACAGATACAAGTTCAAACACTGGCTCTCCTAAATATCAGCTGTGTGACCTCAGCTATGTTTCCTCGGATATAAATGGGTTTAATAATAGTACCTACCTTGTAA
Organism: Homo sapiens; assembly: GCF_000001405.40. Classification (NCBI taxonomy): domain Eukaryota; kingdom Metazoa; phylum Chordata; class Mammalia; order Primates; family Hominidae; genus Homo; species Homo sapiens. The sequence goes on from NC_000007.14 coordinate 32,246,792, forward strand.
GACTGTTATGAGAACAAAATAACTCATGTTAATAACATCCTATCACAATACATAGCATGTAAGATGACAATAAATGGTGGCTATAATTTTGAATTAAATGTATTGAGTGCTTTCTCTGTGTCAAGCACAATACTATGCACTGAGGCTGAAGGGATAAATAAAATACAGTCTGCCTTCAAGAAGCATTCAGTGGGAGAGAAGTCATGCTAACAGATCATCATAACCTTATAGGGTCAATACTGTAAGTACATAAATTAGTGCTGTGGAAATCCAGAAGGAGTGAATAACACTGGGAGAATCAAGAATGGCTCCACAGAAAAGATGACACTTGAACCTATAAAGGAGGAGTAGGATTTTAACAAATGAAGAAAGGTGTCAGCATACGCAAAGGCCAAGAAGAGTTCATGAACATGGCATGTTTGGAAATGACTAGAGAGGTTTTGTGCGAATTGAAGCAGTGGCCACAGACCAGGTCTTGGGAGCCTAGGGCTTCTTGGCCAAACTCAAATTTTTTTATTTATTGTCTGTCTGTATGAGGGTAAGGGCTCCTGTCTTAAGCATTGCTGTGTCCTCAATGCCCAGGATAAGGAATGATACATGGCAAATTCTCTCAAGAATCATTTGTTAAGGCAATGAATTAATTTTATCCCAAAGGTGATGGGTGGGCCATAGTAAGCCCACTGAAGCAATGGGATAAAACTTGGCCTGGAAGAAGAAAAGACAAGTGACATGGTGAGTAGAGACAGTCCCCAACTTATAATGGCTCAACTTACAATTGTTCGACTTACAATTTTTCAATGCTGCAAAAGTGTAGGCAGTTAATAGAAACTGTATTTCAAGTACCCATATAATCATTCTGTTTCTCACTTTTAGTACAGTATTCAATAAATAACATGAGATACTCAACACTGTTTTATAAAATAGGCTTCGGTTTAGATGATTTTGCCCAACTATATGCTAGTATAAGTGTTCTGAACCTGTTCAAGGTAGGCCAGGCTATGATGTTGAGCAGGTTAGATATATTAAATGCATTTTCAACTTACAATGGTTTTATCAGGACATAACCCCATCATAAGTCTGTACTATGTACAGACTAGTACATAGTACTAGTACAATGGGCATCTGTACTAGACTATGGTAGTAGTGAGGGCCTCCAGGGAGGCATAGCAATAATGATGGAAAGGAAGGAATGGATTTCATAAACATTTCCAAAGTGAAATTGACTCAACTCAGTAAGTAACAATATACTATGTGGGCAGGAGCACAGGATGGCTGTTTGAAGTAAGACATGTTGCCATTCAGAGTAGGCTTGGGCAGCTCAGATGAGGGTGTAAAGATAATTATTTAATATTATACCTGTTGGGTTTGAGGTCCCTGTGGGGCATCTAAGTAGAGAGGTCCAGTTGGCAGTGGGATATATAAGTTCAGAGTTTGATAGAAACAATGGGGGACTCCAGACAGAATTCATTGCAATGAGAGAAGTCCTCGAGGGAAAGAATTTAGAGTGGAGGAGAAGACCAAATCCTCTTCAAAGAACGTGCACCAAGAATGTGAAATTCACTGGATTATAAATACTTAGGTATACAAGCCAGATTCCCAGCCTTGAATGGGTTTATAACCTAACAGGGGACTCAAGAGATAAACATGAAATAGGGAATTAAAATGTAGCAGGCAAAATTGAAATAGCAGCTTGATTCAGTCCCAGAAGGGATTTCCCAGAACTTGGAAGAAAGACTACCCACTGAATTACACAAATACAAAGCTAGGGGTGACCAAGGGGGACACAGACTGACAGAAGTCCTCCCAAGGAGGTGAGCTCTGCAGAGACCTAGAAGGATGGGTATGATTTATAACAGGAAAAGTACAAACTCTGCAAAGAACCATTATTATCTCTCATCAAGTAGACATGCCAGGACCCTCTGTTGCAACAAATGCTCTCTGACCCAGATGCTGCACTATAATTCACTTCTAATCACACCGATGAGGAAAAATGTCAGCAACACTTGGAAAAGAAAACATCTGGAGAGAAAAGACTTTGTGAAGAGCTTCCTTTTGTTTTTTGCTTTGTACGTGAATGCTGCTGTGTATGGGAAGACCAGACATGAGACATGTTGGGTAGGGGTATCAGGGGAGTTGTTTATGGCAAGGAAGAGAAGTGTCCATAGTCTTCAGGTGTATGAAGGGCTGTCATGTAGAAGAGGGACTAGACATATTCCCTAAGATGCTGGTGAACAGGAGCTCTTGGAAGTCAAAATCCAGGACCACTATAAAGATGTTCAATGGTCAAAGGTATCAGGAAGGAGTGGGTGGCCTTGGGGGCATAACAAGGTACCCTTCACAGCTGGCAGTGTTCAGGCAGAGTCTGGACAAGAAGGGTGCTATGGAATGGGTTCAATCAGGGCATAAAAATTCCTTTCCAAGATTCTAAGGTTCTGCAATCAATTCTTAGCCAAACAACCTAGATCATGTCACTGCAGGGGGTGCTTCTAAATGCTACAAAATATGTCTGGGAGAACTACTTGGTGGTGTTTTTTCCTTAAGGTGGTAAACGCAAGCAGAAGCATGCATCTAACTGCTCCTTAGAGGATCTGCTGAGCAGTAAGGTCCAACCTTCACTTGGATCAGGGATATGGCATCAGTGCTGGAAACAAGGGTGTCCCCTCAGCGATTGCATGGGACACTGAGGGAGGAGATGCCCTCTTAAACACCAGGCTAACTCAGTAAAAAGGCTGTTCATGCCTGTAGCAAGAGGACAAAGGACACCCAAAATCTATTTCTGAGAGTTGATCTTGAAGAGCCATCCCACCACACTGGCGACTATTTTTGTCAATTCTTCTTTGGACTGATTTAAAACTTTTTATTTTTAAGAACTAAATGCCTTTCACAAATGCTATCTCCCATATCCACTCCACAGCCCAGGAGATGTCATTATTTCAATTTTGCAGATAAAAAAAATTAAGGCACAAAAATAAGTCAATCATCACGTCTTAAGTATAGTGGAGTCATACCTTCTGTGGGGGTGAGGTTCTAAAGTTAGTTCACGAGGCAAAAATCACATGTGCTCAAGGGTTACCTTTGAAAATCCCTTAATTCAATTGTATAGTCCATGCAATAAGGTAGAGTATCAAATAAAGAATATAAATACAAAATATACATTTTAAATTTGCATTTCCCTTTAAATTATATAAAAGAGAGAAAAATTCAGGATATACAGTTAACTTTTCCTAAGTCAAATGTGCACAGGCTGCCACTCCACCATATGCAGAGCATGTTTCAATCTATAGCTCTGTATTAAGACAAATGAGCTGCCCTAGGTCAGCTGGCCTGTCAGAAGCTGAGTAATGACACAAGAGCTCCCATTTATTAGACACTGCCTGCCTGCCAAGCACTGTGTTAAGCACTTTATTGAATCCTCACATCCCCCTGCCTCTGGGGTAGACAGTGCTACTATCCCCATTTTATAGATGACACATATAAGAATGACAGGAAAAGGAGACCCTGGGTCACACACACAGCCATTAGGCAGCAGAGCTCGAGCCAGAGGTCTGTCTGACTCAAAAACATGGGCTTTGAGGAGCAATTCTCAAATTAGGTGCGCATCAGAATCACCTGGGGAGGGAGCCTGTTAAAAATGGAGTTTATTGGGTCCATCTCAGACCAATTGAATCAGACCCCTGGCTCCCTTCCCAGCCTATTCTGATCCAGGTGGTCCACAAACCACACTTTGAGAAACCCTGCTGTCGGCTCTAATTCCCTACCTAATACACTTTCTATGAAATCACATGTCAGTGCTGTCTCTCTAATGTCGTGAGGACTATAAATAAAATGTTTTATGACGATCACTGATAATGCTGTAGCCACATCCTCTTACCACTCAGCTCAGAAGCAACAGCGCACAGCCCCACCATAAGCACACCCAGTGACCTTGGGTTCATTTTAATGATTCGGGGCAGAGTAAAGCCTTTCAAACTATGAGACCTTTTCCTGCATGAAATCTGTTTCATAGTTAACCCAAATAAGCTTTTTACTAAAAGGAAATACCTCAAAGCCTGATTACAAGTTCAGGTTTGGCTGTAACACACCGCAAAGGCATCCTGTCATGGGCTTGCATTTCTGAATGGAATCATTCTGCTTCTTTTGATTGAAAAGGCGCATGATCTAATGCCAGATGGCGACATTTGTACAAGTCAAGCCGGATTAAGTCAGGAGCTCTAGTGAAGCATGATGCAGATAAAGAAAATGACGGATTATCAACACACACATGCGAGCGTGCACAAGCACAAGCGCGCGTGCGCACACACACACAAGGCTAATGCTAACTTCTTTAAACTGTGGCAACAGATTCCCTGTCACACTATCCCTGTTCCCTGGCCTTTGTCCCCAGCCTCTACCAGCTGGATACACTCCCACATTTGCTCACCTGCCACCGGGGTGTCCACAGTCCAGGCAGACCTAGACCTGAATCCGGCAGCCCAGGACTAGGCCCGTCATGTCCTCTCCCACCCTACTTTGACCTGCACGTTTGAAGCTGGGGTGGCCCACTCTAAACATAGCATAAGTGGCCTAGAGCTGCAACTCAGGCAAGGGCACCATCATCTACCCGGTTTTCCAGACCAGGCACCTTCGTCATCCTTCACTCCTTTTCCCTCGCCTTCCAAATCAATTCCATTACCAAGTCCTGTCAATTCCGCCTCTAGCCTGTCTGCGCCTTTCCAGCCACCACTTCCAGGATGATCCTAGTCCCTGTTCCAGCCACCATGCATCTTCTCTGGATTGCTGTCACCATTTCCTACCTGCTCTCCTGCCTCAAGAGTTGTCTCTCCCCACCCTGCCCCCTCACACAACCCCTGCACCTGCACAGTGCCTGGCTCAGAGGAGAATAATACACACACTGAATATCATCCATGAATAATAAACATCTCATTGAAATGTTCATAACCCTTTGCTCTTTCTCCATTCTCCATTTTCCACCATGTCTGCCCTTAAACCTTTGTAGCTCCCCCTTGCTTTTAAAGCTAAGTCCAAACTCCTTATGATTGCTGACAAAGGTTGGCCATGGCCATCAGCCCAGGGTGTCACCTGCTATTCCCCTCCTCACACTCAGGTCCAGCCACAGTGAGGTCCTTTTAGGTGAGATCTGGTCTGACAGTATCAATCAGATCTCCCCCTGTGGTTGTAAAGATGACTCAACTGATAGACAACCCTGAATATCTCCAGGGAGGGTTCCATTTTGCACCTCTCTATAGAGCCAGGATACTTAGTGGTTATGAATATTTTATGCAAATTTCAATTATTCAGGGACCAATAATCTAATTGTATATTACAAGATCACTTATGTCTCCTCCTCTCTGACCTGCTTACTTTTAGTCAACTCCTCCCTAATATAAGTATATAAACAATGCACAAACATATTTTCCAAAACAGTCTTCATTTGCTCACTCAGTAACTACTTCCTGACCATCTGCTCTGTGCCCAGCACTGCACAAGATCCCGGGACTATAAGGCACAAACCACAAGGCAGTCACAATATCTTCCCTCATGGAACATATATTCTAGTAGGAAGATGGGCTTTAACAACAAATCATACAATTAATTATTTGTTGATGATTTTGTAAAATATTATGAAGGAGAAGAACCAGGTGCAAGGAGAGCATATAGCTGTCTAGTCTGGGGGGAAAGGGATACTTTTTTGAGAAACTAACTGTGAGCTGAGACCTGAATGACAAGCAAGAATTAAATCCACAGCAAGGGCAGGCAAGGAGGAGGCATTCAGGCAGAGGGAACAGCATTTGCACAGGTCCACATGGAAGGAGGATGAATGTTTGAGGAGGCTACTGTGGCTGCAGCACAGAGGAGGGTGGGAGAGAACTAAAAAATCAATCCAGGAAGGCAGGGCCAGAGTCCTCAGGCCTCGCAGCCCAGTGCTGCTCAAACTATGTATTTGCAACGTGTCAAGGACTGACACTTTTGTGAAATACAATAAAAATGAGTTACTAGAAAATTGAAATTAAAAGACATACAAAATATGAGCCCAAATGTTTTACCACTAGTTTTAACACATATAAAATTATTCTACCAGTTACTGTAAAAGTTTTTAAATGCTTGACCTCTATTTGTGTCCCTTCTCATGGCCTAACCATAACAAACAGCTCATACACCAGCTCTTGAGACCATACTTTGAGTAGCACAGTGGACAGGAAGCCATCAAAGGGTTCTAAGCATAGGTGTAGCAAATTCAGAGTTGTGTTTTTCAAAGATCATTCTGGCTGCTGAATGGAGAATGGATTTGGGGTGGGAGGGGCAATTGGGGCTATTGGAGATGTCTTAGTGAGAGATCATGTATCTTAGAAAGAACAATATTTAATACTCGTGACAACCTATGAAGTAGGCATCAACATCTATTATAAAGTGGAAATTTAAGGTCATCCCCAGAAGTAGAATTCACATTTCCAAAAACAGTGAATCCAGACTCCCTGAAGCCTTATTTAAACGCAGTCCTTATTAAACACCACCTTATTGGTGACCTTATAACAAGATCTTTTTTGTTGCTTCTGTAAATAGCCTTTCTATGCCATTCACAGCTGTACTGGCCTTTACCGAAACCCCACAATGCTCCAACAGCCTTACGCGCCTTCCAGAGAATACAGCTGCCATTCTTCAAGCAAATGTCTCACAATGAATGAATCCCCAGAGGTAGAAAGAGAATCTGCTTATAATAGCCTGTTCTTTTCACTGCTCTCTCATCTCTCTTAAATGGATGGATTTCCAAAGGGTCCTGATTACTTTTAGGAGACAATTGAGTTTATGCAGCTGGGGAAAGAGAGGATTCAGGGAAAGCCAAGATGATTTCAGTCTAATTCAAATGAATATTTCTGTGGCATAAGCAATGTGCCAGGCATTGAGCTAGATATGGAGGTTACAGACATGGGGAGATGATGTATAAACAATAAAGGGCGCTGCTGCACAACAAACACAATACGCAGACACACACGTATAAGCAGAGCCCAGGAAAGGGAGTGTCCACTCTAAGGTCAGAGGACAGAGATCAGAGAATTTGATCAGAGATCAATGACTGTGATCAGAGATCAGTGACTGATTCACTTTTAAAATAGGAAAAGGGATTTTCCTAGGAGATAAGCCTGAGAACACCATCCTAGGGAGAGGGATCAGCATGACGCATTTGGAAAACGTAGGCAGCTCACTACTGAGAAAATGCATGGGAATGAGGGAAATGGAAGAAGGCAGGACAGGGACAGTGAATCCCAAAGGGTCTCATGCACCACTGAAACAATGAAATGAGGCGATACGGGGCGTATCAGAGGATCTGGACTGGGCTAGACTCCAAGAGTACATTTGAGGACAGGTTATTGTTGGCGCATTGTTGCAGGTGAAAGAGAACAAAAGAGTAGTTCTGTCCATATGACACTCCTCCATGGATACCTCTAGAAACAACAGGATGAGACTCTGAGGGAGCTGGAGGTCCTATGTTATGCAGGTGAGGACCAAGGCCAGTGACATTTGACTTGCTACTATGACCTCACTGGAACTGACAGGTCCAGGAAACAAGTCCCCTGCACATTCATGAGAAGGCACAGAACTTTGTGTGTTGGCCCTGGTGGAAAAAGCACAACTCTCCTCTATCAGACCTCCTGAGAGAGCAGGAAAACAACCCTCTCCCTTTTCCTCCATAACTTTAAAATGTAGCCAGAAAGCCCGATATCTTCCTTCACTGATGTCATCATATTCCAAAAGCAATAAATAAATGCAGTTTTCTAGGTAGATAATGAAGAGCAAGAGATTATAACATTTTCTCTACTATTCATCAGAGACAGCACCAACTTGGGGAAATCGATGCAGAGTAAGTGTGTATGTTTTTGTGTGTCTGTGTGTGTCATGTATGTGTATATGCATGTGTGTATATGAATGTGTACACACATGCCCAAGTGAGAGAGGAGAAGGCAGAGGAGATCTCAGAAACCCCTGCTACCAAGGAGTTATACTCCACTCCAAGAAGGGCTGCACTACTCAGGGGTCTAAGACCCTGCAATCAACTCTATGCTTCCAACAAGCACCCCTCTTCCAATTCCCCCAGACCCCACCCAAATTCACTCAGTAGACAATGGCTGCCCCAGAAAGTCCAGTTCATGCCCTTAAATCTGACTTGCAAAAAATCAAACAAACATTTTTCCTTTCTTCTTAGGAATCTGCCAAATGCAGCCAGCCTAAGTTAGATGAAACATGAACCTTTCCCCATTGCCAAAGTATTCCCAGAAGAGCTCAGAAACCCAAGTCTCTGTTTTGGAAATCACCCACATTGATAACAAGAGGTCCCAGAGGCTAGTAAGGGCCCAGCGCGTGAACCCAGGGTGGCTGACGTCACTTTGCAAAGCTCTTAAGAGCATTAATGAGTTCATGGGAGTCAAGGCCTCTCAGATGGGAGACACCAAGATAAACCGCCTGGATTTATTTCTCTGCCAGTGGGGTCCTGTCCCACATCCTTCCCTCTCTCACTGAGAGAGCAGCAGACGCAGGGGAGGGGAAGGAGCCTGGGCTTTGGATTTGCATAGACCTCAGTTTGCATGTGGCTAGGCCACACTCAAACTTTTTAACTTGAGAGCGCATCAGAAACACTTGGCCTCTGGCTTCAGGATCATTTAATCATGAAACATTAGATGGAGCCATAGTTTTACATTGGGCACTGGGGACTAAACACATTTGAACAGACCCCAATTCTGTCCCTGAGAATATCTCAGGAGCAACTACGATGCACTGCACTAAGTATCACATTAGACATATTACGAAAGGTCATGGAAGCCAAAGAGAAAAGGATATTTGTCCTGCATGCAAGGAAACAAAAGGTTTGGAAAGCTTCACCAAGGAGGGTACATTTGTGATGGGCCTTGAAAATACATAGAAGGAAGAGAAAGGACACCCCAAATAGAAAGAAAAGTACAGAGGCAGAACAATAGGTGGCAAGCTTGGACATTACTAGCTCATCCTGTGGTGTACCCAGAGTTAAGCATGCATGGTCAGGAGTGGCAGAGGCTGGTGCAGATACTTGTGCAGATACAGAAAGGGCTGGTGGACTATGGTGAGAAATTCCTCATGAGGGAAAGAGGACACATCGAATGTCTAAGTAGAGAAGTGACACAATCCCACATGTGTTTTGGATAAAGCACTGCAGCAACTGTGTGCAGGGGGAGCAGAGTATGAAGCTTAAAAGTGGAGAAACCATTCAGGAGGTTAGAGCTGCTCAAAGACTGAAGCAGAGTGTTACACAGGGCAAGGAGATCAGGGAAGGAAATCAGAAAGCATTTCACAGGAATTGCCTGAACTAGTTCCAGTGTGTTTTGCCACTTCACCTAAGGCAAGCTTCACACAAAAAAAATTAATCCTCGGGGATGTGAACATATGAACTTTAGCAAACAGATGTCTCCCAGAAGTTTTTTCTGAAGTGCGTAGATGACATTAACAGCTTGTTTGATGGAGTTTTCTAAAAGTTTAGCATAAACATCCTGTTTGGAGCCACAAACCAGGGGCTCCCACTGCAGCCCTGGAAGTGTCACTGTCCTATCAGGTGACTGGAGTAGTAGGCCCAAGAGGGAGGCAATCAGGCATCTGAGCCAGTTGTATGGTGGCAAAGCCCTGGAATTCGCACCCCAGCTCCCCTTCCTCCAAAGCATAAGTGCAAGGGCCTAATGGCAGCCAGCTCCCCTGAGAGCCTGTTTTTCCGCCAGAAGCAGCAAGTTCCTTCTGCCAACATCTCTACCAGCCTAGCCAACAGATTCCTGTTGCCCACTCAGCCTCATCTGGCCACAGGATTTCTCAGCTGTTCACCAGGTTCCCCCACCCTGCTGTGGGTCTGATCAGTCCCATGGAGTAGTGGGAGAATTACTGAATAGAGAGTAATGTGGCCTTGGGCAAGTCACCTCTTCTGTTGGCCCCAGTTTCCTCATCTGTAAGACAGAGGCAATAACATCTATTCTACCTACAATATGCATCATTATAAAGATTAAATACAAGCTATATTAAAATGCTCTGTGAACTCCAAATCAATAATAGGGTGCCACTGTTTCAACTTCCAATCCAGTCTCCTAGTTTCAGCTTCTTGTTTTGTCTCTACCTTCTTTGAGCAGGCCCCCAGAAAAGGTCATTTTGAGGTTGATCCCGGGGAAGCAGGGATGAAATTCATCAGTCCATCTGTCCATCCATTGCTCCCTGCATTCCACAAGCATATGCCCAGCATATTTCATGCATCAGGCAGCTGCTAGGATTATCAGACACACAGTTTCTGACCTCAAGGATCTCACAGATAAGCCTCTCAACCAAAGTTTGATGATTAGTGACTAGACACCAGTGCAAGAAATGAGGAAAGATTGAGACGATGAACAAGTAAATATAAGATTTTTGAAGAAGTTAGACAGAGAAAGGAGAAAAAAAACAAATGAGAAAGGGGAATGGCAACTTCTGTGGTGCTGCCCAAAAATTGCCCTGGCTTCCTGCGTCAGGTTCATCTCTATTCACCTCTATTCCAAAGCTAAGCCTGTCCTTGGAACAGAGCAAAGGCGCAATGAAGACTAACTGATGTTTAAATGATGTCCCAGGAACCAACTCCATGAATTCAAATCCTGGCTCCCTCATTTACTGTTTGACCATGGCCAAATTATGTGGCTTATTTGTGCCTCAGTATCCTCTATAAAAATGGGTGGATAATGATTGTACCTACTTTAAAATGTTGTTGTGAAAATTTAAATGACTTAATATTTACAAAATGCTTAAAACAATGCCTGGCACCTTGTAATTATTCTGAGTGTTTACCATTATTATTGCTATTATTGTTATTATTACTACTACTACTATAATTATTAAGCAATCATGAAACAGAAGTGGTGGCTATCTCTTAGGCGGCAGGCAGCCACTCAAGATCACAATCACTTCAATTGTCCAAACCTAGTGAGGCTAAACACCAGAAGAGGGGGCTGCTCCCAGCCAACCAGACACCAGCAAGGGCTCTGCCTGGTGCTCTCTGACTTGCATGGCCACATTTTATCTCTGGGAGCAGAACCAAATATCCTCATTACTCCTGACAATGTGTCCAAAAGAGGCAGTGACCAGCCCTCTCAGGGACTGTCCTGCAGCCAAGGAAATGGGCATAGCAGGTTACATGCTGTCTATCCATCTACCTGCTCAGGCAAATTGGATAATCTCCAAAGAGCCAAACAGGCCAATTCAAAGACACCAGGTTTCTCTGCAGAGTTTCCAGGGGCAGCAGATGAATGGAATAGTACCCCAAAGGTACAAGACAAATGCTTTACTGCGCTTGGGGCCAAAGGCAGGTTTCTGCTCTAAGAAGGACACTGACTTAGAGTCAGGGGAGCTGAACTTGAATTTAGGCTCTGCTGCCCACAAGCTGGGGACCATGGGTAAGTTCCCTAACCTCTTAGATTATATGTGTCTTCAATTATATGATGGGAATAATAAAACCTACTTCTCGGAATTAACTTATATCCTAGCCAAAGGTGTAGCACATTATAGGCATTCAAAGCTGTGAGATGAAACTCTGCATTGGATCTGGTATCAATATTGGCGTTGACTATTACTTGCATCTTCCATACAGGAAAAAGACAATGACTCACTCACCAACACATATTCCATGCACTTCCCTTCTTGCCCATGAGAGCTGGGCCCTGCACGTGGGGGTGACTGATGTGCTGAGGGACAAGGGCAAGGGCACGCCCTGCCAAATTCTCCATTAACAAGCTGTGCACATGCCCAGCACAATCTGTACCAGCCATGGGAATTCAAGACTATGGGGTCCCTGAGGAATCACCATGTTAAAAAGAAAACAAAACAGCCAGGCCAATGAATGAAAAAAGAGGGACTGGCTAAGACATGGAAACTCCAGGAAACCCAGCAGGCAACAGCAGCCAACTTCCTGAAACTTGATTTTGGTTAAGCTTGCCGCCTTCTGTGATTTTTTACTCAAGCCAAGTATCTTTTACCCAAGGGTATCTTTCTTCATACCCTCAAGGAATCCTTCAAAAGGCCCAGCTCCTTCCAGGCCTGCAAGACCCAAGTCACTCACCCTCCTGGAGCCTCAGTCTTCCCATGTGTGACTTGGAAACAATAGGATCTGCCTCTTGGAGCTGCTGGGAAGATTGAAAGAGGGAATGTCCATGGTGCGCCCAGGACTGAGGAGGTCCTCAGTAGGGTCCCCCCATATCACTTCATGGTTTGGACATTGGTGGGTTATTGCACATGGTAGAACATGAGTAAAGGTTTATTAACTGGAAAGACATTTTTACATTCCTGATTTTTAGGCATTTCACGTGGTGTATGTTTCCTAACTCCCTAGACCTACAAGAGATGGTGTCAGCATTTTTCTCCTACCAAACATAAGTTTTGATAAATTGTTCTTCCATACTCAGAATGGAGAGCAAGAAAGAGCCAAGGTTGGGGAGGGGCAGCACGGAGACCCCAACTCAAGGCTTTCTATCTCTAGCTTCTTTTCTTCCTTCTCCTCTCTCCCTTCCATCATCAGCTCTTCTTTAATTTCCACTTACATGCTAATATGGCTGAATAAGTGCCCAAAAGGTACAGGACAAATGTCTCACTGTGCTCAGGGCCCCGGCAAGTCTCTGCTCTAGTAAGAAGGTGGGGCAACTGGATTAAATTTGGACTCTGCCTCCCACCAGCTGGGGGAGCTGGGGCAAGTTCCCAAACCCTTTAGAGCCTCTGTGGCTTCATCTGGGATGAGGAGGCATTCCTGGGACTCTAATCCAGTTCTGGCTTAAAATCTCATGGGTTTCTCACTACCCTGGGCTGAAATTTTAAGGAGTGAAACAAAACAAATCACTTCTCTTAAGGAAGGATTGTATTTGTTCTCCTCATCCAGCCCCAGAGAAATTCCTTGAGCTAACGTCATCATTTTTCTACCCTATGATGTTGCTAAAGAAGCCAAAATGGACCCAATTAGTCTGGAGTAAGAGAACACTGCCCACAGAGGCCACCTGTCACCCCCACGAGCCCCTCCTGCCCCCAAGCAGGTGATGAATGGGTTTACTTTGCACATTCACTTCTCAAAACCTCCAGCTACAGGAACCCATCAAGTGACATGAGGTAAACACCCGGCACAAACCTGCAGCAGGTCCTTTCTCTCACCCAGCCATGGCTTGGTGCCCAGAAATTCTTCGTCCCACCTAAACACTGGGCTGTTCCCAAACAGGTGTCATCAGACTCTGAGGACCGGGCCCAACCAGTCTCTAGAGGGCTGCTACGAGGCTCTTCCTGTTTCCAGGCGGACTGATAGGGGTCACCTGACCAGAGGAGACTTCAGTGTTTAGGGTTTTGGCTTCAGGTTCTGACTCAAAGCAGAAAGTCTACGAAAATGAGAGTTAAAGTCACAGAGGGAGGCAATGAAGTGAAGAGCACTATCTGAACGCAGTCCCACCAAAAGTCAATGAGCAAATCAGTCAACAGTGGAGAGGCCTTGAAGCCTGGCTCCACCACTCAGCTCTGTGACCCTGGAAACCTTATTCAACTTTTCTCAGTTTTCACTTTTGCAAAATAGGAATGTGTAATTATTTCTAGTATTCACGACTGCCCTGAGCACTGTGAGATGACGTATGTGTGAAACATCTGGCACAGAAAAGGCCCCCGTGAAACATGGCCCTCAAATTTGTTCACTTTGATTCTTTGTTTCATGAGCAGAGGGGTCAGTCCATGGAGGGCAGCCCTCTGTGGGTTTTCTCTGTGGAGCGATCTCGCCTTCCTCGCCCCTGTGGTGAAACCAACTTTGCAAAATTATAACTGAGGAAATTATGACAGTGAAAGAAATCAGAACTAACCAAATCTATCTTGCCTCTAACCCTTAAGCTGTCCTTGTTCATTCCTGGGCATAGGCCGAACTAACTTTGGGAAGGAATTCAGTTCATGGTTTGACTCTGAAACAAAATTTATAACAGCCCTTTCCCGAAAAGACCCCCTTCTTGCCTGGGGACCAGTCTGCCTTTGCAAGACTAACAAATTAGCTACAAGATTAGAAATTGGCCGGGCACAGTGGCTCATGCCTGTAATCCCAGCACTTTGGGAGGCCCAGGTGGGTGGATCACCTGAGGTCAGGAGTTCAAGACAACATGGTGAAACCTCATCTCTACAAAAATACAAAAATTAGCTGGGCATGATGGCAGGTGCCTGTAATCCCAGCTACTCAGGATGCTGAGGCAGGAGAATTGCTTGAACCTGGGAGGTGGAGGTTGCAGTGAGCTGAGATCGCACCACTGCTCTCCAGCCTGGGCAACAGAGCGAGACTTCGTCTCAGAAAAAAAAAAGAAAAGAAACTACAGTTGAGGGGTCATGCAGCCTCTGGCTCCAAGAGTCTGAACCTCCCCAAATTGCTCCTGGAGGTAACATCACTTTTGTAAAACCTAAGATCAGTGCTTGAGATATTTTGCAGACCCCCACACTTGATGGATCAGCTGACACCACCCAGACCAGTAATCTAGCCAAACCAGTTCCGCCATCACCTACAGGAACAGAAAACAGCAAGAAAATCTCACTTCAACCCCCTATGATTCCATCTCCAACCTGACCAATCAGCACTCCCCACTTCCCAAGCCCCTACCCGCCAAATTATCTTTAAAAACTCTGATCCTCAAATGCTCAGGGAGACTGACTTGAGTAATAATAAAACTCCAGTCTCTCGCACAGCCAGCTCTGCGTGAATTACTCTTTCTCCATTGCAATTCCCCGTCTTGATAAATCAGTTCTCTCTAGGCAGTGGGCAAGGTGAAACCATTGGGATTTACAGTGGGATTGACAGAAGTCAGAAAGTTCCCATCAATGATGTATGAGTTCACTGTTGGCCTCTTAGATCAGAAGCCAGGAATTAAGTCAACTTTGATTTTTACATTGAACCTGCCCAGAAGTGTCTATAAACGTTATAGTTAGAACAATGTGAATCAGAAAAGCTAGGCAGACATTTTGGTGGATATAAGTCATTTTGAAATAATGCATTCTCTCAGCATCAGTTCAATATCACTACTTCGTACATTTTTCTTTTAATATGCCACCAGTTTTAAAATATTGTTCTTAAGGAGAAAAAACACTAATGGGCTAAAATTATCCTGAACCTTCCATTCTGAAAAGCAAAATATTTACAAACATGGTGTGCTGACCCTGAGAAGGATGGCTCACACCAGGGGTTGCTTTGGGATTTTTTTTTTTTTTTTTTTTTTTTTTAATGTGACATCTAGTGGCTGGTGAAAAAACAGCCATCAAAAACCAGGTAGAGGGGTAGAACTTTGCCTGATTCACCCCCACTGGATGGGAATATTTTTTAGTTTTTTAATTTCTAAATTGAACAATTCACAGGAGATGAAAAGCTATATGCCAGAATAATTTTTGACATTAATTTGTATTTCGTTCTCTGTGATTCCCACCTCCACTTTATACCCAATTCTAAGCAAATAACCAGGTAGCTAAGTCTGTGGCCCCCTCCTATCTTCTGTAAAATCTTAAACTCAATGAAAAAATTATGCTGGTGAGTGAGCAGGTGCTGGGAGGAAGGAACAGGGGGTGCTGATTACCTTTGAAGGAGAGAAAGGAGACGTAGCCCCCAGAGAGCAAGAACTCCAAACTGAAGACAGGTTCCTCTGAGGAGCACTGCCGTGCAGCCTGCCGTGTAGCAGGGTGGTGGCAGGACCTCACAGGGGTGACTGCAGGAGGCCCCAGCATGGGAGAACATCTGGCACACAGGGTCTGTGTGTGTTGACTATGGCAGATACGCAGCAAAGCCACCAACACTACTGCAGGGAGCCAAGCTGGGACATGCAGGTCCATGGTACCCAATGTAAACCAGTGAGCCACAGCTGGGGTTTTCTTTCCCTCCCTCCCACTCTGTGTTGCTCTGATTCCTAGGACATCTGTGAGCTTTGGGAAGGGGGAGCCCCCGTAACAACTCTTTGAACTTTCTGACAACTTTTGGGGATAGTATTTTGGAATAAGATTAAAGTTGATTTTTAGAAAATTAAGGCAGATGATATGTCTTGAAGGCCTAGGTGTAGGGGCTAAACCTTCTACCTAAAGGCTCTCCTTGCCCCATAAGGCTTCTATTCCCACTTTAGTCCTCACTTACAAAGTTCATTTCATTCAAGACTCTACAAAATTTAGATTCTTGGTTTTATTACCATTGAATTATAATTAATGAATTTAGATATCAAATGTGATTACCAGAGTCCAGTTTCCTCCTTTCAGTCAGGTGGAGCTGGTGTGATATGAGGATCTCCCGGAATGTGTTCAACACACCCCATTCATGACCATCACCCCAACATCCCTGCTAACCCAGGTCTCTGGGAGCAGGAAAGGTAGAAAGAGCACAATGTATTGTTTTAAACTTTTTTGGAAGTAATTTCTAACTTACAAAAAGTTGCAAAAACAAAAATGGTACAAACGATATCCATATACACTTTACGCAGATTCACCTACTATTAACATTTTACCTCACTGGCTTTTCTCTCCCTTGCCTTCTCCCTCCTCCCCCTGCATATATACATGTGCGGGTGTGTGTGTGTGTCTGTGTGTCTGTGTGTGTGTGTGTAGTGAATAAATTTAATTTAATTTTTATTTATTTTTCTGAACCATGTTAAGATAAGTTACATACATTATGGCCTTTTACCCCTAAATACTTAAGGTTCTATTTCCTAAGAATAGAGATAGCATACTACAATTATCAACCTCTTATATTTACACTGATACAGTACTTTAATCTCCCATACACACTCCAGTTTTGTCAACTGATCTAATAATGTCCTTTATAGTATTTTTTTCTCCAGGCAGAATCCAGTCTATGGTCAGGAATTGCATTTAATTGTCATGCCTCTTTAGCCCTATGTAATCAGGAGCATTTCCAACAGCCTATTCTTGTCTTTTATGACATTGAGATTTTTTTAAGAATACACCCTCCCCCCAACACTTTTTTTATAAGAGAATGTTCCTCATTTTATGTGTGACTGATGTTTCCTTGTGATTAGATTGAGGTTTTGTATTCTCAGCCAGAACTCAGCATAAACAATGTTTCCTTCTGGGGCCTCACATCTAGAGGCACACAATATCAGTCTCTCATAAGTAATTCTCATTTTGATCACCTGGTCAAGGTACTGTCAGATTTTTCCTCAATATTTCACTGTCTTATTTTCTCCCTTGCAAGAGTCTTTAAGGCCATGCAAATATCCTACCCTTCATGAAAATTCCACCCACCCCCTTAGATAGAATATCCATTGATGATTCTTGCCTGATCTGATCTTTACCACGATGGATGCAAAATTATGATTGTAGAAGCTCTACAGGTCACTAGGGTGCTGGTACCTCTATATTTCAAACAATTGAGAATCACTAGATAGAGAATTCCTAAAACAATGACAGGTGCTGAAGATTTTAAGTAGAGGAGTTATGCAAGATAATGTTATAGGTATTTATCAAAGAAGGAACAGAACCCAATATTTATCAAGCACCTACTATTAATATAGCCAAGCCCTTCATATACATTATCTCAATGACCCTTTATGGCCGCTCTTTGAGGTAGGTATTCTTATTGCCTTTTATAGATTGAGGGATTAGTTAATATGCTCAGAGTCACACATCTACCAAGCGACTACACCGAAATGTAAACCTAGTTCCATCTGACTTAAAAACCAATGCCTTTTACACTCTGCTATTTTCATGGCTAGCTTCTGGTTCTCTCCAAAATGGATCCAAGTGTTAGGTCTATTCATCAAACTGAGTGTCCACTGGGATGGGAGACATCATGCAGGAATACTCTGTGCCATCCAGAACTTCGGTTGAATGCAGCCCATGTGGAATGCTCAAGTAGTGGCTGATGAAGGCCACTAGCAATTATCCAAACAGATTCACTGGATTCGGTGCCCACATTGACCCTTTCTTCTATCTGTCCTGGAGTGATGAATCAAGATGTCCCATGCCTCCACATTGTCTGAGCCTATCATGGAGCCAGAAAACAACCAACCATATGGCCTAGCGAAAGTTCTACTGAGGAGCCTCTTGCACTTCTCCTTTCCTTTTCAAGAAGGCTTTTCCAAAATGCCCAAACAGATCCTTTTTTGTTCCCCCAGTTTCACACTACAATGTCCTCTATTGTCTTTTAAGCCAAATTACATTTCCCTTTGGAATCTGAGATGGCTTTGCCAAGAAGCAATGGCAACAGTCCAGTTTGTGATAGAACTCACTCAGAAATATAAAATTAAGGGTAGTAATGGGTTCAAGCAGTTAACAAAACAGACAGAGTGGCCACTCCAGAGAGAGCAACCTTAGCAAGAAAGTAGCAAAAGGGAAGGGAATTTATTTCACTAGCACCTTGTGCTGTCTCACTACCCCTTAGCCCAGATATTTATAATGCTACTAACATGTAATGAGCAATCTTGGGCAGTGCACATACAATCTCTCTCAGTTGATGAGGTTTGAGTGAAGCTGCTCTATCCTTCGGCTCCAGGGGTGGCCACCTGATTTAAACCTGGCCAATGCATGCATCCAACTGTCCCCCAGCCATAGTGATTGGTTCAAGGATGGGCACATGATCCAATTCAGGCCAATAGGACTGTGTCATAGACTTAAAGCTGGAATAACAGGAAGAGAAAAATGTTCTTTCTCTTTTAAGGGCAATGTAATGGACGCCACTATATAGACAGGGTTTGCCTGAGAGTAAAGCCAACACAAAAGAAAGTAGAGCCAACAGATAGAAAAAGAGAGACAGGGAACAAACGTTGAGGGCATAATTTGAGCCACTAAATCCAACTATGCCAAAGCTAGGCTACTTTTTAGTTTCTTTCTGTTTCATGAGTCAAGAAATTAGGTTTTTCACCAAAATCAGTTGAGTTTAGCCCTTGTTACTTGCAACCAAAAGAATCCTGACCAACAGAGACATATACGTATCCAAATAGCTTTACAGTGTGTCAGATTGGTAGCTGTCAGAAATGAAGAACACTTGGTATTACGCATGTTCACAGAAGGAAGACATCACTTCCAATGGAGCAATCAGGGAAGGCTGCATGAAAGAGGTGGTATTTGGACAAGCTCCTAATGAATTTGTGGGAACATCTGGAAGACCTCCCCTACAAGGTGGGAGGTCAGGTGGGGGTAAGAGGGAAGGAGAATAATACCAAGGAAGATGATCAAGAGAAGCAAAGGTGGCCGGGCGCGGTGGCTCACGCCTGTAATCCCAGCACTTTGAGAGGCCGAGGCAGGCAGATCATGAGGTCAGGAGATCGAGACCATCCTGGCCAACATGGTGAAACCCCATCTCTACTAAAAATAAAAATAAAAAAAAAATTAGCTGGGTGTGGTGGCAGGTGCCTGTAGTCTCAGCTACTCAGGAAGCTGAGGCAGGAGAATGGCGTGAACCTGGGAGGTACAGCTTGCAGTGAGCCGAGATCGCGCCACTGCACTCCAGCCTGGGCGACAGAGCAAGACTCCGTCTCAAAAAAAAAAGAAAAGAAAAAAAGAAATCGCCTTTTGAGAGCCTGCCATAAGCCCTGGAACCCAGTTGAGAACAAGTGGGACAAAATCCCTGTCCTGTAGTCCCAGCTAGTCGGGAGGCTGAGGCAGGAGAATCGCTTGAACACGGGAGGCAGAGGTTGTGGTGAGCCGAGATCACACCACTGCACTCCAGCCTGGCAACAGAGTGAGACTCCGTCAAAAAAAAATAAAAAGCCTTTCCTTCGGCGATTACATGCTAATTGATGGGTGAGGGAGAGGAATAAACAACAAAATACAAGTTTGGCAAATAAAAATAATTCAGATAAGCTATGAATGAATTAAAATCCATGATGTGATAGATAAGGTCTGGGGCCAGGGGTAAGGGTTGGACTTCTTCAGACAGAATGGTCAGTGCAGGCCTCTCTGAGGTTCTGGCCCTTAAACAGAGACCTGAACCAGGAGCTGGAGCTGGCGGTGAGGATGAACACTCAAGGCAGGGGGCAGTGCAAAGACAGAGTGCAAATGAGCTCCAACAAGAGTGTCTTAGCCTCGGTCCTCAGATGCCAAGATGGGATTAAATGTGCAAAGATTTCAGAGCTGCAATGCCTGCAAATAAAGTGGCGGGGGCGGGGTGGGGGGGTGCGCTGGAGAGGCTGGAAGAGGGAGAGGAAGAGAAGATTGGGTGGAAGCCCCCTAGACCACCCGGCATTCTCACGGTCCAGCAAGGCCGTCTGGGAGCAAAGTCAGCAGTCAGAGGAGTTCAGAGTGTCCCAGGGACTCGCCTGCCTCAGTTTCCCTGCCACCTGGCCAAGCCCTGATAGGCGGGGCCTCGACCCAAAGCCCTGAGCAGCGGCGGCCCCTGGCCAATGACCCTCCCTGTCGTTAGAGACCCGACCCTGAGCAAGGCTGAGTGCAAGGAGACCGGGTCAGAAAGGAATGCAAAGGCCCCCTGGCAGGCTGAGGTTAGGGGATTTTAACCTAAGGGCAGAGAGGAAGCACGTCTAAGGGACACTGGGTGGAGCTGTCCCACAGGCCATGGCTCTGGAGTTTGGGAGATGTCTCCAGGAATCTGTGGCGCACAGGTGGCACAAACACCTCGGAAGGAATGGGAACAGTCAGAACATGTGGAGTGAAAAGAGGGGGCACGTCCACGTAAGGAACAGATGAAGAAAGTGGAGTCAGGTAGAAGGGGGTGACCCATCAAGCACTGGGGCCAAGGAGGGCTTCTGGAAGAAGGCAGAAGTGAGGTCTTTCCCTCAAACTACAGAAAATGCAGCCTCTTTCTCTCTCTCTCACACACACACACACTCTCTCTCTCTCTCTCTCTCTCTCTCTCTCTCTCTCTAACAGCCCAGCAAATGACAGTACCCCAACCATCTGAAAGTAAGTCTCTTCTCTAGCACCCCTGGCAGTGACAGGGAAGGCATGGAACATCACAATGAGATGAAACCCCCTCAGAAATGACTTCTTTTTCTCCCAGTCACTGCCTCATTTCTCTGTCCAGCCAAGGCCATGCATGCCTCAGACACAAACCACAGTTATGACCCCTCCATCCATGGAGCATACAGGCACTTTACAGGGATTATTCTTTATGATAATCACAGCCCTCCTAGGAATTGGGGATTATTCTCCCCATTTTACGGAATTGGAAACAGGCTCAGAGAAGCTTAATGAGGACGACTGTGCTGAAAGTGACACTCGTGATCTTTGGTGAAGGAAAAGTCAGGCTGGCACTGCTAACAGGATCAGCCACTAGGTGCAGTGGTCATAGGGCAACGTCGGGGGTTACCCACCAGCCATGCGGGTCACACCAGGCCTGGAACCCAAATGTGGAGGTCCATTCCTAGGCCCAGCTCCAAGATACTTAGCCTAAGTCCTGATGTCAGGAATTGAAGTTCAGTTCAGTCTTGAAGTTTCTGAATGGTTCATTGCTGCATTTTCCAAAAGGCTCAAGAAGGTGTCTTGCTCATTGTGGTCTGGTGACTACAGGGGCAGGACTTGGAGTCAGACCTGGGTTTAACTGCTGTGTTGGCCCCATCGCTTACTGACCCCTTGGCTGTGAGCAAATCACCCACATCTCCCGCCTCAGTTTCTCTACTAGAAAATGAGACTAATGATACCTTTCTTTCTGGAATGATAGGAGGATTGAATATATATAAAGCATAGCACATAAAGACACAAGAAAGACAAAGTAAGGGCTCTGTACTTACTTATTTCTACCTTACCTTGTTCCAAAAGAGATTTAAGGCTGCTGATGCACAATAAATATTTGTTAACTGAATAAATGTAAAATAGAAAATAGAGACTAATGAGCTTGATCTCCCACAGAGAGGCTCAAAGAGAAAATGAGGGAAAATTGCCTACGGTGAAATTCATTAGGTTGTTTTTAAAATCAATGATTTGAGCTCCAGCCTTTCACTGGAAGGGAAAAAATGAATTTATTATAGTTTTTAGCTGCAGTTAGGATAATAGGTAACATTCCAAAAAATATGCCTCTTTTCACTAGCTAATAGCATTGAACTTTACATCCCCATACCCCTTTTCTTCCTGGGTCCTCAAATGCATGCATATGAAAGAATTCCTGAATGCTGTCCAGGGAGGGGGCAAGAGAGATCAAGGGACCAGATAGCTAATTTATTACCAGAATAACTGATAATAAGTTATTAGTTCTTCTAATACAGAAGAACCTCTCACAATTTACAAAGTCTTTACCATGAGACCTGAAAGAGGCAGTGAGCTATAAAACTCAAGTCGCTCAAACTGAATTCATGTTGTCACAACAGCTGTGGCAGTAGCAGCACAGAGGCCTTCTTAAAGATGCCCACTAAATGTTCACCATAGTGTTGTTTATAGTTAAAATACAGGAAGCAACCTCAATGTTGCTCAATGAAGACTGCCTTAAACCAGTGCTTCTCACACTTTAATGTGACATGAGCCACCTGAGGATGTTGTGAAAACAGCAGATTCTGAGCCAGGGGGGGTGAGATGCTGCATTTCTAACAAGCTTCTAGGTGAGACCAGTATCCACCGACCACATTTATGAGTAGCAAAACCTTGGCTAAAATAACCAGTAATAAGTTTATACTGGAATAATGTACACCTCTTAAAAATGATGATGTGAATCTGTATATATGCATATGGCAGGGAGTGTAGGATATATTTTTTTGATGTTTTTGTTTTGTTTTGTTTCGTTTTTCGGTTTTTTGGTTTTTTCTTTTTAGATGGAGTCTCGCTCTGTCACCCAGGCAAGAGTTCAGTGGCACAGTCTCGGCTCACTGCAACCTCTGCCTCCCGGGTTCAAGCGATTCTTCTGCCTTAGCCTTCTGAGTAGCTGGGACTACAGGCACATGCCACCATGCCCATCTAATTTTTGTATTTTTAGTAGAGACGGGGTTTCACCATATTAACCAGGCTGGTCTCAAACTCCTGGCCTCATGATCTGTCCGCCTCGGCCTCCCAAAGTGCTGGGATTACAGGCATGAGCCACCGTGCCCGGCCTGTTTGTTTTTTAAGAGACAGCATCTCACTCTGTTGCCCAGGCTGGAGTGCAATGGTGTAGTCCTAGCTCACTGCAAGCTTGAACTCTTGGGCTCAAAGAATCCTTCCACCTCAACCTCCCGAGTAGCTAGGACTACATGCATGCAACACCATGTCTGGCTAATTTTTTTTTATTTTTTGTAGAGATGGGGTCTTGCTATGTTGACTAGGCCAGTCTCAAACTCCTGGCCTCAAGCAATTCTCCTACCTTGGCCTCCCAAAATGCTGGGATTACAGGTGTGGTATTGTTAAGTGATAAAAGTAGGGCACCCAATTGAAAAGTTAAGGATTTTAAAACAGAGTATAAAATAATATGTATATTATAGTTCTATTTTACATGCAAGTGTTTGCTTTGTAAAAAAAAATCTAAAATAATATACTCCAAAATCCGACAGTATTTCTCTCTAGGTGGTGAAATTTAGAGTGATTTCATTTATTTTTCTTTTGGCGCAACTGTGTTTTCTTTCCTTCTTTCTTTTTTTTTTTCTCTTTTTACAATAAACAAGTAGCACTGGGTGATATAAAAGGAAAAATCTGCAAGAGGTTATAAGGCCCAAGAAAATGCTTTTTCTCTAGATGATTGTGTAAGAATATATATACACAATCAGTCAAGAATAGAAAAATATAAAAGGCTTCTCAGGAAGTCAAGCTAATTTCAAATGTGACCACTCCACCCATCAAGGCACCCCAAAGACCGTTAGAAAAGGAGGTTGGTTTCCAGTGGCTTGCTGTGAGGAAAGGACTTTGTACAGGACAAGTTGAAACTCTACGTGTAAGGAGCTGGTTAGGAATAGTGAAGAAGATAATGGCTGGCCTAGAGGCCCAAGGCGCCCCAAGCCTACGGACAGGGGCTGGATGCTGTGACCCTAGAGATCTGGGGATGGGATCTCTTGGGGCATGAGGATACACAGTGCAGAGGGCTCTGGAGCACGTGGGATCCAGATGCAAATTCCAGCTTTGCCATTTAGCAGCTTAACCACCTTGTGCCTCTGTTTCCTCCAATGCAAAATGGACATACAAAGAGGACTCTGTGACCAGGCACAGTGGCTCACGCCTGTAATCCCAGCACTTTGGGAGGCCGAGGCAGGCAGATCACCTGAGGTCAGGAGTTTGAGACCAGTCTGACCAACATGGTGAAACCCCGTCTCTACTAAAAAAAGAAAAAAAAAAAATTAGCCAGGCATGGTGACGGGAGCCTGTAATCCCAGCTACTCAGGAGGCTGAGGCTGGAGAATCACTTGAACCCAGGAGGCAGAGGTTGCAGTGAGCAGAGATAGCACCATTGCACTCCAGCCTGGGTGACAGAGCGAGACTCTATCTCAAAACGACAACAACAACAAACAAACAAACAGGGCTCTGCTGAGGGTTAAATCAGATAACTTTTGAGAATTGTTCCACAATGTCAGCCACCTTGGGCAAGTCTTCTGGACAGTCTAATCTACTTGACAGGGATGGAGCCAGTGGAAAGAGTTTTGCTTTTTGTTTGTTTTTTAACTTCAGCACATATTATTGTGCTAAATTAGATACATATTATTTCCTTTAGATAATTTCATATGAAGATGTAATGCCACGCTATTCTAGAACAGATAAACAATAAGAGGTATCATTTCTTAAAGAGAAGTGTAGGGGAGAAAAAGTTTAAAAATAAGAATATTTAACCCAGGAACACGATCATATCCAAAATAGGAATAATGCTGTGAGTGGGTAGTTTTTACTAGAAGGAAATCTACTATATTGGAAGAAGATATAGTAGCAGATTAGTTAGTAGAAATTAAGTAACGTTCTTGTGAAAATGTAGAAAACTCACAGCCCCAGAAGAACTTATTGACAAACAGACAAAACAGGACGAAGTTCACACACCTGTTACAGGTTTTGCACCATCCCTCTCAGTCTTAGCAACAGGGCCTCCACATTATGATAATAATAATAACACATGGGGCAAATGTTTGCAAAGAAAATGAACATGAGCCAGAGGGGCAGCCTTGTGATCTCTCTACTCCACCTTGGAGAACATCCACAGAGACATGCAGCAGGACTTTTTGCTGCAAATACAGGAAGATGCCATGAAGGGAAGACTTTGGGGAGATAAACTGGGCTGTCTTGCTTAGGAACTCCTGGGGTGTTGCAACCCGTTTTTTCTGCCATTGGGTTAGTTACAACAAATGCCAATAAGTCACCTCCACTTTGTCTCACTTGTTCTTTGCAGCAGCAGCTCAGCCTTGGAAGGACGTTGCCTGAGAAATGAAGAAGCTCATTAACTTGGGTCGGTAGATTGGACAGTGTAGCACCTGTAGACCTTGAATCTTAAGATGCCTTGTGTGATCAGCCAGAGAAATGAAAACTAATCAGGAGGGTGAAACTGCAATGGGGCCCGCAGTGAATAGTGAGGAGGCACAGCCAACAGGCTGAGGCCCAGACTCAGTGGTAGCCCTTGCAACCCAGCTTGACTGGCCTGTGCTGGGAAATGCAGCTGGCCTAAGAAATGATTAAATCCTCAAACGTCTAGGACAAACATTCCAACCATCCTACCAGACTAGATCATGTACATATATATCCATTTGTCCCACAAGGGAATTTCAGAAAAAAAGTGACGTCTCATTGAACTAATGAAGATGTCGTTCTCCCACTTAAGTGAATTCTGGAAACTCTAAACATTCATTTGCACAAATCAATAGAGTCTCAAAGCCAATGTTTATTGCCTTCAGTGAGATTTATTACGCTGTAAAAACTTTGACTTTTGACCAGCAAAATATTAAAAATTAAGTTGCCCGTGTCACTCTTGGCTATCTAATCAACAGCCATTCTCCCTTCAAAGACTAGCAAACAGAATTCTATGTTTGGGTGCAATGGACCCAGTCCCATGAAATGACTTAACGATTGTTCTAACTCAATAGTGACACCCCCTTCCACTAAGCCAGTGATTGATTTAGGAGTGTGCATGTGACCCAGTTCTAGTCAATGAGATTTGAGGAAATAACTGCTGAGGCAGCCATATTGCCACCATTAAGCAATGAACTGGAAAACAAAAGCTGAGAATTGCAGAGCTATTCTTATTGTGTATAAATATTGAATGTGACAAAGGAAAAGAATGCATTGAGCAAAAAGAAATGGGTCTATACTATAATATTAACAAGTATTTATTAAGCATCTACCATATGCTTAGTTAACCCTATGATACGGGGTATGGAATAATTATCAACCTCTATAGCACTGGCTTTGAAATGGAGATGGAGGTGACGGTGTTTCAGGTTGTTAAAGAAGTGCTCTAGCTACTGGTGATGAAGAAATCTATTTCAGCTAGGGCATACCCGGGAGGTGACTTCTAGCACAGCACTCAAATAATATTAGTTACAAAAAAGAAGAGTAGTTACAATCTTCACAATGACAGACATAGGACAAAGAGTGCCCCGGTGAGAGGGAAGACAGTAGTGTTCAGCCTCTCATATCAGTCCCCTGAACCAGGGAAATAGGCAGCCAGCATTTTGCAAAGCATATTAGAGAAAAGCAAAGATGTCCATTAAAATGAATTGAAAAAGTCTTGGTCCTGTGCTTTGAGCAAATGTATTAACATAAACCAAGAACTTCCTGTAATTACAGCACTTCTGAAGTAAAAGTATGGCTGGGCTACCCCAAAGGACAGTCATCCCACTATTTCTTTAGCCACAGTAGACATAGGGTTATCACAGTAAGGGGAACTGGAACTCAATTTCAGACCCCACTGGACTTCCTTCATGGTTCCTTGCATTTGTTTGTTAGGGAGACAGTATTCACTTCAGGGCTCAGGTGGCAGGACAGATGAGCATGGGGGTTTTCAGAAGAGGAGGTCCATGAGAACCAGAGGGTAAAGTTTGAATTTTGCCTTCAAAGACTTGTACACCGATTTGTGGGGGTACCGCAGCTATAGGTGTGTCTATAGTCAGCATGATGCCAACTGACTCATCACCAAAATCAGTTGTGTCAACACCATAAATGTGGCAGCCTCGTTCAGAGAAATCAAATGTAAAAGTGTTTTAAATTTAAAAACACTGATGATTTTTAAATTGTGCTTGAGGTTAAATTGTTCCCCTACCTTGTTGGGTTCCTGAGAACAATGCAGTTAGAATAACAATCTCGCTGCTGCATCTTTTCCAGAGATCTCAAAGCATGACTTGAGTGTCATTCTCATTACAAAAGTGGAGAATGGAGGATTGCTTGGGCAGAAACATACACCAGAGGACAGCAGGAAAGCTTGAAGATAGTTAAATCTTAAGAGAGTTCTAGAACTAGAAGGGGTCTTAGAAACATCTAGTATAACCTCTCAAACATTTTTAGCAGTAGAACATTTCATTCAAATGAAATTTTACACAGAACCCCAATATGGATATAATGGCATTTATTTAGGATAGTTTTTTAATTTTTTTTTTTTTTTTGAGACGGGCTCTTGCTCTGTCAGCTAAGCTAGAGTGCAGTGGCATGATCACAGCTCACTGCAGCCTTGAACTCCTGAGCTCAAATGATCCTCCTACTTCAGCCTCCCCAGTAGCTGGGACCACAGGTGTGCACCAGCATGTCTGGCCTTTTTTTTTTTTTTTCTTAAGAAATAGGTTCTCCATATGTTGCCCAGGCTGGTCTCAACTCCTAGGTTCAAGGGATCCTCCCACCTCAGCCTCCCAAAATGCTGCGATTACAAGTGTGAGCCACCGCACCTAATAGATAGTTTATTTTTCAAGTGAAAACTTTCATATTATGAAGTGGGTCTGTGAGACCAATTAGATGGTTTGTTGGATGTGAAAAATTTTAAATCAGGGTTTAAGGACTGTTATGACTAGATCAGCTTCAGCATCCATTGTATTTCTCTGATGTGTGTTAGTTACACAGAATCGAGAAACTTCTGATTGGTAAGTAGGGACAAACTTGAAAGTAGGGATGAGCTTCACCACTCACCCTGCAATCTCAGGATACTTTTCAAAGAAACTGAAATCATAGGAGAAGCTTTATTCCAAGATGAATCAGAAAAATAGCTCATCCTGCAACATAAATTAACGTGTTTACAATTTGCTAACGTGCTTAAGAAAATTGATATGGTTCATAAAACAAGGACATGCATATAATGTTTTTAAGTACAAATATATTTCATGACTGATGTTTGAATCAAATGTTTGCCCAATTTCTAAAGCAACTCTACAAGTCGCTAAGTTTCTGCAGAACCATCTAGAACACACTGATCAAATTAAATTTCCTCTTTTTTATAAATAAAGAATTTAGGTCCTGATTGGAGAGATTATTGCTTGAAGTCACACAGTTAGGGTTGCATATCTAGGACTAAAACCCAGAACTTTTTACCCAAAATCTACAGGGGCTTCCCCTAAAGATGCTGCAGTTCTATGTAAAAATGTTCTCTTTTATATAGATGCCTTTTCTACTGCTAGCAAAGAAACTAAGCTCACACATGTCATCAGATAAGACCTCGAACACTTTGACATGTATTTCCAAGCTAATGAGGAAAAAAAAAAACTTCTGAATAAAAACTTCTCTGCAGGATGCCCACACCCAGCCCCTACTGACATCAGTGGCCCTGATGAGCCAAGCAGGCTCCTGATGAGCTTGTAGGCACATCACCTGCATAGTCACTCACACCAGTGACCACTCTCTCCATGGCCTATACTTTGCACTTTCTCAGTAAATCTTGCTGAACAAAAAGTGAGAAGCCAGTGAACATAAAAGCACATTTTAGGGAAGAGTTTGACATCAAACAAATACCAGCAGCAGGAAAACAGCTCCACCTCCTTTCCATATCCAGCCTCTGTCTAAGACCTCCCCTACCTGAAAGTTAGCAGGAACATCAGGGAAAAAAAAATAAAACCAAAAAAAAAAAGCCTTAAGTCTTTCAGGTTGCACCTGCAAACAGGTCCTGGAAATGGGTTGTGGTTGCACAAGGGCAATGAAATTAAGTGAATGTGTAGTTCCCCTTGTGGTTCATTTATGCACACACTCCCAAACCCCACGACCACACAGAGTTGATGAATCACTTGTTCTTCTGTTTAACTGAATGTCTAAGACAAGATATCATTCCCATTGCTGAAAACATCCAGAAAATTCATTAACAGGATGACATAATACAGAAGCATGCTCACTTAGTATGACCCTGTAACTGTAGATACCAGCTTATCGAGTTGGCATACTTTAATTATGAACTGCAAGATAGATAAAACTCAATATCCAATTTATGAAAATGCAAACATATTTTCATTTACTTTGGGTATAAATGGCCATAGTGTAAGCAGAAAATTGTATTACAATACTATTCCTGATAATATCAACAATAACTATTTTTGTTGATTATTTACCATATACCAAGCACTGCTATAAATACTTAACATGTATTAGCTCTTTAATTTTCACTATAACTCTAAGAAATAGGTACTATTTGTCAGCCCAATTTTACAACAAAGCAAACTGAGGCAAAGAGAAGAAATAGGTATTAGAAGTGACAAAAACAAGCATAAACAGGATTTGAATGAGTGTGCATTTCTTCCTACCTAGATATTAATTGGTATGTAATCATGACTCAGAAAACAAGGAAGAAAAAAACGTTTAAACTTCCCAAACATACAACATCTCCTTCAGCTCTCATGTTAGCACAAATAAGAGGCATTTCAACCCAAGATCAAACAGTTTGATTAAATCCTATAGTTTAGAGATTGAATGGAACCTGAGGATCTAGGAGTGGGGCTGGGTGACTGCAAGAAAGGCAGCTCTTTGCAAGACTGTTCTGCGTGATGATCAGGTGTTGCAGCTCTGAAACCACAGAGCTTGGATTCCAACCCTGGCTCGCCACTTGTGAGCTCTGTGATCTTAAGAAAGTTGTTTAATCTTTTCCATGGAAATAATAATAATAATAATAACTATCTCACAGGGATGTTGTGAGGATTAAATGAGCCTGTGAAGGTGTGACATAGCACCCGGTCCACAAGAACCACTCAATACATATCAGTTACTGTTACTATGATCACTACTACCACCAACTGGAGAAATAACTGGAAATTAAGGTTTTTATAAGACAGAAAGAACAAAATCCTGGCTTTTATGAGACAGTTGTGTACTACTCTGTTCTTAGACTCATTCATAAGGGGGAAAAAATCCCTATACCCCATATCACGCAAAAGCTGCATGCAGCACAGGCACAGTGGCTCATGCCTGTAATCCCAGCACTTTGGGAGACTAAAGCAGGCAGATCGCTTGAGCCCAGGAGTTACCAGCCTGGACAACATGGCAAAACCCCATCTCTACAAAAAATACAAAAATTAGCCAGGCATGGTTGTGCACACCTGCGGTCCTAGCTATCCAGGAGGCTGAAGTGGGAGAATCACCTGAGCTTGGGAGGTCGTGATGGGCTTGAGCCATGATCATGCCACTGCACTCTAGCCTGGGTGATGGAGCAAGACCCTGCCTCAAAAAACAAAAACAAAAAAATCTGTATGCATGCTAAGTTTTCCAACAATAAGCAACATATGACACTACTCATACATGAATAGTTTCTTTAATCTTCTATAAACCCACTTTTATTAAGTCTTCTCAAATTGCCAATGGGCATTTAGAAATTTTTACAGAAGCTTTGTAAAATGAGATATGATGGATCTGGCCCAAAATGGTATAAAGCCACAAATCCTAAAGCAGATACTTCTGATAAATGGCAACAAAAACATAGAAAAAGATTTTTAAAAATAATAACAGAACTAAAATTGATCATAGTCTAATACTAGAACCTGGGAGCAACTGACAGGACTAAATTAAAACACCAGCAGCTGAGACTTCAGCTCTTGATGTAGTCTGGCTTCGATGAATAAAACAGAGGTCACCAGACAAAAGGAAGAAAGAGAAAGATGCTTCAAACCTCCTCTTTCATTCCTCAGCTTCATGTCTGTTCTCCTATCCTCATCCCTAACTCTATCTCCACCTCTTCCAAATCTAAGCAGAAACCACAAATTCTAGAAAATATAACACTAATGTGGGTAAGAAGAGACTTGATGGTAGCACAACACATTTGTCTTAGATAAAGGCAATATACCATCACGATGAACCCTAATAACAACACGTACTGGAAATTGGCTTGTCCATGTTCAGAGTACCAGAGAATCAGGCAGTGGGAGGAGATAGAAGGTGCCACTTCATTAGAGCAGGACACACCGGTGATGTCCTAATGGAAACAGGAAACTGGACTGGGAGCAGTGCATACCAATATGCCACAAGTGTGAAAAGGGAATTGGATTATATAGCAAAAAAAAAAGAAGCTGAAACACGGGCAGATGGAAATTAAACACAACGAGTTGCCAAAAAAAAAAAAATGCAGGAGAGAAGGAAGGATTCCAAGAAGATAATGTGATTACAGAAGTAATATACATATTGGAAACAGGTTTAGAACCAAACTGATGCTATAGAAAATCTATTTAGTGGTGTGGAAAACAGACTCTCCAAGTTCTAGTAGAATATAGAGGGAAAGAACTGGAAATTAAAATGACTCTAGTTGTGGAAGACAAAGACTGGAAAGTCAATATGAGAAAAATGAGTGTTCCTCAAGGAGAACTCAGAATAAATGGAAAAAAAGTAATAATCAAAGATACAGTAGAAGAAATTCTTCCTCACCTAAAGACAAACTGCATAAGCAGATCAAATGGGCCTTTAGTTTTCTGAAAAATCCATTAGAAGAGATTCACATCTACTCACATGCTTACAAACTATTTACAAGGATAAGTTTAAAATAAAATTTAATTTAAAAACCTATAAGCACCAAGGCAAATAAACCAGGTTGCCTAGCAAATATGAAAATTAGTCAGGCTTCAGACTTCTCCAGTGCTGGACTAGCTCCAAGGCGATGCTGTCTCAATGCCTATAGCATTTTGAAGAAGAAAAAAGTTATGATCCAGTAATTTTTCATGTATCTGCCATGTTGAAAAGGGATGTTCAGATACACAAGCTCTTAAGACACACAGGAGCTTCCAGAAAGCTTCTTGAATTTGTTGTCCAGAAAGGGCACAAAGTAACCGATAATGAAAAATAAAACTAGTTTTAAAAGATAAACAATTGGCAGAAAGCTGGATATAAAAGAGGACTCAATAAAAACTGGAGTGAGGATTCTTTGGGGAGTGAGAGAAATGTTCTAAAATTAGATAGTGGTGGGAGTGGCACAATTCTGAAAATTTACTAAAAATCATTGAATTGTATACTTAAGAGGAATTTATTTTATTGCAAATTATGCCTCAATAAAGCTGTTTGAAAAACCAAACTCAAATATAAAAACTGATCAGATAGAAAAGCCAAAATCAAATACACTAACATAGCGTAGCAAGTAGGAAGGATGACAGAGTGTGTTCAACACTTTATCACCAGAGGTGCCATTTCACAAGTGACTCTCACAATCTGAAAAGGCCAATCAAAGAACATTTTTGAAAAATTAAAAATAACTACCACTAGAATATATGTCTTCCAAACATTAGAAAAGATAAAAGGTAAAGAAAATATAGCCCAGGGAGGGAGGATGGGGAAAGGTCGGTCAACAGGTACAAAGTTGCACTTAGATAGGAGGAATAAGTCCTGGTGTTCTATTGCACAGTAGGGTGATTGTGGTTAACAATAATTCATTGTATATTTCAAATAGCTACACAAGAGGATGCTGAATGTTCTAACCACAATGAAAGGATCAATGTTTGAGGTGAAAGATTTGCTAATTACCCTGATTTGATCATTATACAATATATACATGCATTGAAATATGACATTATACCCCATAAATATGTACTATTATTTGTCAATTAAAAATAAAATAAAACTTAAAAGAAAATATAATCTATATACCAAAAAAGAAAACATAAAGGAAAGAGCAACATAGCATCTTTCAAGTAGAAAATGCTGATATGCCAGAAATAAGAGCAAATATAATAATTATAACAATTACATTAATCTCCTCTATTAAAAATTTTGAAACTATAAACTCGGGTCAAAAAAACAAAATACTGTACCTAAAGCAAAGTAAAATAAATATATAAGGGCAAAAACCTAATTTCTTGGTCTGATGAAAAGTGTAAACATTTTGAACTGAGAACTTCATTTAAAATGGTTATTCAACTTTATGTTTATTGCAACAGAAAGGTGACCATGACATATTTGTAAGTGGGAAAAAAATGTAGACTATCACAACAGCATGCACAGAATGATCCCACGGCAAATTGTGAATGTGTGTGTTCATGTGCACACACACCCAATAGAATATATAAAAGGGATTCACTAAAACATCAGAAGTAGATTTGGGGAGATTTTAATGCTTTGGTCTGGTTGAGTTTTTAACAATGAGAATATAATATGTTCACACACAGAGATACACACAAGATATTGTAAATTTGTAGAAAGACAGTGGTAAATACCATTTAGTGGTACTTACCCAATAATTTTATATTGGAAAGCAGTAAAATTGATAGTGAATATATAATTCTCATAAATTCCATGAAACAAGTTATAGTGTACTAAAATATGTATAAAGCTAAAACTGAAATACAAGAAGAAATTCATAAGAAAAAATTATATTAGGATAATTCTTTAATAAACAAATTGTCTTCATCAGGTCAAACAGCCAAAAAATAGAGAAAAAGCTAAATAATTGTATTAATGTAATTACTAATCTGGATAATGACTCTTCATTATATCATTACAACATAATTAAATTAATTTAATAAATACATTGACGATACATATGAAAACAGAAACATACTCTATTTTTCAGCGCCCATGAAACATGTACAAAAATTGATTTAGAATTGGACCACATAGAAAGTTGCAGTTATGCTCTTGACTACAGCCCTATCAAAAAGTCTAAAAATTTTCTAATGAAAACTGGCAAATTAAAAGTCCATCAAGAATAAAAATGAGCAAAAATAGCCTGGGCGAAGTTGTTGCTTTGGGAAGCTGAGGCGGGAGGATTGCTCGAGGCCAGGAACTCGAGACCAGCCTGAGCCACACAGCAAGACTGTCTCCACAAAAATCAAAAAATTATCAGAGTGTGGTGGTACACACCTATAGTCCTAGCTACTTGGGAGCCTGAGGCAAGAGGATCACTAGAACCAAGAAGTTTGAGGCTACCGTGAGCTATGATCATGCCACCACACTTCAGACTGGGCAACAGAGTGAGACTTTTTCTCTAAAAAAATTTAAAAATAAAGAGGAAATTCCAAAAGCAGACCCAAATATGTATGTGTGTGTAACATTAGTATTATTAAATTAATATTTTAAATCAGTGC
Source organism: Homo sapiens (assembly GCF_000001405.40). Classification (NCBI taxonomy): domain Eukaryota; kingdom Metazoa; phylum Chordata; class Mammalia; order Primates; family Hominidae; genus Homo; species Homo sapiens. The sequence continues at coordinate 32,281,084 of NC_000007.14, forward strand.
AGAAAAAAATGGGTAAATTTAGGGAAAAAACAATTAAATCTCTACCTTATTACAAAATGAATTTTAGATGAAGTAAGGATTTAAATATAAAAATAAAACTATAAAGTACTAGAAGAAAATATTGATGCATATTTTCAAAATCTGTTCAATGTAGAAGTTTTTCTAAACATGAATTATAAATGAATAAAACTGATAGGCTTATTTAAAAATTTAACATCTGAACATAAACAAGGCTAAAATGCCTATTTGCAAACTGTGAAAATTATTTGCAACAAATATCACAAAGGCTGAATAGCCTTAATTTTTATTTTTAATTTTGATATATAAAAATTTCATATAAATTAAAGGAAGTCAGGCCAGGTATGGTGGTTCACACCTGTAATCCCAGGGCTTTGAGAGGCTGAGGCAGGAGGATCACTTGAGCCCAGGAGTTCAAGGCTGCAGTGAGCCAAGGTGGTACCACTACACTCTGGGCGACAGAGTGAGACCTTGCCTATAACAAAACAAAACTAAACTAAAGGAAATACCCCAACAGAAAAACTAGTGAAAGGCAGCAATGTGCTACTTATAAAAGAAATAAGTTGCACAGCTAGCACAGGCAGTAGAGCATGAGTCTCTTTAAAGAAATACAGATGCACACGTATGTTTGTTGCGGCACTATTCACAATAGCAAAGACTTGGAACCAACCCAAATGTCCATCAATGATAGACTGGATTAAGAACATGTGGCACATATACACCATGGAATACTATGCAGCCATAAAAAGGATGAGTTCATGTCCTTTCTAGGAATATGGATGAAGCTGGAAACCATCATTCTGAGCAAACTATCGCAAGGACAGAACGTGTTCTCCCGCATAGGTGGGAGTTGAACAATGAGAACACTTGGACACAGGGCAGGGAACATCACATACTGGGGCCTGTCATGGGGTAGGGGACGGGGAGAGATAGCATTAGGGGAAATACCTAATGTAAATGGTGAGTTAATGGGTGCAGCAAACCAACACGGCACATGTATACATATGTAACAAAACTGCACGTTGTGCACATGTACCCTAGAACTTAAAGTATAATAAAAAAAAAAAAAAGAAAGAAAGAAATATAGATGGTCGGCCGGGTGTGGTGGCTCACACCTGTAATCCCAGCACTTTGGGAGACAGAGGCAGGCAGATCTCCTGAGGCCAGGAGTTCGAGACCAGCCTGACTAACATGGAGAAACCCTGTCTCTACTAAAAATACAAAATTAGCCGGGCGTGGTGGCACCTGCCTGCAATCCCAGCTACTCGGGAGGCTGAGGCAGGAGAATCGCTTGAACCCAGGAAGTGGAGGTTGCAGTGAGCCGAGATCGTGCCATTGCACACTCCAGCCTGGGCAACAAAGGCCAAACTCCATCAAAAAAAAAATAGATAGATAGATAGATAGATAGATGGTCAATTAACACAGGAACAAAACAGTTTCAATCTCACAAGTAGTCAAATAACAGAACAGTTTTATGTCTTCTTTTTTTTTTTTTTTTGAGACGGAGTCTCTCTCTGTCGCCCAGGCTGGAATGCAATGGCACGATCTCGGCTCACTGCAAGTCCGCCTCCTGGGTTCACGCCATTCTCCTGCCTCAGCCTCCCGAGTAGCTGGGACTGCAGGCGCCCGCCACCATGCCCAGCTAATTTTTTGTACTTTTAGTAGAGACGGGGTTTCACCGTATTAGCCAGGATGGTCTCGATCTCCTAACCTCGTGATCCGCCCACCTCCGCCTCCCAAAGTGCTGACATTACAGGCATGAGCCACTGTGCCCGGCCTATATGCCATTTTTTACTTATCAAGTTATGGCTCTTTAAAGGTTAAAATCCCATGTTCATAACATCAACATGAAACCTCAAACCTCACGTGTGGAATTGCAAACTGGTAAGACATTGGAGAGTGGGAGTTGTTTAGAATGTACATTTCAAATGTGTCAAATATAGTCAATTCTTTCTACTCAACAATTCCTAAGGCAAAAAGGATTTATAAAGATGTAGAGACAATGATAGTTACTGTAATGTTATTTGTGGCAGCAAGAAAGCAGAAAGAACTTAAAGCACCCAACAATAGAGGACCAGCTAAATCAATCGTGATACCTTAAAAACTGTGATGAAGAAGAATATTCATATGAAAAGACATTAATTATACATTGTTAGATGGGAAAAATAAACTACAATACAGTAATGGTCCCATATTTGAAAAAATAGTAATAAATGTACATTCATTAAGCAAAAACAACTTTTTTTTTGTTCAGGGAAGATATTCACCAAAATGTTAATAGTGGTTCTGTCTACATGTTGGTATGACAGGTAGGATTTTTGTGTTCTCTTTGCCAATCCCTATTTTATAAATTTTTCCACAATCATATGTTTAACTTGCATAATAATTGTTAAAATAGTAACAATGGTAGTAATAGCATGCTGAAATTAAGCTTTTTCTCTTTTTGAAGAGCATTGGCATGCCAGTTCTTTTTCTCCTTAGCATGAAAGAAAGCACCATGGATCCACATTAAAAGAAAGATGTGGCTTGCCATCACCCTGAGGGACACTTTCAGTGGGATGATTACAGCTGCTATGACAACAAGAGGAGGATGTGATGTCACATAATGATCCAGTGACTTCAACGGTCCCGTCCCAATGCAGAGCTTTGCTGCCAGCTGGAAATCCAGCAGAGACCTCATTAAGGGCATCTGTTCAGTAATTACTACAAGTTTCCCTTCATCACGCATCCAAATTTGAAAACAGCCATACCGCAGAACTCCAATGCCTGATTCACAGAGGGCTTTAATCTTCCATTTCTGTAGCGCTCAGACTGACTGCGACCAGAGGACCAGGGTCAAGTTTTGGTGCAGTCAGTAAATACTACCTTGATCAACAGGGACCAGGGCGGGAAGAAGCATCCCGAGGACATTTATTAACACCAACAAAGACTAGAGCCTCAAGGTGTTTAACTAAGGTATCTTATTTTGCATCCTCCTAGAACATTTAAATATTGTAATTTCCATTAGAGAAAATCTAATACACCCGTAACCCATAGAAAAGAAGGGCAAATAGGACTGACTGCACAGCAAGCCAGAGAATCAATTGCAAAATATGCATAATGAATTCTCCTACAATGAATATGAAATCCCAAGACCCTATTCACATGGCACTAGCACTGGTGCTCTGCATAGAATAGGGGCAAACTGCTATGGTGGAAGGAGCCAGACAGAACTGGTGTCAAGTCCCAGCTCTACTACTTAACCTCCTAAGCCTCTGTTTCCTCACCTATAAACTGAGAATAATAATGAGTCAAAAGAGTTGGAAAATTAAGCATAAAACTCTTAGCCTAGTACCTAGTATTCCAAATAAAGTTAGTTCCCCTTGAAAAGTTTCACAGAAAACTACACAGAAATGTCAATGAATTAATTGCTTCTTTATTAAGTCTTGACCAATGCAAGAGTCTCCTAACTGCCCTCTCTCTTGCCACACCTACTGCTATTATCATCCTCACATATCACACTACTCTTATACATGGTGTTTTCTCTGTCTAGAATGTTCCCAGAATTTCTCCCCTGTCCATCCCATCCCCAACCTCATCCATCTCTGTGATTCCTAAACAAGGCACACAGCAGAATCACTTAGAGACCTTTCTAAAAATGCACATGCCAGGCTGGGCACAGTGGCTCACGCCTGTAATCCCAGCACTTTGGGAGGCTGAAGCGGGCAGATCACCTGAGGTCAAGAGTTCAAGACCAACTGGCCAACATGGTGAAACCCGTCTCTACAAAAATACAAAAATTAGCCAGGCATGATGGTGGGTGCCTGTAATCCCAGCTACTTGGGAGGCTGAGGTGGGAGAATCACTTGAACCTGGGAGGCAGAAGTTGCAGTGAGCAGAGATCGTGCCACTGCACTCCAGCCTGGGCGACAGAGCGAGACTCTGTCTCAAAAAAAAAAAAAAGAAAAAAGAAAAAAAGAAAAAAATGCACTTGCCAGGTCCAACCCACAATTATGGAATTGGAATCTTCGGAGCATGGAGCCCAGAAATCCTTAACAAACTCTCCATTTGGTTTTTATGCAGCCAGCCCTGTTGCTGCAGCGTTTGAGAACCACTGACGTGGCTGATTCCTCTTCTTTAAAACTCCATTCGAAAACTTTCATACATCACTGGTGGAATCATAAAATGGCGCAGACACTTTGGAAAAGTTTGGCAGTTCCCTAAATGTTATACAATAATTTACCATACAACCCAACAATCCCACTCCTAGGAACCTACCCAAGAGACTTAAAACATATGTCCACACAAAGACATGTATGTAAATATTTATAGCAGCATTATTCATAATAACCAAAAACTGGAAACAACCTGTGTCCAACAATTAGTTAATGGATAAACAAATGTATATGTTCACATAATGGAATATTATTCAAAATAAAATAGAATGAAGTACTTATACATGGTGATGATTGCATAACTGTAAACTCACTAAAACTTGTTGAATTGTACTCTTAAAATGGGTAAATTTTATGATATGTAGATTACACCTCAATAAAGCTGAAGAAAGGGAAAAGAAAGGGAGAAAAGGAACAGGAAGGAAGGGAGAAGAAGAAGAAAGAAGGAGAGAGGGGAGGAGAGGGGAAGGGAAGGGAGTGGTACTGGGGAGAAGAGAAGAGAGGGGGGAGAGAGGAAGGGAGTGGAGGGGAGGGGAGGGGAAGAGAGGAGAGGAGAGGAGAGAGAATAAGGGGAGGGGAAGGGAGGGAAAGATAAAACAAGAGTGGAAAAAACTAAGTCCAAGCGTTTGCCAACCCCTCCCCCTGCATTATCTTCATCCTTTATAAATCTCTCAAACAGCACTTGGCCTCAGCATGTTACTTCTCAGTGTCAGTCTCCCCACAAGCCCACATGCTTTTCAAGGATGAGAAAATTATTTAATATCTTCCTATACTTGCAGGGAGGTCAGTAGGCACTAACTAATGTTTGTAAGAAAATGTAGGAAGGAATGAGCGGTTGTTTGAGCTTTCTGTTGAAACACACTGTAAGAAACATTCTAGCTCTAAGAACTTAATACTCAGTTTCCCGCTTATAAAGTCATAAACTCTCTCATTGGGATGTTAAGAGGAGATGATAGATGTCCCAAAAGTGCTTTGGATTTTTACTGAAGATATGTCCCACAGGTGTAAGAAGGGCACTCCCTCTGACATGTCCCATGCATAATCAAGCTCTCAGATAACCAATGTAGTGTCAGATTCAAATCCAGATCTCTCCACTTCCCTGGATTAGTGCGTTAGTTTCCTCATCCGAAAATGAGAAATTAAATGAGCTAGTGCTTACAAAGCCCTTAGAAGAGCATTTGGCATACAGCAAACACTCAACTACAAAGAAAATAGTAGTATACATGGTGTGTGGAAGGGGTGTGTGTTTGTATATAAAATATGTGTGCATATAATTGGTGAGACACCTCTGCCAAAATAGGCCATGCTGTAAAATACTCAGAAAAGTTTCACCTGCCTCATGGGGCATTCAGGATTAGGGAAGCTGATACAAACACAAAAGAGAGCCTAGGCACTAAGTTAGAGAGACCAAGAGAGCTGACTAATTTAAAATATCCATATATACAATTAAGTTTTAAAAGCAGGTACTAGAACAACATGTATGATCCCATTTAAATAGAACTGCAATAGAATAGTATGTGGACCAAGGATAGGATATTAACAGAGGTCATCTCTGGATAATGAGGTTTTCTTTCCTGAGTGCCTAAAATGAATATGGATCGTTTTTATAGGCAAATAAAATTAATAATGCTATCTTCATTTTGTTAAAAAATGAATTAAGTAATTAGGAAAATTAAGACAGCCTCCAGCCCCCAAGGACCACCTACTGCTCTGGCAGCCTAAAAGTTTGCCTGGTTTGTTTGAAAGAGAGAACTAATACCCAGAAGGCTACAGGAAGGCCCAGATAGAGAGGAAGAATGCAGGCCACACAGAAATGGCTAGTTATTATTAACACATAATAGCAAGAACATTCAGCAAATACTCAACAACTGATTCTCCACAGCATAGCCAGAGTGTGTGTTTATAAACAGAAATCTGATCTTGTCCCCTCTCCCTAAAATGACCAAACTGCCTTCCACTGCTCTTGGAGAAAAAAACCAAAATCCTCCAGTGGGCCTGTAAGACCTCATATAATCACCTCTCCAGCCTCTTCTTAATGCTCTCACAGCCCTCAATAGCCCATCTCCTCCCTCCAGCCACAGGGCCTCTGCACAGGCTGCCTGATCCACCTGGAGGCTCTCCCATCGCCTCCCCAACACCCTTCACCAGGGAAGCCCATCCCAATCCCCAGACAAATTAGATACCCCTGCTGGGCATGACCACAGCACCCTGGCCTTGCCATCAGAGGACTAAGCACAGTTATACCAATGTCTGTGGGCCCCACTAGGCTGTCATCACCATGTCATCAGGGCTGGCTTGTTTGCTCACATAGTATTCCTAGTGCCTAACACAATCGCTGCCATAAAGAATGCACTCCATAAAGACAGGCTAAGTGAGTGGTTACGACCCATGCGCAGGCAGGGCACTGCAAAGTACGGGTCCAGAGAAAAGCAAAGGCCAGGTCATGGAAGGCCCATGGGTCCTACCTGGGAATGTGGGCTTGATCCTGCATGCAATGGGAATCTCCCTCCTGGGTTTTAAATGGAAGGGCAGCAGGATCAAAAAGCCTACAGACTTTAAATACTAATTAGATGACGTGAGGGTAGGAATCTGCACAGGAAAAGGAATCTACAATGGTTCCCAGGTTTCTAGTTCAGATGCCCAAGCTTTCAAAAATGTAGAAACTGGCTGGGCGCAGTGCCTCACACCTGTAATCCCAACACTTTAGGAGGCCTAGGCAGGCAGATCACTTGAGGTCAGGGGTTCGAGACCAGCCTGGCTAACATGGTGAAACCCCATCTCCCAGCTACTTGGGAGGCTGAGGCAGGAGAATCACTTGAACCCGGAAGGCAGAGGTTGAAGTGAGCTGAGATTATGCCACTGCACTCCAGCGTGGGCAACAGAGTGAGACTCCGTCTTAAAAAAACAAAATGTAGAAACTAGATTGGAGTCATGGTTCTGAAACGAGTCACTCCGACTTCTTGGAGTAGCAGTTTCTCCACCTGTAAAATGGAGCTGCTCATAGATCTTTTTCAGGGGAATTGGTAGCATCAAATGAGCTGATGTTTGGGAAAGTGCTTTACCAATAGTAAAGCCTCTCATTATCATCAGCAACATGGGGGCAATAGTTTGCATAATTACCCCAAAAAATAGCCTCCTTGAAATAGTCACTAAGACCAGGCTTACAGTCTTACACAACTGGACTAAATTCTGCACCTTTTAAACACTTTTCACTGTCTTAAACGGTTGGCCTCATGAATGACCCAGATGAGAAAGAAAGAAAATGCATCCTGTTGGAAAACTGGGTTTCTGTGGGGCCCAGCAGATGGTTGGGATCTAGTCTGGCTCAAGTGCTGCTGGTTCCCTCTTTAAGAGATGACTGATTCCTCTCCAATATTAACTGACTCGATACAATTTGAAAAGCTAAAGTAGTTTCCAACTGTTTAAGGTGAGTCACTAGATACAGTGGACCTTTCTGAGAAACTGTAAACTAATTACTTTAAAAAAGAATTCCATTCACTTTCCCACTCACTGCTTAAATCCTATGGCGTTAATGTGTGTTCCCTGGGCCCAAAGTCAGAGAAAAACAATGCCAGCTTTCTCTTGGGGCCTCTCAGAGAGATGAAACTTCCAAAGGGCTGGAGGGTTCCCCTATTTGTGATGACTAGGCAAACATCTAAGCCAGCAGAAATACCTTCAGGTTTGGCATGAACTAGGAAGAAGAAAAGGGAAGGGGAAGGAGTCAGTATTTTTCAATATTTTTATAAGCACCTGCAATTGTCATTACTGGGCTAGAACTTTACATATGTCACATCATATGTAGATATTATTATTCCTACTTTACAAAATTAACAAACAAGATTCAGAAAGGTAAAAAAAGAGGTCAGAGGCCAGGCACAGTGGCTCATGCCTGTAATCCCAACACTTTGGGAGGGCAAAGCAGAAGGATCGCTTGAGCCCACGAGTTGAAGACCAGCCTGAGCAACATAGTGAGAGCCCATCTCTAGAAATAATAAAAATAAGTTAGCTGGGCATGGTGGTGCACACCTGTAGTCCCAGCTACTCAGAGGCAGGCTGAGGCAGGGGGATCGCTTGAGCCCAGGAGGCCAAGGCTGTGGTGAACCGTGATCGTACCATTGCACTCCAGCCTAAGTGACAAAGCAAGACTCTGTCTCTAAAAGCTAACTAAATAAATAAGTGGTCAGCTATTTCATAAATGGTGAACATAACAACTTATCAATTCACATTTTGTTTTGTCCAAAGATAAAGAAGGAATATTCTCTCCACCATATACACTACAAAAATTTTATTGAGATAATCTCTAAAAGCCAATATTTCTGAGAAATGAAATATGTAATTCAGCAGTTCCAACACAGCAAAACCAAAAAAAAAATTAAGCCAGGAAAGAGCCCTGTAGTTGAACTGCAATGAAACCCTTACTTATTACTTTGACCTTGAGCAAGTCACTTCTCCATCTGTCTAATTTCAGCTTGTGAATGCTGAATTAGACTATCTATAATGCTGGTGGTTACTAGTCCATGCAAGTCCAGAAGGGGTTTCTTCTCCTTTTCTCCTCCCCAAGCCCGTGGAATCGCACCTGAGCCACTCTATGAAGTTACCACAAAGAGAAGCAGCACAGCCATTTGGGGAAGCAGAGAGAAAGTCAGCAAATCAATTCCTGCAATGTGGTTTCTTCTCAAACTCTGGCAGCAGTACCTGTGACCTAATACTCCAGGGCAGAGTCTTGGGTGCTTTGGACCCTTGTCCAGAAGACACTGCCTTCCACCAAGTGAAAATCAACTTCTAGCAACTCTGCCTCCAAGCCTGCCCAGGGTCCCCTGGGGAAGGCCTGGTTCTCAGGCCAAGGTCCCAACACACTCCAGTGCCTGTCTGCCAGCAGCACAGGAAGTGCCAACCAGCTCTCCCCAAAGCAGCTGGCACCAATTACCCCAACCCAGCTGGAAGCACCCGGCTTGGCTGAGACAGGCACTCCAGATCCCTGGCCTGGTCAGAAATCCTACCCTAAAACAAAGACAGACTTGCAGCCGTGCCAGAATGCTACATAAGTGGCTGGTGGAGGGTTGGCAGAGGCAGCCAGGAGCAGGCGGGTGAGCACAGTCCAGGGAAGCAGCTGTGGGTCTGGAAGTCTTGCCCACACCCTGATTTCAGAATCCCTCCATCATCACAACCAACAGCTACCAATTAACAGGCACCTAGAGCACACTGGGTTCTTACATTCCTCAACCTCTTGAACCCTCCCAACAACGCAACAAAGAAGGAATCGCTATCCCCATTTACTAATGAGGGCCTCAGGGGTCACAGAGGTGAATGATCATTCCCCCAGCCACAGAGATAGGAAGTGCCAGAACTGGGTCTAGAGCCCAGGTCTTCTGTATCACTTGCCTTTCCACCTGGCATCCTGGCCTAGGAGAGCTAACATTCTAACAAGGGCCTGGCAGCTAGGGACTCGCTTTGCAAAACCATCACAAGTGACACAGTAAATCCTGAAAGATGTTAACCTGCTGAGGAAATGGGAACACATGGATCCATGAAGAACAACCATAAAGTATCAAGAGATCATTACCCAAAGACACAAAAGTGAAGCACATGAAAAATGCCAATTTTGAACAACAGAAAGCAGAAGACAAAGTCATCCTTACAGTTTTTCAAACAACAGTATATATGGTGATTTGATCAAGCAGGACTCAGAGTTGGTTATTATTATTTTCAAGTTAATAATATTATGAAAATATCTTATAATGGATATAAACTATAAATATATAATAATAAAAACATTTACGTAGAACTTACTTTGTACCAGGTGCTATTCTGAGTGCTTGATGTGTATTAACTCCTCTAACACCCTAGGAGGTAGGTAATATAATTGTCTACATTTAACAGATGAGCACATTGAAATACAGAAAAGTTAAGTAACTTGTCCAAAATTACACAGCTAATAAACTGTGAAGCCAAAATTCAACCAAGGCAGTCAAACTCCAGAATCCAACTCTTAACCTCTGCACAGACTGTCTCTCAAATCCAACAAGCATTTATCAAGCAGGATCCAGGTTAGATGCTTCTGTATCTATTATTAATTTGTTATTCATTCTTACATTTATTCTTTCTAACAAATATAGCAGCATGAATTGAAGCCAAAAAGGTTTCATATCACATCAGAATGGAGCTAGCCCTGCAGGCACTCAGAAACACTTGGAAATCTCCAGCTAGTCCCCATTTCCCACTGGAATCTGATAGTTAGCATATAGGTGAAATAGCTGGAATGCCCAAGCAGCTACACATGGACTTGCCTTTGGTCCTTTCTTGAGTTTAGCTCAGTGGTTATTAAACGTCACTATAAGTAAGAAAACTGTACAATGCTGTATACACAAAGCCTAGTATGCTTACTTCATGAATAATTTCACCTCTGAGTTCTTAACTAGTCCTGCACGCAGTTTGCCTCCTCTTTGGTCTGAACTCTACAAAGCATCCATCACAAATCCCCAGTGTACCTCACTTAGCCATTCCCCAGCATCTCACCTACTCTGAGAAGGCCAGGGTCAAGACTTGAAGCTCACCTCTTCCGGGAGGGGCAGGAATCGCAGAGATTTCCTTACTTAACCAGTTTGTTTACAGATGGAGAAATTGTGGCCCAGGTTAAGTGACTTACCCGGGATCAAAGAGCAAGTTAGTAAGGTGCTAACCCCATCTCTGAGTCCAGTATGTGTTTTCTAATAGTCTGTGCTTTTCTCCTCTGTGGTTCCCCCGCCCTTCTACAATGTCTACTTCAGTGTTATGTTCAGCAAATATTTATTAACCTACCAATAATAATAGTTCACAATTTTGAATGTCTTGACTGTGCCAGGCCCTGTGCTAGAAGCTACAGTTTCATTATGACTTTCATGGGCCCTAGAAACTTTTGCTTTTGTGGTTCCCTTCCTCCATAAAAAAATAATTTTTAAAAATTTAAAATATATTTTAGGACTACATTGAAATGAAGAATATAATAATGTTAAGTTTTCTTAACTTTTTTATTATTTGTTGAGGTAAGAACACTTAACATGAGATCTACCCTCTAAGCAAATTTTTAGGTGTACGACATTGTACTGCAGATCTTTAGAGCTTGACTAAAACTCTATGAAGTAAAATATTTTATTCAATCTAAAAGTTTATTTTTTCTTTCAATTATAAAAGAAATTAAAATATTTTCAGAATCCTAAAAATATTGCAGTCTGATCACTATGCTTACTGTACCCAGTGGATAAATCAGCCCTAGTAAGTGTTCTAGTTGCACTATCCCATTTGATCTGCTACTCTAGCATGGTAGACACTATTTATTATGTCCATTTTACAGCTTAGGAGTCTTAACATTAGCCATGAAATGCCACCTCTCTAAGATCACAGCAAAAGGAAGATGGGGTTCTAGATTTGAACCACAAGTGTCTGACTCCAGAGACTGTTATATTCTGGACTCTACTCAGTGCAATTTACCCATCCTGGTCCCCTCCTCCTGCTGTGTTCCAAGCCAATCCCGAAGCCCAGCTCAGGACCGTCATTCCTTCATTACTATTCTCTCCACCACTCCCAACTTCCCCATGGCCCCAGGTGGACCCTGTCCAGGTCTGTGGAGGCTGAGTGGACACGCCAGGCACACTGTGTGGCTCCGGAAAGTGCATCAGCCTATAGGAGGGCAGCAGTGTGCCCAGTACCCACTTGACTCTTACTCTCATCTGGTGTCAGGGGCCAGCACAGTTGTACAGGGCATCCTGGCTGCCCACCCACAGAGTGCAGCCACAAACCCTGGGGATCACACCACTGATGCTCACCCACTCCCAGCCAGCACCAGCTCTACTCACAGTATGATTTCAGGCAAAGGGAAGGGACATTGAACAGACACCCACAGGGTGACAGCCAGGCACTGTGCATGGCCCTTCATTCCCCTGGCCATGTTCACCCACAAGGAAGGTGTTACCACCTCCATTTATTCAGAGAAGAAAATTGAGGCTGAGGGAAGCTAAATGGCTCACCTAATGGGCATGATAAATCTGCGTGTGACTCCAAAGCCCAGGGTTTCCCACAGCAAATACAACCTCTCAGCTGGCCCCCTAAAAGCGGGCACTCTAATTGTTTGCTGACAATGGCAACTCCATTGTGAGAGCTCCTCAGGCAAAAGACAGGGCTGCTCTCGGTCGAAGTGCAAATGCTGTGAAGTGGCATACACCGGTTTTAACCAGCATTAACTTTCCCTAATAACAGCATTTGGAGGGCATTTTAGAGTTAACAGCGCAGTTGTTTCATGCATACCTTCACTCGATCCTCACCATACTGCCATAACCTAAGGATCTTACTCCCCATTTTACATGTGAGGAAACAGAGGCTCAGAGATAATGTGATTTGCCCATGGTGCAGAATGGAAGAGGATGAACAGCAGAGCAGAGACTGCAAGCCTCCGTTTGCAGACTCCTCTTCCCACACCCTGCCGCACCTGACTGACTCTGAGATACGACTGAGGGAGAGAAGTAGGTCCATGAGCACTGGGAGGAGGCCATAGAATATTTTACCTGGAATCCTTACTGGGTTCTTTGCTCCCTGCCATCACTCCCAACCAGGTGTAAAAGCTCCAAAGTTCTTGTTTCCACCCAGACTGCCTGCTTGTCTAAGCAGGCAGATGGAAGGCAGACAAAACACTCAGCTGAGAGAGCACAGAGACCAGTCTGGGCTCAGAAAGTCGTCAACCATATGCCCCAGGGGAGGCCGGGGGCCTCTCTGCCAGGGCTGGAGAGTGGGCCACACCCCCAGTGTATGCAGCCAATTCAATCAGACCTCAGCCACCCACCGAGCCCTGCCTGCCCAGATCCCCTCTGAGAGGAGCATCCAGGAGCAAACCTCCTCCCTTCAGCTTAGCCTCCGTCCCCTGCTGTCCAAGGGTAGGTCAGGGAACCCCCACTCCCAGCCCCTCAAGCCTCCGATTGCTGTCTAGGGGCTTCTTGTTTTTCCTCCTCTGGTACAACCCAAGGAGGGAAACACAAGGCAGAAAAGCCAGTGGCTGTTGCTACAGGAAACACATCTCTGTTAGCAACACCTCTTCAGTACAGGCCTAGAATTTTCCACAACACCAATAGGTTCATTTTTGAAGGAAGCAGCTTCTTTGACATTCACTCCGCTAACTTCACATCCCTCTGAGTCTCTGGTTTCACCCACCTCCTTCTGACACCATGCAGGTCATCACTGAGGGCAGGAGGGAAATGATGGGCCCTCCCTCAGCCCCATTTTCTCATCTGTAAAATGAACAGGGAGGAGCATCAAAAGAGATCAAGTGGGGCCCACTCAGGTGATTTAAAAGAAAAAATGTGCTTTTGTTTTTGGCAGACATACATCACTTTGAGGGGGAGGTGTTTGTTTGTATTTCAGGCAGCCTTCTGGAGAGAGCAAGAATCTGTGAATGACTTAATACAAACCCAAATAGACATCCAAACTCCAGAAGGAAAGTTCTTCTGAAATACAAGGTACTGCACCTACGCATCCCAATCATTCACTTCATATGCAAATGCTCCTTCACAAGTACTACCTCACCAGAGTCAATTTACACTTGCACTTCCACATATGGCCTTCAATTATGTCATCAGGATAATTACTTGCCGCAATCATAATAAGTTCAATGGTTTCCCAGGGATGGAACTCTCAAAGCATCAAGGCGCTTTCAAAGTCAGCACTTCTGAATGTGACATGTGTTCAATCTTAGTCTTGTTTCCAAGACCTTTTGACCACATACCCATTTCATGACCTGAGAAAATTACATAAAGAGGATGCAAAATAATTTGCCCTGGGACAGGGAAGCATGGGACTGAGGGAGCCCAGTGAGGCAGATTAACTAACCTTGTTTCTTCTACCTGATCTTCCTCCAGGGAGCAGCAACCCCACCCTGTCCCACATGCAGCAATGGTCTCATCTCTTTCTGGTTTTGCTCCAGCCTTGGCTGGTTAAGCAGAGTTAACAAACTCCCAGATCCCTCTGCTGCAGAATGATGGGCTAGTACCGAGGCTCCAGCAGAAGTAAAGTCCACTGTGGGAGGCAGCATGATGTGTGGGACAAACCCGGGCTGACGGGTCAGGGCAGATGTGGTTTGAATCCAACTCTGCCACCTAGCTGTGTGCCTTCTGGCAAATTATTTCCTCTGGAGTCTTGGGAGTTTCTTCTCCTAAAACAGGGGTCATAACAGCTACTTTTCAGAGCTGTCGAAACATTGCTGGTGGGAGTAGAAGCTGGTAAATCTTTTCAGAAGGCAGTTGAGCAATACGTTTTAAAGTTCCTAAAAATGTTCATACTCTTAGACTAAGCAATTAAGCTACTAGAAGTTTCTCTTTAAGAAGTACTCATGGGTCAGGCGCAGTGGCTCACGCCTGTAATCCCAACACTTTGGGAGACCGAGGTGGGTGGATCATGAGGTCAGGAGATTGAGACCATCCTGGCTAACACACTGAAACCCCACCTCTACTAAAAATACAAAAAAAAATTAGCAGGGCGTGTTGGCGGGCGCCTGTAGTCCCAGCTACTCCGGAGGCTGAGGCAGGAGAATGGTGTGAACGCGGGAGGCGGAGCTTGCAGTGAGCTGAGATCGGGTCACTGCACTCCAGCCCGGGTGAGAGAGCGAGACTCTGTCTCAAAAAAAAAAAAAAAAAAAAAAAATGTACTTATGATATACTCAAAGATTTAGTTTTTTATCACTGTTTATCATGGTGAAAATTAAAAGCAACCTAAATAGCCAACAATAGGAAGTTGATTTTTTAAATACTTTATATATAGCATGAAACAAAACTAAGGGTTTTTTAAATAACACATTTTTCAAACATTCTGATTTCATTTTGTAAAAACAATGTACATATTAGAAGTACATACAAGAAATATTAATATTTAGCATTGGATGATAAAATGACAGTTGATTTTCTTTCTTCCTTTTTTATTATTGTATTTTCTAAACTTGGCCTAAAATTTCTTAAATGCCTCTCTAGCAACTTACTAATTTCTGCTTTTTAAAATGGTTATGTATGAACATATCACATTGCCCCAAGAATACAAATTCCTTGAACACAGATTCTAAGTCTGATTTATCTTCATAAACTCCCCATGATATTAGCTTAGTGCCTTGAATAATTACAATTACCATTTATTGAATGTTTGCCGTGTGGCAGGCATTGTGCTAAATTGTATCTCTTAGTATAGTAAAATTGAATAAATGTGGAAAGGGGGAGGGAAGAAGAATAAGTAGAAAGAAGTGAATGAATAAATTCTCAGCAATCTGAAATAAGTTGGCAGCTATCTCACTTGGAAGCGACCAGCTCATTTTTAGAGTCTCTTCTGACCACCAGACCATACCAATCTGCTAGACCAACTCTTCTAACAGAAAGGGAAAATGTCAGGAAGAGGAGGACCACACTATGATCCTGGATTTTAGAAAGCCACACTTTGAAGGATAAGATCTCATAAGGACAACCTGGTATAACTTTTGAGAATTTTCTTACCAGAGTCAAGAAAACCAATTTAACATGACAATGATCTATTAATGAAATACTTTTGACTTTGGCAACCTTTAATTCTTTTCTACAAGCACTCCCTTAGCACCCACCAACACCATTTGACAGGGAAAGATACATAAGCAGTCTCATCCTTAAGGAATTTTTAATACAATGAGGACTACCAACAGGTGCCTAAATAACTGATTCAAGGCAGGGTGTGAGCTCCAACGGAGAACTCAGGGACTGGAGGGATTGCCAAGGGAGAAATTCTTTCTGATGGGGATGGAGAGTGGAAGACGTGGAAAGTGAAAGCTGGGATCTAAAGCATAGACAAGATTTCTCAATGCTGTGTTGAGGGAATGGCTTTCCTGCCTGCAGGAACAGCCTAGGCAAAGGCTCAGATGGGTAGGATTTGGTACGTTTGGAGAAGGGCAAGTGTTCAGTCCATGCCCCAGAAACCTTGGGCTACTTTATTGAGAACAAAAGAGGCCCTGAGATGAGCTCCTTTTCTTGGTCTCTTCTTGGCCCTAGTACTTTCCTGATACACATCCAAGCAGACACAGCCCACAAAAAGCAAAATAATCTACCCCCTCATTTTCAAAATCTTTGGGGTTCAGTTCAGATTAAGACCACAGTACTTTTGGAAGTACTTGAGTACTTCCAAAAGTAGGAATCAGAGTGGCTCCTGCCTCTATCCTGCTGTTCTCCAAAGGCTGACGTCCCAAAAAGCAGGCCTCCAGGGCTCCACCTGAGACTTGGGTTCTACTCACCTCCAAGGAAGATGTGGAGGCAATCCCTCACAAGTAGTTTCAAAACAGTCACAGCATGGGGCGGAAGGTAGAAGTATCAAGCACCCACCTCTTCAAATGCTAGGCCTCCAGAGGGTCAACCCTGTGGTCCTGCTGCTCCCTGAAGGTCCCCAAAACCCCCTCTGGTCCCCCTCTTGGTGAAGGGTTTTGGGGGAAAGAAAACAGGAGCCACTGGGAGTCCCAAGGGCAGGAGAGGGAAACACCACCTGCAGCTCAGAGACACCACAGCTTTTTCTCAAATACTTTGGGTAGCATGACATATGATCCCCCCTCCCTGCGGCCTCTCTCTCAGACTGAATTGGCCTCTTTTTCTGCTTTATTTTTCTGAATCTCTCTGTTCTCTTCTCTCTCTTCATGTGTCCCTTTTCCTTTGTTTCAACTTTTATAGAAACTATTGTTCAATCTCTCTCTCTCTCTCTCTCTCTCTCTCTCTCTCTCTCTCTCCTCTCTCTCTCTCTCTCTCCCTCTCTCTCTCTCTCTCTCTCTCTCTCTCTCTCTCTCTCTCTCTCTCCCCTCTCTCTCTGAATTCCCCGGTCTCTGTCTCTCTCAGCCTCTCCTCTCTTGTTTCAGTCACTGTCTCCACGTCTTTGTCACTCTATTAGTCTGTCTTGACGTCCGCCTCTATCTCTGGGGCCTAGGTGTTTCTATCAGTGTCCCCGTGTCTGGATGTTCCTGCCGCTCTGTCTGTGTGTCTCTATCATGTCCACATCTTCCTGTCGCTTTCTGTCTCCCTCTCTCGGCACTATCTTCATCTCTCCATCGCAGCGTCTCCAGCCCTATTTCCACCCCTCCTTTCCCCCGGCCTGCCTTATTAAAATCGCAGCCAGGAAACCGAGCAGTTCGGGGAGGTGTGATGCTGAAAACCAGCTTCCGCGCGACGCCGGGTCGGAGCCCGCGAGGGGTGCCGGGGGGGACAGCCCAGGGTGCGGCTTCTGTCCCGACCCAGTCGCCGCTCCCGGGGGCTCCCGCCCGGAGAGCACCCTCCGGCCCCAGCCCGACCCCTGAGCTCCCCCTGCCCGCTTAGAAAGGAACTCTGACCGCCACCGGAGAGGGCGTTTGCCCGAGCCAGGAGTCCGAGAGGGGTGGAAAGTTCTCACCTATGGTGAAGCTGTAGCCATCGATGCTGAAAGTGGCGCTCCGGCATTTTTTGAAGCCCTCCTTCCTGTTGCCGGCGTCCGTCATGGCTCGGCCGGCCGGGCAGGGGCCTCGCAGCGAGACCAGCGGCGTCTGCGGTCCCCCCCACGGCGGAGTGAGCAGCCCGGGGCTCGGCGGCGAATCCTCCCCCGGCCGCGCCGCGCTGTCACTCTCAGCCCCGCCGCGCGCTGGCAGCTGAGCGCCTGGAGACAACAGCGGGGACCCAATGTCAACAGCTAAAGCGCTAGGAGCTCGGCGGAGGCAGGAGCCGTCGCGACTGCCCCATCTCCAAGCCGAGTTCCAGAGGCGGCGAGAGGAGTGTCAGGAAGGGAGGACGCGCGCCCGAGCGCGTGGACGGGGCTGACCGGTGGGCGCGGAGATCCCTGCCTGGCCACGCTACTCTCTGTCAGCCGCGGATCCCGCGCGCCACAGGAAAGTCTGTTTTCTACTTCACCTTCTCCTTCCGTCTCTGGTGGCTGGGGGGATTTGGGGACCCAAGGGAATGGCTGAATTGGCGTCGTGCGTCTTCTAGATATGTTTTCTCTGGCAGACCGGGGAGCTTCCAGAAAGCACATCAACAGATGGAAAGGCAAACCCCTCAGCCATGAGATGTTGCCGAAGTTTACTCCAAACAAGGAAGTCGGGAAAATCGCCACGCCCACTTCCTTCTAGCCACTGCCCCCAGCACTGGCCTGGAGCCCCGATAGTGTTTCTTCTCCACTGTCCCTGCCAGGAAGGTAATTGTCAAAGTCACCGGAGGCTCTATGATGTGAAATGTACAATCGAATTAGAACTCGCCCCTTACCAACCATTCCAAATAGCTTGTCCTGTCCTTTCGAATTTGGGTTTGCCCAATGTGATAGACTCCTGGAATTTGCTGATGTGGAAGATATCTTACCAATCCCATAGCTGACGCTCTTATTACAGGGGAGGAAACTGAGGCTGCATGGGGCTTGAGAAAAGTGCTACACAAGGAAGTGGCGGACTTTGGAGGCAGAAGTTTCACTTTATGACGATGCCAAGTTAGCCATTGGCCTTTGCAGTGCCTGAAATGACCGAGTTAGGCAAGGCTTACACTGGGAAAATTTTTCCCACCGATCAGCAAGCAATTATTGAGGATTTACAGTTGCAGTGCTATCAGGGGCTGCAGATGCCCACGGGAAAAGAGACCAGAGCTGAGTCACACAGAAGAGTCCACGGTATAACAATGTGGAATGAGGGTTCTGTGCTCAAGCTATTGTGAGACTACAATTAATTTAGCCTCATTTTTGTGATGAAATTTGACACAATTAACGAACACTTGCCAATAATAAGAATCAACCAGGTATATTCTTAATTGATTCCAGTTCAGTTTAGAGGGTAATGGCTCCACATATCTTCAGAATCTAATGAAGATTAGAAACCTTGTCCCAAAAAAAACACACAGACACACATGTACAATATTCTACATACAACTTCAGGGGGCCCATTAAAACCCCCAAGCCTACTGGAACCCAGGTTAATGCATGTCCCAGGAATTTAATCTTTTTCAATTCACCATGTATTTTTAAAGAAATGGAATTGTGTCAGAGTGTATGTAGTTGACACTTCAGTTATAAATTCTCTCAGGAAAGACCTAGAACCACATTCACATGGTCTGGTTAGGTTGGTAGCGAGATTAATTAATCACAAAGGCAACCAACAGTGTCATGAACCTCATGCCACATAGAATGGCATATTTCAGCATGCAGTCAGGGGTGTTTCAAAATCATCATGTAGTCCTTGAGACTGTAATACCCATGCCTGGAACCTGTTACAACCTGGAGGCATGAAAATGGCTCTGCTCACAGATAGACCTGGGTCTGAAAGCTGGCTCCACCACTTACCAGCTACATGGCCTTGACCTCCCTGAGTCTTACTTTCCTCCTCTGACAATAAGGATTAAGTAGGAGTAAGTGCATAAAACCTAGGCACAGTGTATGCTTCCAGTTATTGCAATCACTAGCTGACTCCCAGATCTTACTATGTAGACTGCACGGAAAATTCTTCTCTGTGACAAAAATAACGTATTTTAGTTATTGTTGCCACCATTAATTTTATAGGTGAAGAGAATTTTTATATGTAACATTTTATATATAATATATTACATGTAATATAATGTGGGCTTGGTTTTTTGTTTGTTTGTTTTTGAGACAGTGTTTCACTCTGCTGCCCAGGCTGGAGTGCAGTGGTGCAATCATGGCTCACTGTGGCATCGACCTCTTGGGCTCAAGTGATCTTCCCACTTCAGCCTCCAAAGTAGCAGGGTCTATAGATACACGCCACCACACCTGGCTGCTTTAAAAAAAAAATTGTAGAGGCAAGGTCTCACTATGTTGCCAAGGCTTGTCTCGAACTCCCGAGCTCAAGTCACCCTCTGCCTCCATCTCCCAAAATGTTGGGATTACAGGAATGAGACACATGCCTGACCTTAATATTATGTATTTTTTAATATAGTAACCACCAAAGGTTTCTTATAGTTCCCCTTTCCCTGTATTTCTCCCATCTTCCCAAGCTTTTAAGTGAAGCACATGTCTTTTTTGTGCCAAAATAAGTCCTCAGCTGAGGAACCTGAAAGCCCTGAGTCTCCTGTAGTAAATTATCAAAAAAAAGAAAAAAGAAAAAGTCTATTGCAATGGAAATTTTTCCTTGCGTAAGTGAGTGAAATTAAAACTTGGTATTTAATCATCTTAACAGAAAAGCTTTCTGAAATATAACCTATGAAAATAATAAAAATGCAATCACTTCTCTGTCCCCTAAAGTCTGGTAAAAATAACTTGTCTGAATAATTAGAACTGTTTTTAAACTGCTTCTCCCCAGAATCATTATCTCTCTCCCTGGTTTTAGACACTGTACACCTACAGAACTACTAAAACGCACTGCTTCAAGTGCAAACTCTTAAAGCAGCCTTTTCAGCCTTTGGATTCTCACACCAAACCAAGTGAAGTTGAATGCTAACATTACATAAGTCAAGAAAAAATGAGTTCAAGACTGAGCTCAAAAGAAGCACGGCTTTTGTTTGCTCTTTCAGAATCGCTCACTCAAGAAAGCCTGGGAAGTAAGAAAACTAAACCAAGACAGACAAGCAGATGTGTCAATCATCTGCTTTGGTAGTTGGAGCAGGATTTGACAAATTAATGTCTGCAGATGAAATCTGGCCCATCACCTGTTTTTGTGGCGTCTGCAAGCTAAAAACAGCTTTTATATTTTTAAGTGATTGATAAAGATGAAAAGAAGAATAATATTCTGTGACACATTAAAACTACATGAAACTTGAATTTTAGTATCCACAAGTAAAGTTTCATTGGAACATAGCTATGCTCATTTATTTCCATATTCTTTCTGGCTGCTTTCACACTACAAAGCCATTGTTCAGTAGCTGTGCCTGGGACCATATGGCCTGCAAAGCCAAAAATATTTACTATCTGGCCCTTTACATAAAATGCTTATTGACTCCTAAAATTATAGTAAGCATACTTTACATCTGTCAGGGTTTGGGTAACTTCTAGTTTTATTATATTTACTTTAACATTTGGGTTTGGAAAGAAATTTATCTTTTTTAACTACTGGAATGGATTCTAACAAGGAAGGACTCAGAGTGCATTCTAACAAACAAGGGAAACAAGGAGGGAAGAAGATCCCTAATAATTGTTTGATCCAGTCAATAGCTAAGACTAATTAGGTTAAGATTAATTTCTTCCAAGAAGTAATGTGTGATCCTGACTTCACTGCAAGGAAGTAGAGGAGGAGCTGAACTCATTACCTACATCAGTTCATAGGATTAAATAATGTCCTTCAAATATAACAACAGTATATGACACAATATAAAAAAGAATCTGGCAGGATGCTCCTCTGACTCTAGTGCTAATATCAAGTCTTTTGATTTGCTCTGTGGATCTGATGGTGGATTCTACTACATGTCTCTATATAAGAGAAAGGATATTAATGGCAAGTTCTTGTTGCTCATTGGTTTTTCACTTTTAAAGTTCTAGAAAAATATAAGACAACATATATAGAATGTATCAAAAAGTATAGTTTCTAAGAAAACATCTTTTTATTTTTCATGCTAGAGAGAAGACAGCTCCTCAACATCTCACTAATGCATTTCAACCATTCTCAGGTAGGAAGCTACCTACTATTTGGATTCTCCCAACAGCCAATAGTCCAAGAATTGTAGGCCCAAGTTGCCCCAATAAGAGCATCGTGCACACACCTCATGGACACCTATCCAGCTGTCTAACAACCATTCCAAATTCTAGAAAGGGCCTCTTCCCATTCATATAATCATTGGCTGCAGGCAATGAAGTTTCTGAACTGCAACCTTGCTCCTTTGGCTGTAATTGATAGAACCCAAACTGGGCTAATGAATACCATTTCTGGGAATAGGAATTGTGAGAGGTAAAGAAAAAGTCCCAGTTCATTCCAGGTCCAGTTCCAGCTGGTATCTGAAAATCAGCTCCTCCCAAATTCCATAAGATACCCTACTACCCTTATACTATACAGTAGTCCCTTTTGTGAGTGATCCAATGTGAGTTGCTATTGCTTGAAACCAAGAGTTCTAGCTAATCTACCAAACAGACTCCCTTCAAGAAGGGAAGCAGAGGACGAAGAAATGAAGAGAGAAAAGAAGGAATTAAACTAACATTTACTGAGTGCCAACTATATACTAGGCATTGTGCTAACCAAGAAACAGTCCCTGCCTTTTAGAATTTTTACAGGAAGAGTAAGTCTTAGAACAGTCCCTGGAACTGGGTGTCAGAATGAGAAAACAGTCACAGAAAGTCTGTGTTTCTGGATGCAGTTCCTCTTCAGCTGTCACCAGTACCCTCCTCTGTTTCATTTTACTTCTACCTTATTGCTTCCCTATAGTCCATTTTTTTGTTTCTCAAATAAATTAGACCCAGGAATGGCAGAGATAATCTAATTAAACGGGGAAGATAAAAAGTGTGTGCTTACATACTTGAGGGCCCAAAAAAGGTGCCAAAAACGTACCCAGAAGGCCCTGATGGAGGTTACCAAATTCTATTTCCACAAAGGGGCAATTTTTTTCTTTGGCTCCCTGTTCATTCAACTTTTTTTGAGTTTACATATTATTCATGCATCTGTGAAAGTGACTATCCTTAAGTACCTGCCTTTAGTGTCTCAGAAAATAATAGCTAAGGGCCCCCAAAGATCTCCCCATAACATAATGTAGCAAATTACAGTAAATTAAATTCTTGTTTTGCATTAAGAGTTTGGGGAGAATTTTATCATAGCCTTTGAAGTTAGGAGTTATAAGTGGAAACTTTCTGCAGTGGGGGTGAGGGAGACCAGAACAACTATTTTTAATTTCTTTTTCTTAATCCAGACTACCAAGCCTGGAATTGTCTTTCCCCTCAGCCAACCAGGTTTGCCTAGAGACCTCCCTCCTCACCATTCAGGTATCTGCTAATCTCCCGGGTCCTCCAGAAAGCATTTTCTGCCTGACATTCCTCAGGGGAGGTAACCACCCGACTTGAAGCCTCCCCTGGATCCCATTCTGTGTCCCCATCATAAAATCATCACACTGCACTCATACTGCCTGTTTGCCTGCCCATCTCCTCATGAGGATATGGTCTGCGGGTAGCAGAGATGGGTCTTCCATCCTCGGCCCTGGCACAGAGTAAGCCTTCGCTAAAACATTTATGAATTAAAAAGTAAACAAAGATGTATAATGCAAGGCTGTGTGGCCAGGAGATGATGGGATTGGGGTAGGACAGCCAGCCCCATTAGCCATTCCCTCTCTCCACTCATCCTCTGTCTTTCTCTGTGATGAGCTTTAGAGCAAGTTCAAAACATGGCTCCATAGCAAATAGGTTAATAACTTTTAAAATTAATAAAATGAAACAAAAAGCTCCTCTTTTTGTTTCCTCAAAACACGGCTCCACGGCAAATAGGTTAATAACTTTTAAAATTAATAAAATGAAACAAAAAGCTCCTCTACTTGCTAGCTGTGTGATCTTAGAAAAATGACTTAGCCTCTCTGAGTCTTAGTTTTTTCTTTTGTAAAATGGACATAAAATACCTATCTCATAAGAAATGTGTGAGTTATAATAATGTATGTAAAAGACTTACCCTGGACTCAACCCATAGTAAACATTCAATTTTACTTATTATTATTATGTCATATATATTATTATAACATGACAATGTTATTATTTTTAACATCGTCGTCATCACTAGCATACTAGGTCCCTTTTGCGCTTCTGTTTTCTACAGAGTGCTTAAGTTAATCCATAATCAGGGGCAAGAGGAACAGGGTTAGAGCTCACTCAACCCTGGGCCTAAGGCCCAAAAGTATCACCCTGTGAGCAATGAGACCGGACGTTCTAGGTCTCCATCACTCAGGTGAGCTGCAGAAACTCATGGGCTTTCTGAGAGCTAGAGTCTGGGGCTTGCACAGCGCCTGCTCAATCACTCTTCCATTCATAAGACCCAGCCTCCATCACCCTCCCCATTCCATGATACTTCTGTCAGCTATGCTTCACTTCATTCAGCAGATGCATTGTGGTCCTCATAATGCATATTGTCTTGTGAACCTGCTGCATCAGCTAGGATGTCTTCTGTTCCCTGGGCATCCAGGGCACAGCTTCCTCCTGGTTTTCCTGCTACCTCTGCAGCCAATGCCTTTTCTGTTGTTGTTAACCAGGGAAACTTACCTTCTCATTCCATTCCCTCTTTCCTGAGCAATCCTCTTTGCTCTTCCCAGCTCTGTTAATGACTCTAAAATATTTATTTCTAGCCCAGATCACTAAGCAACAAGTATAGTGATCTTTTTTTCTTCAGTAGGTCTTACAGTCACCTTGGCCTTGACTCATCCAAATCTGAAATCTTCCTCTTCCTATCCTTCCTCCAGAGTTTCCCTTGGGGTGTTAGGGGAGCCAGACAAAGCTTCTACACACTTGTCAAGCCAGGCTAGCCTTTACCACCCTCTTTCCAGCTGTCCCTGTAGAAGGAGCATTTCTCATCTGACTCGTTAGAGTTTCAGGCATTCCTTGGGCCCAACTCACTAGGGCAAGAGTCTCTCCTGGGCAGAGCCCATATGGCACCTCTGTGAGAGTTAGGAAAGGGTACCCTTCTCCAAGGTGGAAGCAGCCCCATGCCAGGACAAACAGAGCTCAGTGAGCAGGGCCTGGGCTGAATGCTGCTCCCGCTCAGTCCCTCGGTCAGGCATTTATATGATTTGGCTATGTCTCCACCCAAATCTCATCTTGAATTGTAGCTCCTATGATTCCCACGTGTTGTGGAAGGAACCTGGTGGGAGATAATTGAATCATAGGGGCGGTTTCCCCCACACTGTTCTCATGGTAGTGAATAAGTCTCACGAGATCTGATGGTTTTAGAAAGGGAAACCCCTTTCACTTGATCCTTCATTCTCTCTTGTCTGCCACCATGTAAGACGTGCCTTTCACCTTCCACCGTGGTTGTGAGGCCTCCCCAGCCATGTGGAAATGTGTGTCCGTTAAACCTCTTTTTCTTTATAAATTACTCAGTCTTGGGTATGTCTTTATCAGCAGCATGAAAACGGGCTAATACCGTAAATTGGGTTCCTGGTCATAATACTTCCAGAATATTATCAAAGCCTCACTCTTCCAATCCAATAGTGCCATCTCTGGAAATGGTCCTCCCTACTGCTCCACAACCAAATTGGGGAGCCTGTGAGTCATTACTCTTCCCTCTGTCTTTTTCATCTAAACAGTCACTAAGTCCACACAGAAATGTTCCCTCAATATATCTGGCATCTGTCTGGTCCTATCCACACACGACCCCACCTTAGTCCAGGCTCCCACTGTCTCTCACATGAATTATCACAACAGCCTCTCACCTCCACAGCCAGCTTGCATTCTTGCTCCAAGCCATTGTCTATCCAGGAGCCAAAGAGATCTTTTTAAATAAAAATGTAGTCATGTCTTTCCTTTGCCTAAAATACTTCAGTGACTCCCTGTCGCTGTAGAAAAATTGATACTTAGAATAAAGTAAAAACCCCTTACCTTGGCTCATCAGGCCCTACAGAATCTTGGGGGAAACTGGGGAACATAGGGAAGTTTGGACCTTCTCCTGTAAGGAGTGGGAAGCATAAAACACATACAAGAGGACTTAGGAAGTATCAGAAAGGGAGTGGGGAAGTTAGTCAGAGAAGGGAAAGCAACCAATAAAGCTACCTGTGAGCACCTGGGGCTTAATCCTCTAAGAAACATCAGGAGCCAGTGTCAAATTGCCATTAGAAATGCATCTGGTTTCCCAATCTGATTCCGGACTCTCTCAAGGGTTTGGCTTTGACATGCTCTATCAACTCTTCTCACCTCTGACTTCCTGGAGAGGATTCAGACCTTCTGTGCTTCCCAGGATCAAGAAAAACAGCACTTAGTCATTTATTGTACACCTACTATGTGCAGATAGTTTGCATCTGTAACAAATATCCAAATTCTCAGTGACCTAACACCACAATAAAGATTTTTTTTTTCTTGCTCATTACGAAGCCCAATATAGGTTGTGGGGAGCAGGATGTGGAGTTTTGGCCTATGGAGTTATTCAGGGACTAAGCTGGCTCTCATCTCATAGCTTCATCAGCACCTAGACCCTCAGAATCCTTCTCTGTATCCTCTGCATCTAGCTGGCCAGGGGAGGAAGAGAAAAAAGGTGGAAGACTGTGAAGAATTTCAGAAACCAGGCATGGAATAAACACACATCCCTTCCTCCCACATTCTGTTAGCCAGAAATTAGTCATATGGCCCCACTAAACTGCAAGGGGTGGGTGACATCTGGGAAATGAAGTTAGGAAAGAAAAGAAGGTTTGGTAAACACAGATACTTTGAAACCCTATCCTCTCCACTGTTTTCACTCAATCTGACCACCAACTTACTAGATGGAGACATGGTTAAACCCTGCTGCATGCCCAGGACTGAGGTCATGATCTGTCGCCACATCAGAGTTGGAACCTTTCTACCTTATTAAGCCCAGGTTCACACGATCAAAGCACCTGAGCCTACCACTGTGATGTAAATTTTATAAAGCGGGCCCGAGGTGGAGCCAAGATGGCCGAATAGGAACAGCTCCAGTCTACAACTCCCAGCATAAGCGACACAGAAGACGGGTGATTTCTGCATTCCATCTGAGGTACCGGGTTCATCTCACTAGGGAGTGCCAGATAGTGGGTGCAGGACAGTGGGTGCAGCGCACTGTGCGTGAGCCGAAGCAGGGCGAGGCATTGTCTCACTTGGGAAGTGCAAGGGGTCGGGGAGTTCCCTTTCCTAGTCAAAGAATGGGGTGACAGATGGCACCTGGAAAATCCGGTCACTCCCACCCTAATACTGCACTTTTCCAATGGGCTTAAAAGATGGCACACCAGGAGATTATATCCCGCACATGGCTCAGAGGGTCCAACGCCCACGGAGTCTCGCTGATTGCTAGCACAGCAACAGTCTGAGATCAAACTGCAAGGTGGCAGCAAGGCTGGGGGAGGGGCGCCTGCCATTGCCCAGGCTTGATTAGGTAAACAAAGCAGCCGGGAAGCTCAAACTGGGTGGAGCCCACCACAGCTCAAGGAGGCCTGCCTGCCTCTGTAGGCTCCACCTCTGGGGGCAGGGCACAGACAAACAAAAAGACAGCAGTAACCTCTGCAGACTTAAATGTCCCTGTCTGACAGCTTTGAAGAGAGTAGTGGTTCTCCCAGCACGCAGCTGGAGATCTGAGAACGGGCAGACAGCCTCCTCAAGTGGGTCCTTGACCCCTGAGCAGCCTAACTGGGAGGCACCCCCCAGTAGTGGCAGACTGACACCTCACACGGCTGGGTACTCCTCTGAGACAAAACTTCCAGAGGAACAATCAGGCAGCAGCATTTGCGGTTCACCAAGATCCGCTGTTCTACAGCCACTGCTGTTCTGCAGCCACCGCTGCTGATACCCAGGCAAACAGGGTCTGGAGTGGACCCCTAGCAAACTCCAACAGACCTGCAGCTGAGGGTCCTGTCTGTTAGAAGGAAAACTAACAAACAGAAAGGACATCCACATCAAAAACCCTTCTGTACGTCACCATCATCAAAGACCAAAAGTAGGTAAAACCACAAAGATGGGGAAAAAACAGAGCAGAAAAACTGGAAACTCTAAAAAGCAGAGTGCCTCTCCTCCTCCAAAGGAACACAGTTCCTCACCAGCAACTGAACAAACCTGGACGGAGAATGACTTTGACGAGTTGAGAGAAGAAGGCTTCAGATGATCAAACTACTCCGAGCTACAGGAGGAAACTCAAACCAATGGCAAAGAAGTTAAAAACTGTGAAAAAAAATTAGATGAATGGATAACTAGAATAACCAATGCAGAGAAGTCCTTAAAGGAGCTGATGGAGCTGAAAGCCAAGGCTCAAGAACTATGTGAAGAATGCAGAAGCCTCAGGAGCCAATGCAATCAACTGGAAGAAAGGATATCAGTGATGGAAGACGAAATGAATGAAATGAAGCAAGAAGGGAAGTTTAGAGAAAAAAGAATAAAAAGAAACAAACAAAGCCTCCAAGAAATATGGGACTATGTGAAAAGACTAAACCTACGTCTGATTGGTGTACCTGAAAGTGACAGAGAGAATGGAACCAAGTTGGAAAACACTCTGCAGGATATTATCCAGGAGAACTTCCCCAGTCCAGCAAGGCAGGCCAACATTCAGACTCAGGAAATACAGAGAAAGCCACAAAGATACTCCTCAAGAAGAGCAACTCCAAGACACATAATTGTCAGATTCACCAAAGTTGAAATGAAGGAAAAAATGTTAAGGGCAGCCAGAGAGAAAGGTCGGGTTACCCTCAAAGGGAAGCCCATCAGACTAACAGTGGATCTCTCAGCAGAAACTCTACAAGCCAGAAGGGAGTGGGGGCCAATATTCAACATTCTTATAGAAAAGAATTTCCAACCCAGAATTTCATATCCAGCCAAACTAAGCTTCATAAGTGAAGGAGAAATAAAATACTTTACAGACAAGCAAATGCTGAGAGATTTTGTCACCACCAGGCCTGCCCTAAAAGAGCTCCTGAAGGAAGCACTAAACATGGAAAGGAAAAACTGGTACCAACCACTGAAAAAACATGCCAAAATGTAAAGACCATCAAGGCTAGGAAGAAACTGGATCAACTAACAAGCAAAATAACCAGCTAACATCATAATGACAGGACCAAATACACACATAACAATGTTAACTTTAAATGTAAATGGACTAAATGCTCCAATTTAAAAGATACAGACTGGCAAATTGGATAAAGAGTTAAGACCCATCAGTGTGCTGTATTCAGGAAACCCATGTCATGTGCAGAGACACACATAGGCTCAAAATAAAAGGATGGAGGAAGATCTACCAAGCAAATGGAAAACAAAAAAAGGCAGGGGTTGCAATCCTAGTCTCTGATAAAACAGACTTCAAACCAACAAAGATCAAAAGAGACAAAGAAGGCCATTACATAATGGTAAAGGGATCAATTCAACAAGAAGAGCTAACTATCCTAAATATATATGCACCCAATACAGGAGCACCCAGATTCATAAAGCAAGTCCTGAGTGACCTACAAAGAGACTTAGACTCCCACACATTAATAATGGGAGACTTTAACACCCCACTGTCAACATTAGACCGATCAATGAGACAGAAAGTTAGCAAGGATACCCAAGAAATGACCTCAGCTCTGCCACCAAGCAGACCTGGTAGACATCTACAGAACTCTCTACCCCAAATCAACAGAATATACATTTTTTTCAGCACTACACCACATCTATTCCAAAATTGACCACATACTTGGAAGTAAAGCTCTCCTCAGCAAATGTAAAAGAACAGAAATTATAACAAACTGTCTCTCAGACCACAGTGCAATCAAACTAGAACTGAGGACTAAGAAACTCACTCAAAACTGCTCAACTACATGGAAACTGAACAACCTGCTCCTGAATGACTACTGGGTACATAATGAAATGAAGGCAGAAATAAAGATGTTCTTTGAAACCAACGAGAACAAAGACACAACATACCAGAATCTCTGGGACGCATTCAAAGCAGTGTGTAGAGGGAAATTTATAGCACTAAATGCCCACAAGAGAAAGCAGGAAAGATCCAAAATTGACACCCTAACATCACAATTAAAAGAACTAGAAAAGCAAGAGCAAACATATTCAAAAGCTAGCAGAAGGCAAGAAATAACTAAAATTAGAGCAGAACTGAAGGAAATAGAGACACAAAAAACCCTTCAAAAAATTAATGAATCCAGGAGCTGCTTTTTTGAAAAGATCAACAAAATTGATAGACCGCTAGCAAGATTAATAAAGAAGAAAAGAGAGAAGAATCAAATAGACGCAATAAAAAATGATAAAGAAGATATCACCACCGATCCCACAGAAATACAAACTACCATCAGAGAATACTACAAACACCTCTATGCAAATAAACTAGAAAATCTAGAAGAAATGGATAAATTCCTCAACACATACACCCTCCCAAGACTAAACCAGGAAGAAGTTGAATCTCTGAATAGATGAATAACAGGCTCTGAAATTGTGGCAATAATCAATAGCTTACCAACCAAAAAAAAGTCCAGGACCAGACGGATTCACAGCCGAATTCTACCAGAGGTACAAGGAGGAGCTGGTACCATTCCTTCTGAAACTATTCCAATCAACAGAAAACGAGGGAATCCTCCCTAACTAATTTTCTGAGGCCAGCATCATCCTGATACCAAAGCCAGGTAGAGACACAACCAAAAAAGAGAATTTTAGACCAATATCCTTGATGAACATTGATGCAAAAATCCTCAATAAAACACTGGCAAACCAAATCCAGCAGCACATCAAAAAGCTTATCCACCATGATCAAGTGGGCTTCATCCCTGGGATGCAAGGCTGGTTCAATATACGCAAATCAATAAATGTAATCCAGCATATAAACAGAACCAAAGATAAAAACCACATGATTATCTCAATAGAT
The DNA here is from genome assembly GCF_000001405.40 of Homo sapiens. Classification (NCBI taxonomy): domain Eukaryota; kingdom Metazoa; phylum Chordata; class Mammalia; order Primates; family Hominidae; genus Homo; species Homo sapiens. Next base: position 32,311,675 of record NC_000007.14, read on the forward strand.
GCAGAAAAGGCCTTTGACAAAATTCAACAACCCTTCATGCTAAAAACTCTCAATAAATTAGGTATTGATGGGACGTATCTCAAAATAATAAGAGCTATCTATGATAAACCCACAGCCAATATCATACTGAATGGGCAAAAACTGGAAGCATTCCCTTTTAAAACTGGCACAAGACAGGCATGCCCTCTCTCGCCACTCCTATTCAACATAGTGTTGGAAGTTCTGGCCAGGGCAATTAGGCAGGAGAAGGAAATAAAGGGTATTCAATTAGGAAAAGAGGAAGTCAAATTGTCCCTGTTTGCAGATGACATGATTGTATATCTAGAAAACCCCATTATCTCAGCCCAAAATCTCCTTAAGCTGATAAGCAACTTCAGCAAAGTCTCAGGATACAAAATCAATGTACAAAAATCACAAGCATTCTTATACACCAATAACAGACAAACAGAGAGCCAAATCATGAGTGAACTCCCATTTACAATTGCTTCAAAGAGAATAAAATACCTAGCAATCCAACTTACAAGGGATGTGAAAGACCTCTTCAACAAGAACTACAAACCACTGCTCAAGGAAATAAAAGAGGATACAAACAAATGGAAGAACATTCCATGCTCATGGGTAGGAAGAATCAATATCGTGAAAATGGCCATACTGCCCAAGGTAATTTATAGATTCAATGCCATCCCCATCAAGCTACCAATGACTTTCTTCACAGAATTGGAAAAAACTACTTTAAAGTTCATATGGAACCAAAAAAGAGCCCGCATCGCCAAGTCAATCCTAAACCAAAAGAACAAAGCCAGAGGCATCACGCTACCTGACTTCAAACTATACTACAAGGCTACAGTAACCAAAACAGCATGGTACTGGTACCAAAACAGAGATATAGATCAATGGAACAGAACAGAGCCCTCAAAAAATGATGCATATCTACAACCATCTGGTCTTTGACAAACCTGACAAAAACAAGAAATGGGGAAAGGATTCCCTATTTAATAAATGGTGCTGGGAAAACTGGCTAGCCATGTGTAGAAAGCTGAAACTTGATCCCTTCCTTACACCTTACACAAAAATTAATTCAAAATGGATTAAAGACTTACATGTTAGACCTAAAACCATAAAAACCCTAGAAGAAAACCTAGGCAATACCATTCAGGACATAGGCATAGGCAAGGACTTCATGTCTAAAACACCAAAAGCAATGGCAACAAAAGCCAAAATTGACAAATGGGATCTAATTAAACTAAAGAGCTTCTGCACAGTAAAAGAAACTTCTATCAGGTGAACAGGCAACCTACAAAATGGGAGAAAATTTTCCCAACCTACTCATCTGACAAAGGGCTAATATCCAGAATCTACAATGAACTCAAACAAATTTACAAGAAAAAAACAAACAACCCCATCAAAAAGTGGGCGAAGGATATGAATAGACACTCCTCAAAAGAAGACATTTATGCAGCCAAAAAACACATGAAAAAATGCTCATCTTCACTGGCCATCAGAGAAATGCAAATCAAAACCACAATGAGATACCATCTCACACCAATTAGAATTGCGATCATTAAAAAGTCAGGAAACAACAGGTGCTGGAGAGGATGTGGAGAAATAGGAACACTTTTACACTGTTGGTGGGACTGTAAACTAGTTCAACCATGTGGAAGTCAGTGTGGCAATTCCTCAGGGATCTAGAACTAGAAATACCATTTGACTCAGCCATCCCATTACTGGGTATATACCCAAAGGATTATAAATCATGCTGCTATAAAGACACATGCACACGTATGTTTATTGCAGCACTATTCACAATAGCAAAGACTTGGAACCAACCCAAATGTCCAACAACGATAGACTGGATTAAGAAAATATGGCACATATACACCATGGAATACTATGCAGCCATAAAAAAGGATGAGTTCATGTCCTTTGTGGGGACACGGATGAAACTGGAAACCATCATTCTCAGCAAACTATCGCAAGGACAAAAAACCAAACACCGCATGTTCTCACTCATAGGTGGGAATTGAACCATGAGAACACATGGACACAGGAAGGGGAACATCACACTCTGGGGACTGTCATGAGGTGGGGGGGAGGGGGGAGGGGTAGCATTAGGAGATATACCTAATGCTAAATGATGAGTTAATGGGTGCAGCACACCAACATGGCACATGTATATGTATGTAACAAACCTGAACATTGTGCACATGTACCCTAAAACTTAAAGTATAATAATAATAAAATAAAATAAAATAAAAGATGCTAGGTACCCAAATGTGAAACCAAAAACATTCCTAAGTAGCTGCTATTTTGTATCCTCAGTGTTTTTGTCTTTGATGTAGAATTAGTTACTACTAAGCCAATAAAAGTAAATGAGAAATGAAAAAAATAAATAAATAAATAAAATAAATAAAGTGGGCCCACTTTCCCCAGAAAGGCTCTTTTTATGTGGCTTATTGTTGTTATCACTTACAGAAGGTTTAAATATATCAACAATTTTAATACTATATTACAGCTCTGGCATTAGAAAGCAAGACAAAAATATAATTTACTGAGGAGGTGAAAATTGCATTATCTTGTAACATGATTTTTTTTCTTTCACTAACTAGAAAACATAAATACTGTACCCAGAAATACAAAAATTCTAGTTCATTAAGAGACAAAGGGAATAGCAGAGAAAAATTTGGTCACTAATATTTAGCAGGCCAGCAAACTTTGTCACATCAAAGACTCCTGATGAGGATTTGGGGAACATGCAATTAAAACAAATACAGAGCATCCCAGGTTACCACTTGCACAGCGATAAGTCCCAGATGGATAACTGGTTACAGGTAGAGCTGGCATGGACTTGCACTCACACATGAGGAAGGGAATGTGGTTTCTTAGGGGATCCAGCCTTAGTCAGGCCATCATGGGTTAAGCTCTGTGCTTAGTATTCATGCATCTCATTTCAAGCCCTCAGTAACAAAGAATGGAATTATAGAGTTAGGTTTTCTTACTGTGGTTCTTAAATCCCTGGAGAAGGTAACTCTTCTCAGTGGCATCCTTGGCAACAGAATTACCGAGAGCACCAAGAACGCTGAAACCAGAAAGAATAGACAGGCAGCCCAAAAGGGAACACAGACCTACAGAGTAGATCCAGCTATTTGCTGAAATGACCTATAATAGAGACATGCTCCTCCATCTGTTGTTCACTGGTGGCTAAATTCATCTAGAACTTTTTTCCAGCTTATTCACCTCAAATTGGACAATAAATATGTTCCTTATCACCAGCAAACATGCATCGCCACAGATACAGCTACACACACAGACACATACACAGACATTCACACACACACCCCACTTTTATATCTCGGATGTGGCTTCTGACAATGATGACAATGATAAGGATGCTGGAGTTCTGAAGAAAATGTCACAGAACAAAATGTTAAGGAAAAAGAGCAAACACAAAGTAGGATGCAATAGAGTCTCAACTATGTCAAAAAGAAAATACACTAAAGAAAGACAGGAAGGTGAGCAAGAACAGCCCAGTGAGTGACAGAATAGCCAAGGACAAAAAGTTTAAATCAGATGTTGCAAACTGGCTTCCCTGGGATCAAATGCAGCCCAGGGATGTGGCTTTTTGTTTTGGGGTGATTTTTGCCTGCTTGGTGCTTAAAAAATATTTAAATTGTGAATTAAAAAGAAATTGCAAATTGAAAGGAAGGAAGGTAGAGAGGAAAGGAGGAAGACAGCAGACAGGAAGGAAGGAAACACATCAAAATGCAACAGTGATTATATTCCAGTGCTGGGATTATAGGTTACTTGGTTTCCCAAAGCCAGCAAGTTCAAGTTTGTTCTTATGAACATATCCTGACTGCACCCTGGAGGCTTCCTACCCAGGAACATTGGTTATAATTTAGTTTCTTCTTATATGTATCCTCCAAATTTTCTAGCATGCTCATAATTAGAAAATAGAAAAATAAACATTTTTAAAGTCAGCTATCAAAACAGACATAGATGTCTAAATTACTTCCTGTACTTTTCTTTGTTTAAAATATTTTGGCCGGCGTGGTGGCTCACGCCTGTAATCCCAGCACTTTGGGAGGCCGAGGTGGGTGGATCACCTGAGGTTGGGTGTTCGAGACCAGCCTAACCAACATGGAGAAACCCTGTCTCTACTAAAAATACAAAATTAGCCGGGCATGGTGGTGCATATCTGTAATCCCAGGTGCTCGGGAGGCTAAGGTGGGAGAATTGCTTGAACCCAGGAGGCCAAAGTTGTGGTGAGCCAAGATCGTGCCATTGCACTCCAGCCTGGGCAACAAGAGCGAAAACTCCATCTCAAAAAATATATATATGTTTTATAATTTAAGATAAATATTAAACTAAATTGTCCTAAGCCAGATCAATGAATCATCCAATCTGATATTCTCACTAGACTGTAAACCTCATGAGGGCTGTGTCCGTTTTGACCATTGATGTATCCCAAACACCTAGAACAAAGCCTAGCATCAAGTAGGTGGTTAGTAAATACTTGTTGAATGAATGAATACATGAATATTCTATTTCTGGTGGTAGTTTAAGAAGAAACCTGGAAATTACATGTCAACTTTCTAAGTCAGGAATGCACTGTAACTATTCTCCATACATCAGTATGAGATGGTCCATGTTTACCAACGATAGAATAAACAAGAACGCACATCTGCCGTCTAAAGACTCCATGCTCCTCTTTGCAAAAGGGTCTTCATTCTTCCATATCATACCAGGACCAGTGAAAAACTCCTGCTACCATACCACCAGCATGCGATACCTTGTATATCGGTACTTTATTAGAAAATATTTGGCATAATCACCATACACGGCAAGCTGATGCCAAAATAAATAGATCACAGACTTGCATGAGACTGAAGTTCTAAATAATGATCATGAATTACAAAGTCTTCATGTGTGGGGAAAGCACAAAGTCTCTACATTGACAAGACGACTGAAATCTCAGAATTACAAGCAAGTTTTTCCCGATGTTGATTACACTGTTGCCCAAAAACTCTACCAGAGAATCAGACAGTCTGTATTATCATGATAAAAGAAAGCAGTTATAGTTGGCAGCAGGTGGGAGTATTAATGATTTAATGCTGAGATGCTTTTGTCAGGCATTTAAGTTACCAAAAGGTACTTTTTTCATTGTGATAAATTCTTGCACATGCATTTGGAAACCACATTTTTAACACACTGCCTCTCAAGCCAACAAAGAGCATTTGTGAGAATGAGAGGCAATTTGGTTTCCTCTTTCCTCATGTGTCACCTCTTGACTTAATTTATTCTCCCTCTAGTTTTGAAGCCCTCCTCCAAAGCACAGGGCACCGCCACTGACACAGCCAGCGCTCCACACACGCCTGAGGAATTGACTCCAAATGCGTGACAACTGAAGCAAATCACAAGGAAAGTAGAACTGTGCAGTATGCCAGGAATGCAAGACCACATGTTGGAAAGAACAAGAAATGGAAAAGGGTAAAGATTAGGTCTTAGTTTAATGATTAGATTGAAAGAAGTAACAGAAGAGTTGGTGGACCTCTCTGGTAGTTTTCTTTATTCTCAACTCATGTTTTTTGGGATCTATACCGTGGTCCAGCTACTGTGCCAGACTCTTTTACCTACAGAATCGCATTTAGGCCTCACAGCAACTCCCATTACACACATGAAGATACTGAGGCCCAGCCCCAGTAAAGTGGATATGAGGTCTAAATGGAGACCCGTCCTCTCAAAGGCTCAATCCACCTTTGCCTCTCTTTGTCTACTGAGAGGGTGTAAAATTCCAGATACCCTCTTCTGATGGCCTTTCTACCCACTCCCCTGGCCCACAATTTCCTGAAGGAGATAACATTGTCTTTTTTTTTTAGATAAGAGTGATAAAAAGACATGAGAGAAAGTGATAGTTTTTTTTTTTACATTATTAGTGTCATTTTCATCATAACCATACTCATGTCATTTTCATCCTACCCATAGCCATGTTAACGCAGTAAAATATTGACATGAACAGTGCAAGCTCCACAGCCAACCTGCTGGGGACGAATGCTGGCACTGTTCTTATTGGTTGCATGACCTTGGGCTCTGCCTCAGTTTCCTCATATGACTGTTGTGAGGACTAAGTGACTTAATACATGAATGGTGCTTAGAGCAGTGTCTGGCACACAGTAACCACTCAGTAAATATCAGCTGTTGGTATCATTGTGTCCTTGTCACCATGTTTTTGCCCTTTATTCATTTTAATGCACTTTCATACGTTATCTCATTTGACATAGTCCGTGGAGGGTGTGATGCCTTACCATAAAGAGACAGGGTCAGAGAGGGGAAAAGGTAACCCTAACAATTACAACTAGTTAGCTCTGGTGCCAGCACCAGACTGCCCACGTTATTTCCAATGCGTAACAACACTTCATAAAGTTGTTCTAACCCTTGAATTTTCCGAAGAAACTTCCTTTAAAAGCTTTAATGACTGCAGTGCTCCTTAAGCATAAACAAGGAGGGACATTCGGCAGGGAGATACCTCTCTAGCAACATTCCACAGCTGCCAGGGCCCCACACCTAGGGGCAACTTGTGGATACGTAGAATCCAAACCAAACCCCCCTTCTGAGTGTGATAAAATCCCTCCAAACCCCGAATGGCCTCACCATGTTTCGAGGGGTTCCCTCCCTCTAAACATTCCCCAAACCGCTCAGCCCAAGCACCAGGAACCTCATTTTGGGAAAACACGGGCTCTTCCTGCCCAAATCTCGCCCTCTAGGGAGCGGCTCTCCCTCCGCCGCGGTCTACACAGCTGTGCTTACAGCCTGCACCGCTGGCTGGGTGCCCGCCACGCACAGAAGGGCAGTAGGAACACAAAAGGGTGTGGTGGCCAGGGACCCAGAAGAAGTGAAAGGGGACCTGCGAGCGGGGAGTTTTCTGAAAACTGCACAAGCCTTCTTGGGCAGCGTGGTGTCTTTTCACCAGGACGCAGGTGCCTCTGTCTGCCAGCGGTGACATGGGTGAAGGGCTGCGCGCGTGAGCAGGAATAAAGCGAGAAATCACGACAGAGTTGGTCACGAGGACATTAAGATGCATTACATTTGCCCGCGTATCTACCTACAAAAAGAGCCACGGCAGAGGCCTTCTGTGTGACCAAGACCTCTACGGGAAGGGCGACACGGCTCACTTCCTGGCTGGGGCTCTGGCACTGGAAACGCTTAGGAAACTCCAGGCTCTGGACTGAGGTTCGGGAGGGCTGGACTTAAATCTTCGCTCCGCAATGGCTGAAATCAGCGTTGGTGCATTGAGACTTGGTTTCTCATCATTTCAAAAGAACCGGTGGTGATTGTCACGTCCGTGCTCCCTTAAGCTGTTGCAAGGGCAGAGGAAGCAGGCGGGAGGATTTGACCCATGTCCCTCGTTCTCCCGCGCCCTCCACGCCGTCACCCGGGAGCTGCAGTCCTCCGCAGCCTCCCTGCTCCCGACGCCTGCCTCTTTCCGTAAAGAAACTAAACGTGATCTGTGAGGTGCAGGGAGATGACCAGAGCGCCACGTGCTTGGAGACCGTTTTCGGACACTTCACTAGCTCCTCTGCCTGACTTTTGCTCCTGTGCGCTCCCTGCCCAGCCCTTTCATGGCGGGCCTTCCACCCTGCCCCTGCCCCTTGACTTGGTGTTCCCAAGGGCTCTGCTACACTCCCCCAGTGATGGCATCTGTGCCCTTGGGTGCTGTTGACTCTTCTCCCTCCAGCCAGCACGAGAAGGGACTGGAGCCATTGGGCCGTGGGCAAGCCATCACCGGAGAACCAGCTGGGAAAGTTAGGGGATCTCCCCCAGGCCCCTGGATTGATCCCCACCTGACACATGTTCCTGCATCCTGAGGGCCATGGTCTAGGGGAGGCAAAACGGGAAAAGTAGGCCAAACTCTGCTATAGAATGCCATTTGCCACAACTCTGTGAGGAGTTACAGTGACTCCCACCTTTCAGGTGGAAACACAAACTCAGCTTATGTAATCTGCTCAAGGTCACAGAGCTCAGAAGCAGCAGGCTTGGAACCCTGTCTTCAATAGGTCTCTGCACTTTTCTTCTTCCCAACAGCGACCGCTCTGGGTATGAAGGCTGAAAAGTCAAATGGATTCTGAAGTGAAATTGCTCCTACAGACATTTTTCTTAAGATAGTGTGTAATTGCACCTATTTCATGTTGACTAAAAGTATTTTCCCTCTGTTTTGTATAGTTTTTATGCCCCTTGAACATAGATAGGTAAAAATTACTTATCTCAAAGTCCAAAAATGAGTGGGATGGATAAAAGAGGTCCCAGAGTCCCACGGTCTTAGGGACAGAGCAAAGCTTCCCTGCCTACGACACAGCCAAATTGGGGAGGGGATAGGTGGGGCAACTTGAAGCCAATTCAGTGAACATTAATTTGTCACACAGCAGTTCCCCACACTACCAACTGACAGATTTTTGCCTCACCAAATCCTTATTTGTAATAACATTTTGTAAAGTTTACTAAGGTTTGTGTTTCATTTTGTATGTGCAGTATATTTTTACAATGACCACTGCTTGTATATTTTGAATTTTAAGTATCATGCTTGTAACAAATATCAAGGGTTTTCTATCCTCTTGGTTAGTCGATTTGCTTTATTGATGGAAGGGGGGAAAACAGGTAGAACTGGGGAACAACACACACTGGGGCCTGTGGGAGGAGTGGGAGGAGGGAGAGCATCAGGAAGAATAGCTAATAGATGCTGGGCTTCATACCTGAATGATGGGGTGATCTGTGCGGCAAACCACCATGGCACACGTTTACCTATATAACAAACCTGCACATCCTGCACATGTACCCCTGAACTTAAAAGTGGGGGGAAAAAGGTAGAGTTAAAGGGATTATGCAAGGAATTGTTCTAGGAATATTGTCACACTTTCAACTGCATGTGCCCCCACCAGGTGCTTAGGCACACACATACACACACACACACACACACACACACTTCCACATAAGCAAAATAAAAGTTTCACATATGTGTTAATTTTCATATGTCCATGTCAATTTAAATATGCTTAAGGAAAATTCCACTATTCATATAAACACATTGAGCCTCTCAGGGAAAGAAACTTAGAAAAGCAGAGCAAGGAAAGAAGCATTTATTGAGCACCTACTAAGCCCCTAGGGCTCTGTCCTATATTGTCACCAGAGCTGCATCTTCCTGAAACCCACGACCACTTGACAGGGAGGTATGTGTCATAATCCCCGTTTACAGAGGAGTAAAGTGAGACTCAAAATAAAATGTGCATCACAGACCTAGGTCACCCACTACAGAGTCCTGATTCAGGCCACCAATTTTGGAATGGGGAGAGAACGAAGGTGAATCTCACAATCCAATCCTGATCCCTGTGATACAGCAGTCCCCCATCTCTTGCTCTGATCTACTCTCATCAGCTGAAGAACAATCGCTCAGTGACAAAAGAACAAAAATCTCAAAGAGAATTACACCAACCTCAATAACTATGCAGGTCCTTAAAAAAGACAAATTAAGACCCCTCATTTCTTTTGTGATACAGCCTCTCTTTAAGCACAATCACAGAGCAGAGCCTGCATTGTTAGCCCGGCTTTGATTTACAAAAACACAGCGCAGATGAGTTTCAAAAGGAAGAACAATTTATGAAAGGCAAAATGACAATAAATGTAGGAGGAGAAGAATCAAGGGGTTGGAATCTCTAAACCATTGTAAAATTACTTTTGGGTGGCTGTGGGAATATTACTCTACTATGTTAATTTCTCCAGCATGCATAAAATAGATGCCCCTTACTTTTGGGTGGCTGTGGGAGTGTTACTCTGTTATCTTAATTTCTCCAGTATGCATAAAATAGATGCCCCAGAGTTAAGGAACATTCCTGACTTCTTCCTGCTTCTCTTCAAGTGAATTGTTCAATTAATTAAAATCCATTATATTCCTAAAACTTCAGCAGACACTGGGGAGGAGAGAGATGGAATTTTGATAGCAGGTCTGCTACTAACTTGAGATGTAATCAGCTTAATGCTGATTTATTTTTCACATTCAGTTTCTATACTTACCAACTGGCATAAATTTCCCAGGGCAGGGTTTTTTCTACGAATGCTTCCTGAATTAATCCACCTATCTATCCACATTCTACAAACCCTAGAAGTTCCCATTTCAAACCCGATCAGTTGTTCAAATCTCCTTAATCCAGCCCACAAAGATCACTTCTTCTCTACCTCTGTTTGCACTTTTGCTCACATAATTAGCATGTAATAAGTACATTAAATGTATTAAATGTGTGCTATGTGACATGCACCAGATGCTATGATGGGAACTAAAGACAAAACGAGTAGTAATAATAGTTGAATTCACTGAAGGCCTACTAGGGGAAGGTGTGGTCTAGGAACTTTTATGTATATTAATTTATTTAGTCCTTATACTCTATAAGGAATGTCCTACTATTACCCTAATTCTACAGATGAAGTAAACTGAGCTATCCAGTAACTTGCTCAGGGTTACTCAGATTATAAGTGATAAAACAAGAATTTGAACACAGATAGCCTGGCTCTAGAGCCTTGGCAATTAATCACTACTCTACAGCAGCCATTCCTGGCCCACGTTCAAAAAGCTCATAATTGAATAAAAGACAGACATGTTAGCCAGGCACAGTGACCTACATGCCTCCCAAAACCAGCACTTTGGGAGGCCGAAGCAGGAGGATCACTTGAGACCAGGAGTTTGAGACGAGCTTGGGCAACACAGAAAGACGCCATCTCTACACACGTAAAAAAGAAGTTAGCCAGGCCTGGTGGTGCATACCTGTAGTCCCAGCTACTCAGAAGCCTGAGGCAGGAGAATCACTTGAGCCCAGGAGTTCAAGGATGCAGTAAGCTATGATCACACCGCTGCACTCCAGCCTGGGTGACAGAGCAAGATCCCATCTCTATTTTTTTCTTTTTTCTTTTTTTTTTTTTTGAGATGGAGTCTTGCTCTCTCACGCAGGCTGGAGTGCAGTGACATAATCTTGGCTCACTGCAACCTCCGCCTCCTGGGTTTAAGCAATTTCCTGCCTCAGCCTCCCAAGTAGCTGGGAATACAGGCGCCTGCCACCACACCTGGCTAATTTTGTATTTTTAGTAAAGACGGGGTTTCAGCATCTTGGCCAGGATGGTCTTGAACCCCTGACCTCAAATCCACCCTCCTTGGCCTCCCAAAGTGCTGGGATTACAGGCGTGAGCCACCATGCCCAGCCTCCCATCTCTATTTTTTTACAAAAAGACAGATGTAATCAGAAGGTGACACAAAGGGTTGCTATGCTTCAGTGGTTTGAGGAAAGGGACCAACAAAGACTGGGAGGGTCTGGTAGGAATTTCTCAGGAAGATACAGGGGTGGGGAGAGATTTAAGGCATTTTTTAGTTTAGCCAACTAAAGTGACATGTAACATCAAATTTCTCCTAGCTCTACCATTCTGTAGATCCATGAGCAGGATTGTATCATAACTTAAAGAATAACTTTTCCTGGGTTTACAAAGAATGTTGTGCTGGTAAAAAGTGCTCCAGAATAGAAAAAGCCAAAATAAAAGCACCCCAAGTATTTGCAGATTTACTTTGCCAGTTTCCATGGTGTTAATACTCCCACGATGGCAGATTTCAGGCTACCAATCAGACTTCACTGAATTCAACTCAGAGTTGAGAAGAGATTGTATGTCTTGAGACATACAATTGGTCTCAAGAGCCAGTCTGAGCTAGCTCCAGCACCCCACCACAAGAAGTTCTTGCAGTGTGAATCAGAAACTGAAGGAGCCCAGACCTAGGTGGGCAGGAAAATACCCACCCCTGAGGGAGAGAGGCCTTGGGGACTCAGAAAGGAGAGAACATGTGCTCAATCTCCAGAAGGCTGCAGCAGTCAGGGTGGCATGTTGCCAGCCCCCAAAACAAACTCTGGGCAAATGGAGATGTCAACCACGGAACCAAGTCAAAGAGCCAGGAGGAAAAGAGTGGCATGAGAAAAAAGACTCTAAGGGAATACAGATGCCTGGTCTGGAAAGGAAACTCCTGAGTTCAACCAGCCAAAACCTTCAGACAATGCCCAATTAGGACCTGAGGATGAAGCAGAAAGTCCAGAGAGCCTTTGGTGTTAGCTCTCCGTCCCAACCCACTGAAATCCCCCACCCCAGCATGGGTTTGGAGCTCCTCCTCTGGAAGCTCCAAGCATCCTGTGCTGAACTCTAATACAACCTGTCCCATCGCACACTGTGGTCTTCTGTACATGTGTCTCCCACTAGGCTGTGAGCTTCCTTCAAGGTACATACAGAGCATAGAGCGGGAGTCAACAAACATCAGCCCATGGGCCAAATCTGGGCTGCCACCTGCTTTTGTAGGATATGCAATCTAAGAATGATTTAATGGTTGAAAAAAATTAAATTAGAATATTTTGTGATACATGTACATTATGTAAAATTCAAATTTCAATGTCCATAAACAAAGTTTTAGCAGAACTCAGCCATGTTCACTTATTAACTTATTGTCTATAGTGGCTCTCATGCTATTATATGGCCCATAAAACCTAAAATGCTTACTATTTGCTCTTTTATAGAAACAAAATTTGCCAATTCTTGCACATAGCATGCCACAAGATAGAAAGCTCTGGATAATGTTTGATTAATGATTACTTGACCCTAAAGCCAACCCCAGCCTTTTTCAACCTCATAATTATTCTAAATTTCCCAGTCGGAGGACCCCACTTACCCTAGCAACAAGCTTTGTTTTCCAACTCCTTTAAGCACTTTGTTCCCAGGGAGAATTCAATCAAATCTTCCCAAATTGCTTGGTGTCAATCTGTCTGCATGGGCATTCCCAAGTTAATAGTTCTGTGGAATTTGACTAAAAGTTCTACTAAAAAAAGGCAGGGATTCCACAATTAAATAAGCTTAATCAATGCTGAGCTAAAGAACAAAACATGTTTCTTACCACAGAACTCCTCAGAGTCTTTAAGATGCTGATGCAAGGTTGGGCGCGGTGGCTCATGCCTATAATCCCAGCACTTTGGGAGGCCAAAGTGGAAGGATCACTTGAGTCCAGGAACTAGAGACCAGCCTGGGCTACATAGCAAGACCTCATCTATATGAAAAATTTAAAAATTAGCTGGGTGCAGTGGTGCATGCCTGTAGTCCCAGCTACCAGGGAGGCTGAGGTGGGAGGATCGCTTGAACCTGGGAGGTCAAGGATGCAGTGAGCTGTGATCCTACCACTGTACTCCGGCCTGGGTGACAGAGGAAGGCCCTATCTCAAAAAGAGAAAGATGCTGATGCACTCTGTGAAACTCCAAGATAGGAGCATTTCCTAAACTTATTTGACCAAGGAACCTTCTTGTTGAAAACTGTTCCTCAATAAACTTTGGGAGTCTGATTCTAAAAGAAGTAGAGCACTAACAAATAATACGTTCATCAAAGTTACCTAGAGATTTTATTGTTTTGACCCAAGTTATTTGACTCAACTGTGACCACCACTACCACCTCTTGGCTGTAGGTAACATGAACTACAAGGCAGCTGCAGCCTGCGTCACCCTGAAGAGAGCATCCATTGCTCAACTCCCAACATGGCCACTGCCTGAAGATCTCATTACCACTGCTGCCCACAGTGCTGTCTCCCTCTCCTCCTTTGAGTCTTTGCTCAAATGTCACTTTCTCAACAAGGCCACTGCCTGAAGATCTCATTACCACTGCTGCCCACAGTGCTGTCTCCCTCTCCTCCTTTGAGTCTTTGCTCAAATGTCACTTTCTCAACAAGGCCACCTTATTTGAAACCACCATCCCCTTCCCCAGCACTCTGGATTTCTCTCATCCTGTTACACCTTTTCCTCTGTTCTACGTTTTCCCCTGACACTGATTTCCTTCTAACAAATCATGTAAGATCCAATCCAAGATCTAAGATGCAGGGACTTTTTATCTAATTTGCCACAGGTATATGTAGCCTAAGCACCTAGAAAAGCACTCATAGCAGGCTCCCAATAAACATTTGTTGAAAGAATGACTGAATGAGTAAATGGCAGTAGCCACCAATTCCTCTTCCAGTGTTTTACCCACTATTTTTGTGTACAAGGTCTAAGAGGTAATAGAGGAGGGGACAGATTATACAATTATAAGGACTTTTACTTTCCCTGAGTGAGATGAGGAAACATTGGAGGGTTCTGAGCCCAAGAGGGAGATAATCTGACTTAGCAGGCTGCTGGGCTAAGAATAGACCATTTAAGAAACGATTGCAATCATTCAGACAAGAAATGATGGTGGCTTGGATCAGGGTGGAGAAGTGGAGGTGGTTGGAAGTAGTGAGATTCTAATTATAATTTAAAGGAAGAGGTAACAAGATTTGCTGACAGTTCAAACACGGTTGTGAGGAAAAAAAAAAGGAATCAAGGATGACTTCAATGTTTTTGGCCTGAGAAAGAAGGATGGACTTGCCAAAAACTAAGACAGAAAAATGTGGACTAAAAGGCTTTGGAGAGGCAAAGCAGAAGTTCTGTTTTGTACATGCTAAGGTCAAGCTGTCATTTAGACAACCATAGATTAGACTCTATCCAATGTTGAATAGGCAGTTGCATATGCAAGTCTGGTATGCAGGACAGGAGTCTGAGCTAGAGGCATAAATGTGGGAGTCACTGGCATATGGATGGTTTTTAAAGCCATGATACTGAATGAGATAACCAAGGGAATCACATGGAAAGAGAATAAGAGACCAAGGACTAAACTCTAGGGCAAGTCAATACTCAGAGATCTGGAAGGACTAGAAGATCCTGCTAAGGAGGCTGTACAGGGCGAGTCAGTGAGGAATCCAGAGATTACAGTGCCTCGGAAACCAGGTGAAGAAGGAAAGAGTGGTCAGCTAAGTTTAATGCCTAGGACCGGTCAAGTAAGAGAAGGACTAATACTTGACTATTAGACTTAGTAATGTTCAGGTCACTGGTTACCCTAACTAGTGAGTTTATACAGAGGACAAAAGGCAAAACCTGGATTAGAGTAGGTTTGAGAGAAAATGGGGAGATTTTGGAGACAGAGAGTTTAGAGAACTATTTGTAGATAATCTGCTGCATACAGATGCAGAGCAATGGGGTAGCAGCTGATAGATAAAAGGCGTCAAGAGAACCTTTTCTAAGGTGGCAGCAATAACAGCATGTTTGCATGCTGATGGGAATGATAACAATCTAGAGGGAAAATGAATGATGCAGAAAAGGAAAGGGAGAATTACCAAAGTGATGTTCTTGACTAGGGATGAGCTGAGGTCCCTAGACAACAGGCATTGGAAACTAGTGCAAAAATCGATGTCCCACAAATAGCACCATAATCCACCTAATAACATGAGCAAAACACCCGAGTCATCTTCATTCCTACTTAGCCTCTCTTGCTCACAAGACACATATGCACACGAGCACACAGAAACATCTCCGTAATCCATTAATAACCTCCATTGGCTGTACTGCCAAAATCTGACAATTTCTGACTGCCTCGACTGCTATTGTCTTTACCCAAGTCAAATGTATTTTTCTGTGAACTACTGCAATACTCTCTCACTTTCTCTGTTTTCCAAGGAAATCTTTTATTGAAGCATAACATGTGCATAGAGAAAAGTCCCCAAATCGTAAGTATACAACTTGATCCATTTTCATAGACTGAACACACCCAGATTAAATGTAACCATCACGTGGATCAGGAAGTAGGACATTACCAGCATCCCAGGAGCCCTCTCATGCCGCCTCCCAGACACTCACTGCCATCCCAAAGGTAACATTATCTGGGTTTCTATCACCATGGATTCATTTTCTCTATTTCAAAATTATATAAAAAGAATCACATATGTAATCCCAGCACTTTGGGAGGCCGAAGTGGGTGGATCACGAGATCAGGAGATCAAGACCATCCTGGCCAACATGGTGAAACCTTGTCTCTACTAAAAATACAAAAATTAGCCGGGCATGGTGGCGGCGCATGCCTGTAGTCCCAGCTACTCAGGAGGCTGAGGCAGGAGAATTGCTTGACCCCAGGAGGCGGAGGCTGCAGTGAACCAAGATCACGTCACTGCACTCCAGCCTGGGCAACAGCGCTAGACTCTGTCTCAAAAAAAAAAAAAAAAAAAAAGAGAATCATGTAGTGTGGCTTCTTTTGTGTCTGGCTTCTTTCACTCAAAATTCTGTTTCTGAGATTCATCCATGTTGTTTGCACATAGACATAGTTCCGTTTTTCTCTGCTGAATTGTGCTTCTTCAGATGAACATACCACCTTTTATTTATCCATTGTACTGCTAATATTTAGATCATTTCCAGTTTGAAGGTGTTATGAATAGGCTGCTATAAACATTTTCCTTCACATCTCTTGGTGCACATATGTAGGCATTTCTTTTGAGCATATATTCAGGAGAGGAATTTCTGGTTCAAAAGTGATGTATATATTTATCTTTAGTAGATCCTACCAAACAGTTTTCCAAAATGGTTAAATCATTTGCCACTCTCATCACAGTATAGAGTAGTTCTATTGTTCACATCCTTGCCAAGGCTTGATTTTGTGCCCTTTTTTGTTTTTGCCATTCTAGTGGTGTACAAAGCTGTCTCACTAAGGTTCTAGTTAAATAGCCTTTCAGTCTCCCTGCTTCCACTTTTGCCTCCCTCCAATCCATTCTCCAAATAAAAACCAGAGAAATATTATCAAACACAAGTAAGAGTACACTATTTCCCTTCTTAAAACATTGTGATGGCTCCCAGCTACAGTCAGAATAAACCCAAACTCAGAAGCACAGCCTCCAAGTCCCTGCATGATCTGCCTGCTGCAGACCTGCCTGGCCAACTTCACCTTACCAACCACGCTCCATGTTCACTGTGCTCCAGACACACTGCCTCCTTCCTCTTCCTTGAACAAGCCAGGCTCTCTTCCACTTCAGGATCTTTGTATGTGTTGTTCTCTCTGCCTGGAACACAACCCCATCCTCCACCCCCCATCCCCACTCCACCCCTTGCTTGCCTAACTACTATTCTTCCTTCAGGTCTCAACTTACAAGTCACATCCTCAGGTGAGAACTCCTAACTGGCCTCCATTATCAACAGTGAATCTCCTCTGCAACGCTTACACAATCTCCACATAGCTTGTTTCTTTATTCGCTTGTTCATGTCCTATTTTCCCTATTAGATTGTGTGGTCCACAAGGGCAAGGACATGGCCTTCTTGGTCACTACTGCATGTCCAGTACCTGGCACTAGGAGATCAATAAATTTTTGTCAAATGATTGACTTAATAAATAGTATTGCTGGCCAGGCGTGACAGCTCACACCTGTAATCCAGCACTTTGGGAGGCCAAGGCAGGAGCATCACTTAAGCTCAGGAGTTTGAGACCAGCCTGGGCAACACGGCAAAACCTTATCTCTAGAAAAAATGAAAAAATTAGTCAGGTGTGGTGGCATACATGTGTAGTCCCAGCTACCCAGGAGGCTAAGGTGGGAGGACAGCTTGAGCCCAGGAAGTCAAGGCTGCAGTAAGCTGTGATCATGCCACTGGGTGACAGAGTGAGACCTTGTCTCAAATAAATAAATAAAAAGTAAATAGTATCTCTCTCGGGGAGACCTAAGTTAAGCAGCTCTTTCACACTGAGGAAAATTGATAAAGCAAAATGCTCTGAGATGCTCAGAGGAGAGGCCTCATTTATACATCAACGTAGCCATTGTTTACTGGGCACCTATTATGGAGGCGATAGACCCTGTGTACTCTTCAACAGAGACCACCTCGGAGCTCCCTCTCAATTGCCGATGAGCTTTTAATCCAGTGCAGGTGACCTTGAGGTGCCTCAGACTCCTGCTCCCTGCTTTGGGCCACTTTATGTAGGTTTACCTTTTCCACAGAGGTATGGCAGCACTTCCATTCATTTGTCCAGTTTTCTAGTTCAGAAAGTTTGCGGGAGTATTTTTCCTGATAATAATGCTAACAAGTTATCACTTAAATTTTTTGAAAAATTAATAAGAGAAAAATAATGGTCATCTATACTTCTACTACCCAGGAAAAATGAGCATATCCTCTTCAAGGCTTTGTTATTTCTTTTTCCCTTTATTTTTAGTGTTGGTCAAAGGGCTCAGGAGAGGACTTGGTTGAAACTAGTGTATACAGAAGGGAATGTGGGGTTTTCTAATTATTCAAGCTTGCATTGTCCTTTATGCCGAAAACCGGTGGAAAGGAACTCGAGATGGATTACTAACAGCTTCAGGCTTGGAGCCTGTTTCCAGCACTTTGCTCAAATCATTGTCCACATGTTGCCTTTGTCTCCCCATCAGGGATGCCAAGGAGCCTGGCAATATTACAGCAACTCAGCAGACGTTGCCCTGAAATCAAGATTGAATATAGCATCTCCCAGATCAACCAAATAGATTCAGAACACATATCTTTGGCCCACCTTTCCCAAAATGGAGATTTTGTTTGGATAAAGAGCCATCACATATGGCACCCCCAGTCTGTCCTAAGCACAGTGCTGGACACTTCATATATCTTTAATCCTCACAATGACTCTAGATGTAGGCATTGTCTCCATTTGCAGTTGAGGCTCTGCAAGGTGAGTGAACTGTTCAAGGTCTCAGTAAGTGGCTGATTCAAGCTTGCACTCAGCCCTCTCTGGCTCCACGGCCTTGCTCAGCTATGCTGGTAAGTTTTGCCTTGGCTGCAAATGGCTAGAATCAAAGGAAGAACAGAGGAGGACCTTTCCTGGGCTGGATCTAAAATTGCTGGTGAGCTCGCAGTGCTAAGCACAGACTCTCCAAAGGAGACTGGGGAAAACATCAAATTAATTGATATCATCACAGAGTTATATTACTACTTAATGGACGAGCTAAACCCTGAGGACATGGCCTCAATATAGCCAGAATTTCAAACTGCAGTCTTATCTCTTCCCACAGTGCATTTGGATCTCTAACTCCCTTCTACCCCTTTGATGAGTTTGTATTAATAACCCCTGCTTAAGTAAGGAGCTGGGCCATTGAGAGCTGGCCAAGGCCTGTTCCCGAGCCCCAGGCCATGATTCGCTTCACTCTGGACTTCAGTTCCAGAGAGAGAGGTCAATGGCAGGGCATGGGAACAGGATCGATCCCCAAGCTTGTTCTGTCCCCAGAACAGAAGTCCCTAAAAACACTATGGGTGGGACAGAAGTTAAGGCCAGAGAGCAGGGAATCGCATCTGCTAAGTGAGGAGAGTTTTCCAATGAAAACAACTCCACAAGGCCATCGGTCCCCTGGGAAGATTTCCTTCTGCTTATGCACACTCAGTTCCTCCTCCCTCCTCCTCTGTCTCCTTGGGGTTGGACTAGAAGTCAAAGCACTTCTGACCAGCAATGTCCTCCAAACCCTGGGCAAGAGGCAAGACCTTGACCTACACTCTGGGCCAACTGCATCTCAGATCAATAAGATCTTAACTCACTTACCTGTGTTTGACAGGGAAGCAACAAACCCTTCTTTGAACACTGAAGTTAGGTGAGTGACCTTCCTTTTAAATACAAACAGGGTGGCCTCGGGGATAGTGAGAAGCTCCATCCTCAGAAGGATCCAAAAGAGGCTGGGCCACCACTTGAAAGAGGCACTGAGACAGTGATTCAGAATTGACATGTGGCCTTGACTTAGACACTAGGTTCAAATCCAACAATTTATTAAGCTGCGCTGGTGTGCGAAGCAAGACTGACCCCTGCCTTCATGGAGTTTACAGGTTAGTGGGGAAGACAGACATGCAAAAAAGACAGAAAGAAACATGTCATTACAAATTGCGATCAGTGCTAAAAGGAAAGGATGGAGGTCATGAGGAATAATAACAGGGAGAATCAAGAACTTTGAGTAGGGGTTCCAAATTTATGTTTTGAAACAGTTCACTGTGGCTGCCATGAAGAGTCTGGGTTGGAGGGGCAAGTGTGGAGGTTGGAGGCGAGTTAGGAAGCCAGCTCATTGGCCCATGGAATAGATGATATGGCTGAATCCAGGTGTGAGTGGTGGAAGTGGGGCGATGTGATCCAATGGGAGGCATATTTTGGACATAGAATCAACAGGACTTAGTCGTACTTGAGAAGTGAGAACTTGGGGAGGAGAGAAAAAGGGAAATAACTCCCAAGTTTGGGACTGAACAAGGTCATCTGAAAAATCTGAGTTTATAGTATTGTATAGATTCTATGACTATGAGGCTTCAAAGTCCAGACTAACAGGCCAGGAGGTAGGGCCAGTCCTATCCCTTGATATGGCTCAGAGCCACAAGGGCCGTTAAAAGCAAGGCCACCTAAAAGGTCTTTCCCACATTGGGGCTTGGAAGGAAGTGAGGTTTTACTATGGCACCCATCTCCCTACACAGTGTATATCAAAATCGTAATCAAGGTAAACCAAGATCATAGCCAGAGAATAAGTGCCAAGCATCCAGTTGAAAGAGTGAAGATGAAAAAGGAATAATAAATAGCGAAATCACTGCATTTTCTATATATTGTATAGAAATCATTATACACACACACACAGAGACATCTATAATCAAAAAGAAAAACACAGACAACCCAATAAAAAATGAACAGAAGATTTGAACAGGCATTTCACAAAAAATAAAAATCAATTGCCAATAAACATATGAAAAGGGGCCCAACTTCCTTAGCATTAGAGAAACACAAAATAAAACCTGATAATCAGCTACTGCTACATAACCAACAAAGGGCTACAATAAAAAAGACTAACAATACCAAGTGTTGGCAAAGATTCAGAGCAAATAACCCTCTCATACATTATTTATGGTAATTTAAACTGATACAACAGGTTTTTTTTTTTAATTTGGCTTTAGTATCTACTAAAGCTAAATATACACACACCATATGACCCAGCCATTCCACTCCTAGGTGTTTATCCAACAGAAATATGTACACATTTGTGCCAGAATATACATACCACAATGTTTTTAGGGGCACTATTCATAAGTCAAAATCTGGGGAAAACACAAATGTCTATCCACAAGAGAATGAATAAAATAAATTGTGACATATTCCTACAAAGGAATACTATGTAGAAATGAAAGTGAATAAACAAAATGCACTAGACAATAACATGGATGAATCTCACAAGCATAATGTTGAAAATGAAACCAAATGCAAAATACAGTATTCTATGATTCAATTTACAGTAAGCTCAAAAACAGGCAAAACTATTCTAGGATGATAAAAGTCAGGAGAGTTATACTTTTAGGGAGGACCATGGTGAATAGGCCTGAGCAGAAGGAGGTTTCTCGGATGCCAACAATGTTCTGTTTCTTAATCTGGCCAGTGGCTCCACAGGAGAGTCCATTTCATGAAAACCCATAAACATGTACTTTTCGATTTGTCTGCATTTATGTATTTATGTTGTACATCAATAAAAATGTACCCAAAACACTTAGGAAGAGTATTTGCCTATGACAACTAAAGGCAATGTGGTTACAATAAATAACCAAAACCATAGTCAAAGTAAACCAAGGTCATAGCCAGAGAGTCAGTGCCAAGCAAGTTAAAACAGGATGAAAAAAGAATGAGAAATAGCAAAATCATTGCATTTACAAATACTAATTTTCTGAACATTTTTCCAAGTTTTTGGCCATGATATGTTGTTATCACAGAATTTTTCTCCCAACTTTTGGCTGTATTTTAAAGGTTTGCAAAGGCATCGTCACGTCCCTTTCAATGTAGTGTTTTAAACAAGCGTATATGTACACACCCATGAGCCCCAAGGATATGTACCATAATAATATAAGTATGGGACCACAAAACAACCAGAGTGATTCCCATAATCATCCACAAAATAAGTCTGATTATTTTATCATCACACTTGGTCTACGTGTACATGCTCTTTGTCACTGAGTGCTTAATTATAGGAGTCCAAAAACTTTGAGTAGCTGTCCTAATCATCAAAAGATTGTGTGCTGTGTAATGAAAAAAACACACGCTTTAACCCACCGTTTATCTATGTACTCCTCCACAATTGATTTAGCCTCCTTGACTCAGTTTCTGCTCATATAAATGGAGGAAATACTACCTACATCGTGGGACTAGAGTGAGAATTAAACAAAACAGCTTACAGCAAAGTGCCTGGTATATACTAAGACCTTGACAACTGCTAGACGGTTGCAGCAATGTAGCAGATTTTTAACCTTGCAGTTTTACCCATTTTAACATAAACACATTAACATTGCCTATTTCCTCCATATTTTAACGAGGATTAAGGGTTAGGCCTTTTGAACTTGTTTCATAGGCTGGGCATTTTCAGAAAATGTTGAAAAATATCCCAGACCCTGTCATTTCAGAAAGCAAAGCAGATAAAGGAGAAAGGGTATTGAAACCTATATTTGAATTCATGAAACAGACACCTTTTCAAGCACACACACTGAAAGTAAAAATAAAATTAACCACCAATTAATGATTGAATGAAAAGAAGTCTCAAAAAGAAAATCATAAGGATCAATTTTACCCTATTTAATTCATATTTTGATCAAATTTCTTTCAGTAAAACTAAACTATCACCATTGACAATACATAATTACTGAGAAAGAACAACTTCAATTGCAATTATATAAATAAAGATCCTTAATTTTTTGGATCTTTTTAATTTTGGATTAATATGTCCTTTAAAAAATGTTTTTTTCTGAACTATATTTTTTAACATAATTCCACTCAAACTTTGTCCACATTTTTGATTAGAAAATTGACTTCTTTTGCCTCAATATTAGGATATTAATTAAATAAAGTATGGCACATTCGTATAATGGACTTTTTAAAAATTTTTCCCCCATAGGTTATTGGGGTACAGGTGGTGTTTGGTTACATGAGTAAGTTCTCTAGCGGTGCTTTGTGAGGTTTTGGTGTACCCATCACCCGGGCAGTATACACTACACCCTATTCATAGTCTTTTATCCTTTGCCCGCCCTCCCACCCTCCCCCCCCATGTCCCCAAAGTCCAATATATAATGGACATTTAAAATATAACCATAAAAGTTGTATTTGCAAAGAATATTTGATGATTTAGGGAAAGGTCCTTAAAATATCTTTAAACAGCACAAAGGCTATGAAATAGTATGTGTACAGTGTAATTTCATTTCCATAAAGTTTATGCATGTTTGCACATGCATATAATAAAATTTTGGGAGGACAGCCATTCAAAATGTTCATAGTAGTTATCTTTGAATGATAGGATTGTGGGAGATATGCATTTCTTTCTTTAAATGTTTTGTCTTTCAAATTTTACACCATAAATATATACTACTTTAATAATAAGAAAATATTATTTTTAATTTTTCTGTATTCTGTAGATCTTGGCAGAAATCTAAGCAAAGATTTGTAAAATCTTTCTTCTCCTATCACTGTTCTCTCCCGGCCACTTTCATTTTGCCCATGCATGTGAAATATTTACGAACATCATGTAATCTAACAAAGAATAAGCATCTGTTTGCAAGTGATTATATGGACATATTCAATATTTTAGGCCCTGAACAGTATTTTCTCAAACAGACTAAAAAATTGACCTGTCCAAATTGCCTAAGGGGTCAATGTGGAAAGCAGAGAACGCAAGTCCACAGTCTGGCCTCTCCCTGAGTGTGTGACCCTGAATGAGTCATCCAACCACTCACATCCTCTGCTCCTCACTTGGGCCCTAAGGGAACTGTCTCTCCCATCTCTAAGGCCCAGAAGGCTCTGTGAAGCTTGCTTAGAGTTCTCACCAAGGCCAGGAGTGTTTGGTCCAATAGCTCTGCATTGGTTTGCTAGGGCTTCCATAGCAAAGTACCACAGACTGAGTGGCTTAAAGAATGGAAATTCATTTTCTCACAATTCTGGAGACTAGAAGTTCAAGATGATCAAAGTGTCAACAAAGTTGGCTTCTCCTGAAGCCTCTCTTCTTGGCTTGTCGATGGCCATCTTCTCCCTATATTTTTACATGATTTTCCTCTGTGTGTGTCTGTGACCTAATCTCTTCTTCTCATAAGGACACCAATCATATTGGATTAGGGCCCACCCTAGTGACCTTGCTTTACCTTAATTACCTCTGTTTTTGTTTTTTTGTTTGTTTGTTTGTTTGTTTTTGTTTGTTTTGAGACAGGGTCTCACTCTGTCACCTAGGCTGGAGTGCAGTGGTGCGATCATGGCTCACTGCAGCCTCAACCTCCTAGCCACAAGTGATCCTCCCACCTCAGCCTCCCAAGTATCTGGGTCCATAGGCATGCACCACTACACTCAGCTAATTTTTAAAATTTTTTGTAGAAACAGGGTCTCACTATGTTGCCCAGAGTGATCTCAAACACCTGGGCTTACAGGCATGAGTCACCACACCTGGCCTTAATTACCTTTTTAAAGACCCTATATCCAACACAGTCACATCTGAGATACTGGGAGTTAGGACTTCAGCATATTAATTCATCAGGGGGCACAGTTCAGCCGATAACAAGTTCCTATCAAGGAAATGAGCATAGAAAGTGGAAAGAAATGGATCTAATAGAGGCAAGAGAGTCTAATTAATGAAGTTGTATAGGATTGCCTGCAAATTTCCCAAAATGTGGGTGGAGTTCCATTTTTTTCACACTCCTCTATAGCAGGCAACTACTTCATGAAGGAGACTTCAGGGTGGGAGAATCTTCTATATATTATCCAACAAACTATCATGCCCACTGCCAGCTCAGAGTTCAACTTTAGCAGCATCTCCACTTTAATCCATTAGAGAGAGATTGTTTATACACTTATTTGAATATTTTACCGCATGTTGCCCTTATTATGTCAAATAAATGTGTAAAAAATGGAAAAATGACAGGCTGAAACTAGTGATTAGAAACATAAGTCTCATAATCTTACTACAATTGACATGAAAATGGGAATTATCATGTGGGCTCAAATCAGGAACTCTCTTAACTGGGAGTTCACTGAACTTAGGTTGATGTGTATACCTCTGTGAAGGAAAAAAACAAAGCTAAATAACATAGAACAAGTTCCAAAACCAGATGATCAAAGATTGAGCCTAAAAGACTAGATGTATTTTGGGATCTTAAAATAGTCTTTAGCTTTTAGAAAAGGGAATTTCCCTTGCTACATTCAAATAACTCATAACCTTTACACACTTGACATTTGCACACTTGATTCCAATAACTGCCTATAGGAAACTTGTTATAGGAGAAAAGAGAATTCCCTAGAGGCAAGTAAGGAACTGCCTAATGCAGTTCTTAGCTGACAGTATTTCAACAAGTAATATTGAACAAACAACTACAGTGAGCATGATTTAACAAGTCCCTAGCCACATCATTGAAGCATACTTTCTACACAGGTCCTGAGTCATCTTACACCCCGCCCTCCCTCATCCCCAGACATTCAGATTCACGGATTCTGCTTTCATGTTTCTTAACTCTCTCTCTCTCTCTCTTCCTTTCCACCCCTACTTTCCCAGCTCAAGTATTCATAACCTCTTGCCTAGAGAGGCTCCCTACCTCTGGTCTCCTCCCTTCCAAGCCACCCCACACTCCATCAGAACTCCACTGGTTCAATCAATGAGTATTTATTGAGCCCTTACTAGGTGCCCTGCAGACACTACTTACTAGGGACCATAGACACTATGTTGAGCCCTCGGAAGTCAATCTTGAACAAGGCAGACACGTACCCTGAAGGTGATAGTGTAGCCAGGAAGATAAACAATTGCTGTAGACCAACAATTACCATACACTAGTATTGTGAGTACTTTGTTAGGAAAGAACAGCATGCTACAAGAGAAGATAACTGGAAAACCAAAACTAGTATAGTTGAATGAAAAAAATTATATTAAAAAGGTATTTACTGCTATACATCTTTATCTGGGAAGATCTGCAAAGAGGGAGATGGGGAAACTTACAAGTTGGCAGATTTTGATGGGGTAATCAATAAATGTGCATTTAATACGCCTATTAGATATCTGACTACAAATATCAAGACAAGTGGGTGTGTGAGCTTAGAGTCCAGCATCAGGGACGGAGATAGATAATTGGGGATTGTCCATATTTAACACCACAGGATTGAATGAGATCCCTTACAAAGAGGAGAGGAGAAAAGGGAAAGGAGGGGGGAGAAGAAAGACAAGTACTGAGCCAATGGAGATTCAGTTTTTAGAGGTCAAAAAGATGGGAAAAAAAACAATGAGAAAAAAAGATGAAGGCTAGTCATTGAAGTCAAAGCAGGAGCATGAGGAGCCACGGAGCAAGCAAACGAGGCAGCGGAGTCTTTTCAACAAGTGGTGCTGAGAAAACTGGATATTCACATGAAAACACATGAAACTGGACTCTTACCTTACACGCTCTACAAAAATTAACTCAAAGACCTAAACATAAGAGCTAAAACTAAACACTCATAGAAGAAAACACAGGAGAAAAGCTTCAGGACATTGGATTTGGCAATGATTCCTTAGATATGACATCGAAAGCACAGGCAACAAAAGAAAAAATGGACAAATTGGACTTATCAAAATTTAAAACTCTTGTGCATCAAAGGACACAATCAGAAGAGTGGAAAGACAACCAAAGGAACAGGAGAAAGCATTTGCAAATCATTTATCCAGTAAGGGGTTATTATCCAGACTATATGAAGAGCTCCTACAATTCAACAACAACAAAGAAAAACAACCCGATTTAAAAAATGAGCAAAGGACTTGAATAGATATTTCTCCAAATATACAAGATATACAAATGGTCAACAAGCACATGAAAAGATACTAACACAAATCATTAGGAATATGCAAATCAAAACCCCAATAAGATATCACTACACACTCACTAGGATGGCTACTAGTTAAAACAAAACAAAACAAACAAAAAAACAGAAAACTAGTGTTGGCAAAGATGTAGAAAACTGGAGCTCTTGTATATTCTTGGTAGGAAGGTAAAATGGTACAACTGCTATACAAAACAGGCAGTCCTCAAAAAATTAAACATAGAATTACCATACGATCCAGGAATACTACTTCTGGGTATGTATCCAAAATAATTGAACACAGCGTCTCAAAGAGCTATTTGTATACCCATGTTCCTAGCAGCATTATTCACAAAAACCAAAGAGAAGGCCGGGCACGGTGGCTCACGCCTGTAATCCCAGCACTTTGGGAGGCCGAGGTGGGCGGATCACGAGGTCAGGAGATCGAGACCATCCTGGCTAACACGGTGAAACCCCGTCTCTACTAAAAATACAAAAAATTAGCCAAGCGTGGTGGCGGGCGCCTGTAGTCCCAGCTACTCGGGAGGCTGAGGCAGGAGAATGGCATGAACCTGGGAGGTGGAGCTTGCAGTGACCCGAGATCGTGCCACTGCACTCCAGCCTGGGCGACAGAGCTAGACTCCATCTCAAAAAAAGCACACACACACACACACACACACACACACACACACACAAAGAGTATTAGTAAGCTAAGTATTCATCAACAAACAGAAAAAAAATTGAGTTTTATTCAGCCTTAAAAAGAAGGAAATTCTGACATATGCTGTGATATCAATGAACCTTGATGATATTATGTAAAATAAAATTTAAAAGTCATAATAGGACAACTACTGTACGATTCCATACAGTATTTAAAAAATTTTTAGGTTTAAAAAAATTTAAAAGTCATAATAGGACAAATACTGTATTATACGATGAGCCTAGAGTAGTCAAATTCATAGAAACCAAAAGTAGAATCGTGGTTACCAGGGACAGGGAGACAGAGGTACGACGGAGCTGTTGTTTAATGGGTATAGAGTTTTGGTTTTCCAAGATGAAGAGAGCTCTGGAGACTGATTGCACAGCAGTGTGAATGTACTTAACACTACTGAACTGCACACTTTAAAAAGGTTAGATGATACATTTTACATTATGCATATTTTACCACAGTTTTAATTTTTTTTAATAATCAAAAAATGAAGAATTAGCCCATATTGCTGAGAGGTTAAATAAGATGAGGACGGAACTCTCCGTGACAAGACAGAGCACTGAAGCCTTTGTTAAAGCCATTTCAGTGGAGTGAGTCCCAGAAGCCCCATTGAAATGTCAGTGGAAGAGAGACTGGGAGATGAGGAAATGGAGCTCATGGGAATACAGAACTTTCCAGCTTGAAAAGAAGCACAGAGATGAGGCAGAGCAGGAGGAGGGGATGGGGTCAAGGTTGGCAGGGCCAAGATGAGGGCTATAAAAGAATGTTTGTAGAGAACTGTGGTAGGGCCACCCTGCGGTGTAGGGTGGCCATTTGAGATCTGTGGTCTTACATTTGAAATGAGCCTTGCTGGCATGGTTGTGTTTTCTACAGCACTGGGAAGCTGCCCGTGAGCAGGTGCAGAGTTGGTGGGTAGCAAGCTTTAACCAGCACTGTGTGATTTTTTTCTAGGCAAGGACCATAGAGGAAAGAGAGAGGCATGAGCTTTATGGGAAGTAAGGGCATGAGAAGAGGGTCCTGGCAGTGAAGGAGAGGCTGCATTCAGGCTGGGACTTACCAGAGTGGGAGCATTAAATATGTGAGTTGGAACTATAGGAGGGGATCAGGGAGCAGGATGGTTGAAATCTAGATTTCAGAGGTGGGGCAGTTATCGTCGATGACTTAGTCAGGTTGAGCAAAATGTCTTCAGAGCTAAAAAGGTCAAGGAAATAAAGAGTTCCCAATATTGATCGGATCACCTACATAAATGCTGATGTTGCCCCCAAAGAAAGGAAGAGAATAGGGAGTGAATGTGGAGAAGAGGGGGAGGATCTGAAGCAAGGGGAACAGTGTGTGCAAAGGACAGACTCTCACTGTGAGGAGCAGAGAGACATTCATGAAGGATGGAGAACTGATACCATGGGGTAGATAAAGGTGGAGTGGAACGCACAGCTATTTTTGTGAAGACTTTGAAACACACGCGAAGGAATTTGTATCTTATTGTAAGGAAAGCTATTGAAGGATTTTAAGCAAAGGGTACACAATCATATTTGTGTTTTTAAAAAATGCTCTGATAAACAAACTGTGTTATATCCAGACAATGGCATATTATTCAGCATTAAAAGAAATAAGCTACCAAGCCATGAAAAGACATTGAAGAAACTTAAATGCATATTACTAAGTGAAAAAAGCCAATATGAAAATGCTAAATACTATATGATTCCAACAGTATGACATTCTAGAAAAGAAAATACAATGGAGATAGTAAAAAGATGAGTGGTTAGTAAGGGTTGGGGTGGAAACGGGAGAAGAAGGGATGAATAGATGGAGCACAGAGGATTTTTAGAACAGTGAGATTATTCTGCATAATCCTCTAATGATAGATACATGTCAGTATACATTCATCCAAACCCATAGACTGTGCAACACCAAGAATGGCCCCTAATGTAAACTATGGACTTTGGGTGATAATGATGTGTCCATGTAGGTTCAGCAATGGTCACATGTACCACTCCAGTGGGGGATGTTGATAGCAGGGTAGATTACAGATGTGGGAGGGGCAGGGGATGTAGGGACTCTGTACTTTCTACTCAATTTTGCTGTCAACCTAAAACTACTCTAGAAATAAAGTCTTTTTTTTTTTTTTTTTTTTGAGACGGAGTCTCGCTCTGTCGCCCAGGCTGGAGTGCAGTGGCGCGATCTCGGCTCACTGCAAGCTCCGCCTCCCGGGTTCACGCCATTCTCCTGCCTCAGCCTCCCGAGTAGCTGGGACTACAGGCGCCCGCTACCACGCCCGGCTAATTTTTTGTATTTTTAGTAGAGACGGGGTTTCACCGTGTTAGCCAGGATGGTCTCGATCTCCTGACCTCGTGATCCGCCCACCTCGGCCTCCCAAAGTGCTGGGATTACAGGCGTGAGCCACCGCGCCCGGCCTATTTTTTAAAAAATCACACTGAACTGCTGTGTGGAGCACAGATGAAACAGGGGCAACCTGGAGAGAAAGAGCCCAAACAACAGGCTATTGTTGCTACTCACAGAGACAGCACAGAACAGGAGCTAATTTGGGAACTCGGGAGTGGGCATAGTGGATTCAGTTTGGAGGGGCATGCTGAGTCTGAGTTTCCCAGGGCTGAAGGGGGTCCATGCCCAGTACTTTTTCCATATAAGCACCAAGCAATTAAAAATCCATCAGTGCGTAACCCTGCAGCACTGAAAACACACTCACAGCCAAGGCCAGCTCAAGGCTGTTTGCATGAGGTCATGTAGCTTGGTGGTTGGGCTCAAGAATTCTGGAACCAAACTTCCTAGTTTGAATCTTAGCACTGCCACTTACCAGCTTGAGCAACTTATTTAAACTTTTTGCCTCCATTTCCTTATGTGTAAAATGGTAAATAATAATAGCACCTACTCATAAGGCTGCTTAGATTAAATGAGTTAGTACATTTAGCATAGTTAGTATCTATATAATACTAACTCTGGAAAGAGAGGGTTAGTAGTATATAAATATATGTAATAATTTATATATTAAGAAAATAAATCATAGAATAATGTATGATTGTTTGCTATCAATATTATGAACACTAATTACTTTGAAGAAAGGTTAGCTGACATATTTCTTCATCCATTCCATTGTTCATTCATTCAACAGGTATTGATAGAGTCCTCACTACCGGCACTCAAACATAAATCAGACACCAATTCTGCTCTCAGCAAGCTTAGACTAGCAGAGATTTAGACACGCAGAATTTTATATGTTCAATCCCTCTCTGAAGAACAACTTGAGTTAATCAATAACAGGAAATATTATTGTTGAAATATATACATCACCACAAAAATAACCTTCAAATACTTTTCCTATATAAAATCAAAGTCATGTATTATCTTGCTTCATATATATAATTCTTTCTTTTATATAACTGTCCTTAAATGATACATCTAAAGTGATATGTTTTTCATCATATACGTTTTAAATATGTATGTTTGCAAGCAAATATAAACAAATACATAATCTTGCCTTGCTTTTAAAAGATAATCAGGCATTATATAAAATAAGCATTATATATCTGGCTACATGAGTGATAGTATGGTGTAGTGGTTAGGAGAAGAGTCTGAAGCAAGATCACCTAAATTTAAATTCCTGTTCTACTAATTGTGTGATCTTGGGCAAGTGAGGCCTCTTTGTACCTTACTTTCCCCATTCTGTAAAATGGGACTATAATAACACTTCATAGAGTTGTTATGAGGCTTAAATAAGTTAACAAACATGCAGTATTTTCAATACTAAAAACCCCAAAGTATTAGCTTTCTTATGCAGAAATGTTCCACCCACATTTTTGTACTTATTTATTTTGTGCTTGTTTATTTGTAAGCGAAACTTAGGGTTCAAGTAATTTTATTAAACTCTGGAATATGCATCATTATCAAAGGAAAATGTTAGATTTTACCCAAGCTCAGTTGGTACAGGCATTTCTCCTGAAATAAGAAGGGCTCCTGTGAAATAGTTACTCCCGAGTGTTGCCAGTTGCTATTCAGCAGCTAGAATCGGCCACCAGAGGCTGCCAACAAGGACTTGTGGACAATGCAAGGGTGAACAGCAGGAAAGGCAGAAACAGGTCAATTTAACCAGAATTACTTCTAGATCTGCCCCATCAGCATCAAGAAAAGCCAGAAATGTTTTTCTGAGGGAGGCAGGATGTTTTCTCTTTACATTTAAACGTCAAATTTTGACAAAGTAGGACACCAACGCTTGGAGAACTTTCTGCTTGAAATGATTGATAGTATTTATTTGAGTTTTGGTCTGTGTGTTCCATAACTTCTCTAAGAGTCACACTGCCACCTGATTCGTAGAACCTCTTGCAGATCTCTTTCACTGACTCACAGATGGTGGGCTGTGGATACAAAACACCAAAGGTGAGCCCAGCCCACTCCACAGGGAGAATTAGAGTGTCCAAGCTTCATCTGCCAAACATGTGGAACCTCTGTTCCCAGGGCACATGGAGAGATAGTTCTTTGAATCAACATCCATATTACTCCGACAACTCAAGTTGACATAAAAATATCAAGTGTTCATCTTATTTGTATATAGAAATTGCATATTCAGGTGAGTTGCTTTTAAAATCTATTTCTTCATTGTAACATAGTTCCTCATTTATGGCCTGCTTTGTAATAAATTATCCTTTGTAATTTCCCAATCTCTATTTTTCACTAATTAATTTAAAACCTATTTCAAAGAAAACAGATGCATTTCTGTATTTAAATTTTATTTGTTTATGCATAGGCCAGTATTTTTATCTTTCTTGGCAGCTATGTAATAATATTTTAGATCAATTTGTTATCTTTTATTATCCACACAGTATCCAGGATCATTTGCCATTTTAAAAAGTCAACTGTAATTTAACGACATGCTGAATTCCTTGTATTGTTTTGGAAATAACTTCAGGAAAATGTAACTATAATACACCCAAATGGCATACAAATTTTGATATTGTTGTATAAAATTTGTTCAAGTTCACTCTATGTTAATTTTTTATTTTTTATTTATTTGTTTTTAGAGACAGGATCTTGCTCTGTCACCTGGGCTGGAGTGCATTAGTGCAATCATAGCTCACTGCAGCCTCCATCTCCTGGGCTCAAGGAATCCTTCTGCTTCAGCCTCCCAAGTAGCTTGGATTACAGGCATGTGCTACCACACCCAGCTAATTTTTTCATTCTTTTGTAGAGAGGGAGGTTTCACTATGCTGTCCAGGCTGGTCTCAAACTCATGGCCTCAAGGGATCCTTCTGCCTAGGCCTCCCAAAGTGCTGGGATTACAGGCATGAGCTACCACGCCCAGCTAGTATATTTTATATGAGAACTAAAAAACTTAACAATGGTTTACGGGGTACATTATCTAGCCAGATTTCCTTTCTGACTTCATCTCCTGCCTCGCTTTTCCTTGTTCATTCTACCCTGACCTCACATAAATCCTTGAACACATCGGGCACCATCACCTTGGGGCTTCTGCACTAACTGAGGCCTCTCCCTTTGTTTTTCTTTCCCCCAGATATCACTTTCCCACCTCAGATAGCACCTTCTCAGTGAGTTTTCTGGACCACCTTTATATATGAAACATCTCCAGCATCCCCAGTCCTCCTCCAATCCCTGCTATTTTTTTTTCCCATAGCACTTATCACTTCTAATATACAGCATAATTTTCCTCCCTTTTTATGTATTGTCTGTCTTCCTCTCCAGGAATCTAAGCTCCACGAGAGCAAGGATTTTTGTCTGTTTTGTTCTATTGATGCATCCACAAGGCCTAGAACAGTGCCTG
The DNA here is from genome assembly GCF_000001405.40 of Homo sapiens. Lineage (NCBI taxonomy): Eukaryota > Metazoa > Chordata > Mammalia > Primates > Hominidae > Homo > Homo sapiens. Next base: position 32,344,851 of record NC_000007.14, read on the forward strand.
GTACATAATAGGGGCTCAATAAATATTTTTTAAACTAGTGGAGAGATATTAATAATATAAAATTTTCCCAAGTCATCCCTTTATCACTTATGAGAATTGCATCTATCATCCCACTTGCAGTTTTAGCTAAAACTGAGGTTCATGCTAATCCTTAACCTTGAATGGTACTCAGACTTTGAAACAAAGAATAACTAAAGGCCCTAGCACTTCATCCTCAAACCATGCCCCTTCTGTTATGATCACAGATGAGCTCTTCTGGAAAAATTCCTCACACAGGGCCTCAGGATCCCCCATCCCTGAAATTTCCAGGTGATGTCTTTCCCTCTCAAGTGTAGAGTGGAACTGTCAGGATATGACTCCTGTCAATCATCCCTAAGCAATGCCCATGAGCCCCTTCGCAGACACGTGCTGCCTACCTGCAGTGGGGAGGAAAGCAGGGAGAGGCTGCAAAACCCTGGTTAGTGTAAAATCACCCTCATTTTCTCTTGTGTTTCTATAATAGAATGAAGAGACACCCATTCCCCAGTATCTCAAATCAAGTAAGCGAGTGGCAACTGCCACCGTGGCTTCCAATTTCTTCCTTGAGGAGTGTAATAAAAGAATCAGATGACACCAAAAGCATGAACCATAAGAGAAAAAGAATTTATAAATTGGACTTCACTAAAATTAAAAACTCTTGCTCTTCAAAAAACACCATTAAGAAAATGAAAAGAAAAGTAATATCCTGGGAGAAAATATTTGCAAAATGTAACTGAAATGACTTGTATTCAGAAGACATTTTAAAAAATCTTACAAGCCAATAAGATAAACAACTCAATTTAAAAATAATTGAGTAAAACATGTAAACAGACAATTCATTAAAGAAAATATATGGATAGTAAATAAACACATGAAAAAATTTTCAGTATTATTAGTCATTAATAAAATGCAAATCAAAACCACAATGAGATACCACCACACCCTCTAGCAGAATGGCTATCATCAAAAAGATAATAACAAGAATTGGTGAGGATGTGAAGAAACCTTCATACATTGCTAGTGGAAATGCAAAATGGTATAATCACTTTGGAAAACAGTTTGGCATTTTCTTAACAAGTTAAATACAAACCCACCTTGTGGCCAGGCAATTACATTCCCAAGTATCCCAAGAGAAATAAAAACTTACATCCACATGAAGACTCACAAGTGAATATTCATAATGGCCCAAAACTGGAAACAACCTAAATGTCCATTATTTGGTAAATGGATAAGCAAACGATATGTCATACATGAAATCAGGGCCAACTTCATGGCACACAACAGTGCAGTTGCACATGGCCCCACACTCAGAAGGGCCTCTGAACTTAGGATTGAATGTACTATGGTCACCATTTTGAAATTCTTAATAAATTTATCTTTGAATTTGTGTTTTGTAAGTGAAATCTAATAAGACATGCACCAGATCTAGGTACCCAGTGCATGCCAGCATGGAGGTTGCATCACCCTGGGGGGTCTCCTGTCCACTTAGGGTTAGGACAGTTGCCCCTTGCAAAAGGGAAATACCTGGTTCAGCTTCCCTGGCCCCAGCCAAGCTACAGCACGTTGCTCCAGTGGTTGATGGGAAAGGTAACCTTGCAGTGGGACATGTGTGCATGGTGAGTCATGGGCCCCCAGGTGCCTGTAAGGGTCTACACTCACCTTGAGACTATCTCCATGCCTGAAGGGGAGAAAACATTAAAAAGCAAACAAGTAACACCATGGCAAGCTTGGAACAAGACTGCAGAAGAAAGGAAAAAACTTTGTGCTTTGGTACCTTTAATGACAATGTTTTCCTGCTTTTTGAACAAGGGACCTGGCATCTTCATTTTGCACTTGGCCTGCAAATTATGTATAAATCCTGAATAAAACACCATGCAGTAACAAAGAGGAACAAACTAATGATACATGCAATAACATGGATGAACTTTACAAACATTATCCAAGGTAAAAGAAGTCAGAGTCAAAGACTACACATGGCATGGTTTTATTTACATAAAATCTCTAGAACAGGGAAAACTATAGAATCAGAAAGCAGTTTTGTGGTTATCTGGGGCTGACTGTAGGAACAGGCATTGAGTGCAAACAAGCCCAAGGGAACTTTTAGGGTAACGGAAGTATTTCAAAACTAGATTGTGATGATAGTTTAAATGTGTAAATGCACTAAAACAAACTGAACTGCACACTAAAAATGAGTAAATTTTATGGTTGTAAATTACACCTCAATGAAGTTGTTTTAAAAAGAATCCGTCTCACCTCTACTCCCTATAATCCACCCACACATCTAGCCCAGCCAGGCAAGGTTCACAGCATAGGAAACCCCTCAGTCTACACCCAAGGGAACACGATTAGCCATGAGACTGAGAACACCTTAGACAATTGGAGCCACCTTCTGCTGAGGTACTGAACAGTGCAACTGATATCTGAGTAGTACATGGTATTGATTTTTTTGAGGAATCAAGGAAGAGTGAAACTTTATTGACCTCTCAGTCTTTATAGACCTTGCAGTTTCTGTTATTAGAATAAGAATCAAGAACAATCTTATTTTGGCAGGTAGAATTCTCTGTGGATCCTGCCCCCTGGTGGTCATGCCCTGTATAATTCCCTCCCCTTCAGTGTGAGTAGAATATAGCAAAGGTAAAGGTGTTTTGTAAATGTAATTAAGGTACCTAATCAGTTGACTTTAGTCAATCAAAAGAAAGAGCATCATGGGTGGGCCTGACTTAATAAAGCGAGGGCCCTCCCTAAAGTCAGGGATTCTTCTTGCTGGCTTGAAGAAGTCGGCTGCTATGTCAAGGAAGCTCACCTGGCAAAGAGCTATGTGTGGTCTCTATGATTTCAGAGAAGTCTTTATTTGAAAGCCAGCAAACATCTGGAGTCTTCAGTTATATAGCTTCAAGGAAACAAAATCTGCCAATAATTTTGATGAACTCCAAAGCAGATTCTTCTCCAGATAAGAATGCAGTCCAGCCAATGCTTTGACTATAGTTTCATGAGACCCTCAGCAGAGGACCCGACTATGCTGTGCCAACCTCCCAACTGGGAGACAATAAATGTAGTTGTTTTAAACACTATGTTTGTGATCATTTGTTACAGAAGAGAAAAACCGTACATTTAACCACACAAAGGAAGCACCCTTACCTTTGTCCAACCCTAAGATAGATTATTACATCTGATGAAGGTCACAGAGCCACTATGATCATGAGAGTAGACTGTAAGTGTGGCAACCGTTGTTTACTAAAACAAACATCAGACTCCATCATCTCATGGCTGCAAATGACTTTATGAGGGAAAGAGGACTGGGTTTTAAGACCAGTTTTGTCCCATAAACATTTGAATGGGTGGTGGCCATAGCTTAAAGATAGAAAGGTATGTAAAGGAGACTGGACCAATACCTGGCATACAATAAGTGCTCAATAAATGTTAGCTTACTCTTTACCCACTTGAAGACTTTCTTTCTCTAACTAACCAAAAATAAAAAACAAATGTGCTTTTTTTTTTTTTTTTTTTTTTTTTTGAGATGGGGTCTCGCTCTGTCACCCAGGCTGGAGTGCAGTGGTATGATCTTGGCTCACTGCAAGCTCTGTCCACCAGGTTCATGCCATTCTCCTGCCTCAGCCTCCCAGGTAGCTGGGACTACAGGCACCTGCCACCATGCCTGGCTAATTTTTTGTATTTTAGTAGAGACAGGGTTTCACCATGTTAGCCAGGATGGTCTTGATCTCCTGACCTTGTGATCCTCCTGACTCGGCCTCCCAAAGTGCTGGGATTACAGGCATGAGCCACCACGCCCAGCCACAAATGTGCTTTTTAACAGTGGCCTTCTATAGACAATAGACTCAGCTTCATTTTCTTATCTGGGGTAGGGGGACTCCCCAGATGGCCATCAAAAGATGTATCTTAAGCCAGTGACTCATTGAAGCTCCTATTCCAGAACTTTGCATGGTCACTCTAACTGCACCATTGAGTGGGCCCTGTTCTGTACAGGTGAGCTCACCCACATTGGCCAACTCTGATCAAAGATCAATAAGCAACCAAGAACTGGTTACTGCTTAAACTTATAACAAGCAAGTATTCTAAATCCTCTTCTCTCACACAACTAAAGCTTTGGATAAGACTGCTCCTTGAAGAAGACAGTCTAACAGAACCAACAGAGGGTGTCTAGCCATCAAAGAACCAACCAATGGGCCATCCCTTCAAAGCGGATTAATTCAAACTCATTCTCCAATGCCAGGGACCCCTTCCAAGTGTCTCCATAGAAGTAGCCCTCGCAGTCACCTGTGGCCTCTTGGGAGTTTCTCAGGATGTCACAGAAGGTTCACAGACTTGGGCCAAATATTACTCCATTCAGTTTAGTTCATCTCTATTGAACCCTGCAGCACACCAAGCCCTGGGCCCTGGCAGGGCACACGGAGTTGAATGTGGCTTGTCCCTGCTCTTAAGGACCTCAGGCCAGTGGGGCAGGTGTCACATTGAACAAATATACTTACTCTCACAAAGACATAGATTATGATGGGAGAAAGGAAGGGACTGGGAGAGTGTGGAGGGAAATGGGTCTGGCTTTAGTTCTCCCTCTCTGGTCCTAAAAGGGAGGTCCAAAATTAAATTCACTTGGAAACGTGTGGGCTAAAGTTAACTTTTGCACTCTCTGGAGAGGTGTTTTCTAAAAACATTTAAAGCAAAACATTTTCAAAATGGGCCTTTATGACATCTATTAAGTAATGCATTTGTCAGTTAGAGCTGTCTCCTATATTCATTAAAGTTGAAATTTTTTTTTTTTGAGAAGGAGTCTCACTCTGTTGCCCAGGCTGGAGTGTGCAATGGCACAATCTTGGGTCACTGCAACCTCCACCTCTCGGGTTCAAGCGATTCTTCTGCCTGAGCCTCCCAAGTAGCTGGGACTGCAGGCGCATGCCACCACACCCAGCTAATTTTTGTATTTTTAGTAGAGACAGGGTTTCACCCATATTAGCCAGGCTGACTCGAACTCCTGACCTCGTGATTCACCCGCCTCAGCCTCCCAAAGTGCTGGGATTACAGGCGTGAGCCACCACAGCCAGCCTCAAGTTGAATTTTTTAATCCCCTCTTTTTAGAATATTCTGCTAGCAATAAGTTCCTGTACTCTGTGGACAATAATACATTCCTTACTTTGTATTCATGTGATGCTTATCCATGTCCTGCTTTGTGGCATTCCTTTGTATTGTCTTGCTGTTGTTGTTGTTGTTGTTCTTCTTCTTCCTTCTTCTTTTTCTTCCTTCTTCTTTTTCTTCCTTTTGAGACTTTTGAACTTACTCAAAATTAAACACAATAATATAATGAGCCGCCATTTAGCTATTCCCAGCACCAACTACCATCAATTCACAGCCAATTGTGTCCTTTCTACATTCCCATTAACCTCCCTCCCTCCTGTATCATTTTGAAGCAAACTCCAGACATCACGTCATTTCATCTTACATACTTTATGTTCTAGAGTATGTATGTAGAACATAAAGGGTCTTTCTTTTTAACACAACCACAATACTATTATTATAACTAAGCCAAACAAAGAACAATTCCTTAATATCATCAAATATTGTGTTCTAATATCTAATCATCTCCCAAATGTCATAAATGGTTGCTAGGTTCTTTTTCTAGTTTGTTAGAATCTGGTCCAACTAAGGTCTATGCATGGCATTTGACTAATATATATATATATATATATATATATATATATATATATATATATTTTTTTTTTTTTTTTTATTATACTCTAAGTTTTAGGGTACATGTGCACATTGTGCAGGTTAGTTACATATGTATACATGTGCCATGCTGGTGCGCTGCACCCACTAATGTGTCATCTAGCATTAGGTATATCTCCCAATGCTATCCCTCCCCCCTCCCCCGACCCCACCACAGTCCCCAGAGTGTGATATTCCCCTTCCTGTGTCCATGTGATCTCATTGTTCAATTCCCACCTATGAGTGAGAATATGCGGTGTTTGGTTTTTTGTTCTTGTGATAGTTTACTGAGAATGATGGTTTCCAATTTCATCCATGTCCCTACAAAGGATATGAACTCATCATTTTTTATGGCTGCATAGTATTCCATGGTGTATATGTGCCACATTTTCTTAATCCAGTCTATCATTGTTGGACATTTGGGTTGGTTCCAAGTCTTTGCTATTGTGAATAGTGCCGCAATAAACATACGTGTGCATGTGTCTTTATAGCAGCATGATTTATACTCATTTGGGTATATACCCAGTAATGGGATGGCTGGGTCAAATGGTATTTCTAGTTCTAGATCCCTGAGGAATCGCCACACTGACTTCCACAATGGTTGAACTAGTTTACAGTCCCACCAACAGTGTAAAAGTGTTCCTATTTCTCCGCATCCTCTCCAGCACCTGTTGTTTCCTGACTTTTTAATGATTGCCATTCTAACTGGTGTGAGATGATATCTCATAGTGGTTTTGATTTGCATTTCTCTGATGGCCAGTGATGATGAGCATTTCTTCATGTGTTTTTTGGCTGCATAAATGTCTTCTTTTGAGAAGTGTCTGTTCATGTCCTTCGCCCACTTTTTGATGGGGTTGTTTGTTTTTTTCTTGTAAATTTGTTTGAGTTCATTGTAGATTCTGGATATTAGCCCTTTGTCAGATGAGTAGGTTGCAAAAATTTTCTCCCATGTTGTAGGTTGCCTGTTCACTCTGATGGTAGTTTCTTTTGCTGTGCAGAAGCTCTTTAGTTTAATTAGATCCCATTTGTCAATTTTGTCTTTTGTTGCCATTGCTTTTGGTGTTTTGGACATGAAGTCCTTGCCCACGCCTATGTCCTGAATGGTAATGCCTAGGTTTTCTTCTAGGGTTTTTATGGTTTTAGGTTTAACGTTTAAATCTTTAATCCATCTTGAATTGATTTTTGTATAAGGTGTAAGGAAGGGATCCAGTTTCAGCTTTCTACATATGGCTAGCCAGTTTTCCCAGCACCATTTATTAAATAGGGAATCCTTTCCCCATTGCTTGTTTTTCTCAGGTTTGTCAAAGATCAGATAGTTGTAGATATGCGGCATTATTTCTGAGGGCTCTGTTCTGTTCCATTGATCTATATCTCTGTTTTGGTACCAGTACCATGCTGTTTTGGTTACTGTAGCCTTGTAGTATAGTTTGAAGTCAGGTAGTGTGATGCCTCCAGCTTTGTTCTTTTGGCTTAGGATTGACTTGGCAATGCGGTCTCTTTTTTGGTTCCATATGAACTTTAAAGTAGTTTTTTCCAATTCTGTGAAGAAAGTCATTGGTAGCTTGATGGGGATGGCATTGAATCTGTAAATTACCTTGGGCAGTATGGCCATTTTCACGATATTGATTCTTCCTACCCATGAGCATGGAATGTTCTTCCATTTGTTTGTCTCCTCTTTTATTTCCTTGAGCAGTGGTTTGTAGTTCTCCTTGAAGAGGTCCTTCACATCCCTTGTAAGTTGGATTCCTAGGTATTTTATTCTCTTTGAAGCAATTGTGAATGGGAGTTCACCCATGATTTGGCTCTCTGTTTGTCTGTTGTTGGTGTATAAGAATGCTTGTGATTTTTGTACATTGATTTTGTATCCTGAGACTTTGCTGAAGTTGCTTATCAGCTTAAGGAGATTTTGGGCTGAGACGATGGGGTTTTCTAGATAAACAATCATGTCGTCTGCAAACAGGGACAATTTGACTTCCTCTTTTCCTAATTGAATACCCTTTATTTCCTTCTCCTGCCTGATTGCCCTGGCCAGAACTTCCAACACTATGTTGAATAGGAGCGGTGAGAGAGGGCATCCCTGTCTTGTGCCGGTTTTCAAAGGGAATGCTTCCAGTTTTTGCCCATTCAGTATGATATTGGCTGTGGGTTTGTCATAGATAGCTCTTATTATTTTGAAATATGTCCCATCAATACCTAATTTATTGAGAGTTTTTAGCATGAAGGGTTGTTGAATTTTGTCAAAGGCTTTTTCTGCATCTATTGAGATAATCATGTGGTTTTTGTCTTTGGCTCTGTTTATATGCTGGATTACATTTATTGATTTGCGTATATTGAACCAGCCTTGCATCCCAGGGATGAAGCCCACTTGATCATGGTGGATAAGCTTTTTGATGTGCTGCTGGATTCGGTTTGCCAGTATTTTATTGAGGATTTTTGCATCAATGTTCATCAAGGATATTGGTCTAAAATTCTCTTTTTTGGTTGTGTCTCTGCCCGGCTTTGGTATCAGAATGATGCTGGCCTCATAAAATGAGTTAGGGAGGATTCCCTCTTTTTCTATTGATTGGAATAGTTTCAGAAGGAATGGTACCAGTTCCTCCTTGTACCTCTGGTAGAATTCGGCTGTGAATCCATCTGGTCCTGGACTCTTTTTGGTTGGTAAACTATTGATTATTGCCACAATTTCAGAGCCTGTTATTGGTCGATTCAGAGATTCAACTTCTTCCTGGTTTAGTCTTGGGAGAGTGTATGTGTCGAGGAATGTATCCATTTCTTCTAGATTTTCTAGTTTATTTGCGTAGAGGTGTTTGTAGTATTCTCTGATGGTAGTTTGTATTTCTGTGGGATCGGTGGTGATATCCCCTTTATCATTTTTTATTGTGTCTATTTGATTCTTCTCTCTTTTTTTCTTTATTTTGACTAATATATTTTTAAGTCTTTTTAGTCTACAGGTATTGCCTGTAGTTTTTGTTTTTTTTTTTTTTCTAGTTTGTTAGATTCTGGATCCAACTATGGTGCACAGATGGCATTTGACCAACATATTTTTAAATCTTTTTAGTCTACAGGTATTGCCTCCATTCTTTTTTATTTTCCTTGCAATTTATTTGAGTGTATTGTCTTTGAGATTGTTTTAAATTTCTTGCATGAGAGGAACTGGAGCTTGGAGGAGTTTATGAAATGATATAGAAGAAGGTATTTTTCTCTTTTTCATATTTGTCTTATTTTAGAAATATCCATTTGGGAGCTGAAATGAAAACATCCACTTCCTCACTCCCAGTGTACCCAACTGAATATCATGACATCAATACAATCTCCTCAGGTCCATGGTTAGATAACTATTGTCTTCTTGAAAATCAACCCAGGATCCCAAAGGACCAAAATCACTGAGAGAAGGCCCCAGTCCAGGGAGCAACAGACAACAACAGGAGAACTTTTGGCATATTCATTCCGTTTGCATTTGCCTGTTTTCTTTCTCCTCTATGACTTCCAAGATCCCTCCCAAAGCGTGATTCTATGATTCTTGTAGAGTCTTAGGACATCTAAAACCCCCAGAAAAAACTTAACTGCCAAATTATTTCAGGAGAATAAAATACACCAGATGCCAGGCCAACTCCTTGAGCTTTGATGAATATAGATATTTGGCCAGTAGTGATAAATGTGGAGAAACCTCTTTTTCCCTTCATCAATCACAATTGTTGGAATGCTATTATCTAGTTGACACACAGAGATCTCTGCAGTTTTCTAACTTTAAAAGTTTGGGCCAGGTGCAGTAGCTCATGCCTGTAATCTTGGTACTTCAGGAAGTCAAAGCAAGAGAATCACTTGAGGCCAGAAGTTTGAGACCAGTCTGAGCAACATAGTGGGACCCTGTCTCACACAAAAAAATTTTTTAATATTAACTGAGCATGGTGATGCATACCTGTACTCCCAGCTACTTAGGAGGCCGAGACTGCAATGAGCTGTGATCTCACCACTGCACTCCACCCTAGGTGACAGAATGATACCTTGTTTAAAAAAAAGTTTGTAAAAATCCTTGCAGGGGAAGAGCCCAAGCTCATGAGTTTGGGAGGGCCACACAACCTGTCCCAGAGTTCTGCCTAGGAATTGAGAGATATGGATCCTCACTCAGTCATTGCCACTCATGTGTAATTTGGTCTCACACACAACTTCCTCATTTGTGCAGAAGCCTCCTCAACCCAGCCTTCCAGACAATTATCAGCATTCAGTGAGAGTCAGTACAAAAGATGAAACACTTGCTATCCCTGGGCCAGAAGATCTCTCTAAGGCCTAAGGGCCCTGATGACTCTTTAAGCTTTTTCTTTTTACATTCCAAATCTTCTTTGCAAAGGCAATTCTGATTTCAGTGGCCATTGGAGTTTCCCTCTCTGGAGGACTTCGTCTTGTTTCAGAGCTTGGCACCTGGTCGCTTCTCTCAGAGTCAGGAGCTCTCATCCCTGGCAGGAACCAACCCCTGGCTTTCTCACTCTCTCAACACCCCAAAGCTCTTAAAGCCCTAGAAGGGTCCCAGGTAACTAACCACAGCTCCTTCACCCACAAAGCAGTGCAGAAAGCCAGAGCTGGCTCAAGTAAAGGGAGTCCCAAGTGTGAAAGTCAATCTCCGCGAACATGAAAGCTGCCCTGGCAGTTAATAAGGGGAGCTCTGAGCTTCTGATTCTATGGGAAGGCAAGATGGCTGGGACCATCTCAGTCCAGAAGCAGGCTAAGCCTCCCTTAGCCCTCAATGCAGACTTAAATAGAAAACACGCAGCCCTGCCCAAGAGGGGCAGTGCACACTCCAAACATCCACTGCAGCAGCTCGCTAGGTTGAGAGGGTTTTGACTGAAACCAAAGAGAAGGCATCGTGGCACACACTCCTTGGAGTGTTACAGTGCCCCTCCCTTTTCTGCAATGTGTCCCCCACCATCCCCTCAAATCTTTCTCCGTTTCTGCTTCCCCCCAAATCCTATCAATTCCTCCCCATGTGTCAAGATCTAGCAAGATCCGACATAAATGGCACTACTCTCTCAGCATTCCCTCCTCTAAGTTCCCTTAGCAGTTTGTTCCTATTTCTAAGATAGTTTTTAATGTGCCATATCATAGTTATTTGTTTATTCACCTGCCAAGCTCCCCAGGGACAGGGACTATGACTTATTTATCTTTGCAACTCCCTGGTTTGTCCCAGAGCCTGGCGAAAGGAAGGGACTCAACAAATGGCGACTGAATGAAAAATGCAATACATACTCTCTGAAGGAGCTGCAAGTTTTGATAAATATAGTAGATGGATTTTCTCAAAGCTCTCATTTAAGCTAAGATACAAATTTATTTCCAAAAGTTCTCCCATCATACTCTCAAATGTTAAAGTATAATCCATTTGGCTCTCATTTTTCATTTCACTGGGATGTGTTCCTCATTGAGAGAAAATCTACTGATAATATCTTGACAGATAATTGGACAATAGGGGGAACCTATGCACAGAGTAGACAATGGAGAAACCAAGAAACACTTTTAGATGGAAAATAATTCTCAGCTCAATCAGAAAGTGGATGGATGATCCATGAGGGATATGGTAGAGGACAGGGATAAAATGTCTGAGCAGAGGATCACCAAGGCTCCAGCCAACATTCAGGTTTTAGAACCCCAAGAAATCAGAAGTGCTTTCATCTAGGAAACTGGTTCACTGGCAAAGACCCCACAATGTCTTTTTCAGCAACATAGTGTTTCTCATGCACTCAGAGAGCAAAGAGAAAAAAGGTTGGCTCCTTGTTAATTACAATGATCTTGACTTGATGACAGTAAGAGAGAAATACTCGCTTAGTAAAACAAAACCTTGCTGCCTAGAAAGCTGTTAAAAGTGGACACAAGACCATGAAGACATGAGCCCTGAGTGAATTATAGTTGTTTCCTTAACCCAGGTGTTTTGAATTATTTAGAATCTCATTTAGATGGGCACATTATAGAATTATATTCACAAATCATCGTGAAAATTATAAAATGTCTTCCAGCTCCTCTGGCCACAAAAGAAGTACCATGGACAGTCTGTCAAGAATCCCTTTGAAGGGAAACATCAGCCTCCTCACCCCTGCAAATTAGCTGATGGTCTGTTAGTTTATTTTATTTAATATGCCATGGTCACCTAATCACCTACTTCTGCTATTCCAGCCTTGATTTTTCAGATTTATATTGAATCAGTCGCATGTGCTTTTCATACATACAACTCATTTTCTTTACAAATGAACTATGAATAAGTGTATTCCAGGCTGATTTCCATAGCTAAGAGAGTGAAATTCATCCCCGGGTTTGAAAAGCGAGAGTACAGTGCATGTGCACCAGATGAAGACTCCTCGAGGGGACATGCTAGATGAATGCCACTTATTTTTTGCCAAGATCTACACACACCACATCCTTCCTAATCTGGAAAAAGCCTGTCTTCACTTCTGAGCATATCATTTGTGTATAAAAACTTTAGGCCGGGCTCAGTGGCTCATGCCTGTAATCCCAGCACTTTGGGAGGCCAGGCGGGTGGATCACGAGGTCAGGATATTGAGACCATCCTGGCAAACACTGTGAAACCCCGTCTCTAATAAAAATACAAAAAAAATTAGCCGGGCATGGTGGCAGGTGCCTGTAGTCCCAGCTACTTGGGAGGCTGAGGCAGGAGAATGGCATGAACCTGGGAGGTGGAGCTTGCAGTGAGCAGAGATCGCACCACTGCACTCCAACCTGGGCAACAGAGCGAGATTCCATCACACACAAAAAAAAAACCTTTAAGTGACTGTGTTGTGGCTGAACAGTGTGCAATTCAGAGAAAATATAAAATAAAACACATTTGAATTTAAATTTCAGCCACCTTTTTAAAATAAGTTCTGTCTTCTTTCTGTTCTTTGCTCTGAGCACTAGTTTCAGAATGGAACCATTTTAACAGGAAACTCAACTAATGGACTTTGGAGGAACTAAAATGTTGAGAAAGGCTTAGAAAGTGGGTATTCAAATAGAATTAGGCGGGCTAAACCGGGTGCCCAGCTCAGGGGGAAAGTTGTGAAATCAGCAGATCCCTCAAACTCACTGTAACAAGCCCCCGTTCTGTTTCCCTACCTGGAGATGATTTTCAGGACCTAACACCAGCATTTCTTTATCTATAGTGCCATCTGGTGAGTACATGCCTTCACTGTGGTAACACGTAAATCACTGGAGCCTGCAACCTATCAATGGCCCTTCCAAGCTATCAGGTAGACATCAGCTGGCATTTTCCTGGGGTTTAGATCCTGCTCAGTGGGGAGGATCTGCATCTTTAGGCCCAAGATCTCAGAAGTGTCCAGCTTCATCTGGAGACTCAAAGTGTTCATGAGTTTGTGTCTTACATCTAATTTGCAATTCTAAAGTTTTCCAATTTGCAGGGGCACTTCCATGGGGCAGGCAGTGACCCCAGCAGAGGCCTGCTGACCTTATGCTCTGGACCGGAGAGCTACACTGTCTCCTAAGAGAAAGTGCCCGGCACTGCTCCCAGCACTGTGTTATCTTCTATTATGTTTGGCTTTCTGTTTTCCTCCTCCCCTTCCCACGCAGTGTCTGTCAAAATCTGTTCATTACAGGTCCACAACCTAACAAATATTCCCAAACCAAAACAAGACTTTGCCCATGCCCTCCAGAACAAGCTTGCCAAACACAAGAGTATCTTTCCTTCTGCAACCCCGACAGGCATGTTTGTTCTTCGGAACTTAATGTTGACTTCAAAAGACAGAAGGAATGGGAATTGGAAACAAATAATTCTAAATATGCCAAATAGCAGCACAATATAATTAGACTCAAACAGCAGCCCCTCTCAAGCTGCAGTGTGTTCATTGGCAAGAGGAGTTGATAATATAGACCACAGCTCCTTCACAGGTTGTGGTAAGGATCGAATCAGAGCTCTATAAAGAACTCTGCTGAGCTCTGTAAAGAGACTAGACAGCGGGCAAGTGGGGGTGTGGAAAGTGGGGCAGAGACTGTCTTGAGCCTGCATGGATAACTCTGCATCCCCAGAGTCAGGAAGAGAGCTGGGCACATGCAGCACAACCAACAGTCATTGAGCACTACTGGGTGCAGGGAGTGTTGTAGTCTTCACCGTTCTATGAATGAGAACTTACTATTGTTCCCATTTTACAGGTGAGGAAATTGAGACACAGGAAAGGTAAGTAATTTGCTCAGGATCATATAGTTGGCAAATAGCAAAGTGGGGATTTCGATCCAGCATTCCATATCTCCCTCTCCTGCTTTATTCTTCTCCATAGCATACCTCATCATCTCATCATCTAACATTGTGTGTGTGTGTGTCTGTGTGTGTGTGTGTGTGTAACAGTCTCTCTTCAACCAAACTTTACTTAGGCTCTTCTGAGCTCTCTTCTCAGCTAGGCCTTGACCTTGGCTCCTGTCCTTGCTGGGCCTGCATCGAATCCTGCTAAAGTGGTTTAGTGAGAATCCCCACCCTTGATATCTGACGCCCTTGATATATGATCAAATTCCTCATCCCCCACCTTTGGTATATAAGCTTTTCACCTGCCTTCAGCAAAAATCCAGTTAAGTCAGTTTAGCAAGAATTTCTCTACCCTTGATGTCTCTTCCTAGTAACTTTTCATCCTCCGACCACCTCCCTTTCCCCGAACCCTGCTCCTTGGTTATAAATCCCCGTTTTTCCATGTTGTATTCAGAATTGAGCTCAGTTCAATACTGAGGTGTCTTTTCCCCTATTGCAATAATTTCTAAATAAAATCTGTGTTTAGTACTTTACTGTCTGGCTCTCGTTCTCCTTAACGGTATGTATGTGTATATTATATGTGAATATATGTATATGTATATGTATATGACTCATTTATTTTATTCATCATCTATCTTTCCCACTAAATTGTAAATCCTGAAGGCAGGAGACTTTGCCTGCCTTGTTGCCTCTATGTCTCCAATACCTACAAGAGTGCCTAGCACACATAGTAAGTGCTCGGTTAACATTTATTGAGTGAATAAACACATGCACGCATGAATCCAGCTCCAAAGCTTGCACTCTTAATCACTATGTTTTATTGTGTTTCTATAAATGATCATTCTTTTTACCTTATTTAAATATAAATTGTATAAATGTAAGAGGCTGTCTTATTTTTTGACCCAAATCATTGTGGTCTCTTCTACTCCATTCGGCTCAATTTCCTCACTGTTCCCAGCACAACTGTTCCATTCTCATGGAAGAGCCTTTGCTCATGCAGTTCCTCCACCTGAAATGCCTTCCTTCCTCCCCAGCACCCATCCAAATCTCATCCATTCTTCAAGATCAACTCAAATGCCACCCCATCCAGGAAGTCTCCAATGCACCCACCCAAGCACATCCATTCCTCCATTGACTCCTCCTATAATTACAGATGGGCTACATTTGCATTTATTTTAAACCAAGTATGGCCACCATACTTGATTGCAGATTTCTGGGAGAATAAGGACGATATCTTCCCTGACTCTGAATTCCACACCGAGCCCAGCAAAGGCCAGACTCTCCCTTGGTATTCAGTGGCCACCACTTAGAGGGCAGAGACCAACTCTCAACTCACTCTCCTGATCACGGGACATGGGGGCTGACCAATCTGGAATGAAAAGAAACAATGAATGGGACATCTATGCTTACCATGAAACGTTAATTGTCTTTGCGATCTATAAAGTGTCTGGGAGCAAAACATGATTAGTAAGATGAGAGACCTAAAGCAAGCCCTCCACTCCTATCTGTTGTCATGGTTACCATTATCAAAGATGGTAGTGAGAGATATCCAGTGGTTGTGAGAGGACAAAACACAAGTGAGGGCAGTATCACTTTTTCCTCCTTTGCCTCAAGGCAGAGGTCTTTCTCATTTTGTGAACCTGTGTGATCTGACTTCAAAGGGAAGCGGTGGAGAGTGTGCAGCGCTGCTCTGGTTCTTGTCCATTCAGATGCTGTAAAGCCAAAGCTTTGGAGGAGGAGGAGAAACCTGGGGCCAGCTTCATGGGGTGTAACAGGTGGGATGGCACAGGGCTCCACTCTCAAAAGGGACCACACTTGGTTTTGATGCTGTTCTGACCCCATTTTGAAATTTGTACTAATTTACAAACAAGGGGCCCTGCATTTTCATCATGCACTGAGCCCAGCAGATTATGAGGCTGGTCTTGAGGAAATCCTTTAGGAGATAGAAAGAAAAGTATATTTGCTTCTGCTCTCTGAAGACATAAAATTTCCCTGTCTAAACTCAAAGACTTGGGATCGGAAAATATGAAGACAAAGGCAATAGAAACCCATGAGGTGACCTAATAATAACAACAACAGCAGCAGCTAACACTAAGTGAGCACTTACTGTATGCTAGGCACGGTTGAAGAGCTTTATGGGTACGAATTCATTTAATCTTAAAAACAATCGTAGGAAGGAGGTATTAGCTCTATCCTATTTTACAGGCATGGAGGAAAGGGGAGGATGGGGAGCGAAAAGAAGGGACTTATTTAACACACAACTATTAAGTGTGAGACACCATGCAGGGCACCTTCACACCCGAGGCCTCATTCAGTACTCATAGCTTTGTACAGTTGGGGAAGCTGGGGTGAAGCCAACTGCGCAGGTTCTCACAGGTAGTAGGAGCTCAAGCAGGCATCCAGCTGAGTTCTGCCTCCAGGTCCTATCTGCAGTCTTTCACGGTAGGTGCAAAGGCAGGATGCCCTAAGATGTCTAATCCATGAGATGCTGGAGACAGCATTTAGAATCCCAGCCCCTTCATCCCTGTCTGTAGAACCACACCCAAAGCAGCAGGATTATATGTCATCTTTGCTAATTAGAATGCTCTGGTTGGGTAGCTGTTTTTTGGATGGTTTATGAGTACAGCAATCCTTCTTTATTACATTTGCTAGGTGGCTGAATTTTTTAAGCAATATGTTGGGAAGTGACACACACCTTCCCACGCCCTGCGCACACTGCCCCTGACCCTCGCACATGCCACGCATGCCCACCACTGGGCCTTTGCTCTCCTTGTGCCCTCTGCCCTTCCACCCTGGGGGAAATTGTGATCTCTGCCTCTTCAAGGTCCACCTCAGCTGCCCTTGGTGACACCTTCCTTAAGTCACCTGGGCAGCAGTGCCTCCTTCCTTTCCTGCCTCGTGCTCCCCTGGCACTTTGTACATCTCTTTCTCATACCAGTGACCACGGTGCATCTCAATCATGTCCTTACCAATGCCGCTCTCCTCCCAAACAGCCTTCTCTCAGCCTGGCACCATGCAGGTACTCAGAAATATTCACTGGATAAAAAAGTAAATGTGTCTGCTCTTTACTCCTCAAGAACCTAGAAAGAGTTCAAGCCTAGGTTTCTTTAGTCCGTCATTCAACAGCATCTGTTTTGTGCCAGAGGCTGGAGCTGCAAAGATGGATAAATGGCTCTGCTCTGTGGAGACTGGCAAGTTAACATGCACTTTCAATGCAACAGAGTGAGTGCTACAACAGAGGGGCCGGAATGTGGCAGGAGCACAGAGGAGGGCGCTCCCCCAGGGCGGGGAGAACGATGGGGTCAGGCAAATTGGAAGATGAGTAGGAAGGAGCTACCCAGATGGAGAGAAGAAAGATGTCCCAACCAGAGGGAGGATGTGTGTAATGCCTCAGAGGCGTGTGTGCATGGATGGAGTGTGTGTGTGGTGGTTGTACATGTGTGGGTGTGGGTGTATATAAGAGACATGGGGGGAGAATCTGGCTATCTTTCTTCAGGGGGTGTCCTAGGGACAGTGTTCTGCATCCAACTCTGTTCAAAATGTTGCTTTGGATGCCTCATGCACCTTCTCTGAGTAGGTCACATCTCAGCCCTGTCTCTCTCAGTGGCTTTGGTCAATTAATGTAGAATTTCAGTCACCAGGAGCAAAATATCCCCACTATTTTTTCCCTCACTTTGATCTCTTTATGTCTCAATTCTGCTGGATATTTTAAGCCACACAGTGGCCATCATAGATGGAGTTCAGCCTGAAAAGAGAGGAACACACAGCCACACAGATGTCCACTGCAGGTGATTTCGTGAGCAAAAGCCCAAATCCCAACAGCAGGGCAGTAATCACCTGCCTGGGCCCTACACTTCTTGTACACACCCTCCTCTCCTGCCTTTTCTCAAAGGCAACAAGGAGCAGATGTCACGGTGAGAAAGCATCCTCACCAGAAGCAGCCCACGATGCCTCCTGCTTTGCTGATGCAGCGTCTGCTGCACTCCCCTGAGCAAACGCACTACACTCCAAAGGTGAAAGATGAACTCAATGCAAAAGCAACTACAGTGTGGCTGGGTGGCACCTGGCAGTCAGGGGAAGACCCAAGTACACATGACCTTTATGGTGGATCATCCTATCCATTCCGGAAGAGAAGCTGCTCACAGATGGGGGAGAAGAAGGAAGCCAATCACGAAGCAAATTCATTCACAGCAAACACATAATAACAATAGCTAGTATCAATAGAGCATTCACTGTGTGCCAAGCACCGTTCAGCTTCCTTTATAAATATAGTGACCACATAATTTATTGTCTAAGCCAGGAACACCTTTGAAAGTGAAAGGGGGCATCTTTATTAGTATTTTTTAGAAAGGGGGCATATTTATTATTGTGACCACGGCAAAATCAGGGAACATCCTAGAACAAGCCAAAATGTATGATCATCTCATTGTATGTAAGTGTAAGTTATTTAACCCCATAAGGTAAGTTTCATTATTAGCCCCATTTTCCAAATGAGGAAACAGTCTCAAAGAAGCTAAAATAATGTGCCCAAGGCCACACAGCAAGTAACCAGCAGAGCTGGGATTCCAAGCCAGTGCATCTCCACCATGGTCCTCTATTGCCTTCTACAAAGCCTTGCGTTAAAACCCAGAATATTTCCTAGGATACAAAGGTCCCAAACTGTGAAGTGAAACCTAAATTAATCTGAACTGCTTGTAAAGTCAGGCTGAATCTCAAAATGTATTTAAAGAAATAACTTCGATTGCTTTCCACACTTACAGGAAGATTTCCAAGCAGTGTGTTTGAGGCTCTTCTTTTTAACAAATGGATCAGAATGATGCATAAATGGCATATCAATTTCATTTAAATGAGTACTTCTAAAGTGCTTAAAATACTTTATTAAATAGATTAAACACCACACAAACACACATTTGTTTTTTCACTATTAGCTGATGCTGTTCACACTGGCTGCTACTTAAAAGCTACTGATGGCAAGATCAGCACTTCCCTCATTAAAAATCTATTTTTCTTGAAATTAACAATACCTGTAAATAACAGGCAACATTTAATGACCACTTACTATGCCCCAGGATTTGTTTTATGTGTTTTACACATATTAACTTAGTTATTCCTCATAACAATTCTATTGACTACATGCTGATATCATTGTCATTTTATAAATGGAGGAACTGAGGTACAGAGAGGCTGAATAACTTGCTCAAGGTTATTATATAGCTAATAAGTGACATCTGGGATTCAGCATCTGAACTCTCAAATCTACACTCACTGCAGCCACCCACTATTATGAAAAGTGGATAAATGGAGTGTGGGTCTCCTGGATGCATCTATTTGAGCAGGATTCCCCATTGAGGTTTCCATATCCTGTATTAGCTTACTGGGTACTGGAAAATGGTCAAAGTTAATTCTCAAAGTGATATTAATTTAAATTCATTTTTTTAAGTACAGATCTGGTTAGCAAAAGGCTGACTAGAGGTGATTGGCGCACATCTCAACAAGAAGAAAGGACCAAGGCAACAAATAAACAGCTACAATTTGACAGGAGCGCCAGGAGGGAGAGTGCTAGAGTGTACCTGTGGTAACTGGAAGTCCAGGAGGGCAGCGTGGAAGCACTGGCCTCTGCAGCCCCATTTCCTCCACACGGATAAGATCTGCCTGGAGCCAGGACGGACTTCTCATGGTGTGAAAAAGGTAAGCAGAAGATCCCCACCAGCCCCATTACCACTGCAAACACCTACAGCCCTTACTACCAGAGAATCCCACAGTCCTTGCAAGCCATGAGCCCAGTTTGGAGAACTGCTGGGAATTCACGCAGCTGCATCACTCCAGATGAGGCGCACAAGGTGTGCACTCCCCACCCACTACTTATCTCCTGTAAGCCACTCTGCTAGAGCACAGCACCAACTTGAGACCACAGCCACCTCTGGAGTGTGCCCTCCTCTGGGGCCAGTAGCCGCTGCACCTCTCCAGCACTGGGGCTTCATTGTCATTATACCAATCCCACACTGGTAGCTGAATATCACAACCCCAGCAGCATGGAGCTTGGGCCCAGGATGGGCTGTGACTCTGGTCCAGCACAGCAGGAAAATTAATTCCCATTACCCTTGCTTCTAGTCAGAGGAACAGTCCGGCAGAACCTGCCCTTGATCTGGCTAAACTGCCACATGCTTTCCTCAAGTGGGAGAGGCCTTCAAGCCTCTGAGCAGCTGACATGGTCCCAGTCCAGCAGAGCAGCTATATGCCTACACTCAGAGCCTGAGAAACAGCCCCACAGTGAAAAGCCCCTGGTAGAAAAGCTTCTAGCCTGCCCAGTGACCCTGGACCTGCAATCAGGGCTTGAGGAACAGCTCCATGGGCTGCCCTTGTGCTCCCAGTCCAGCTGAATAGCTGTCTGCCCATGTCCCAGGCCCAAGAATCAGTATCACAAACCAACCCTCGTGGGCAAATCTCCAAGCTAGCCAAGCAGCCATGAGCCCACATCCTGTACCTGAGTAGCAGCCCTGTAGGCCACCTCCAGCAGACATGCACCTGTGCCAGCTGAGAAACCATGTGGCTGCATCACAGGCCTGAGAAACAGCCCAGGGACTGTCCCCAGCAGACATACCCTCAGGCCAGCCAAGTACTGTGAGACCACCTCCCAGGTCTGAGGAACAGCCCCATGGATTGTCCCTGGCAGACACATACCTAGTACAGCCGAGAAGATATGCAACCATATCCTGAGCCTAAGAAACAGACCTACAGTCCACCCTAGCAAAGACAGCCCCAGTACCCATGTCCTGGGCCTGAGAAATAGCCCCATGGGCGGCTCCTGTGAGGCAAGCTCCCAGGCCAACTGGGCAATCATGCTCCTGGCCAGAGTAACAGATCTGTAGCCCCGACCCCAGCCTCAAGATGGTCAACCCACCATGTGCATGCACACATCTCTGATCTGAGAGTCTGGTGAGTTCACCCGGGCAAAGCCACACCACTGCTACCAGAAAATCTCTCAGCCTAGACCACTGAGACACTCAAAAATGTCACTAGTACTACACAGAGATTACACGACTGTGTCCACCCAGAACAAAAGCCAGCACACCACACTGAGCTAACATCCCAAAACACATTCCTATGAATAACTCTTTCACTACAAAACCTGCTCCATAAAATTGGAGGAGGTGACTTTTCACCAGATGCATAGAAATTAATATAGAGACCCATCAAACATGAAAAAGCAAGGAAACATGACACCTCCAAATGAACACAATAACTCTCCAATAACAGACCCCAATCATAAGGAAACATACAAAATGCCAGAAGAAGAATTCAAAATGATAATCTTAAGGAACCTCAGTGAGATAGAAGAGAATACAGATAGACAATTCAACAAAATCAGAAAAACAATTCATGATTTGAATGAGAAATTCAACAAAGAGATAGATATCATTAAAAAAGAACCAAACAGAAATCTACAGCTGAAGAATTCAATGACTAAATAAAAAGTACAATTGAGAGCTTTGACAACAGACTAGCTCAAGCAAATGACATAATTTCTGAACTTGGAGACAGGTCATTTGAAATAACACAGGCAGACAGAAGGAAAAAGAATGAAGAAAGCCTACGAGATTTATGGAACACAATTAAGTGAACAAATATTCACATTATACATATTCCAGAGGAGAAGAGAATGAAAAAGATATAGGGAATATATTTAATGAACTAATAGCTGAAAACCTCCCAGGCCTTGGGAGAGAGATGGACATTTAAGTCCAGGAAGATCAAAGAACCTCAAATAGATTGAACCCAAACTGGTCCTCTCTGAGTGATATGGTGCTCCAATTGTCAAAATTCAAACAAAGAATTTTAAAAGCAGCAGGAAAAAAAGTGTCAAGTCATGTATAAGGGAATTCCCATTAGTCTAACAGTGGATTTCTCAGCAGAAGCCTTATAGGCCAGGAGAGAACAGGATGATATATTCAAAATACTGAAAGAAAAGGCTGCCGGTCAGGCAGATCATGAGGTCAGGAGATCGAGACCATCCTGCCTAACATGGTGAAACCCCGTCACTACTAAAAATACAAAAAAAAAAATTAGCCAGGCATGGTGGCGGGTGCCTGTAGTCCCAGCTACTTGGGAGGCTGAGGCAGGATAATGGTGTGAACCCAGGAGGTGGAGTTTGCAGTGAGCTGAGATCGCACCATTGCACTCCAGCCTGGGTGACAGAGTGAGACTCCATCAAAAAAAAAGAAAAGAAAAAGAGAAGTCTGCCAGTCAAGAATATCATGCCCAGCAAAGCTATCCTTCAGAAATGAAGGAGAAATAAAATCTTTCACAGACAAGAAAAAACTAAAGAGATATACCATTAATAGACCAGCCTTACAGGGAATGCTCAAGGGAGTCCTACAACTGGAAGTCATTGTAGGACCATCATGAAAGCATGTGAAACTATAAAACTCACTGGTAAAGCCAATACAGAAAGGAGAAAGAGCAAGGAATCAAATCTTATCACTACAGAAAATGACTCAACCACAAAAATAAACAATAACAGAAGAAGTAAGAAACAAAGGACATATAAAACATGAAAAGAGCAAATAAAATGATGAGAGTAAGTTCTCACCTATCAATAATAACCCTGAATGTAAACAGATGAAATTCACCTTTTAAAAGATATATACCTGCTGAATAGATTAAAAAGAAGAAACCAACAATATGCTGCCTACAAGAAACTCACCTCACCTGTAAAGACAGACAGGCTGAAAGTAAAGAGATGAAAAACGATATTCCAGGCTGGGTGTGGTGGCTTATGCCTGTAATCCAGCACTTTGGGAGACCAAAGTGGGTGGATTGCTTGTGCCCAGAAGTTCAAGACAAGCCTGGGCAACATAGTGAAACCCTGTAACCCCAGCACTTTGGGAGACTGAGATGGGAGGATTGCTTGAGGCCAGGAGTTTGAGATCAGCCTGGGCAATATAGTGAGTCCCCTTCTCTACAAAAAATTTAAAAATTAGCTGGGTGTGTTAGCATGTGCCTGTGGTCCCAGCTACTCAGGAGGCTGAGGTAGAAGGATTGCTTGAGCCCAGGAGGTCAAGACTATAGTAAGCAAACATCACAGCACTGCACTCCAGCCTGGATGACAGAACAAGACCCTATCTCTAGTTAAAAAAAAAAAATCAACACCCCTTCATGATAAAAAATCCCAATAAATTAGGTATAGAAGGAAAGTATCTCAACACAATAAAGGCTATATATAACAAATCCAGAGCAAACATCACACTGAATGCCTGGAACAAGACAAGGGTGCCCATGCTCGCCACTCTTATTCAACGTAGTACTGGAAGTCCTGCCAGAGCAATTAGTCAAGAGAAAGAAACAAAGGGCATTCAAATTGTAAAGAAGGAAGTCAGATTGTCCCTGCTTGCAGACAACATAATCTTATATATAGAAAAACCTAAAGACTCTGCAAAAAAAAGACTCTTAGAACTGAAAAAACTCTTAGAACTGATAAATTCAGCAAAATTGCAGCATACAAAATCAACATACAGAAATCAGTGGTGTTTCTATACACAAAAAACAAACTAGCTGAAAAAGAAATCGAGAAGACGATTCCATTCACAATAGCTATACAAAATAATAAAATGTCTGGGAATAAGGAACCAAGGAAGTGAAAGACTTCTACAAGAAAAACTATAAAACACTAATGAAAAAAATTAAAGAAGATAAAAACAAATTGGAAAACAGCCCATACTCATGGATTAGAAGAATTAATATTGTTAAAATGACCATAGTACTCAAAGCAATCTACAGATTCAATGAACCTCTACCAAAATACCAATAACATTCCTCACAGAAATTTTTTTAAAATCAATCTTAAAATTTGTATGGAATCACAAAGACACAATAGCCAAAGCAATCCTAAGCAAAAAGAACAAAGCTGGAAGCATCACACTTCCAGACTTCAATCTGGAAGTCTACAGTAACCAAAATAGCATGGTACTGACATAAAAGCAGAAACATAGACCAATGGAACAGAATATAGAACCCAGAAATCAATCCATGTATCTACTGCCAATTTATTGAACAAAAGCACCAGGAACATATACTGGAGAAAGACACTCTCATCAACAAATGGTGCTGGGGAAACTGGCTATCTATATGCAAAAGAATGAAACTAGACCCCCATATGTCATCCTATACAAAAATCAACTCAATGGATCAAAGACCTAAATGTAATACCCAAAACTGTAAAACTACTAGAAGAAAACTTAGGGGGAATGCTTCAGGATCTTTGTCTGGGAAAAGATTTTATGAATAAGACCTGAAAAGCATGGGCAACAAAAGCAAAAATAATCAGATGGGATTGTATCAAACTAAAAAGCTTCTATACAGCAAAGGAAATAATCAACAGAGGGAAAACAACCTACAGAATGGAAAAAAATATTTGCAAACTACCCATCCATCCAACAGGGGATTAATATCCAGAATATACAAGGAACTCAAACATCTCAACAGCAAAAACAAATTAATGTAAAAGTAGGCAAAAGATTGGAACAGAAATTTCTCAAATGAAGACATACAAATGGCCAAGAAATACATGGAAAAAATTATCAACATCACTTAACATCAGTGAAATCAAAATCACAGTGAGTTATAATCTCATCCCAGTTAGTATGGCTGTTATCAAAAGGACAAAAAAAATAACAAATGTTGACAAGGATGTGGAGAAAAGGGAACTCTTATATACTGTTGGTGGGAATCTAAACTAGTACAGCCACTTTAGAGAATAGTATGGAGGCTCCTTTAAAAAGCTACATAAAATTACCATATGATTCAGCTATCCTACTTCTTGCAATTTATCCAAAGAAAAGGAAATAAGTATATCAAAGAGACTTCTGTGCCCCCATGTTTACTGTAGTACTATTCACAATAGCCAAGATACAGGATACCTTGTGTCTGCTGGCCATCAGAGAAATGCAAATCAAAACCACAATGAGATACCATCTCACACCAGTTAGAATGATGATCATTAAAAAGTCAGGAAACAATAGGTGCTGGAGAGGATGTGGAGAAATAGGAACACTTTTACACTGTTGGTAGGAGTGTAAACTAGTTCAACCATTGTGGAAGACAGTGTGGTGATTCCTCAAGGATCTAGAACTAGAAATACCATTTGACCCAGAAATCCCATTACTGGGTATATACCCAAAGGATTATAAATCATGCTACTATAAAGATACATGCACACGTATGTTTATTGTGGCATTATTCACAGTAGCAAAGACTTGGAACCAACCCAAATGTCCATCAATGATAGACTGGATTAAGAAAATGTGGCACAATACACCATGGAATACTATGCAGCCATAAAAAACGATGAGTTCTGCCGGGCGCAGTGGCTCACGCCTGTAATCCCAGCACTTTGGGAGGCCGAGGAGGGCGGATCACGAGGTCAGGAGATCGAGACCATCCTGGCTAACACGGTGAAACCCCATCTCTACTAAAAATACAAAAAATTAGCTGGGCGTGGTGGCGGGCGTCTGTAGTCCCAGTTACTGGGGAGGCTGAGGCAGGAGAATGGCATGAACCCAGGAGGCAGAGCTTGCAGTGAGCTGAGATCGCACCACGGCACTCCAGCCTGGGCGACAGAGTGAGACTCCTCTCAAAAAAAAAAAAAAAAAGGATGAGTTCATGTCCTTTCTAGGGACATGGATGAAGCTGGAAACCATCATTCTGAGCAAACTATCACAAGGACAGGAAACCAAACACCACATGTTCTCACTTATAGATGGGAATTGAACAATGAGAACACTTGGACACAGGGTGGAGAACATCACACACCGGGGCCTGTCATGGGGTGGGGGGAAGGGGGAGGGATAGCATTAGGAGAAATACCTAATGTAAATGACCAGTTAATGGGTGCAGCACACCAACATGGCACATGTATACATATGTAACAAACCTGCACGTTGTGCACATGTACCCTAGAACTTAAAGTATAATAATAAATAAATAAATAAATAAATAAATAAGAATATCTTGCATCTGACAACAGATGAATGGATAAAGAAAATGTGATATATATGGAATACTATTCAGCCACAAAAAGAATGAAATCCTGCCATTTGCACCAGCATAGATGAAAACATTATATTAAGTGAAATAAGCCAGAAATAGAAAGTTCAACACTGCATATTCTCACTCATATATGGAAGTCAAAAAAAAAAAAAAGTTGATCTCAAATCTACACCTTCTTGAACTTGGCCTATAGACACTGCCTGCCTCCCCAGCATCATCTCACATCACATCACCCTTACTGTGTTCCTTCCAGTCTCTGGTTCTTTTTTTATTCTGTTTCCTCTGCCTTTAACACTGTCCTCTACCTATCTTCTCCCACCAAAAAACAAAAACAAAAACAAAACAAAATTCTTGTTTTTGCCTACCCAACTCCTATGCATCCCTCTGACCTCCACTCAAATATCACTTCCTCAGGGAAACCTCCCTAGACTCCCCAAGCCAGTTTGAGCACCCCGTTACATGCCCACTAAGCAACCAAATTTTCTTCATAGCACTTCTCAGTTTATGAGTAATCACAACTTGTTTGAGTTATTACTTGATTAATGTCTGTTCTGCCCCTGGTTTATATATCCAGGTAATTAAGTACTGTACCTGCTTTTGCTGACCATTATATTCCTAGTGCTTGGCAGATTTCCTGGCCACAATACATACCTTACTCAGCGAGCATTTACTGAATGAAGGGCATGGATGGGTACCATGGTGATTTCAAAAAATGGCTGGCCATTGAGTTAATAAAACAATTTCACTTACAAATACTTAGGACCAAAGCAACAAAATACTTACAAATACATTTAATAAAATATTTGTAAAACTTTGACAACTACAATGCATTGTTGAAAGACTTACATAAATGGAAAAACATTCTATGTTCATGGACGAAAAGATTTAATATTATTAAGATAGTAATACTCCCCTGTCAATTCAATCCCTATCAAAATCTTAGATATCTTTTTTGCAGAAATTAACAAGCTGATCCTAAAAGTCATGTAGGGCCAAGGCAGGGGATTCAGAATAGCCAAAACAATCTTGAAAAAGGCAAACGAAGTTGAAAAACTCACCCTTCCCAATTTCAAAACTTACTACAAAGTACAGTAATCAAGACAGTGCAGTACAGACATAAGGATAGACACATAGGTGAATGGACTAGAACTGAAAGTCCAGAAATAAACCCAAACATCTATGGTCAATTGATTTTTTTTTTTTTTTTTTTGAGACAGAGTCTGGCTCTGTCACCCAGGCTGGAGTGCAGTGGCACAATTTCGGCTCACCGCAACCTCTAACTCCTGAGTTCAAGCGACTCTTGTGCCTCACCCTCCCAAGTAGCTGGGATTACAGGCACCTGCCACCACACCTGGCTAGCTTTTGCATTTTTAATAGAGATGGGGTTTCACCATGTTGGCCAGGCTGGTCTTGAACTCCTGGTCTCAAATGATCCACCCACCTCGGCCTCCCAAAGTGTTGGAATTACAGGCGTGAGCTACCATGCCCAGCCTAATTTTTGACAAGGGTACCAAGACAATTCAATGGGGAAAGAATAAGATTTTTCAATAAGTGGTTCTGGGACAACTGGATATCTACATCCAAATGGAAGTTCGACCCTTCCTCACACAATACACGAAATTAACTCAAAACAGATCATAGACCTAACTGTAAAAGCTACAACTACAAAAAGAAGAAAATATAAGTAAATCTTTGTGATTTTTGGTTAGACAAAACCTTCTTAGATATGACACCAAACAACCCACAAAAGGAAAAAAATAGATAAATTGGACTTCATCAAATTAAAATTTGCTGTACTTCGAAGGACATCATCAAGAAAATGAATGGGAGAAACTATTTACAAATCACACATCTGATAAGGGACTCATACAGAATATACAAGGAACCCTAACAACTCAATAATAAAAAGACAAGTAGCCCAATTAAAAATGAGCAAGTAATCTGAATAGACATTTCTTCAAAGAATAAATACAAATGGCCAATATGCTCATGAAAATATGCTCAACATCATTAGCCATTAGGGAAATGTAAATCAAAACCACAATATCATACCACTGCATATCCACAAAGATGTCTCAAATTTAAAATGCTATGCATTCCAAATGTAGGAGAAGATGTGGAAAAATTAAAACCCTAACATATTGTTAATGCAAATACAAAATGATGTAGCCACTTTAGAAAACAGTCTGGCAGTTTCTCAAAGATTAATCATGAAATTACCATGTGACCCAGCAATTTCACCTCTAAGTGTATACCCAAGGCAAGTGAAAACATACACCCATGCAAAAACTTGTACATGAATGTTCACAGCAGCATTACTCATAAAAGCCAATAGTGAAAACAACCAAAATGTCTGTCTACTGATTAATGGATAAACAAAATGTAGTATATCCACAAAATGGAATCTTATTCAGCCACAAAAAGGAATGGAGTACTGACTGATACATGCTACAATGTGGACGAACCTTGAAAACATTACACTGTGAAAGAAGCCAGTCACAAAAGACAATGTATTATTTGATTCCATTTGTATGAAATGTCTAGAATAGGCAAATCTAAGAAGACAGAAAGTAGATTAGGGGTTGCCTAGAGCAGGTATAGGGAGAAGATTGGGAGGAAAATGAAGAGTGACTGCTAATGGATATGGGATTTCTTTCTATCATGACAAAATGTTCTAATGTTGATCATGGTAGTGGTTGTGCAACTCTTGAATTCGCCAAAACCATTGAATTGTATACTTTAAATAGATGAATTGTATGATATGGTATGTGAATTATATCTCAATAAAACCTTTTTAATGGCCATAAAATTCTTTGACATTCCTCCCATAGAAAAGTGAGACCTGTCTGGGCACAGTGGCTCATGCCTGTAATCCCAGCACTTTGGGAGGCTGAAGCAGGCAGATCACTTGAGATCAGAAATTTGAGACCAGCCTGGCCAACATGGCAAAAGCCCATCTCTTCTAAAAATACAGAAATTAGCCAGGCGTGGTGGCGTATGCCCGTAATCCCAGCTCCTGGGAGAGTGAGGCAGGAGAATCACTTGAACCCAGAAGGCAGAGGTTGCAGTGAGCCAAAGTGAGCCAAGATCGCGCCACTGCACTCCAGCCTAGGCAACAGAGTGAGACTCTTTCAAAAGAAAAGAAAAGAAAGAAAGAAAGAAAAATGGAGAGAAAGAGAGAAATAAAGAAAGGGAGGTAGGCAGGAAAGAGGGAGGAGGGAGGAGGGAGGGAGGGAGGGAGGGAAGGAAGGAAGGAAGGAGAGAGAGAAGAAAGAGACGAAAGAATGAAAGAAAGAAAGAGAAAGAAAGAAAGAAAGAAAGAAAGAAAGAAAGAGAGGGAAAGAGAGGGAAAGAAAGGGAAAGAAAGAAAAAGAAAGAAGGAAGGAAAGGAAAGGAAGAAAGAAAGAAAGAAAGAAAGAAAGAAAGAAAGAAAGAAAGAAAGAAAGAAGAAAAGAAAAGAAAACTATGTTCTCTCCCTTTGAATCTGGGTAGACTTACGACTCATTTGATCAATATAGTATGGACAGGAGTGACACTATGTGACCTCCAGGGCTAGAGAAAAGGCAATTGTTTGCTGGAACATTCACACTTGGTGGCATGAGCCACCATGTAAGAAGTTCAACTACTCTGAGGGTGCCAAGCAGCATGGGGAGGTAGTCTAAGTCTTCCAGTCATCCTTGCCCAGGCATCAGAGTGAAAGAGCCACCACATGATTTTAGCCCCAAACCTAAAGTCACCCAACCTTCTCATCTTCCCACCCGAGGCCCTGGACATTGTGGAGCACAGTCAACCCATGACTGCTCTGTCTGTTCCAATTTCTTATCTATCAAATCATAACAATGGTTGTTGTTTTAAGCCACTAAGACTTTGGGGTGCTTTGCTATGCAGCAATAGTCCAGAACAGATGTTCAAAAGGTAAACTTTATCTAAGGTTTTGAGCAAAACAGAAGATGTTCTGAATCTCTGATATTACAAGAATTCAATTGTATCCCAGCTCATCAGTCTATTTTACATCAATGGTGCCCAGCTCCAGACAGACCCAATGCAAAACTGTGAGTCACACAACAACTCTGATGGTGGACAAGCACCACCGAGTTCCCAGGACGCCCAGTTGCCCAGATTCTTGAAATCTCTTGAGTCCTATCAGGAAACAGATAATAAAAAGGGTAATGTGAGAATGACTCAAAGGAACTGTTTATAAAATTGTGAGTGAGGATGTATCCTAAGATTCATACGGTATCCCAGGGCTACTAGCAGCCAGTTGTTACCTCCTCTGGGCTCACGGGGCCTGGAGAGAAGGCAATACCAAGAAGAGAGCTATGTAGAATCACCTCTTTGGAGAGAAGCATAGTCCTTCAGTCAAGGACCCTGCCAGCCTCAAGTGGCCTCAAGCTCCTCCATATACTGAACTCAGCAGGAAGGCGCAGGGCAGAATATCCATTGATTTAATCCTATAGGTCAGCCTCCATGAGCAGAACAGGGAGAAGGGATTAACGCCGGGAGTGCAAACAGAAGACAACCAGCAAGTCCCCCACCAAGGCATGATATAGGACAGTGGTTCTCAACCAGGGGCAATTTGTACCCCTCTCCCCCAGGGGACATTTGGCAATGTCTGGAGATATTTTTGATTTTCCAAATTTACAGGGTGGTGGTGGTATATCAACAACAACAATACCTTCTGGGTAGAGGCCAGAAATGTTGCTAAACATCCCACAATGCCTAGGACAGCTTCCACATCAAAGAATTCTACCCAAAATGCCAACAGTGGCCAGGATGAGAATCCCTGCTCTAGAGCGTTCTCAGAAAAGCCTTGAACCAGGGGTCACACAACTTGGCTTCTAGCCTCTGCTCTGCTGCCAACAGCTTGATGGCCTGGGCCAGTGACACAACTTCCTTGAGCCTCTATACCGTCTGTCAAACTAGGGCCATGATAATGTAAGACCATTGCTTTTTACATAAGGGATGAATTCTTGAAGACCTAATATCATTTGAACCTTAAAATATTCACAACCAGGCCTGGTGCAGTGGCTCAACCTGTAATTCCAACAGTTTGGGAGGCCGAGGCAGGCAGATCCCTTTGAGGTCAGGAGTTTGAGACCAGCCTGGCCAACAGAGCAAAATCCCATCTCTTCTAAAAATAGAAAAATTAGCCAAGGGTTGTGGCATGTGCCTCTAATCCCAGCTACTCAGGAGGCTGAGGGAGGAGAATTGTTTGAACCCAGGAGGCAGAAGTTGCAGTGAGCCAAGATCATGCCACTGCACTCCTGCCTGCCTGGGTGACAGCGAGACTCTGTCAAAAAAAGAAAGAAAGAAAGAAAGAAAAATTCACAACCAATCCTAACAAACAGTGGCACGTAGTTCTGCTTACCAGCTGAACTCATGTAGCCACATGGCATTAGCAAAAAGATCTTTGTGATTTTATCTGCAGTCCAGCTTTGAAATCATGTGATTCCTGATGGATTTTTACCCTTGGGAGGATCATATTAATTTCATGCATAAAGTAAGATTGTTATTAATATGTGGTATCATGCTTTTTCAAATTCTCACAAAATGCAATGTCTCTGCACTGTGCTGGCCCACCCACTGGGATTGCTGGCAGGGTCAGTTAAGGTCTTTACCAAAGAGCCCTGAATCCTCAGAAGGGATGGTTTCTGCTCATGGTAGATCCACCAGGCCAGAGACTCCTCTACCTTTTCTCTCCCCTTAAGCTCGAGGCCATCTCTTTTCCATGGGGCATCCTCCATGGCAGCTAATCTAACGGACTAAATCAGCATTTGCTCCAGCTTCCTAAGAACATGTCTCTTTGGATAAATCAATAGTATGATTTCCCCTTTCTTTTTTTTTGAGACCAAGTCTCACTCTGTCGTCCAGGCTGGAGGGCAGTGGCGCCATCTCGGCTCACTGCAAGCTCCGCCTCCCAGGTTCACGCCATTCTCCCGCCTCAGCCTCCCGAGTAGCTGGGACTACGGGCGCCCGCCACCACGCCGGGTTAATTTTTTGTATTTTTTGTAGGGACGGGGTTTCACCATGTCAGCCAGGATGGTCTCGATCTCCTGACCTCATCATCCGCCAGCCTCGGCCTCCCACAGTGCTGCGATTACAGGTGTGAGCCACAGCGCTCGGCCGACTTCCCCTTTCTAAAGATCCAGTAACCCAACCCATCCCTCCACCATGTGTACTCCCAAGGACCCAGGTAGGAATCACTGTGTTCTCTGCTGTAGCCATTCCCTCCCTCCCTTGTTCTACTCCCCAGTAAGGCTAGGGAATGAAATGAAAAAAAAATTAGACAACGACTCCAGGACAGTCAATAGCTGAGCAAAGTGAAAGCTGCCCAGAGGTGGTCCAATTAGTCCCAAGTGTGCCAAGCTGCATCTCTGGGAAAGAGTTCAGGAAACCTGATTATCCGCACTCCCCACCTCACCCCTCTCACCAAAGCCAGCATTGATGCTTCCCTCTGTTTTCCCAAAGCACTTTGTTCATACCACTATTATAACCACAATACATTGCAATAGAGTTAGCCTGTAACACTCGTCTTAGATTAATGTGCACTTCCTA
Organism: Homo sapiens; assembly: GCF_000001405.40. NCBI lineage: Eukaryota > Metazoa > Chordata > Mammalia > Primates > Hominidae > Homo > Homo sapiens. The sequence goes on from NC_000007.14 coordinate 32,377,417, forward strand.
TTAGCTATTTTTAAGTAGCGTATGGTTCCCCATCACTGCCTCTTTGGTATCTCAATTGGGAAGAAGTTTTTGGCGTATCTCTTTATAGTTGCTTTGTCTTGCCATTGAGAAGCATTTTATCCCTGCGCTTCCATCCTCAAATGTTCCAAGTCATCAATAATAGCTGAGGCATAAATCTTAGTATGACCAAGCCCTATTCTAAGTGCTTTATAGATATTAATTTATTTAGTCTTCACAATAACACTGTGATACAGGTTACTATTATTGTTCCCATTTTAGAAATGGAGAATTGAGACACAAAGAGATTAAGTAACTTGCCCAGGGTCACTAGTAAATGGTGGAATTGGGATTTAAATTCAGGTCGGTCTAGTTACAAAATTCATGCCCTCCGCCACTATACTCTATTGCCTCGCACCAAGCAAACCAAGCGGCCCCAGAGGAAAAACCACTGGAGACAGCATCTGAGTTTCCTTGTTTGTTTTGTGTCAATGGCCCATGGACTGGGATTGTGATTTCTGGTGCACAAGAGTCCACAAAGAAAGAAAATCCCTTCCGTTAATCCCTACAAGGAGAGACTATTTCTGGAAGGGAGGAGGAGCAGCATTTAACCATTTACATTTGGGAGAGCAAGTGGTCCAGACGAGGACTGAAAGGAATTGGATTTCTGTTACTTCTGTGGCATTGTGTTCTAACAGCCATGTTAGGAGTCCTACCAACTGGGTGCATTTACTGTGTTTTATGTCAGCCCCCCACCTTCCTTCTACCTCCTCCCTTACTCAGGCAGATGCAGAGATCTGACCACTCTTCCTGCCCTCTCCAATCCACACTCCTCACAGCAGCAGCCAGAAAGATTCTTCTCAAATGCCGATCTTGAAACCACCTTTGTAAAAATTGTATCAGTAGATACAATGGGAGTGGGAGATATCTAGCCAACCCCCCTCTTGCTTTTAGCCTTCAAGCTGCCAAGCTAACTTTGAGAGGCATTTAGTTTATAGTTTAAATTATAATACCCCTTCCCCAAAACTCCACTGCCTTTGTAAAGCTAATGAGAGACCACCAGGCTAAGAGGAGAAGAGGAGTCTGAATTCTGCTAAAGCTAGACATAAATGATTACCAGCCATTATTCTAGAGGTCACAAGATATGCAACTTCCCCAGTTACTCCTGCAGATAATATCACTATTGTAGAACCTAATATTTGCCTTTTGAGATGTCTTTTCAGTGTTTTTTGCATGTCTGACACCCATCACTCCAACTGGACCCACCAACTAGACCCACCCCATCCAGAAGTGCTTCAGCGCAGGAGGATCATTTCCCACATCCCTGTGATGGTACCCCAACCAATCAGCAGCAAGTACCCATTTCCTAGCCACCTACACCCCTTCCCCTTGAAAAACCCCTAACCTCTGCACTTTCAGCAAGATTGATTTGAGTAATAACTTCATCTCCTGCATGGCATCACTGGCCTCGCATCAATTAAACTCTTTCTTTATTGCAATGCTGTGGTCTTTTTTGGTGCAGCCAGCAGGAATAACCTATCAGGCAGTTACAATCTGACCATGTCACTCACCTTCTTAAACCTTCAGAGGCTCCCCATTGCTCTTATTATGAAGTCCAAACTCTTTAATGTGACTTACAATGCGTTCTCTGGCCTACCTACCTCTCCTGCTCCAGCTGCATTTCACTTCAGTTCCAGCTCCACTGAAAGACGTGCAGTTCCCTGAGAGAAGGCTCATGCTCCCTGACTCCTCCCTGTGGCTGTTCTCCCCACTCACTGTACTGTGACACCCTTGAGGGCATGTTGATTCACTGATGCTCCTGGCAGCACCAACATCCCCAAACATCCTGTTTGAGGGCAATGCCACAAGTTATCCCAGCCAGTTTGCAAGGTTATAAACCATAATTAGGGCTGGAAAACAGAGTGGTTTTGCACAGAAGTGGTTCCTTCCTACCACTCAAGAATCCTCAAAGAGGAAGAAATAAAAAGCTGTGCCTTGGGATAAAAAAGCAAGACCATTGTCCATGAGCTGTAGAAAGTTGTCTGTTATTTGAAGGGCCATGCTTTCTGATTGTCAGTTCCCAGCAATGCTGAAAAAAGCAGCCCAATTCCACCCCTACAAGAGTTGCCTAGAATGGATTAAAAAAAGCACACTGGTGGACTTTCATCTGATTAATTTTCCTGAGGGTTTCTCTCTGGCCCCTTTTAATACAAACACAGCTGACAAACCACTGCTGGCTGAGTGCTTTAATTGAGTTGCTGATGAACAACTGCATAATTTGGCAGCCAAGAATTTCCTACAGCTGCTATTAGTGGCTGCCCTGTCTGGTTTCTGATAATAAGTTCATCAAATTCACTCTACATTTCTAAGTCCAGAAATCTGAAGCTATAAACGGCACTTAGCATTGGTCCCTGGAATTAGTCTTTCTGTATTCTCTGCAGGATTCTATGCCTTTGCTGCTTCTTTCCCTGGGAAACATCCAATCAGTGTTGCCAGGACTCCTCTGCTGGGTGTGAGCTGTGGTCTGAGGCCATTCCCTGCCCAGGGTACACAGCTCCATCCCCTTTTGCTACTCAAAGGCTTAGCTCTTGCCATTGCTCCCTGTCTCCTGTATTATCAGTTTTCCCCCTATCTATTGGATCATTCCCATCAGCACACACATTTTTTGTTTCTTCCATCAGAAAGGAAAACCCACGCTTGTTTTCCCACATATTCTCTTCCAGACACTGCTCCATTTCTCTGTTCCCTTTTATAGTAAAACTCCTCAAAGTAAATGTCTACAATTATTGTCCTCCACTTCCATCCTCTCTCTCTCTCTCTTTTTTTTTTATTTATTTTTTTTGAGATGGAGCCTCGCTCTTTCACCCAGGCTGGAGTGCAGTGGCATGATCTTGGCTCACTGAAAACTCCGCCTCCCAGGTTCAAGTGATTCTCCTGTCTCAGCCTCACGAGTAGCTGGGACTATAGGCGCATGCCACCATGCCCGGCTAATTTTTTTTTTTTTTTGTATTTTTAGTAGAGACAGGGTTCCACATCGTTAGCCAGGCTGGTCTCAAACTCCTGACCTTGTCATCCACCCACCTTGGCCTCCCAAAGTGCTGGGATTACAGGTGTGAGCCACCGCACCCAGCCTCCATCCTCTCTTGAACCTGCCCAATTGAGCTTCCATCCTCCCCACTCCACTGGGCTGCCATTTTCAAGATCAACAATGACCTTGTGTTCCCAAATCAAGGTCAAGTCTCAATCCTCACCTCATTCCTGCAGCCTGTGACACACTTGATCTCCACCCCCTTCTGGAAACATGCACCTCCCCGGTTTCTGGACTCGATGTTCCTGGTTTTTCTCCCAACTCACTGGCCACTCCTTCTCAGCCTCTTGTGAGGGCTGTCCTCAGCTTTCTGACCTCTAACACAGGGGTGCCTCAGGACTGAGTTTGCAGAGGTCTTTTTTTCTCTATTTGTTGTCACTCCCCAGGTGACCCATTTGCAGCTGTACTGCACACCACACCCATGTGAATCACACCTAGTTTTCCACCTCCAGTTCCAACCTCTCTCCTGGCAACCTCAGTTCGATGTCTCAAGCATAACACATCCAAAACAGAAGGCTGTTTCTCCCCCTCAGTGCCTTCCTCTCCCCCAGTCTTCTTCATATGGAAATGGCAACTCCATTTATCCACTTGCTGAGACCAAAAGTGTTGGTGTTATTCTTGACTTCTCTCTTTCTTTCATTCTTACCCCACATCCCTCTACCTTCAAAATACAAGCAGAAGATGACTACCTCTTGCCATTCCACCATTCTCCACTAGTCTTCTCTAGTCCAAGCCAGCACTCTCTCTAGGCTGTGCTATTGCAATAGCATCAAAGGTTGGCCCCGTTTCCCTTACCTGAAATCCCACCCCACCTGCGTTTTCACTCTGCAGCCAGAGAGACTGTTCATCGCTGCACCCTTGGGGAAGTTTCACAGCTCTGCTCAACTCACCCTCACCATGGCATTTCATCTCCCTTATAATAAAATCCAATATCCTTATCGTGACTCATCCAGGCCTATGTGAATTTACCCCAACTACTTCTGTGCTCTAACCCCTCCTCTCCTGCTGGCTCACCCACTCCAGCACCCTGGCCTCCTTACTGCTCTCTGAAAGCCCAAGCATACTTCTACCTCAGGGCCTCAATTACTCTCTCCTCAACCTGGAAAGCTCCCTTTGAAGCCCATCCCAATTTCCACATGGTTCCGTCCATTATCCACATCCCTTTTCAAGTCTCTTAGGCAGAGAGGCTTTCCCTGGCCACTTTGTCCAAAATAGCCTTCTCCAGCCCATTTTCTCTGCTTAGCCTGCCTTACATATTATCCTTGAAAGAATATATTTGTTTGCATGTTTGTTTATTATCTATCTCCCCACCACTACCCACCACTACCCCGCACTGGGATATCGGCTCTCTGAGAGAAGAAAGTTTATGCTTGGTGTCCTGCCACATTCCCAGAGCCTAAAACAGTGCCTGAAACATAGAAGACCCTCTAAATATTTACCAAGCATGACCATATGCCAAGCACTGATTCGAGCATTTTTACATAAATTAATTAATTGAATTCTTGAAAGAGACCATAAGGCAAGTGATATGATTATCATTTCCATTTCACAGAAGTTGAAGCACAGAAAGGTTGACTATTTTGCCCAAGATCTCACATCTGGTAGATGGCAGAACCAGGATTTGAACCCAGGCAGCATGGCCCAGCACCTGCTCTCTTAACCACTACAATCCACCTTCCTCCAGGAGCTCATTGTCCAGCCTGGATAAATTGATGAAGCGCCGCCATCCTGCCTGACTCCCTGGGTTTATCATCCAGCACCTTGGCTCTGACTGTGGCTCAGCTGTATTCATAGGGCTTCTGCCCTGCCCTAAGAGCTGGTCCCTAACAGGTCCCAATTCTGGTATCTTCATCCCTGTTTCACTGTTCAGTAAAAAGAGTCCTAAGGCTCTGTCTTGGCCCCCCTACCTTGTATCCCTGTCCCCAGAGCTGAGTCCTGCCAGAGCTCTCTCCAGAAATGAGAAGGCTTTTAGTTGTGCCACAGGCTGAGAGACCTCCAGATGCTGACCATCTGGATATCTTGGCAGAGCCTGTTCCTGGAGTCTCATGCCAAGCTCAGTCTGCTCATCCCTTGGAACACGGCTGGCAGCTAGATAACTGCCTACAAAATTAGCCTGTCCACAAGCCCCTACCAGTTCACCTTACCAGTTACTAGTCTACAGTTCACTACCCGTTCCTAAGTCATTTTCAGTGTGCGAGCACTTCCCATACTTCTCCTTATGGAGCCCTTTGAAGGAGGTACTATCAAAACCACTTTACAAATTTGAATTTGAAAAATTTAGAAACGTTCCAAAGGTCAGAGTGGAAATGGGAACCAGTCCACGCGACTCCGACACCCGTGTCGTCTCCCCTACTCCTTGCTCACTGTCGCCAGGCAGACCTCTCCCACCCTGTGGACCTCTCTGCTTCCTCCTCATGTATCTGAAAGACAACAGGGGGTAGAAAAGTCTGAAACACATCTCCCCAATTGAGCGTTACATTCAAATACATACACACACACACATACAGTCAAGAGGCAAGGCCTCAGCCAGCAGATGTTTCTGTTCAAAATTAACATTAGGGCATCTCAGGACTATTCATTTAATAATAACAATCAAGTTATTATCTTTGACACTAATTGCAGAAATTTGAACAGATAATCACGCTCAAAACATGAACTTCTCTTATGCTTACTAAAAATCATAAGAGACTTGCCTGTGACTGAGGTCTGAGTCATTACATGCACTGTACGAGTTCTCAGCCATAAGTAACAATCACAAGACTATCAACAAGCATTAATTGAACACCTGCTGTATACAAGGTAGAAAAGCCCAGTGATAGAGCCCTGAACTGACTACTCAAAGGCTGAGGTTTGAGTCCAAGCTCTGCTATTTAATTGCTGTGTGACTTTGGGTAAGTCACTCTGTTTCTCTGAGCCTTGTTGAGAAGAAAGAATGGCACTAGCTGGCCACTAATGAGGTCTCTTCTAGATCTGGCATTCTGTAGAGAAGCAAAAAGACTTCAGATCTCACACAGCAGGAACCAAGGGAAAGTCCCTTTGGGGATTCTGCTGTCAATGGAAAAGACCAGGAAAGACTGTTCTATGTTAGAGACAGTTGCCTTTTGAATGTGAAATGCCTGATATAATAATTATCAGAATGCTGGATGGATGGATGGATGGATGGATGCATGGATGGATGGAAGGATGGATGGGTGGTTGGATGGATGGATGGACTGATTCACCCATTCATTCAGTCAGGACAGAAATGACCAACCTGACTTTTACTCAGTTTCTGACACTGGAAAGGGTCCAAGCTTTGGAGTCAGCCACTCCTGGGTTGACCCCTTTGGAGTCCGCTCCAACTCTTACAATCAGTGAAAGCCTTGGCAAGTTGCTTAACTTCTCCAAACCTCAGTTTCTGCGTCTTTGAAATTATGAAATGAGGAAATAGTTCCCATTGCCTTCATTCCCCAGTCTCCAAAAGACTCAGAATAGATCTGTTTGAACACAATCAGATCAAAGGAAGTAAAGGTTTATTTGTTACTCACCCATCTGAGAAGCTTGTACACACACAGGACTGCTCAGAAGCCAAAAAGAGCCCTCTCATTCACCAAATATTTCCTTTATCTCCCATATTCACCATCTATACAGTTGGAGCTCACCAGGTATTTAACAAGCTTGTACTGAGTGTCATTTTGTGGCAAGATAATGCTAGGTTTTAAAGATTCACAGGTAAATAAATAAACATGGTTTCAGTCCACACAAAGATTCTAGTCTAGATGGGGAGATGGATATGAAAATAACACCTATAATCCAGGATGTTCTCAGCAGCTTACATCCCAGCCTGAAGCAGACAGGTATTGCATAAATATATTTTGAGAAAGTAAACATCATCATAATAATAAATGAAGTAATTTGCAAGATAAGGGAAGTATAGGGTACCATGGGAACACATGGAAGGAAAACCTAAATCAGATATGTACGGTGACAGATTTCCTTTAGAAAGAAATGTCTCAGAGAAAGAATATGCCAGGCAGAAAGAAAATCATGTGAAAGGCCTTGGGTAAGACACAGAGTTCAGTCTGTGAGAGAACTGAGAGCAGTTCATTGCTGAGAAGTCAGATGCAAGGAGTGGAGAGACAACCTGCATGGGTACACAGGGACTAGAGCTTAAAGGGCTACATGGGGTACTTTAAGGAGGGTAAATTTTCCCAAGGGCAGTAAAGAACCATAAAGATTTTTAAAAAGAAGAGATATAATTAGATATTTATTTTAGAATTATGCTTCTTAAACTTTAATGCACTCAGGCATTACTTAGGGATTTTGTTTAATGCAAATTCAGATTCAATAGATCTGAGACCCATGAAAATGGGATTCTGCATTTTTAATGAGTTCCCACATGATGCCAATGGTGCTGGTACATGAACCACACTTTGAGTACTGAGATTTTAAAGTAGTCACCCTAGCTAGTTTGGGGAATAAATTGGAAGGGAGAAGAACCAAGGAGGCGGGGATACTAGTTGGATAAGTGATGATGAGGAAGTGGCAAATGGAACAGAAATAAATAAGCAGAGTTGGGATATTATAAGACTTTTGTGGGGATGAAAAGGCAGGGATGATGCTTCAATTCCTGGCTTCGGCATCTGAGTGAACGAAGGTGGCATTCATCAAGATGGGGCAGAGAAGGAGAAGCCAAGTTTGAGAGAGAAGATGAATTCACCTTTGTACTTGCTGCATTTTTGAGGCTCCTCTGAAATTCTAAGTGGAGACACTAAGTACACAGTTGAATATATAGATCTGAGTTTCAGAAGAGAGTTCTATATTAGAGACATATCTGGGAGCCTTAGGCAGGAAGGTTTTTCATTTTTCCTTCTCCATTATGCCAAAGAGGCTAAAGCTGCAATTTTATTCTTTCTGGCAGCCTTTGAAATACTTCCAATATTTCAAAGGCTGAAATATGGGACAGGGATCAGGGTGTTCCTTGGCACTCCACTTCTTGAGTCTGTCCATTACCCTACCAAGGTCCCTCACAAGCAAGCATGATTGGGACCTGCTGGGGAGAAGAGAGCTCTCTCACAGAAGCTGGTAGGAAGCCCATCCTGGGTTTTTGTTCCGCTGAAATCCAAACCCAGTCTCCTTTACAGTGCATTTGAGGAAAGAAAACAAGAGGACATTATGGAAAGTGCCTGGAACAATGTCTGGCAGAGAGTGGAGGGAGAGAGCTAGATTATAGTCATGTGTGGTACCATGTCCAGGGGAACCAGAGAGAATTTGGCAAGACTTAAACCCCAGGGAGTCAGATAAGCCCCATGCTGGAGCGAGTATGGGAAATAAGTAATACAGATGGGAACTGGCCTTGTTCACCAGGCTAATTATAGAAATAGAGGCACAAGGTTAGCAGAACCAGGCATGAGGTTGCTGCTTGCTGATACAACAAGCTACTGGTCTGGGCTCCTTGAAACCCCAAGAACAGGACTGGGACCTGTCCCAGAGACTACGATGGCCAAGCAGCTCTGGTTGTGAGATTGAAAGGGCCTGTTTCACACTTTCATGCCCTTACTGACTCAGCTCCTTCCACTCTTTCCTTTGTCCCTCCACCTTTTTCTTTCTTTTTTTTTTTTTTTTTTCCAGAAACAAAAATGTATATATTTACAAATTGTAAATGTCACAACTACAGGCAAGCATCTTGAGGGTTTTACACTATTTTTAATTTTTTTTATTATTGCCAAAGAAAAATATATGCACTATAGGGCGATCAGAACCTACAGATTTGCAAAAGAAAGAAAATAAAAACCATGCATATTTTCATCACTTAGTTAATAATTTGGAGTATATCCTTCCTGACCTTTTGCTATGCCTATTTAATTAAAAAATGGAATGATGTGATTTCTATAGCCTGGTTCTCCTCACTCAAAAACATATCATGGTTATGTCTGTGTTGTTACTTACATTTCTACAATATCATTCTTAACAGTTGCATAATATTTCCTTGTATTAAAGTATTACCATTTTCCACCAAGTGATTCCCCTATTGTTGGACATGGAGATTGCTTTTAATTTATTGTTTTGGATAAATTTGTTGCTTTGGTCAACATTCTTGCATCCACATTTTTTCCTACACCCTACATTATTTCCTTAGGATAAATTCCTCAGAGGCATGTTTGCTAGCCCAAAAGGCACACGGGTCTTGCTGTGTTGCCCAGGCTGGTCTTGAACTCCTCCTGGTCTCAAGTGATCTTCTCGCCTCAGCCTCCCAAAGCACTGCTGTTACAGTCATGAACCACCAAGCCCAACCAGGCACACACAGGCTTTGGAAGAACATTGTGCCAAATAGCCGTCAAAGAGGTTGATTCGATTTGCCCTCTTACTGCAGTGTCTAAGAGGACTCATTTTTTTATTTTTATTTTTTTTTTTATTGATCATTCTTGGGTGTTTCTCGCAGAGGGGGATTTGGCAGGGTCATAGGACAATAGTGGAGGGAAGGTCAGCAGATAAACAAGTGAACAAAGGTCTCTGGTTTTCCTAGGCAGAGGACCCTGCGGCCTTCCGCAGTGTTTGTGTCCCTGGGTACTTAAGATTAGGGAGTGGTGATGACTCTTAACGAGCATGCTGCCTTCAATCATCTGTTTAACAAAGCACATCTTGCACCGCCCTTAATCCATTTAACCCTGAGTGGACACAGCACATGTTTCAGAGAGCACAGGGTTGGGGATAAGGTCACAGATCAACAGGATCCCAAGGCAGAAGAATTTTTCTTAGTACAGAACAAAATGAAAAGTCTCCATGTCTACTTCTATCCACACAGACCCGGCAACCATCCGATTTCTCAATTTTTTCCCCACCCTTCCCGCCTTTCTATTCCACAAAACCGCCATTGTCATCATGGCCCATCCCCAATGAGCCGCTGGGCACACCTCCCAGACGGGGTCCTGGCCGGGCAGAGGGGCTCCTCACTTCCCAGTAGGGGCGGCCGGGCAGAAGCGCCCCTCACCTCCTGGATAGGGCGGCTGGCCGGGCGGGGGGCTGACCCCCCCACCTCCCTCCCGGACGGGGCGGCTGGCCGGGCAGAGGGGTCCTCACTTCCCAGTAGGGGCGGCCGGGCAGAGGCGCCCCTCACCTCCCGGATGGGGCGGCTGGCCAGGCGGGGGGCTGATCCCCCCACCTCCCTCCCGGACGGGGCGGCTGGCCGGGCGGGGGGCTGACCCCCCCCACCTCCCTCCCGGACGGGGCGGCTGGCCGGGCAGAGGGGCTCCTCACTTCCCAGTAGGGGCGGCCGGGCAGAGGCGCCCCTCACCTCCCGGACGGGGCGGCTGGCCGGGCGGGGGGCTGACCCCCACCACCTCCCTCCAGGACGGGGCGGCTGGCCGGGCAGGGGGCTGACCCCCCTCCCCCCTCCCGGACGGGGCGGCTGAGGACACCTTTTTCTTTCAAAAGGCAGCTCCAGTCAGCTCTTCCAAAGCTTTCCTGGCCTCTACACTTATGCCTTTGTGTCCCCATTTACCCTGTATAAATGACCATCGTATATTAATGTAGTATGTAACAGTTTAATGTTACCTCCTTCAATAGATTGTAAGTTCTTCATGGCTATTGTGCTGGAGAAATATCAAAATCACACCGATGTAATAGCCAGACTATTTTTCTGAATTAATACATTGACTTTTATTTTCAGCAATATGACAGATTTGGTTGTCAAAGAAAAAAAGATTGGTACAGAACACCTAAAATGCTAGTAAGATATTTTTAAAATCTCTTCTCACTTACATAGCTGAGCTGGCATGAGAATAAAAGAAATGATCAGAGGTCAGGAACAAGGAGAAACCATAAATCAAGAGAGATGAGCAAGTACTGAAACTGCCATCTTCTCTGGAGTCATCTGTCAATCCCTAGAAGTTTAGGGACTGATTTTTATGGACCACATGAACATGGAAGAACAAGAAATAAAGCCTAGAGCCAGAACGGGGTAGAAGGCTGGATTAGAGGACCTCCAAAAAACCAACATACCAGGCTGAGCAACACAGCGAGACCCTGTCTCTAAAAATACTTTTAAAAATTAGCCGAGCATGGGGGTGCACATCTGTAGTCCCAGATGCTAGAAAGGATGAGGCAGGAGAATCACGAGCCCAGGAGGACAAGGCTGCAGTGAGCCATGATTGCACCGCTGCAACTCCAGCCTGTGAGAAAGAATGGGTCCCATTTCTAAAAAAAAAAAAAAAAAAAAAAAAAATTAAGACAAAAAATCTATTGTCAGTGTATACAGTGTATATTTTTTAACCTTCCCTACAGTGTGAGCAAACAGTACAAACAGTAGAGATTTTGGCCTTGAATCTGGGTAGAATAGGACCCAAAAGGGGAGGGGGAAACCGTCTAGAGAATTCTTAATCACAAGCCTTTACTCATGTGAATTTGGAGTTGGAATTTATGCTACCCATAGGGACAGAAAACTCTGAAGTCAAAAATTTCATTGAAAGTGATGCCAGGTTGACTAGTAAATCCTAACCAGAATGAACCAAAAGAAAATCACAGCTAAATGCATTGTATTCAAACTGCAAAATGTCAAATTATATTGAGTTGATTGCCATCAAATTATACTGATGTAAATATTTTAAGGAAAATATATAATCAGCTAGATGAAAGGCAGGTTATCTACAGTGGAACAACCTTTAAACTGATAGCTGACGTGTGTGTGTGTGTGTGTGTGTGTGTGTGTGTGGTTTTTTTGGTTTTTGTTTGTTTGTTTGTTTGTTTGTTTGTTTGTTATGGAGTCTCACTGTCTCACCCAGGTTGGAGTACATTGGTGCAATCTCAGCTCAGCACCAAACTCTACCTCCCAGGTTCAAGTGATTCTCCTGCCTCAGCCTGCCAAGTAGCTGAGCTTACAGGCGTGTGCCACCACGCTCGACTAATTTTTGTATTCTTAGTAGAGACGGGGTTTCACCATGTTGGCCAGGCTGGTTTCGAACTCCTGACCTCAGGTGATCTGCCTGCCTTGGCCTCCCAAAGTGCTGGGATAACAGGCATGAGCCACCACGCCCAGCCTGATAGCTGACTTGTTATGTAACAAGGAAAGTTGAAAATGATGACACTTCATGGGATGCACCAAGTTCAAGTCAATCCAGGCCAATCCAGGTGGGTTGCATACTCACAGACCTGGGACCTGGCCGCTTCATGTGGCATAAATTGTTATGAAGAAATCTGAATTTTGTCTGTAAGTAACCTACAGGCAGAATGATACTAATAATAGCATCTGTTAAGTAATGACGACTTATCAGGCATTTAAAACATATTTTCATTAATCTTCAAGACTATCTCAAAAAATGGGTATTATCATATCTCCAATTTTAGGGATGCACAAATCAAGCCTCAAAATTTTTGAAAAACTTGTCTAAATTCCAGGTCTCCCCAGTGAATCAGGATTCCCATTCAATTCCAACTGACACAAAGTTTCTCTTAGCATCCTTCATCCTCATGTCTTCTCTCTCTGAGCCTAAGGAATTGGTCTATATTGAAACAGGGAAATAAAACCAAGTGATAACTCAAATCCACAGGAAGTAATGAGGAGTACCAGAGACTGCAAATATGTAAGTTAACATAAAATATTCTATAAATATATTTTTCCCCTTTTTTCTGTTAAGTTCTATAAAAGACATAAAAAGCAACAATTATAATATCATATTGTTGGGATTAAAACATATATAGGCTATACACACATATACAGAATAATAAAAAGTAGAGGGCAGGGAATGGAGCTATATTTGAGAAAATTTCTATATTAAATTAATATTAATATCAAGTAGATTGTGATAAATTAAGATGCATATTGTACTCCCTAAAGCAGTGATTCTCAACTGGGAATGATTTTTCTTCCAAGAGGACATTTTACAATGTCTGGAGACATTTACGGTTGTCACAACCTGGGGGCGCTACTGGCATCTGTGGGAAGAAGCCAGGAATGCTACTAAACACTCTACAATGCATAGGACAGCTTCCAACAGCAAAGAATGATCTGGCCAAATATGTCAGTAGTGCAAAGGCAGAAGAATCCTGCTCTAGAGTGATCATTGAAAAAAAAAAAAAAAAAAAACTTGGCCAGTCACACCAGTTCATCCCTATAATCCCAGCACTTTAGGAGGCCAAGGCAGGAGGATCACTTGAGCCCAGGAGTTTCAGACCAGCCTGGGTAACATGGCAAAACTTCCTTTCTACAACAAATACAAAAATTAGCCCTGCATGGTGGTGCAGACCTGTAGTCCCAGCTACTCGGGAGGCTGAGGTGGAGGTGGGAGGATTGCTTGAGCCTGGGAGGTCGAGACTGTAGTGAACCATGATGGTGCCACTGCACTTCAGCCTGGGCAACAGAGTGAGTCCTTGTCAGAAAAAAATAAAATAAAATAAAACTCAAAAAATTATAGTAAAATAAAATTAAAGGCATTAAAATAATCATTCAAAATTATCTCTTTAATAGGAAATAAGACAATAAAAGAGGAACATAAGAACAAAAAAGACACCAGCAATTTAGAAAACAAATAGCAAAAATGGCAGACACAAATCCAACCCTATCAATAATAACATTAAATATGAATACATTAGATACTCTAATCAAAAGGCAGAAATTGTCAGACTGCATTTAAAATTTTTAACTATATACAGTCTACAAGAGGCACACTTTAGATTCAAAGAGACAAATAAACTAAAAAGTTTAAAAATGGAAAAAGATATTCCATGCAAACAATAATCCTAAGAGAGCTGAAGTGGCTCATTAAGGATCAAAAATATTACCAGAGCAAAAAAAAGCATTATATGAAAAGGTCAATTAATCAAGAAGATATAGCAATTCTATACATACCTAACAACAAAGCCCCAATACACATGAAGCAAAAATTGACAGAATTAAAGGGAGAAACAGACAACTCAACAGTAGTAGTTGATACATTCAACATCCACTCTGAATAATGAATAAACAGCTAGACAGAAAAGTCAGCAAGAGTATAGAGAATTCAAACACCATCATCAAACAATTTAAGACATCTACAGAACATTCTATTGAACAACAACTAAGTACACATCATTTTCAAGTGCACAGAGAACATTCTCTAAGGCAGACTACATGCTAGGGCATAAAAAAATCATACTAAATTTTAAAAGGTTGAAAGTATGCAAAGTATGCTCTGTGACCACCATGGTATTCTATAAGAAATCAATAATAGGAAATCTGAAATCCACAAATATTTAGAAATTAAACAACACGCTTCTAAACAAAAAATGAGCCAAAGAAGAAATTACAGGGAAAGTAAGAAAATATTTTGAGCTGAATGAAAATGAAAGCATACTATATCAAAATTTGGAGGATAAAGACAAAGCAATGCTTAGAGGAAAATGTATAGCTTTAAATGCATATATTAGAAAAAAGGAAAGGTCTCAAGTCAATAACCTAAGCTGCTACCTTAAGAAACTAGAAAGAGCAGGCAAAACAAGCAGGAGGAAGGAAATAATGAAGATTAGAGCGAAATATCCATGAAATAGAAGATAGAAAAGCAATAAAGAAAAATTGATTTTTAAAAAGTTGGTTCTTTGAGAAGATCAACAAAATTAGCAAAATTTAGTTAAACTATACAAAAAAAAGAAGACAAGACTCAGATTACAGAAATCAGGAATGAAAGGGAGAATATCACTACCATCCTTACAGAAAGATTATAAAGAAAATACTATAAAGAACTTTATGACAACAAATCAGATAACTTAGACGAAATGAAGAAATTCTTACAAAAACATGTTAGAAAATCTGACTAAACCTATAAGTAATAAATTGAATTCATAGTAGAGATCTTCCCAGAATAGAAAGCCCAGGCCTAGGTTGCTTCGCTGGTAAATTTTACGTAACATTTATAGGAAAAATAATACCAATTCTTCACATAATTCTTCCAGAAAACAGAATATGGGAAGAGGGGATATTCCCAACTCATTCTATGAGGTCAGTTTTATCCTGATATCAAAGCCAAAGATATCACAAGAAAAGAAAACTACACCAATATCCCTCATGAATAGAGACACAAAAATCCCCAACAAAATACTAGCAAATGGAATCTAGTAACATATAAAAACAATTATGCCTTACAACCCAGTGAGATTTATCCTAGGAATGCAAGATTAGTTTCACATGTGAAAAATCAATTAATGTAGTATGCTATATTAATAGAATTAAGGACAAAAGCCACATGATCATCTCAATCAATGCAGAAAAAGCATTTGACCAAATCTAATATCCATTCTGATTAAAAAGCACATATATATGGCCGAGCGTGGTGGCTCTTGCCTGTAATCCAAGCACTTTGGGAGGCTGAGACGGGCAGATCACAAGGTCAGGAGTTCGAGACCAGGCTGACCAACATGCAGAAACCCCGTCTCTACTAAAAATACAAAAATTAGCCAGGCATGGTGGTGCACACCTGTAATCCCAGCTACTCTGGAGGCTGAGACAGGAGAATCACTTGAATCCTGGAGGCAGAGGTTGCAGAGAGCTGAGATTATGCCACTGCACTCCAGCCTGGGCAACAGAGCGAGACTCTGTCTCAAAAAAAAAAAAAAAAAAAAAAAAGCACACATATACATTCAGACTAAGAATAAAAGAAAATTTCCTCACCTTGCTGAAGATCATCTAGGAAAAACTTACAGCTGAACTCATACAAATAATGAAAGATTTCCCCCCTAAAATCAGGAACAAGGCAAGGATATCCACTCTCATCACTTCCATTCAATGTTGTCATGGAATTTCTAGTCTGTACAATTAGGCAACAAAAACAAATAAAAGCATTCCAGATTGGAAAGGAAAAAGTAAAGCTGTCTTCCTTCACAGACAACATAATCCTGTGTTTAGAAATTCCTCAGGAATCCATTAAAAACTACTAGAACTAATAAAAAGTTTACCTTGTTTACAGATTTCTTCTTCTCCTTCTAACCTATTATATTTAAGTTTCCAGAGACCTACAGAAAAGCCTGAAGTCTATCATTTAATTATTTTTATATTTAAGTTAATCTATAAGGCTATGACTTAAAGGAATACTATTAGTCCTTAATTCAATTGTTAATTATTGTCATTTTCCTAGGATGGATCAGTCATCCTATTCAGTGGTTATTTCCTGAGTAATTCCAGAAAATATGCTGCCTTCAATTCTAGGAGCCTAAAATAGCTGGCATTTTTAGAAAGCATAGACCTAGACTTTATATAGTTTATTTATATTTTTCTAACTCCAGGTTACATTCACAATACATTTAATTTAAAAATATATCCTTATGCCACTTGAATTTGGAGGCCTCTTCAGATTTCCTGCCAAATATCTCACCTGAATTTTTTCCAACACTAAAGTCACATATTTTGTCTTATTTTGTCTTTTGCCAGGAACATCAACACTCATCTCCATTTTATATCTACCCTTAACCATGTTTTATGAGCTATTTTCCCAGTGCCACAAACAGTTCAACATTTGTGGGAAATGTATACCCTTCATGCTTTTTTAAGATTGATAAAAGAAAAAATACAGGTTACTAGTGACTCAGAAGTGATATCATACAGATCAGTCATTGTACAAAGCTGTTGTGGACAAGTTAACTGTTGAGAAATAGGCACACATAAAGCTTCCGAGTTATCTGCCTCTACATAGAGACCCCTGAGGCTTAGGTGCATGGTCTGCTAGTTGTGGGAAACTATGAAATGTCTCTCTGATTAAATGTTTCTTCAAACAATACAGGATTATCTGGAAAGAATGAAATAGGGAAAACAGTCAAAAGAGTTTTTTTAAAAAGGAGGCTGAAGCAAAGGTGTAACAGGGATGTCCAATTATTTGAAGGACTGCTGATATGGTTTAGATATTTGCCCCCTCCAAATCTCAGGTTGAAATCTCAGGTTGATCCTCATTTTGGAAGTGGGGCCTACTAGAAGGTGTTTGGGTGATGGGGGAGGATCCCTCATTAATGGCTGGGTGCCATTCTCACAGGATTAAGTGAGTTCTCACTCTTAGTTCCTGTGAGACCTGGTTATTAAAAAGAGTCTGGGTTGGGCACATTGACTCATGCCTGTAATCTCAGCACTTTGGGAGGCTGATGCAGGAGGCTCACTTGAGACCAGGAGTTCAAGACCAGCCTGGACAACATGGTGAAATCCCAACTCTACAAAAAATACAAATATTAGCCAGGTGTGGTGGTGTGCACCTATAGTGCCAGCTAATCAGGAGGTTGAGGTGGAGGTGGAAGGATAGCTTGAGCCCAGGAGGCTAAGACTGCAGTGAACCATGATCATGCCACTGCACTCCAGCCTGGGTGACAGAGCGAGACCCTGTCTGAAAAAAATATCTAAATAAATAAAAGAGTCTGGAACCTTCCTCCCTTTTCTCTCTCTCTCTTCCTCTCTCACCTCCTCTCTCACCGTGTGACATGCTGGCTCCTCCTTGGCCTTCTGTCATGATTGGAAGCTTTCTGAGTTCCTCTCCAGAAGCAGATCTGGTGCCATGCTTCTTGTACAGCCTGCAGAGTTGTGAGCCAGATAAACCTCTTTCTCTATAAATTACCCAGCCTCAGGTATTCCTTTAGAGCAACGGCAAAATGAATTGAGACAACTGCGATATGGAAAAGGTGAGAAATCTGGCCTATAATCATTCATTTATTCAATAACTATTTGAGCACATGCTATGTGCCAAGAACTGTACTCAATGCTAGTAATACAAAGATGGGGAGAAACAAACATCAAGGAGGAAAAGACATGTAAAACACATACCTCACAATGTCATAAGTGCAGCAGTCAAAACAGGTACAGGGGGAAGTGTGCTTTGGGAGGTCAGGGAAGGCTTCCTGGAGGAGGTGACTCTTCAACTGAGTTTACAGAGAAAAGTAAAAGATTTCCAGAAAGATGAGGGGGGCAAGAAACTACAGATAGAGGCATCAGCAGAGGCACAAAGGCATAAAAAGGGATATGGGTGAGGAAATAATGTGATTCCATATTGCTAGGATAGAAGGTGGTGAGGTGGGGGGTAGTGGTAGAGGAGGTGGACAGGTGCGCAGAAGCCAGTGAGGATGGGCTTAGACTGTTGATCTTCATCCTATCAGCAAGCTGGGAAGTGAACTTACAGTTTTTATCTGTTATTCCAATGACCTAAACTAAAACCTGGGGTAAGGCTATAAATTACAGAGAAAAAACTACTGGGTCAGTACAAGAAGAAACATTTTAGTTAGCTACAGCTACAAAGCTAAGAAGTTGTTTTACAGACTCTTGATCTTCACGAGTAGCAGACAGAGATATTTGTTAGAGATATAATAAAATTTGTTAGAGATATAATAAAAAGCATTCTCAGGAAAACCTTTATGAGGAAAACTTTAAAACACTCCTGATTGAACAATTCTAAAAAAAATATTTTACTTTCTTTACTTTTTCTTCTTGCCTTCAAATTTAATTTACAGGAAAAACATATTTTCTTTTTGGATAGACAACATAGTATTATATCTTAAAAACTCAGTAGTCCCTAAATTAATTTAAAAGTGAACGCAATCACAATAAAAATATCAACAAGCTTTTTTAAAATAATGGAGCTAGATAAGTTGATACTAAAGTTTATATGGCAAAAGAATCATAAAATAGCTGGAAAACCCAAAAGAGAAAAGCTATGAGGGTGGACTAGCCCCAGCAGAGAGTAAAACATACTATTAAGCTTCCATAATTAAAATGGATATGTAGCCAGGTGCAGTGGCTCACACCTGTAATCCCAACACTTTGGGAGGCTGAGGCAGGTGGATTGCTTGAGCCCAGGAATTCAAGAGCAGCCAGGGCAACATGGCAAAACCCTGTCTCTATAAAAATACAAAAATTGGCTGGGCATGGTGGTGCGTGCCTGTAGTCCCAGCTACTAGGGAGACTGAAGTGAGAGGATCACTTGAGCCCAGGAGGTCGAGGTGGCAGTGAGCAGAGATCATGCCACTGCACTCCAGCCTGAACAACAGAGTGAGACCTTGTGTCAAAAAACAAAAATAAAAAATAAAGTGGATATGCATATTGAAGTATGGGGGGGGGGAGTGTTGTAATGTCTTCAACTTTCTTTGAAATGCATGAAAAAATAAGATGAATTGATGGATGAATAGAGAGATAAGAGATGGATAAGTATGTGACAAAGCAAATGTAATGAAGTGTTCACTGTAGAATACAGACAGATACATGGGTTTCACTGTAAAATTCTTTCAACTTTGTGTATGTTTGTTATAGTAAAATGTTTTTTTTAAACTGGTGCCAAAAAAATAAAAACAACGTGAAACCAGCATAAGAATAAATCACAGGGAAATGTAATGAACAAACTGCAAAAACAGTCCAAAGTACACATGGAAATCTAATATTTGATACAGGTGGTATCTCAAATCATTTAGAGAAGAGATGAACATTTTATCAAATGACTTAAGGACAACTTCATAACCATTTGGAAAAAGATTGATTTAGATGCATATCTCACACCATAAACAAGGAAAAACTTAAAAAGGATCAGAGACCTAAAATTAAAAAACGAAACCAAATACTACATGAAAACATGGGTGAATTTCTCTACAAACTCCAGGTAGGGAAAAGCTTCCTAACTATGACTCAAAATCCAGATGCAATAAAGGAAAAGGTCTATAAATTTTACTATACTGAAATATACTTTCATGTGACAAAAAATATCATAACCAAAGCCGAAAAAGAAAATGTTCATAACATATAACAGATAAAGGGCCAATATCCTAATATATTTTTAACTCTTAAAAATTGAGAGGGACTAATGCCAGAAACCCAGAAAAAAATAAGTAAAAGACATGAACAGAAAACTTAAACAAAAATATATTAAACTTCATCCATAATTTTTTGATGCAAACTATAACTACCCCGAGATACCATTTCTCACATATCAGATTGACGGAAATTTAGAAGCTTGACAACATATTGTCAAGGCTGGAGGCAAATACAAGTTCTTATTCATTGCTAGTGGGAATGCAAACTGGTTCAGCTCTTGTAGAGGAGAATTTGGCAAATTTTTAAAAATTACATGTGCATTTGCCTAGCAATCTCATTTCTAGACCTTTAACTTGATGATACACCTCCAAACTATATGAAAATACATATATACAAGGTTATACATTGCAACTTTATTTGTAATTGCAATATATTGGAAACAATCTAAATGCCTATAGGAGAGAACATGGTTGAATAAATTATGGAACATCTGCAACTGTTTAAGAAAAAAAAGTGAGGGTCAGGCACGGTGGCTCACGCCTGTAATCTCAGCACTTTGGGAGGCCCAGGTGGGCAGATCATGAGGTCAGAGTTCGAGACTAGTCTGGCCAACATGGTGAAACCTCATCTCTACTAAAGATACAAAAAAAAAAAATTAGCCGGGCATGGTGGCATGCACCTGTAATCCCAGCACTTTGGGAGGCCAAGGCAGGTAGATCATGAGGTCAGGAGATCGAGACCATCCTGGCTAACACAGTGACACCCCTCATCTACTAAAAATAAAAAAATTAGCCGGGGGTGGTGGCGGGCGCCTGTAGTCCCAGCTACTCTGGAGGCTGAGGCAGGAGAATGGCGTGAACCCAGCAGGCGGAGCTTGCAGTGAGCCGAGATCGCGCCACTGCACTCCAGCCTGGGCTGCAGAGCAAGACTCCGTCTCAAAAAAAAAAATTAGCCAAGCATGATGGCATGCACCTGTAATCCCAGCTACTCAGGAGGCTGAGGCAGGAGAATCAGTTGAACTCAGGAGGCAGAGCTTGCAGTGAGCCGAGATTGCGCCAGCCTGGGTGACAGGGCGAGACTCCGTCTCAAAAAAAAAAAAAAGAAAAAGAAAAAGTGAGGAAGATCTGTATGAACTGATACGGGATGATTTCCAAGATCACTTGGTAGGAACTGTGATTTTTTTTTTCTTTTGAGACAGAGTCTTGCTCTGTCACCCAGGGTAGAGTGCAGTGGCGCAATCTTGGCTGGCCACAACCTCCACTACCTGGGTTCAAGTGATTCTCCTGCCTCAGCCTCCCAAGTAGCTGGGATTACAGGTGCATGCCACCAAACCCAGCTGATATTTGTATTTTTAGTAGAGATGGGGTTTCACCATATTGGCCAGGCAGGTCTCAAACTCCTGACCTCAAGTGATCCTCCCGTCTCGGCCTCCCAAAGTGCTGGGATTACAGGCGTGAACCACGGTGCCCGGCCAGAACTGTGATCCTAGCTGAGGGACAGCCAGCTAATGGTGACCCTACAGGAAGGGAACTTGGGGGAATAAATGACCTGATATTACTCTCCTTCCATCCTCCATTCTTCGGCACATTCTCATTGGCACAACCCAAACAGAAGACAGAAAGTAAGAGCAGACCATAAAGGTCAGCCTCCCAGATTAGGTAAGGGTGGAAAGTGGGTTTGGAGGATTAAACAGATCACCAGCACATAGGGTAACTTTTCCTCTTGCTAGACATTTAGTTTGCATCTGATTCTTCACTATTACAAATAGTGAACACCCTTACCCAGCAAATGTTTAACTGGGGGAGGGGCCCTGATTTGTGGTGTTTTCCACGGTATTCAGTATATGGTGTGAATACAGGGACATATACACAGTGAACTATGTCACTATTAGCAAGCTACCATTGTGAAATCACTGGATGAGGAGCTGGGAAGAGGTGTGCTCAGTTGGTTCTCATAGTCGATCAAGCCATCACCTACACACGGTTGTGTGTCCTCAGAGTTTTGTCCCCATGTTGGATTGCATTCTTAGAATAAATTCTTAGATTTAGAATGACTGGAACAATAGA
Organism: Homo sapiens; assembly: GCF_000001405.40. Lineage (NCBI taxonomy): Eukaryota > Metazoa > Chordata > Mammalia > Primates > Hominidae > Homo > Homo sapiens. The sequence goes on from NC_000007.14 coordinate 32,399,282, forward strand.
TCCAAATACTTTGTGGGATCCTGTACTGGTCAGACCCTGTAGGATCCTGTATTATTTTGCCACAACAAAATGCCATAGACTGAGTGGCTTAAGCAACAGAAATTTATTTTCTCATGGTTCTGGAGGCTGGAAGTCCATCATCAGGGTGCTAGCATGGTTGGGTCCTGGTGAGAGCCTACAGCTGGCTTGCGGGCGGTGCCTCTCACTATGTCCTCATGTGGCAGAGAGATCTTGCTCATCCTCGTCTTATAAGGCCACAGTCTTATTGGTTCAGGGATCCACCCTATGACTTCATTTAACTTTTTTTTTTTTTTTTTTTGAGACAGAGTCTTCCTCTGTTGCCCAGACTGGAATGCAGTGGCACAATCCCAGCTCACTGCAACTTCTGCCTCCTGTGTTCAAATGATTCTCATGCCTCAGCCTCCCAAGTTGCTGGGATTACAGGCATGTGCCACCACACCCAGCTAATCTTTTGTATTTTTAGTAGAGACAGGGTTTTGCCATTTTGGTCAGGCTGGTCTTGAACTCCTAGCCTCAAGCAATCCTCCCATTTCGGCCTCTCAAAGTGCTAGGATTACAGGCATGAGCCACCACACCAGGCCTGACTTCATTTAACCTTAATTACCTCCTAAAGACCCTATCTCCAGATATAGTTATATTGTGGGTTAGGGCTTCGACATACAAATTTAGAGGGGTGCAGGGAGGATACAGTTCTGTCCATAGAAGATCCTTGTATGTACTGAACAGGTTCTCATTTGTAAAGTCCTAGGATAGTCCCATAAAGTAGGTAGAGCTCTAAACCTGGAAATTTCATTGTTCCTTCCTCTGAGAAACATAGTTCACTGTGTATATGTCCCTGTATTCACACCGTATTATTATTAATTCCCCAACAAGAGTGAAAGCCCTCAACAGAAAAGACTCTGTCTTAGATTTATACCACAGTGCCTGGCACAGACGTGTCTAGCACAGAAAATGGTTTTAATAGCATGAATGGACAAATGAAGAAACTTAAATTTGAATCCCAACTCTGCCTCCAACTCAAGGCATGACCTTTGACAAATCAGTCTTCTTCTCTAAATCTGAATTTCCTCATCCATTTTCCCCCAACTGTGTCCCACTGAGATGTTCTATGCAAAAAAAAGAAAAAAGAAAATGGGAGTCTGTGGTCAGACGGAAAATACTGCAGGCTAGATTTGGCTGTTAAGAGTTACAATGCACATTTCTAGAACAAAGTATTTAAGAAGTCCAGCAGTGAGGAAACCAGTTTAATTTCGTTTAACCATCAGCTCCCAAATGTGTTTGCCATGGAAAGTTTTCTTTTCTCCTGGAGCTGGTGTTCCTCAGAGTTCACATTGGAAAACACTGGACTAGAAGGTGTTTAAGGCTCTTCCCTGCTCTGACATTTATGATTTTGTCACAGAATGGCCCCGACTGGACTTTGAAACTACTCAAGCCAGATGATGGAAATGAAGCCATGAATGGCAAAACAGTGACACTGTGACACACCGTTAGATGGTATTTGTATCTGCAGGGCCACAATACAGAAGGTTCCCTTCCTTATCCCCGACATAGTTCCTGCTGAATGAGCTCCCACTGTCACATGTACCCCACAAGCTAAAGTCACCCAGGTGACCTGTGCTCTTCACTGTGACTCTGAGAACACATCTTCACTTTGCCTAAGTGGCAAAACATCTTGAGTAAAATGTGTTTTCCATCCAAGCTCCTGGCATACATAGGCTGCCCGTATACTTTTCACACTTTGTTAAAGGTCATGGTCATAACCTTCTTTGCACTGTTATCTAAAATAGTGGTCTCAAAAGTGTTTTGATTGTACAACTGAACAAGTAAAAATATTTTGATATGTACTTCCAATGTATTTTATGTATGTATGTATGTGTGTATTTATAAGTAACAGACATATTCTATTTTCCTAGTATAGTATGACTTTTATAAAGTTTATAAAAATAGAAATGTAGGCCGGGTACAGTGGCTTACACCTGTAATCCCAGCACTTTGGGAGGCCGAGGCGGGCAGATCATGAGGTCAGGAGATCGAGACCATCCTGGCTAACACAGTGAAACCCCGTCTCTACTAATAATACAAAAATTAGCTAGGCGTGGTGGCACGTGCCTGTAATCCCAACTACTCGGGAGGCTGAGGCAGGAGAATCACTTTAACCCAGGAGGCAGACGTTGCAGTGAGCCAAGATCATGCCACTGCACTCCAGCCTGGGCAACAGAGCAAGACTCCATCTCAAAAAAAAAAAAGAAAGAAAGAAAGAAAAAAAATAGAAATGTAAACCAGATGAGGAAATAAATAGAAACAGATGTCCTGATGCTTTTGTGTGGTCCCACCGCAGCTTGCCCTGGGCTTCCCTGATGTATGTGTCCCTCACCGAGGAGATTCTGTGCTCAAGCCTTAGCTAATTTTCACATAGTTTACCAGCCTAAAAGAAGCAGAAGTAGAGGCTACATCCAGGCTCCTGAGCTGAGCAAACAAGCTTCCTTCCCACCTTGAAGGGGGCAACTCGCCTACGTCAGAGAGTCTGCAGTCTTTCAGCAGAGTGTAGGAGAATATGGGCTTCAGTTTGAACTGGACCTGAGTTCAAATCCTGGCTTGTATCAATTTGGTAGCATGTGACTTTGAGCATACAGATTATACTATTAAGTAATAATATTATCTTCCATTTATCAAGGACTTACTAAGTATCAAGAAGTCTGCTAAACACTTTTATATACATGATCTATTTATCCTCATATCTGTTATAAATGTAGATATTGTTTTCCCTATTTAATAAAGCAGGAAACCAAAGCACTAAAAAAATATGTAATTTGCCTAAAGTGAAACCCAGATCTGTCTGGCTCCAAATTCCTGGCTCTAACAACCACATTCTACTGGCTCCATACTCACTTGTATTAATCTGCGTTCCTCAGAGAAACAGAACCAGTAGGATACACATAATCACTAGATAAAAAGAGATTTATTATGAGGCACTAGCTCATACATTATGGAGACTGAGAAGATCCATAAGCTGCCTCTGCAAACTGGAGGCCCAAGAAAGCCAGTGGGGTAGTTTTAGCCCAAGCCCGGAAGCCTAAGAACCAGGACAGCTGATAGCATAAGTCCCAGTCTGAGTCTGAAGGCCCAAGAACCAGGAGCCCTGATTTTCAAGGGCAAGCAGAGATGGATGTCCCAGTAGAGAGAGGAAGTTAGTCCTTCTTCCACCATTTTGTTCTATCCAGACCCTCAACAGACTGGACGATGCCCACCCACATTGGTGAGGGTGATCTTCTTTACTCAGTCTACTGATTCAAATGCCAATCTCTTTCAGAAACATGCTTACAGGCACACCCAGAAATAATGTTTTACCAGCCATTTGGGCATCCCTTAGTGCAGTCAAGTTAACACATAAAATTCACCATCATACTCACCCTCTCCAAGCTTCTTTTATCTCTGAAATAGAAATAGTATTTATATAATGTTAGCATATCATCTGGGTTCAATAAATGGTAGCAGTTATTATCAAAACCCCCTCCAAGATGAGTGCCTAAAAAGATGCTGAAGGTGAATTGTCAGGATAAGAGTTAAAGAAAGTTCATTATGTTGGGCCCTGTCTGACCAAAGAAAGTGCTATGAGAAGGTGCCCCAACAAGGAGCCCCAACAAGGGCAAGAATGTGTTAGTGTGTGCCCTGCCTGTCCTATTCCTGCAACATTCAGGGCAGGAGACTCAGGACTGTGGGGTGCGCCCACCCGAAATAGAGGTGAGAGCCTGGGACCATCCCAGGTTAATGAGTCCCAGCTTTTAAATCATCAGCTGCTTCTAGCCTGACTCCATGATCATCCCACGAATTTCTAAAAGCATTTCAGTTCTCCATGGAGGACAGAATTTGCTGACCATTAATGTTCTCTAACAGGGCAACTAAATTAATAAATAGACATTTTTTAAAATCCAAGATGTGAGGAAAGATCACTAGCCAGGAGACCTGGATTCAATGCTTCCTGAACAGCTGTGTGACTTTAAGGCATCATTTATTTCCCCCTCTCTCCACTGTAGATTTCCACTTCCCCAAATTTCTAACATCCCTTTGTCCTTTTCTGAGTCCTAAGACTGTGGCACTTAAATCCTCTGCTTCTCCACTTTTTCATATGATATAATCCACATTGGATCCTGGGCAGTGAGAGCGGGCAGGGTGTATGTTAAGGCTTGAAGACACAAGGAAGAAGTCATGTCATCAATGTAAACTAGCACTAAAATCACTCATCACTTTAATCTTTCAAGGAGACCTGCGGTGTGGAAGCATAAAGGTTGTGACGATCACATGCGTCTCCTCTCTAAATTTGTAGAATTATTGGCTGAGTTCACCCTTCTCCAATCATCCTAAAACTACTCTATGATTCAATTTGATTCAATTCAATTAGCACGTCTTATACCCCCACGCTTTGGCACGGAGCTCCCTCAATCGTCCTAAATTGAATTGGCTTTGTTTTATATTAACAGATTCAGTGATGCATGCAGTAACATTCTTATTTAGTACCTGCAGCATTGGGAACTGAGGGGTTGGTGGGGAGGAGTGACAAAATATAGAAGATATCTTTTTTCCAGTTCTTCTTTTTTCTTTTTTATTTCAAGGACAGTGAGGTTAAGGACACAGGAAATCACAATAATAATAATTCAAAAATAACCCATGTTACCACCCTCAACACAAGAATCTGCACTGTTGCATCACATCCTCCATCTACATACACATGTACATATTAGCCCAACGACTAACTGCCTGGGCTTCGAAGTGAACTGCTGGGTCTGACTCCTGGCCCCTCAGTCAAGGAGTGGACCTGAGACCTTGGGCATGTTCCTTAAGCTCTCTGTGCTTCCCTTTTCTCGTGGCTGCAATGGGAATTGCCATGGTGGTGCCTATTCCATAGGGTTGCTATGAGGGCTCAAGGAGGAGATACATATAAAGCATTTAGAAAGTGACTGCCACAGAGCAAGCCATAAATGAATGGAAGCTGTTCATTGTGATATCCACAGAAGTGTTTAATTTCTACTACTTTTCTGTGTGTTTTTGTTTTTGTCTTTGTTTTGGTTTTGGTTTTTGAGAAAGAGTCTGTCACCCAGGCTGGAGTGCAGTGGCAAGAACACAGCTCACTACAGCCTCAGCCTCCTAGGCTCAAGAGACCCTCCTGCCTCTGCCTCCTGGGTAGCTGGGACCACAGGTGCATGCCACTCCACCTGGCTAATTTTTTTATTTTTTATTTTTTTAAGAGACAGGGTCTCACTCTGTTGCCCAGGCTGATTTCAAATTCCTGGGCTCAAGCAATCCTCCTGCCTCAGTGTGAGCCACTGTGCCCAGCCTAGTTATTTTTCAATAGCTGTTATTTATGTATTCAGTGACAGAGGCAATGCTCCATAATCTTCGTGCCCATGTCTCTATGTGCGTGTGGGGTGGGGGTACACCTTGGAGCTATTTGGTTTTCCTTGACTGAGACAGGAAAACAAGGAGGAACAGCCTCCAATTGAAACACTGCATGGGAGATAAATTGGATGGGAAGAAGAAGCATGAACTGGCGTTGCACAGGCCTCCTTGTCATGTTTGCCTTTCCTCATGGGATCCTACTACATACATTTCTAGGTATCTTGCTTTTCTCACTTAAAATATCTCAGCTGAGGGTGGCTTGATTCCTTACAGGTTTATAATTTTAGATGGAGTGTTTATTTCATCAAAGCTTTATCTGTGGAATGTGTGGAGCCTGGGTTGAGGATCCAGCCCTCCAGCAAGTGTTTCCATTTCCTTTGCCTGGATCCCAGGGTAACATACCTCTTCTGTTGTACAGTATCATTCTGTTGTACAGGTAGTGGGAACCTCAAACCCAAACAACAGCAGACCTGCAGGGATGAAGTCTTCAAAGAGATTTGTATTTCCTCCACCCAAACCCAGGATTAAAAGATAATTAACTTATTTTTTCTTTTTTCTTTTTTTTTTTTTTTGAGATGGAATTTCACTCTTGTCACCCAAGCTGGAGTGCAATGGCACAATCTTGGTTTACCACAACCTCTGCCCGCCAGGTTCAAGCGATTCTCCTGCCTCAGCCTCCCAAGTAGCTGGGATTACAGGCATGCACCACCACGCCTGGCTAATTTTGTATTTTTAGTAGAGATGGGGTTTCTCCATGTTGGTCAGGCTGGTCTTGAACTCCTGACCTCAGGTGATCTGCCCACCTCGGCCTCAGTGCTGGGATTACAGGTGTGAGCCACCGTGCCCGGCCTAACTTGTTATTTTTTCTTATTGCTGGTGAGCAGAACTTCTTTTAGCGTGCTCCTACATGAGGGTCCTAGATTTATGCAGGGGTTTCACCTGCAACTTCCCAGTTAACTTGAGGCTGAGGCCTTGTGTCCTGTCCTCCAGAGTGGTTAAAACCTGGGTTACTGAGATCAGCAGTGTCCCCTCACCCCTGCCTACTACTTTGGCCCCCAAGAGAGGTTCCCTTAACTTCCTGCAAGCTCAGCTCTGCATTTAGAAAGATGTTTGCTGTGCTTTATCAATTATTCTAGGAATGTGTAAGAAGAGTTTTTGCAGGATATGTATTCCACTATAAAGGTTGGATGGAACTCAAAAGCCTATTAGTGTAGCTGTGTATCCATTAGATGAACACCCATCCCTCACGCATTAGAGCAATAAGTGATTGTGCCGTGTAGCTCAGCATACTTTTCAAAGAACCTTTCATGTCCATTACAGTCCTTGGTAAACTCAACAGCCCCCTGAGGTAGACGTTACAAGTTATTAGTATCTTCATGTTACAGAAAAGGAACAGATTCCCAGAGAAGGTACGTGCCTTACCCCACAGAGGCCTAAAAGCACACTAGAGGCAAAAACAGGACTAGCACGTCGGTTTCATCTACCTCTTTCCCCTGCACCATCAGGCTCCTTCTGGGAATTCTCCACCACACTTCTTAAGCTCTACAATGAGCCCAACCCTGTGCCAGGCACTGTAATTTAAAAAAGAAGAAAAGAAAGTTCCTCCTCAGGGCTCCAGGTTGGTGGGGAGAATAAGTAAAATCTTCCAATACAATTCACTCAGGTACAATCCACAGAGAGAACAATTAAGAGGACACTGAATTTTCCCAGATGCCACTGATGACTTCTATTTCTAGTATACGAGGGAGGAAAAAAATGCTACTGAAAGCTGGCTACAGAATTCCTCTTGTTCAGCAAAATATATTGATGTTTACACCAAAACACCTCCATAATGCAAAAAAAAAAAAAAAAAATTGGAATCCAGAAAAATCCAATTGTATAAAATGCTGAGCAAGGTTAATGAAAAGCAATATTTTTCAGAAGGGTTTCCAATTATTGTGTAATGCATATGGTTTTGGGACTGTGGGCTGCTCCTTGCCACTGTTTGGTGTTTCTTGGCTGAGACAAGGAGGCAGGGAGATACATTCTCCAGTCCAAACCCTGCATGGTATGGATGTGACCTGGATGGAAAATGGAAATGAAGAGCAAGGATTGCACAGGGTTTGGGCCCTGCATCTGACCAGCTGTATAGGCAGCTCTGTGGCCTCCCAGCCCTGGAAGATAGACAGCGTCCTGGTGAGACTCAGGGATGCTTTACATTAAACTCAGAAACTTCCCAACGATAGCAAGGGAGTCACTTCCTCACCCCACCACTCAGCCCCATCGCACAAGTGACTGGAAGTTAAAAAACAAAAACAGGCCGGGCGCGGTGGCTCATGCCTGTAATCCAAGCACTTTGGGAGGCCAAGGTGGGCGAATCACGAGGTCAGGAGCTCGAGACCAGCCTGGCCAACATGGTGAAACCCTGCCTCTACTAAAAATGCAAAAAATTATCGGGGTGTAGTGGTGGGCGCCTATAATCCCAGCCACTTGGGAGGCTGAGGCAAGAGAATCACTTGAACCCGGGAAGCAGAGGTTGCAGTGAGCCGAGATCATGCCGCTGCAGTCCAGCCTGGGTGACAGAGCAAGACTCAGTCCCAAAAAATAAAACCACCTGGACAGAGAGAGGAAAAAGTTGTCAATTGTGTTATATCCAAATTTTATCATTTCTGAATTTCAGCTAGACAGAGGGAAGAACAGCCTCCAATCAAAACACTGCATGGGAGATAACTTGGATGAGAAGAAGAAGCATGAGCCAGTATTGCACAGGCCTCTTTGTCATGTTTGCCTTCCCCCATGATCCTCTTCCTGCAATGCCCTCCTTCATATCAGCCATGGGAACAACTGATAAGGATCCTGAACTTTGCTGATGCTCATGTAATCATGTGCAAGCTCACAGAGAGAGGGGTACATGTGAGAATGTATATGTGAGAGAGCCGGTGTGTTTTCTTAATAATGGGATCCTACTACGTACATTTCTAGGTATCTTGCTTTTCTCACTTAAAATATCTCAGCTGAGGGTGGCTTGATTCCTTACAGGTTTGTAATTTTAGATGAAGTGTCTATTTCATCGAAGCTTTATCTATGGAATGTGTGGAGCCTGGGTTGAGGATCCAGCACTCCAGCAAGTGCTTCTACTTCCTTTGCCTGGATCCCAGGCCACCACCAAGCCAACTCCTCTTCTGTTGTACAGTATCCCAGATTGCACAGGTAGTGTGGACCTCAAACCCAAGCAGCAGCAGACCTGCAGGGATAAAGTCTTCAAAGAGATTTGTATTTGTGCCACTGTTTCTGGGGTTCACTGTTTTTAATTGTAAAAAGATAAAGATAAGCTCCAGAATATTATCTGGAGGAGAAGGAGTAAGAATAAATCTCAGAACTAGAGAAGTATCTTTAGTAAGTAAGAAGAATGTTCAGGGTTAAGAAAGATGATACTGGGCAGGAAAGAGAAAAGAGCAAAGCAACAAGAGGTACGCCAAGAGGCTACATTATAAAAAGAACAGAGGATGTAGTATACAGCTTTAAGTTGCCTGCTGTACTGTGACCTACCTGCTCCATCCCTAAAGCTTCCATTAACTGCTACACTCACAATCTTGAGTCAGTGGTATTTAGGGGAATGATGGAATCAGGACAGCATCCAATGAGGCTGCAGTGGAGTGAGTGCAGGCAACCACACACAGAGGGAAGAGATAAATAACAGCAGAATCTAGAAATCAGGAACTTGGGATGCCTGGGAGGAATGTGCACAGCCCACTCCCTGGTAAATATCTGGTGGTGGAGCTTATCTGCATCCTGCTTAAACATTAAACAAAATTAAAAGGGGCATTAAAGGGCCGGGCACGGTGTCTCATGCCTGTAATCCTAGCACTTTGGGAGGCCAAGGCAGGCAGATCATTTGAGGTCAGTAGTTCGAGACCAGCCTAGCCAACATGGGGAAACCCCATCTCTACTAAAAATACAAAAATTAGCCAGGCATGGTAGTGGGTGCCTGTAATCCCAGCTACTTGGGAGGCTGAGGCAGGAGAATCGCTTGAACCCAGGAGGCGAAGGTTGCAGTGGGCCAAGATTATGCTGCTGCACTCCAGCCTGAGTGACAAAGCGAGACTCTGTCTCAAAAAAATAAAAAATAAATTTTAAAAAAGAGGCATAAAAGACTACTCAACTCTAAATTAATAAAGTTTAAAGTCTAGATGAAAAAGAAAATTTTCTAAGAAAATAGAATTTGCCTACAGATTCCTCAGAAGACCAAAAATTTAAGTGGTCCAGTTTCTGGAGAAGAAAGTTGTCAGAACACTGCCTCCTGAAAAAGAACCAAGCCCAGGGGTTTTCTGGCAGAATTATACAAACTTTCAATGAGCAGGTAATTTCAATGGTATTTGAATTTTTCTAAAGCATAAAAAGAAAAGGAAAGGCCAGGCATAGTGGCTCATGCCTGTAATCCTAGGCCAAGGTGGGCAGATTGCTTAAGCCCAGGAGTTCGAGACCAGCCTGGGCAACATGGTGAAACCTCATCTCTAAAAAAAAAATACAAAAAATTAGGCTGGGCATGGTGGCATGTGCCTGTAGTCCCAGCTACCTGGGAGGCTGAGTGGGGAGGATCGCTTGAACCCAGGAAGCAGAGGCTGCAGTGAACCAAGATTGAGCCATTGCACCCCAGCCTGGGCAGCAGACAGAGACCCTGTCTCAGAAAAAAGAAAAGAAAAGAGAAAAGAAAACTTTTAAGTTATTTTTATGACAGTGTTATATCAATATCAAAACCTGATATAAATATTTCACACACAGTAAAAACTAAAGACAAATCTCACTGAAGAGTATCATTGCAAAAAGCCAGTATAAAATATTAAGCAATAGAATGCAACAGAACATTAAAGTAATTTAAAAAAAATCATATCCAAGTAAAGTTGATTCTAGAAAGGGAGATATGGTTCAATATTTGGAAATATATTGATTATCTGTATTTAATGATCTAAGGAGAAAAGTCATACTGATTCCTGAGAGACTGAAAGGACATTTGACAAACCTCAACTCCTATTGTTAATTTTTAAGCCAAATAAAATAGGAATCTTTGAATAATTTCATATATATATATTCACACATATATCTTCTTAACATAATATTATATTCCTTAATATAGTATTATTTTCCTTATATGTATACATACATATATACATATATGCATATTTGCATATGTACACAAACTTATGTATATATTTATATATACACACACAAATGTATACAGATTCTAATAAAAGTCAGAAATAAGAAGGCTCACTCTCACCACTACCAGTTAACCTGGTCCCAGGAGTAATAGGAATGTAATTATGAATATAACTAAACAAGAGAAAATAAGAAACATAAAAACTAGAAATAACCACATAAAACTATTACATATGATTATATATCTGGAAAACTCATGCTAATGTACCAAAAAACTACTACAAACAATAGGAAAGTTCAGTAAGACACAGCAGTACAAAATCAATATAAAGTAGTTTTTTAAAAACCAACCAGGGTGGGCGTGGTGACACACACCTGTAGTCCTAGCTACTCAAGAGGCTGAGGTGGGAGCATCGCTTGAGCCCAGGAGGCAGAGTGCAGTGAGCTATGATCATGCTACTGCACTCCAGCCTGGGCCACAGAGTGAGACCCGCATCTCTGAATTTAAAAGAAGAGGAAAAGGAGGGTGAGGGCGGGTAGGAAGAGAAGGAGGAGGGGGTGGAGGGGGAGGAGGAGGAAGAAAAAGAAGAGGAAGAGGAGGAGGAGGAGGTGGAGGAGGAGGAAGAGGAAGGAAACGATGGCAATGAGCTGAACTAGCTTCAACAGTTAAAACAGAGCGGTACTGGCATGGAACAGACAGGTGGTCTGTGCTGCTTTTTCTCCACTTGGCCATTATCTACCCATCATTTTCTTCTCTTTTCTGCCTTGCCCTGTGTCCTCACCTCCTTTGCCCTCTGGATTCCTATGGGTTCAGCCAATGGGAGGCACTGGTAGGAGATCAGAAGCTGAGAGAAGAGAGAGCTGAGAGCATTTCTTCCCTGCTCCTCCGCTTCCCGGACAGTGGCTGTGCTCCCTCCATAGCACTGCCTCTGCTGGGCACCTCCTTCTCCAGGTTCCAGCTCTCACAGGCCCTTGATAACTCTATTCCACCCCCTTGCTCCTTCAGGCCCACAAGTGTGATGGCTGTCCACCTTTGCTAGTCTCTGGGTGCTTCAACATCCCTTGTAGGTTCCCTTAACCCTGACTACACCTTCATTAAACTCTTTATTTGAACTATTTGAGCAAAATTCTGTTTCCTACCAGGAACCTAACCTGACTGATTCATAGACTAATGGAACAGAATAGACAATCCAGAAATATGCCCGAGTGTATACAGGAAGTTGCTATATAATAAATTTAGCATCCCAAATCAATGGAGCAAAAATAGACATTTTAATAAATACTGTTGAGACAAATGAATAGCCATCTGGAAAAATTTAGACTTTTAACTCACATGGTTCACCAGGATAGACTCCAAACCAAATTAAATGAAAATCAAATCAAATTATAAAAAGATTAGAAGTGGATGAGCAAACCGTAGTAGAGTCATGCGTCACTTAATAACAGCGATTAGGCGATTTCATTATTGCATGAACATCATAGAGTGCACTTGCACAAACCTAGACAGTATAGCCTACTACATACCTGGGCTATATGGTATCTTCTGTTGCTCCTAGGCTACAAACCTATACAGCATGTTACAGTACTAAATCCTGTAGGCAATGGCAACATAATGGTATTTGTGAACTAAACACAGCTAAACACTTGAAAAAGAAGAGTACAAATGTGGTATAAAAGATTTTAAACGATACACCTGTATAAGGGACTTACTGTGAATGCAGCTCGCAGGACTGGAAGTTGCTCTGGGTGAGTCAGTGAGTGAATGGGGAGTGAATGGGAAGGCCTGGGACATTACTGTATACTACTGTAGACTTCATAAACACTGTACACTTAGGCGACACTAAATTTGTTTTAGATTTTTTTCTTTCCTCAGTAATAAGCTAACCTTAGCTTACTGTAACATTTTTACTTTATAGACTTTTTAAGTGTTTTTAACTTTTTGACTCTTTTGTAATAACACGTAGCTTAAAACACAAACATATTGTACAGCTGTGCAAAAAAAAATTATTTTCTTTATATCCTTATTCTATAAGCTATTTTCATTTCTAAAATATTTTAATTTTTTTTTTACTTTTTTCTTTAAAAACTAAGAAACAAATACATTATCCTAGGCCTACGCAGGGTCAAGATCATCAACATCACTGCCTTCTACCTCCATATCTTGTCCTACCAGGTTTTCAGAGACAAGAGCATGCATGAAGATGTCACCTCCTATGGTAGCAATGCCTTCTTTTGGAACACTTCCTGAAGGACCTGCTTGAGGCTGTTTTACAGGTAACTTTATTTTTAATAAGTAGAGGAAGTACACTCTAAAATAAGCATTGAAAGCAGACCAAATACGGCTGGGCGCGGTGGCTCATGCCTGTAATCTCAGCACTTTGGGAGGCTGAGGCAGGCGGATTACCTGAGGTCAGGAGTTCGAGACCAGCCTGGCCAACATGGTGAGACCCCTGTTTATACTAAAAATACAAAAATTAGCCAGGCATGGTGGTGCATGCCTGTAATCCCAGTTACTTGGGAGGCTGAGGCAGGAGAATCACTTGAACCCAGGAGGCGGAGGTTGCAGTAAGCGGAGATCACACCACTGCACTACAGTCTAGGTGACAGAGTGAGACCCTGTCTCAAAAAAAAAAAAAAAAAGTTTAGCAAACACATAAATCAGTAACATAGTTGTTTATTATCATTATCAAGTGTTATGTAGTATACATAATTGTATATGCTATACTTTTATGTGACTGGAAGCACAGTAGGTTTATACTAGCATCACCACAAACACGTGAGTAATCACCACAGCTGTGATGTCACTAGGCAACAGAATTTTTCAACTCGATTAGCATCTTCTTTGACATACATATGCAGTCCATCATTGCCCGAAATTCGTTATGCAGGACATAACTATACAGTCATACAATGAAATATTGCTCAGCAATTTAATGGAATGAATTATTGACAGGCACATCAACAGAGAATCTCAGAAACATGCAGCATCATAGAAAGCTTGCACAATAGCATTTGTGCTGTATGATTGATTCCATTTATAGGAAATTCTAGAAGGGGTAAGACTAACATAGCACGGAAAAAAAAATTGGAATAGTCATTATACCTAGGGATGGGAGTACAGCGGAGATTGACTGGGAAGGGTCATGAGGAAACTCACGGGGATGAGGGTAATGGCCTGTACCTTGATAGGGGTTTGGGTTACACAAGCGTATGCATTTCTCAAAACTCAGCAAATCTACCCTTAAGATTTTCACATTTTATTGTATATAAATTGTACATCAAAACAAGAAAATAAACAGCAAATATCAAACTCTAGTTAGTGGTATGCTTGTGGGCTTACGTAGGGGGGAATGCATGACACCTGCAACTTAATTTTAAATGTACAAAATTAAGATAAATGAAAGGATAGGTAGACAGATGGATAGATAAATAGATATGTGATAAGGCAAGTATATAAAATGTTAATGGTCGTATCTGAGTAGTAGATGATAGGAGTGTTTACTATAAAATTCTTTCAACCTTGCTGTGTGTTTTAAATTTTTAATAATAAAATGTTTTAACACTGGAAGAAAAATCCTAGCACATCCTACCACACAGATGAATCTTTGAGACATTATGCTAAGTGAAATAAGTCAATCACAAAAGAGCAAATACAATATGATTCCTCTTACACGCAGGACCCAGAGTAATCACACTTACAGACAGAAAGTAGAATGGTGGTTGCCAGGGACTTCAGGAAGCGGGAAATGGGGAGATACTGTTTAATAGGCACAGAGTTTCAGTTTGCCAAGATGAAAAAAATGCTATGGATGGATGTTGGAGATGGTTGTACAACAGTGTGTATGAATGTACTTACTGCCACTGAACTGTACACTTAAAAATGATTAAAATAGTAAAGATTGTTACTTCTGTAAATTATAAATAATTTTTCAAATTAAAAAAGCTAGAAGGAAGCATGAAAAAATCCTTTATAACCTTGGATAAGATTAGAGAAGTCATTATAACTATGTCTCAGAATCCAGGGAAGTTTATCACAGAATTGTTTATAATAGAGAGAATTGTAATCAGCCCCCAAATCCATCAATTAAAGGGTGGAGGGACTGGGTGCGTTGGTTCATGCCTGTAATCCCAGTACTTTCAGAGGCTGAGGCAGGAGGACCACTTGCAGCCAGGAGTACAAGATCAGCCACAGCAACATAGTGAGACCCCATCTTTATAAAAAATTTGACAATTAGCCAGGCGTGGTGGTGTGTGCCTGCAGTCTGAACTACTAGGAAGGCTGAGGCAGGAGGATTGCTTGAGTCCAGGAGGTTGAGGCTGCAGTGAGCTCTGATTGTTCCACTGCACTCCAGCCTGGGCCATAAAGCAAGACCCAGTCTCAAAAAAAAAAAAGGAAAAATTAAAAAATAATAAATAATAAAGGGTAGAGGGGTAAATTATACTACCTACACAGAACACTCATTAAAAAAAGATGTATAACTATATTTATATCAAAAAATGCCCACAAAATAAAAGTAAAAAACATTACATTATAAAATAGCATGTTTCATCTGATACCATTTGTATAAAATGTATACATATACAGTATGTGTATATGTGCCTAAAGAGATGCTTGGAATGGTATTCACCAAAATGTTCACAGTAGCTATCTTTAGCTGGTGAGTTTGTTAGTGCTTTATTCCACATTATTTGACATTTTTGCAACAAGCATGCTTTTTTAAAAGAGAATGAAACCATTTTCAACTCATTCTGACATATTAAAAGAAGTTGGCATTTGGTAGCATCAAGTATCTCCTTTCCAGCTGATCAGAATGGCAACTTCACAAAAAGTGGAGAGAGGAATCTGACTGATGCCTAAACAGTTATCGGTGCTTCCCTTGTAATATGTGACAGTGACAGCACCATTCACAGATTCAAAAAGTGCAGTAATACAAACAACTTAGACACAGGTGAAGATGACCCAGAAATGGCTTTAGAGAAAACAATGATGCCAATGATAAAAAAAAAAAAGCCTGTAAAAAGATTCAATAAAATTGTTTTATGGAGTATAAAATGGAAAAGTAATATTCTAAGTTAATGTATTTTATGCAACTTGAGATATTTAAATAGATGTAACAAAAGTAATAAGATAAATATTAAAAGGACACATGGGACCTTTTTCTAGCCCCTTCAAAGTCTGTATATTCAAGTAGGTCATTTAAGAAAATACACTTCTGGCCAGGCCCAGTGGCTCATGCCCTTAATCTCAACACTTTGGGAGGATCGCTTGAGGCCAAGTATTCGAGATCAGCCTGGGCAACCTAGCAAGACTCCTGTCTCTACAAATAAATAAATATGGTTGGACACAGTGTTTCATGCCTGTAATTCCAACACTTGGAGAGGCCGAAGTGGGCAGATTACTTGAGGTCAGTAGTTCGAGACCAACCTGGACAACGTAGCGAAACCCAGTATCCACTAAAAATTCAAAAATTAGCCAGGCATGGTGGCATGCACCTGTAGTCCCAGCTACTTGGGAGGCTGAGGCAGGAGAATAGCTTGAATCCAGGAGGTGGAGGTTGCAGTGAGCCGAGATCACGCCACTGCACTCCAGACTGGGCAACAGAGCAAGACTCCGTCTCAAAAATAAATAAATAAATAATGTTTTTTAAATTTAAGAATAGATGTTTGAGGAATCTTCTCAAAGAGGAAAAAAAGAGGACCTGCCTTATATTGGGGATTGTTTCATTATGGGACACCTTTAGAAGCAGCCTGGAGTGCAGGCAAGAGTCTGGGGCCCCTCCTCACCGGCTTCTCTTACCCTCCTCCCTTTCCCTACATTAGGGAGCCTGAATCCGAGGACTGGGGATAACAGAACAAAAGGCTGGCGGTGGGAGAGGGGCCAGGGAACAAAGCGCTACGTCCTTTCCTTCTCCCTCGGGAGCACACAATTAGTGTGGCTGTGGAAAAAGTGACAGAATGGAAAAAGCAACAACTCTGGCTGGCTGGCTTATAGGCTAGTCATCTCCAAGGTCATGTGAAGGGTAAATAAAATCCCTGCAAAAGAAGAGTGCCCCCTCCAACCCTTTCTCCCTGAATTGAGCAGGAGCTGGTTCTTAGGGAAAGGAGCTGAGAATTCTGAAAGGGGAGTGGCGGTGTGACCAGGAGCACAGCACAGAGGGCCCAGGTGCCAGGCTCCACCAGGGTGGAGGGGCAACGGTGCCCTCCCTGATGCCAGCACACGCCCGCCTCCCCCAGGCAGCCTTCAGATGTGATGTGACTTGACATGCCTGCCACTAGAGCCTGGGAGTTGGTCATGAGCTCATGGATTTACAAGCTGACAGGTGCTGACATGTAAGGGCCTGGGCCACGCCAGCAGGACACATTGAGTATAACTCATCTAAGGTCGGAGAGTCCTCCCAGAACCTCCCCTTTCTGATTCCCCCTGGACACAGAGACTCCGTGGGTGCTCAGGGAATGCCCCGGACGTACATATTCAAGGATAAGGATGAGACGGGACTCTGGGCACTCCCTGCCCTGGAAGAGGGAAGGATGTGGAGCCATCCCCCCTCCCTGTTCCTCCAGGAGACTCACAATGTAAGCTTGGAGGGGTTTCACCAAGAGGCCACTCCCTACTGAGAAACAGACCAATGCATTAGGCACCTCGAGACATTTTGATGGCCATTTCACAGCCATTTTGACATGGTGGTTTTAATGTGGCCAATTTTTTTTTAAACTTGTGATTAAACTATACATACAATTTCATCAGCTAGCCTCATCCCCTGCCACCCACCCATTCCTGATTCTCATTCAGTCCACAGTCTCTTCAAGGTGTAGGGAAGGTGAGCATGGGATGACAGACAAGATGAAGCTCAGGGATGCTGTCAGGAATTGGGGCAGGTGAGAGATGGGGCAAGGCTCAGGCTCAGGATGGGGGTCTGCACACATCCTTTGGAAAAAGTGAAGAGTCTGGGGGTCAAGTCTGTATGGTTAAAACACACTTCTCTAAATCAGAACAGGTCTATGGGGAAATGAGTGCAGAGGAACGGGTATCATCTCAGTATGAGGAGAAATTGCCAACAGTAAAAAGCTGTGACCTTGGGAGAGATCGAGGGGCAACTCGCCAGTGGGTCTACAGAGGCCCAGAGTACCGCCACATATGGGAGCTAGCCATAAACACCCACCCCATGCCTGGCTCTCCCAGCCGACACATAGCACAGACTAAGGAGAACAACAATGCTTTTAAATGCTGCCACCTCCCTCAGAACAGACTAATCTAGCCTGTGTGCTCAAAAGGACCAAAGCTGCGAGAAGCATTTACCACGAGCTGAGCGGTCCCAGGGAGCATAGTCAGTTCTGTGGCACAGGCCCCAAACCAAGAAAAAGCTGGGTGCTCAGGGCACCCAGAAAAGCTGGTACAAAGCATGAGTGAATCCCAGTTGTAACTGATTTCTTTTAGAAAGTGATGACTTTTTTTTTTTTTTTAACCAGTGATAACTGCTTAGCCTTAGTGGTAAGGAAGCCCTACTAAAAACATCCCACTACTGCTAATAAAATCTCACATGTCTAATAATAAAAACACCTGTTGAGCACTGACTCTGTGCCCAGCACCATGCTGAGAGCTTTGCATTAAACCCTTAAACTCACAAACAACTCAATAAATGGAATTTTTTGCATCCCCATTTTACAGATGAGGAATCTGAAGTTCACAGGGTTCGAGTAACTTGCCCCATTAATCATGGGCAGAGCCCAGATTCTAACTCCATCTCTCTCACTGCAGAGCCTGCCCGTGTAACTATAAGCAATATTAACTCCCAGGGAAAAGTTCTATTTTTTTTTTGGTACTATAATCCCAATTTAGTAAAAAAAAAAAAAAAAAATCATACTGTGCACATAAAAAAGGAGAGGGTTATAAGCAAGCATCAAAGTATCTGTTGTATTAAGATGATGATCTTTTAGGCGCTTTCTTCATTTATCTCAAGTTTTTCTTGATATTGTAATTCTATTATTTTACTTGTATTTCAACTTTAACCAAACAGAAATCATGTGACTCAACGTAGTAATTTGAATGCTATCTCTTGTTGACCTATCAATTTATTTGCCAATTATATCTAGACTGCAACATTAAAATATTATAAAATGTACTTCTGGAAACTTGTGTTTTTGTTTGTTTGTTTTTGTTTTGTTTTGGTTTGGTTTTGAGACAGAATCTCACACTGTGACCTAGGCTAAAATGCAGTGGTATTTAGAGCTCACTGCAGCTTCAAACTCCTGGGCTCAAGTGATCCTCCAGCCTCAGCCTCCCAAAGTGCTGGGACTACAGATGTGAACCATCATGCCCAGCCTTACTTCTGGAAACTTCCTCAGTACTATGGTCTTCCCCACATACTATTTCTTTCCATGGCAGTAGCAAGTTGGCCAATTATTTTTTTATCAGCCTCAAGCTGCTACTGATGTCTCAGGCAGTTCAGCACAAGGCTTAAGACCTGGGTTCAAGTAAGACCCCCGTACTCACTAGATGTGCAACCTCAGATAATTCCCCAAGCTTCATTGTCCTCATCTAAGAAAAGGAGATAACAATGGCACTTACCTCTTAGTTTAATGCTGGTGCATGAAGTATGCCTGGCACAGGGTAAGTGCTCAATAAATGTTAACGTCTATTGTTCCTATGAAATATAATGATATGATTGTTTTATTTGCACTTTTTCAATCATTAAAAAAAGTCACTTTCCAAATAGCATCCTTGCGTGACAATAATCAGATATGGGAAGATACGGCAGCACACATTTCCAGATTAAGATTCACTTTTTCCTTCAGAACAGAGGCTTTATTTTTGAAGGGATGCCCTCATATTTGTAACATTTTTTGTCTCTTGGACCAGAAGAAGGTACTGAGTTATTAGGGTGTCAAAATCCAGGAAGTAATAAAGTCCCAAACAAACAAACAAACAAAAAATTAAAAATTAAAGTCCCAAAGAGCAGCCAGACAGGGCATGAAAAACTTTTTCCAAACTGCCCTGCATGTAATCTTCAAAGCAGCATGTAAATGAGGTCCACCCGACTCCTGGAGCATTTAAGCTGCAAGCAAAACCCACTCAGATACCAAGAAGAATAAATGAATCTGTTATGTGTGTACTGATCTAATGGCTTCTTTTTTCCCATTTTGTCTTCAGTTTTACTGAGGTCTCTTAGGAAGATCTCTGACATCAGTAAGGGAGCCCAGTACTCTGACTGGCAGAGGAAAAAATGGCAACCTGTTAGTTTAATTAACAAACTAAAATTAATAATTGGTTAAAATATTTTTTAAATATCTTTACTCAGGTTCAAGGAGTTTAAAGTGGAGGTGATATCTGAGATGGGCAAGTTTGAAATCTACAAGCTGGGGAGAAGAAAATACAGGGGAACAAAGCTTGGAAGAAAGAGCCTGTTACTGAATTTAGACTTCTACTTTAATTCATATATTGTTCAAGTTAACAATTTCCTAGTATCCTCCAGAATATTTATAAGACAGAACTTGCTAAAAAGAGTACTCAAAAAATAGTAGGTATAGAGAACAACAGAGAGAAAGAGAGAGAGCAAAAAAGCAGCCCCTCTAACTACTCCCTCCCTACCCGGAGAGTCTCCTTTGGAGGTTAACTTCAGCTCCCTCAGGAGAGTGAGCCCTTGGGGTATGGGGTGACCTCATTAGTAGCTTCACAAAAATCCAGTCATCTGAGAATAAACCTGAAATTAGTTACTGTTCTGGCAGTGAGTGGAGGGCACGGCAGGCTCCTGCTACTTCTAGACTAAAGAATGTTCCCAACCTTCCTGGCAGTGGCTGCCTAGCCCTGGGCTTCGGCTCCCTCCTTCTGGGAAATGACAATATTTTGCAACTTGGCCACATTTTTCCTTGGCTGAGAAGGAAAAACCCAGGGCTTTGCTGCTAACATAGATGCAAAAGAGCATGCCTCTTGCGCTCTTGGTGCTTGTGCTCCACCATGACAGCTTAGACACCACCAGTGCGGAGATGTAAGATGCACACACAGAGGCCAGGATCTGGTTCCTAATCCTAACTCATCCTGTCCGCTGTGTGACCAGAGCAAGTCCTGGCACTACTCTGAACCTCAGTTTCTTTATTTGTAAAAATGGGGTAATAGGCTGGGCATGGTGGCTCACACCTGTAATCCCAGCAGTTTGGGAGGTGGAGGTGGGCAGATCACCTGAGGTCAGGAGTTCAAGACCAGCCTGGCTAACATGTCAAAACCCTGTCTCTACTAAAAATACAAAAATAGCCAGGTGTGGTGGCATATATATATATATATATATATATATATATATACACACACACACACACACACACACACACACACACATATATATGTGTATATATATACACATATATATGTGTATATATATACATATATATGTATATATACATATATATGTATATATATGTGTATATATATACATGTGTATATATATGTGTATATATATACATGTGTATATATATGTGTATATATATACATGTGTATATATATGTGTATATATATATGTGTATATATATGTGTATATATATATGTGTATATATATGTGTATATATATATATACACACACACACACACACACACATATACACACACACATGTAATCCCAACTACTAGTGAGGCTCAGGCAGAAGAATCACTTGAACCCAGGAGGTGGAGGTTGCAGTCAACCGAGATGGTGCCACTGCACTCCAGCCTTGGCAACAGAGCAAGGCTCCATCTCAAAAAAAAAAGGGGGGGTGGTAATAATAGTGCTTGTCTTAGCTACCTCAAAGGTTTGTCGTGAGATTTGAGTAAGATTGTAATTGTTCAAGTAATGTGAAAACTGTGCAAATGCAAGTTATTTGTATTTTTTTTAATTTGACAAACTAAAATTAATAACTGGTTAAAATATTTTTTTTAAGTATCTTTACTCAGGTTCAAGGAGTTTAAAGTGGAGGTGATATCTGAGAAGGGCAAGTTTGAGCAGAGCCCACATCTGTTTCCTGTAAGATTTGCTCATTAGCTTCAATTGCTTCCAACCATGGCTCAATGTGAGAGTCCGTTTTCCTGATCTCAGCCATTCCACAAAAATCAAATCAGTGTCTGATGTGTGCATGCTGTTTCAAAGCCCTGAATATCCATGATCTCACCTGATCCCAGCTCTCAGTCTATCCATGAGCAAGTCACTTGGACTCTCAAAAGGATGCTGTGAACACCACAGAGGGGTAGTTTTCAAAGTCAGGGTTTTCACCCCTAGAAGGCGGATTAAAACTAACACACACACACACACACACACACAGCACTAGGTTGAATAATTTGAGTAAATTACAGAAAATATAACACTAAGGATGACATAAATATGTAGGACTGTGTCCTACCTCAGAAGTAGGTGATCTAGGGCCTGAACCCTCTAAGGCCACATGAACTGCTTTGTGGATTTTGCTGGCCTCCCCGCGGCCTTCAGCCTCTCTCTCATCCCACTCCCTTTCTCTTCCCTGCCTTCCTCACTCCAGTTATTGTTTAATTTCCATGGAAGAATCATCATGGCATTGTGGAAGGAGAACTGGATTACAAATCAGATTCACCTACACGGATGATCCGTTAATGTGTGTGTAACCAATATTGACTAAATGACTAGCAAGTCCCAAGGCATGTGCCAAGTACCTTGCATAAATTGCCTTATTTAGGTGAGATCAATACAATTTCCATTTTCCAGATCAGAAAATGGGCTCAGAGAAATTAGTGCCTATAGCCAGGAAGTATGGGAGCCAATGATCGAGATTCCAGAGCCTCCTTCTCTGACACCAGGCTGCCTGGAAGAATTAATCATGGGACTCCTGAAAGTCTAACTGCAAGTGATCTAGGATAAAGCATGTCATCAATAATAAGTAAAAAGTTGATTTAAATTCCCTTCCCTTATTAAAAGGGAACAGTAAAGCCATCTGCCCCATCTACCTCAGAAAACTGTCGTGAAGATCAAATGTTAAAGAGGCTGTCTAGGGGCTTTATAAGCTGTAAAGTGCTGTACAGAAGCTTCCTAACATTTCTTCCCCACATCTTACACCCAGCAGGAGCAAATGTACCACTGATGGCTAGGCAGGTTACTTGATTCTGCCCCAAATTGAGACTGACTTTGAAAGCAATGAATCCAGTAACCGCCAGGAAAGAGAATCAAAAGAAAGTGAGCCCGAGACTTTTCTGCCTTGGTAAGACTCTGGGACCCCAACTTGCATCCTAGGTGAAAGGAAGTGTGTTGGGGAAAGCAGTTCCTAGAGGTAATGCCACACCCACAGGGGCCCCACACTTGCCCATTACAGTGCATTCTCATCGGTATTGCCTGTCACTAACCTAAGCTTGAGAAGGCTGCTCGTGTCTATTTAGATTAACTCAGCGCAGGGACACACGTTGCAGGTGCTACAAATGTTGAAGGTTAAGGCACAGGTGGTGTCACTACTTCACCATCTACACACCAATGTTTATTATTATTTTTTGAGTTAATCTTTGTTTTTCATTTGTTTATAATTTCAACTTTAATTTTAGATTCAAGCCCCATATGTGCAAGTTTGTTACCTGGATATATTGCATGGTGCTGTGGTTTGGGGTACAATTGAGCCAGTCACACAGGTAGTGAGCATAGTACCCAATAGGTAGTTTTTCAACCCTTTCCCCCCCACCTGGCCTCCCCCCTCAGCTAGTCCCCAGTGTCTATTGTTGCCATATTTATGTTCCTGTCTACCCAATGTTTAGTTCCCACTTATAAGTAAGATCATGTATACTTGGTTTTCTATTTCTGCATTAATTCACTTAGGATAATGGCCTCAAGCTAAATCCATGTTGCTGCAAAAGACATGATTTCATTCTTTTTTATGACAGCACATACCAATCTTTAAAATCACAAAAGTTTTGTTTAACTTTCGCATTGGTCATCTTTTCAATTAAGCTAAAATTTACCCTAAAATGTTAATCCCAGATTAAAGGCATCACTGGTAAAGGATCATAAGTATCCTGATGTTTTAGAAATTGGCAAGAGAGTGGTTGCAAAAGGGCTAGGGAGGTGAAGGAGAGAGATTAGATAAAGAATAATCTGACTTGAATCCAGAATCTCTTTCCTCCACAGCACTGCCCAGATCCCAAGAACTCACTAATGGCTAACACAATACACCCAATATCTACTCGCCCTCCCAGTGATTTCTACTCGTAGAACAGCAGTTTTCAAACTGTGACCCTTTGACTAGCAGCATTCACAGCATCTAGGAACTGGTCAGAAATGCAACCCTCAAGTCCAGGTGTGATGGCTCACACTTGTAATCCCAGCACTTTGGGCGGCTGATATGGGAAGATTTCTTGAACCCAAAAGTTCAGGACCAGCCTGGGCAACATAGTGAGACCTTGTCTCTACAAAAAGAATCAAAAAATTAGCTGGGCATGGTGGCTTCCACCTGTGGTCCCAACTACTCAGGAGGCTGAGGTAGGAGGATTGCTTAAGCACAGGAGGTTGAGGCTGCAGTAAGCTGTGACTGCATCACTGCACTCCAACCTGGACAAGACAGTGAGACCCTGTATCAAAAAACAAATAAAAAATAAAAAAGAAGAAATGCAACTCTCAGGTTGCTTGTCAGACTTACCAGAAAGTCGAGAGGAAGGACCCAAGATTGTGTGTTTCAGCAAGCTCCTGGGTGACTGTGATACACACTTTGCTGGTAATAGAATCACCTGGGAAATTTGGTTAAAATGCTAAGACTCTGGTCCTATCCCATGGCAACAAGCCTGAGCGTCTGTAATTATCTCTCCAAGTGATTTTGATAAACACCAATGTTTGAAATCTACTGATCCTAGTATCTGAGAGGACCCAGCTAGAGACAAATAGTGGTAACTTCACCAAGACTCACAGAAGACGTAGATGGAAACCAAGAAGCAATGAGTCAGCAAGACAATGCTCTAACACTGCTATTTGATGAATGTTGGCTACACTTTGAAATCAGCACTTGACACATCTTTTCAAAATATTAAAACAGCAAGACAAGAAAAGATAGTAACTGAAAAGGAAAAGAGCTTCAATAATTTTAATACACAGATCATTAACCAAAAAAAACACTTTAATCAATAATGTCAGGATCTCTCTGCAACCAGAGGAATTTCTAACAAATGCTAGGAGCCTCTCATAATCAACTTCAGATTATTAAGCAATAAAGAATAGCTGTGAACTGTTGTTTGTAATGTGTTTTATTTAATTACTTGTTTGTTCTGAGGTAACTTCTCATTGAAAATGTGGTAAGGTGCTCCCTCTTTTCCACTAGTGAGATCTGAAAGCAAAGCTTTGAAAACAGACAAACCTAGAAAACATCTGCACCTGACATATGCCAGGTCCCCACACGGGCTTTGGTACATTATCTCATTTAATCTTCACAACATGATGACAGAGAAATAGTGGAACATCCTTAACACAACAAATCCCATAGGCTCAAAGCAGTTAAATTTCCATGAGAGACAGCTGACTTAATACCCTGAGCTGTACTTTCCCATTCAAGTTCCCTGGCTTTAATTACCATCCCAGTAATACCCAAGGTGACAGTTTCTCTCTTAATACTCTGACACCTCCCTTCCAGGACCAATGTACTTTCCCTTGGTTCCTCTGACCATAGCTGGAACAAGATAAAACTTTCAAAAGACATTACTAATAATAAACTAAGTCGGGTGCAGTGGCTCATGCCTATAATCCCAGTACTTTGGGAGGCTGAGGCGGGTGGATCACTTGAGCCCAGGCCTGGAGGCTAAGGCAGACAGATCACTTGAGCCCAGGCCTGACAACATGGTGAAACCCTGTCTTTACAAAAAATAGATATATATAAATTAGCTGGGTGTGTTGGTGCATGCCTGTAGTTCCAGCTACTCAGGAGGCTGAAATAGGAGGATCGCTTGAGCCTGGGAGGTAGAGTTTGCAGTGAGCTGAGATTGCAGTGAGCCGAGGTGGTCCCACGGCACTCCAGCCTGGGTGACAGACTAAGACCCTGTCTCAAAACTAAAATAAAAATAAATAAATAAACTAAAGAGTTAACAAACGGAAAATAAGCACACAGCATTTAAGACAAGCAGCATAGAGAAAAGGTAAGAACACAAGTTTTAGAACCAGACAACCTGTGTTTAAAGTATGTCATTTACTAGCTGTGTGACTAATTAACCTCTATATGCCTTAATGTCTTCATCTATAAAGTGATAATAAAAGCATCCATCCCACAATCTCATAAAATAGCATCCAGCAATACTGTTTATGTATATATACCTATACACACAGACATTATATTATATTACATATATATATATTCATATATATTCATCTTGGCTTATAAAGTACAAGTTTTAGATTGCAGCATAACTAGTTTACTCCCAGGTTCTCTGCTATTCCACACAATATCTGGAGAAGTTCAATCTAGTCCAGTAAAAGGCTACCTAGCTTCACAGCTAAGGACAATTCATTTCATTTTTACAGATGATAAAAATGAGCCTCATCTGCAATTCCAGCTACCTAAACCCACCTCTCTTCAAAGACGTGAGCTCAAATACCACTCTTTTCAAAAAGATCAAAATATAGAAATTGAATAATTTTGCATAAGTATCCTAGGTGATATAAAACTCAGAATGTAATTTTTAATTGCATATATTTCTTATGAAATAAAATGGAAGGGATTGAAAAAAATTCTTGTATAATCAAAAAGTTAAAGTTAAAAGTATTTCCAAGGTGTCGTCAAATCCAGAACGAATCTAATTCAATGAAAATTGCTAGAAATTGGTTTTCTGGCATTATAAATGTGTGAATAAATTGCAATATCCAAATCTCCTGCCCAAACCGGTGAAAGCAGAAGAAGAAAAATAGCCAGGTGCAGCACTTTTGGAGACCAACATGGGTGGATTGCTTGAGCCCAAGGGTTCAAGACCAGACTGGGCAACTGGAGAAATCTTGTCTCTACAAAAAACATGAAAATTAACCAGGCATGGTGGCATGTACCTGTAGTCCCAACTACTCAGGAGGCTGAGGTGGGAGGATTGCTTGAGCCCAGGAGGTTGAGGCTTCAGTAAGCTGTGCTCGCACCACTGCAGACAGTGCTCTGGATGACAGAGCAAGACCCTGTCTCAAAAAAAAAGAAAGAGGAAGGAAGGAAGGAAGGAGAAAAAATGTGGTAATATCCTTTCATGGTTACATATGTTTGTAATTGAACTGATATCTCCCACACACAAAAAATATATATATTAATGAGTTTCACAAAGGAAGCCCATGTTTCATCCTATATTAGGTGGACCATGACAGATTTTATAAAAACTAAATATGTATCTGCACATTTAAAAATATGAATTTTCCTTGATAATGCCTTACTCTTGTACTATATTTATGATTTGCAACACATTTTTGCCTCCATAATTTCCTTTGAGTTTCATGGCATAGAAAATGGTGTAACTATATTTGTACTTTTTTTTTTTTTTTTTGAGATAGGGTCTTACTTTGTCACCCAGGCTGGAGTGCAATGGCATGATCTCAGCTCACTGCAGCCTCGACCTCCTGGGATTAAGCTATCCTACTGCCTCAGCCCCCTAAGTAGCTGGGACTACAGGCATGCACCATCATGCCCAGCCAGTGTTTTGAGTTTTTGGTAGAGATGGAGTTTCGCCATGTTGCCCAAACTGGTCTTGAACTCCTGAGCTCAAGCAATCCACCTCTCAAAGGGCTGGGATCACTGCACCTGGCTGTACTCATTTTAAAAGAGCAGATTGTACACGCTTAGAAAATGTAAGTAGCCCACCCAAGGATACTGAGCTTAGCAGAACCCAGGTGTCCTGACTCCTGATCTGGTTCTCTTCCCATTAATACCACAAAGATATGTCTTCTGGATGGAAGAAATAAACATGTTTCACAATGATAAATCTCCCCTTGAAAGGACAGAGTGTTTGTGTCTTCTTTTAATATTTTGAAAACTTTCAAGGGAATAAGGATATATGGATCCTCATCTCTCAGTAAGTTAAACTGTAAGCCAGTCCCCCTCACTATCCACTTAATCTACTGAATCCTTCTTGAAAAGTCAACAGACCATCCCCGTGAGCACCACAAATTTGCTTGGGGTGAAGTGAGGATTCATGTATGAGACCAAAAGTCCAGAGATGTATTTAGCAACATTTCCAGTGTAAGAGATTTTTTTAAATCACATATACAAACTAAGGCATTTTCCTCCCACTTGCACAAAACAGGATCTGCCCCGACGAAATGGAATCTTTGAATATCTCAAACTAAAATTTTTAAAGTGAGTGAAGTTTCACTATTCCCTCAGCTGAAGATGTTCAAAGATCTGGTTCATGTGTAATACGGAATATTTGCATAGTATTTTACAGTTTTCACAGCCTTTCTACTTACATTGTGTGGTCAGATTTTCCAGCTCCCTAGTGAGACGGAATTATTATCATCCCTGTGTCACAGATGAAAAAACGGAGGCACAGGGGGAGTATCTTGCCCAAGATCGCAATGAAAGCAGCACGTCCACCTCTGACTTCAAATCGTGTGTGCTCTTTTCACTTATCCTATGTTATCTACCCTAAAGGCAAGTCTTCCCCCAACTGCACACCTCAAGTCCTTTCACATGTGTAACTAGGTCTGGACAAGCAGGAATTTCTGGCCCTTTTCCCAATTCCCGTGGGAGGAGATGGGAAAGGTGCTTCTTTTATCCTTGCCTTTCCAAGACAACAAGAAAGGCTTCTCCCCATGGTGCCGGCCCCGGTACTAAGCTGGGGAAAGGGATCCTTAGGGTGTAAACTGTCTTGCCACCTACTGTTTAAACCTCTGTGAAAGATAAGCCTTCTGAAATAGCCTCCTATTCAACCCAGAAATCAATCCTAACTTGTAAAAGAAGTTATGGACACGAGGACGAGAAACGGGAAATCCTGCGGGAGATAGCGCTTTCTCTTTTCCCCCAGAAAGTCTCCAGGCAGCAGCTCTGTGAGATCCTTAAGCAAGGTAAGGAAACTCACCCGCTGCGCTGCGGCTTCGTGGCCAGCAGGGCTGGGACATACTCGCCTCACGCTTCAGCACCGGGGACAGCTCCTGCCTCGCCAACTTCGGCAGCTCTTCTCGATGTCTCGCCGCGGGCTGTGCCTCACAGGCTACGGGAGGGGAGAGTGTCTCCCCACGCCGGGGTCCCGGCCTCTGGGTTTTAGGGAGCGCGAATGGGTCTCCGACAGCAACGGGAGCAGCCGGTGGCGCCTCAGGCTGCGGTGGCAACGAGCCCGACTGCACTACGGCTTTGCGGGACCGCGCCAGCGCGGAGGAGACCGAGCCCATCTCAGCGGGCCGGGCCGGACCCAGGTGAGCGGCCCTGGCTCCCCGAGGAATCCACGGCCCTCGCCTGCCGAAGGCTTACTCCCTCCTGGTGCCGGGGCGCCCCCAGCTGTCTGCTCCGCCTCTGACCCTGCGGGCTGCAGCGAAGGCTGCGCGCCCACCCGCGGGGGACCGGAACGGAGGGTAATGCGGGCGGTGTCCGCGCCCGCCTAACAGTCTGGGGTGGATGGGACTTGGGGAGTCGCTATATAGAGGCTGTCCGGAGGCTTTACTGGAAATTGAGGGGAGGAAGGGGCGTGGCATTAGGCGAGGGATACTTTTTTCTCCACTTTCTGCACTTGGTTCACCTGAGGCCAAAAGCTTGGAGGGTCCTTCCTGTTCCTCTTCGCACGTCTGGGCCACCTCTGTCCCCCAGGAAGATGGCAGGTTTAGCGAGGGCGGAGAAGGGACCGAGATTTGTTTTCTTCTCAATTTCTCCTCTTAAAGCCAATATCACTGCTCTTCTAGGCTGTGCTTCCCCTGGAGCCCACCTTTCCTGTTGGCGGCTAAGACCAGAGAGGGAGGCGGAAGTGCACGGGGAGTCAGCTCCGCTAGTTCTCCGCGGGAGAGCAAGCTGGGAGGCGCCAGCCAGCCCTGGGGGCGCCCAAGACGGGAAGCCAGAGCAGCCTGGGGCCCTATTAATAGGCCTGCTTTGCTGGCTGGGGTGAGGTCACTGGTCCTTCTCTGCCTGCAGTGTGGTGGTGCCTACGTAGAGCAGAAGCAGGAAGGGAAGCCTGGGATGATGTTTCAGCTAAAAGAGGTTGCCCAGAAAGGTTTTAGGTCTTGCCCAAGGTCATAGGCAGTTAGTGGTGGAGCTGGGTCTTGTGCCTGGGACTCCTCTTTCTAGAACCAGTCTCCTGTCCACACTGCTCCCCATTCCAAAGGTTTGCAGGCATTGAATTTTGAAGCAAGACAATTGTGCAATACACAGCATATCTGAGGTTGGAATGTGTGAGGGGAGAGTGACTATGGTATTTCTCAGCCAGCCTGGGAAGCTTTCCTCCTCCCCATCCAGTGTCAGCGCTCTTTCTGTGACAGAATGATGTGATTCTTGACACTGTCATCTGTAAAATGGCATACCAACAAGTAAATGTAAAGTAGTATTATCATGGAAACGCTTTCTGAACCACTGAGCCAATCAGATCAACAAACATCAAAATGGGAGAGGAAGTTAAAAAAGTCCTTTTTAAATCCTCAACTGGTACTTAGAGAAGAGACAAGTTGGGGGATTAACTGGGATGGGACAGCAATGGAACAGCACAGCTCACTCACCTTGGCCTTGTTTCCTATGAGATAGGCAGAAGCTCGAATCCTAGGCCCTGAGCCAACATTACATAGAAGCCCCTCCAACATTTAGAGGCACACATACCATGGGCCACCACACCTTGCAAGGGCTCCGGGAGTGTCTTCTCACCTCTGCCAATATCAGGGACCCACCTTCCTATGTGTATTAGGGTTCTCCAGAGAAACAGTGTATATACATAAAGAGAGAGATTTATTATAAGGAATTGGCTCACATGGTTATGGGGGCTGAGAAGTCCCACAGTCTATAGTTAGCAAGTTGGAAACCCAGGAGAGCCAGTGGTATAAGTTCCAATCTGAGTCCAGTCACAAAGTCAGGGGAAGATAGATGCACCCGTTCAAAGATAGGCAGAGAGAATGAATTCTCTCTTACTCTGCCTTTTTGTTCTATTTGGGCATCTAACAGATTGGATGAGGCCTATCCACATTGGGGAGGGTGATCTGCTTAACTCATTTTACTGATCCAAATGTTAATCCCATCCAGAAACACCCTTACAAACACACCAAGAATAATGTTTAAACAAATATCTGGGCACCCTACAGCCCAATCAAGTTGACACATAAGATTAGCCATTGCAACATGTGTTTGTATGGCTATGTTCCTTGTAACTTTTAAAATCACTTTTTATTCTTTTCTTGCTCACCTGATGAACTAATAGGCCCTGGTATAAATCCTCACTCTGGGCAAATACTCTATTAGAAAGAAAGCTCCCTGGGCAGGCATTTCCTCTTCTTGCACCATGACTTGAATTTCCTACAAACCAGACATGGGCATCATTAGCAATAATGCAAAGGTGGGCATGGAAGGAAGTAAATGTTCTGGACTACCCTAAGTGATATATTCCACTTGGCTGTACTGGTTGTGAAAATGCATAAATATAATACTTCTGTATGGGATGGTAAATAGCTGCTGCCCTAAACCCACCTACCACCCTGGCTAACCCAGGCCTTTCCCCAGGATGGACACACACACAAACACACATACACCCATCTCATATCTGGCAATTAAGGGATTGATGTCTGGTGGAACAAGGGACCTGAATACCATGGCCATTATCTGATTGGTTGAAGCCGAGGCCATATTCTTCTTATCTATTTTGAATGTCCCATCCCTTACAAAGTAAGAGCTCAGTGAATGTCAGTGTCTTTCCCCTTTCCCTTCCCTTCTTATTATTATCCATCTGTTAAGTACCTGCTACATGGCCTGCACTTTGCCTAATGACCCTTTAAGATAAGTTTTCTACATTTTTCCAGATAAGGAAGTAAATTCATCATCCAGAGTCAAATGACTGCCCAAGGTCACCGTGATAGTAAGTTGCAGACTCAGGTTTTATATTCAGCTCTTCACTGAGCCCTTACTCTGTAAGAGGTGGGGCGTTCAAAATAGAAAAAAAGACTATGGTCATTTATGTCTCCCTTTGTCTCCCTTCCTGAGCAAGCTGCACCCCACAACCCAGTTCTTCCATAAGGAGGGATGCTCTGGAAGGGCTTTGTGACTCTGGGGATAAGGTCTTCTCCCATTTCCTATCATTTCCTATCCCTATGTTTAGGAAAAGCCTGCTCCCTTGGCACATATATGCATGCGTGCACACACACACACAGAGACAGAGAGATAGAGAGAGAGAGAGAGACATACTCCCCTCCTTAGGAAGGGAGGTTCAGCTCAGCTAAGAGTTTGGTTGTTGATGTTGTTTGGTTGTTGATGAGGTTCTCCCAATTCTCCTTTCAATGAGAAGGGATAAGCATGGAAAACTGAAACAATCTTCCTCATCTTTTTTTTCCACTTGCATTTTAAAACAAAAGGCTGTGTATGGTCAGCTGGAACTTGGTTAGAGGAGGCTGTTAGTGAACATGCCAGCTGCAGGTGATCTTATTCTCATGGCCGTTTCCTTTCCTCTCTCAGGCCTCTGGCCTCGTCCACCAAGAACCTGCCAGAGTTCCTTCCAGAGGCCCACCAACAGGTGCTCAGCAGAATCTGCACTGAGGAGCATTGGAAAGATCTGACCTACCTGCCAACATCCTACCAGAACCTGAAAGTCACCAATTGGGATTTATGTCTTCGGATCCTGAAGTTTTAACCACTGACAATGTTGAATTTTACCTAAGCCCTGTGCTTCTGGAAAACAGGGAAGGTCAAGACATCCCCTACTGTTTTAATCAATTCAGGCTGCTATAGCAAAAATACCAGAGACTGGGTGGCTTAAACAACAAACATTTATTTCTCACAGTTCTGGAGGCTGGAGGTCTGAGATCAGGGTGCCAGCATGGCTGGGTTCTGGTGAGGGACCTCTTCCTGATTACATCTTCACACGGCCTTTCCCTGGCGTGTGCACATAGGAAAAGAGACCCCCATGTCTTCTTCTCTTTTTAAAAGAGCACTAATCCCGTCATGGGGGCTCTAACCCGGTCCTACCTCCAAATACCATTACTTTGGGGATTAATATTTCAACATATGAATGAGGGAGAGGGCACAAACATCCTTTTGTGTTGTGGAAAATGGTTTAGCACAAAAAACCACCCTTCCCCATATGACTGAGAAAAGACTCACAGATGCATCCTTGCTTATCTATGGCAAGGCTAGACACCTTCCAAATTCCCATTTTTTGCTTCATAAATGATTAGCTGAACTGTTTCATCCTCACTGATCAATAGGACAAAATAAGAAGTTAACCAAACTTGGCTGGACGTGGTGGCTCCCACCTGTAATCCCAGCACTTTGGGAGGATGAGGCGGATGGATTACTTGAGGTCAGGAGTTCGAGACCAGCCTGGCCAACTTTAGTAGAAAGTGAAACCCCTTTCTACTAAAAATACAAAAATTAGCCGGGCGTGGTGGTGCACACCCGTAGTCCCAGCTACTCGGGAGGCTAAGGCAGGAGAATTGCTTGAACCCAGGGGGTGGAGGCTGCGGTGAGCCGAGATCACACCACCGCACTCCAGCCTGGGTGACAGAGCAAGACTATCTCAAAAAAAAAAGTAAAAGAAATTAACTTGGTTAAACTTCTCTCCTTCCCACAAGCCTCTGAACTTTGACCCACTCTCAGCCTCAACCAGCAGACAGCCCCTCCAGAGAACAGGCTGACCTCAGGGTAAAATGTTCTCTGATGTACTATCTGGTCATGTCACTCTTTCATCCCACTTCCCCACACCACAATTCTTTCTAGCCTTGTTTATTCCTCTTTATAAAAGAAAACTCTTATTCGCCTAACTCCTGAGACAATCGCAAATCTTATGGTCAGTAATTCTCCCTGTTGCAACAGTCCCTCCCCATTCTCATTTCTCACCCCCACAGACACACCCCACCAACAGTAATCCTTTTGAATAAAGGCTGTCCTTGCTAAGTCTGGATTTATTTTGACACCATCTTTAAGAGTTTCCTCTAAGAATATAAGTGACCCTATGAGAGGGCACTGTAAGTCTCAGTTAACGTTTTGTTGAAGATTAATTTATCCCTGTTTGACTAAAGGGGAGGAAGGCAGACAAGAATACTATGAGAACCTACCAGACACTAGACATAGCCCTGGATATTACACATACTTGATTTCATGTAATTCTTGAGGTTCAAAGATACAAAATGATTTCCCAAAGACCCTACAGAGGCCAGACTGAAACCTAGGTCATTAACTTGGAATCATAGGTTCAACACAGACAATAGCTCCCCACAAAATTTTAAAGATCCCAGAGTCCAGCTCCTGCCTGGTCAGGTTGGGGAAACTAGGGTCAACCAACATGCTAATGACAGAAGAGCTCAGAAAAGAGCCCAAATCTTCCACCCCAGGCTCCATCTCATTCCAGCACAACCACAGCTACCACTTTTCACCAGCTTCACAGCTCTGTCTTGTTGTCAGCCTTATTAGAACTGCTCTCTGCTGAGTTAGTCTAGACAATTTCCAAGAAAGTTCAGAGGGCTCCCAAGAAGATCCCCAACCAAGGTAATCAAAGGATTTCAAGTGAAGTCAGAACACACAGGAGCAAAGAAGCAACTCAGCTGGATCCATTTAACATTGATTGAGCACCTACAGCTTGTTATGGCTATAGTCTCCACATGGCTTCTGACCAGTCAGGACTATGGGACTATACCATAATGCTGGGAGCTTGAGCTGTAACACAGGCATTGGCAAATAAAAGAAAAAATATGCGTCATTCAGCCTGAAAGATCAGAGGGTGATCTGCTCCAGGGAAATCTGAGAGCTGGAGAATGGTTGGGATGTAGAGCTCTGGAACTGTAACATCGTTGCTAAGCCTCTGGGTGCAGTACAAAAATAAATATCACAAGTATTGCTCTTAAAAACAGCCGGGCACAGTGGCTCACACCGGTAATCCCAGTACTTTGGGAAGCCAAGGTGGGTGGATCACCTGAGGTCAGGAGTTTGAGAACAGCCTGGCCAACATGGTGTAAACCCCGTCTCTACTAAAAATACAAAAAAATCAGCGGGACGTGTTGGCGCGCACTTGTAGTCCTAGCTACTCGGGAGGCTGAGGCAAGAGAATCGCTTGAACCCAGGCGGCAGAGGTTGGCAGTGAGCCGAGATCACGCCACTGCACTCCAGCCTGGGCGACAGAGCAAGACTCTGTCTGTATTTAAAAAAGAAAAAAACAAAAACAAAACAAAAAAAAACAGGATGTTTTTCTGCTGGATGCTTTGTTGTTTCATTTGTCTTTGCAGTATCCTTGTAATTAGAAAGGTTAAAGGTATTATTCACTCTCATTCTACATTCAAACAAAACAAGGCTTAAAAGCTAAAATGGATTGCAAACCTAAGTGGAGAATAGGGATAGACACAGGTCTAGCTCCAAGGTTTTTTTTGTTTTGTTTTGTTTTGTTTTTTGTTGTTTTTTTTTTTTTTTTTTTTTTTTTTTTTTTGAGGCAGAGTCTCGCTCTCCAGGCTGGAGTGCAGTGGTGAGATCTCGGCTCACTGCAACCTCCACCTCCCAGGTTCAAATGATTCCCCTGCCTCAGCCTCCTGAGCAGCTGGGACTACAGGCACGGGCCACTATGCCCGGCTAATTTTTGTATTTTTAGTAGAGACGGGTTTTCACTATGTTGGCCAAGCTGGTCTTGAACTCCTGACCTCATGATCCACCTGCCTCAGCCTCCCAAAGTGCTGGGATTACAGGTGTGAGCCGCTCCCAGGTCTTCTGACTCCAACTAATGTTCCAACTCTATAAACAAAAAAAATAAAAAATATTTGAGTTGGATCTTTGGGCCATCAATTCCAACTTACCATCCAGTGTAGAAAGGACCTCCTTCTATAGGTCTCTGAAAAAAAAATGTAAAATTCAATGGGCATGGTGGCACACACCTGTAGTCCCAGCTACTTGAGAGGCTGAGGCAAGAGGATCACTTAAGCACAGGAGTTTGAGGCTGCAGTGTGCTATGATCACATGCATTCATAGCCCCTACACTACAGCCTGTGCAACAGCAAGACCCCACCTCCAAAAAGAAAAAACACAAGCAAATTAAAC
This sequence comes from Homo sapiens, assembly GCF_000001405.40. Taxonomy (NCBI): domain Eukaryota; kingdom Metazoa; phylum Chordata; class Mammalia; order Primates; family Hominidae; genus Homo; species Homo sapiens. Next base: position 32,434,934 of record NC_000007.14, read on the forward strand.
ATACAGCTCCTAATCAATGCCTCAGTAATGGAAATTCATTACCTTTTATAATATAATCATTTCTGACTATTGAAGTGATACTCATTTACACATTCATGGGAGAAAATTTAGAAACTGCAAAAAAGCACAAAGCATAAAATTTAAGCCACCCATAATGTTGACATATCCTTTATTTCCCCCTTGCTAAGAGAAATGAAGTATATGCTGAATTCTAGTTATATTACATAGGATAATATCCAAGATATGATTTCTATTACTTTTTTTTTTTGAGACAGAGTCTCACTCTGTCACCAGGCTGGAGTGAAGTGCCACACTCTCAGCTCACTGCAACCTCTGCCTCCTGGGTTCAAGCGATTCTCCTGCCTCAGCCTCCTGAGTAGCTGGGACTACAGGCATGTGCCACCACACCCAGCTAATTTTTGTATTTTTAGTAGAGACGAGGTTTCACCATGTTGGCCAGGATGGTCTCAATCTCTTGACCTCGTGATCCGCCCACCTCAGCCTCCAAAAGTGCTGGGATTACAGGCGTGAGCCACTACGCCTGGCCTACTTTTTAGAATAGTATGTTCTAATCATATATACCAGTCCAATTATATATAACCAGTCAGTCCAATTATATATATCCAGTCCAATACATTCATGTTTTACAAAATTAATATACTTTTATGATCTTAATTATTTATAATTTTATATACAATTTATATATGCATATATTTTAATATGTAATTTATATAATATTTATAAATGTAAAATATATGTACATAAATCATTGTTATGATTTATTTATACATTAAAAAACCATAACATTCCCCATCCCAATGAGATATCACTTCATATTCAATAGGATGGCTACTATCAAAATCATTCTTATGATTTATTAATATATTTATGTAATTTATAATTTGTAATGTTGTAAATAACATTATAAATAAATAAATGGACATTTATCTACTGACCTATTCCTGTATTTATTCATCTTAAATTTATAAGTTTTAATAACATTTTCCAAAAGCTTCTTGGATGTTCTTACACAAATTGTTTTCTAGATTTACTTTTTTAGAACAGATTGGTCTGTGGGCTGCAGTGTGCCAACCCCTGCTCTAGGCTTTCTAATGGAAAGATTTGTTGTGGGAAGGAGGAAGACAAGCTTGGTGAAGTTTAAGGAGTATGTGGGATAGGGAAAAGCACACTAAGATACATCATTGTTTTAATTTCTCTTGGTACAAAATATTCCATTTACTTTGAAATTTCAGATATCATTTTAAAAGGGCTGGATTTTTTTTTCCAAAAGGGGAATGAGTCTTTATAATTTAAGAAACACTCCTCATCCCAAAGAGATATCATCTCACACTTACTAGGATGGCTGCCATCCAAAAAATAAGCAGAAAATAACAAGTGTTGGCTAGATTGTGGAGAAATTGGAATCCTTGTGCACTGTTGCTGGAATGTAAAATGGTGCAGCTGCTATAGAAAACAGTATGGCACTTTCTCAAAAAAATTAAGCAGAATTACCATATGATTCAGCAATTCCACTTCTGGGTATATATTCAAAAGAATTGAAAGCAGGGTCTTAAAGAAATAGTTGTACACCTATGTCCATAGCAGCATTATTGACGATAACCAAGTGGTGGGGGCAACCCAAATGGGCATTGAGGGATGAATGGATAAACAAAGTGTGGCATATATAAAGGAAATTCTGACACACGCTACAACATAGATGACACTTGAAGACATTACACTATGTGAAATAAGCCAGTCATCAAAAGACAAATACGGTATCGTTTCACTTACATAGGATGTCTAGAGGAGTCAAAGTCATAGAAACAGAAAGTAGAATGGTGGTTGCCAGGGACTGGGGGGAGAGAGGGGTGGAGAGTTGTTTAATGGGCATAGAATTTTAGTCTTGCAAGATGAAAAACTTCTGGAGATTGGTTACACAAAAAAGGGAATGTACTTAACATTACTGAACTGTGCACTTAAAAGCGGTTAAGATAGTAAACGTAATGTTATGTATATTTTACCACAATTTTTTAAAAATCTAATTATGCAAAATGAAAAAGAAGAGAAAAGAAACATTCTCCAGAATCAGTCTGTTCCTTTTTCTATGTGATAAAATTGCAGATATGTGAAGACAGTCATTGTGCTCACATCTGCTTTCTCTTTTTCAAACCAACCGTTATCATCTTCATCAGATCTTCCCCATATGACAGACTGTTCAGATTATTTGTTTTCCTCTATCATGTTCCTTTAATACTCTCTGGTTGTTGTTATTTTAATGCTTTTCTTAAAATAGGATTCCCAGACCAAAGATCATAATTCAGGTGTGTCTAATCAGGATAGAATGTTTTGGAACTGCTACTTCCTACAACCTAGCAGATGCTGGACCTCTGTCAATGTGTCCTAAGAATATCATCTACCAAACCCCCAGGCCCAGTTTTGTGGAATCTGCTTCCTTCATTTGGTACGTGGGCCTTTGAACCTAAATGCAGAATTTCAAATATATTCCTATTTATTTAATTTTCTAAGTTTTGCCTCAGCTATGTTAAATTAAATTAAATCAAACCACTTCCAAAAATCAAAGAAGAAAAGAACCCAACCTAAATTAAAATGTAGATCTAAATTTAAAAAACCAATTCTGAAAGTCACGTTGAGTCTTCCTTCTCAGCTTCTTCAGCCATTCCTCACGTGATAACTTTAACATCTGAGCTTTTGTTAGATCAAGACTGAGACAAAACTCTACAGCAGACATGGCAAATCAGTTTCATTGAGTATACCCCTGCATTTGATTGGCAGTGGCTGCCTGCAGCACTGTTATTAGGAGCCTCCTTCAGGCAGAAGTGCAGTGATGGATTAAAGATGTCTGCCAAAGACTGCGGTAAGGAGACAGAGGTAAGTATGCCACCAATTTGCCAGGAAGGCCCCATGGGTTTTACTGTAGCTGAATTTCCACCAATGGTCCTGTGATTGAAGTCTAAAGACTATGAGCATAAGTGTTTCAATTGCTCTTAATTGTCACTACCGTGTCATAGGAAATAAAGCTGGAAAAGAAAACCTAATGTGTGTAATTCCCTCAGATGTCAAAGGACATCTGCATATTCAGGACTGATGATTCTGCTTTGTCCCCACCCACTCAATTTTGAGCCAGAGTCTAAGTCAGAAACAGGAAACAGAATCCTAAAGGAAACCAAAAGAAAACAGAAATATTAATGATGTCATTTTTAATTATCCATATTATTATAGGAAACATATATATGGGAAAATATTATTTTAATGTTATACATTATATGAAGTGTGTGCATGTATGAATTAACCACTATTAAGGTCGATACATACCTTATATCATTTTCCATATATAAATACATATAAAACCATAGCAGAAATACATAGGAAATACCCTAGCACCTGGCATACACTGGGCATACAATAAATGTTTGTTGCATTTAATTAAAATAATTTAAATCCTTCTATTTCAATTTATTAAGAAAAGCAGTTACTCCAAACATGCAGAAATAAATGAAAACCACCCAAATCAGAAACAGCAATGGCTACTTACTCAGAGCTTGCTATAGCAAAAGAGTCAGCCACCAGCACAAAGGCAGAGGAGTTGGAAAGCATATGGTGGCAAAAGGGAAGGCTTCAGGTGTGCCCTGAAGCTGTTGGCATGGAAAGCTCTAGGCAGGCTAACTGTAAGTGGAAAATTCTATGCAATTGGTTAGGGGAGTGTATTTGGCTTTTTCCAGTTGGTCCCAAGTTAGAAATAGGGAACAAAAAATAGGGAAGCTGTCAGTTATTAATCAAGTCTTGGCACTTAGGGCCATTGCTACAGGGGTTGTTACTTGGCTCCCTGTATTTAGTGCAGGTAACTGTATATATGGTCTAGCTATTGTCTGTTTGAATATTAGCATCTCAAATACAAAAGACTAAAATTCACTTCAGTTCCATAAACATTTATATAACCACTAACTACATACTAGAGACTACATGAGATACTTTAAATAAAGGGATGAATATGACGCGGTCACTGCCCTACCTGGTGGGTGTGATGGTTAATACTGAGTGTCAACTTGATTGGATTGAAGGATGCAAAGTGTTGCTCCCGGGTGTGTCTGTGAGGGTGTTGCCAAAGGAGACTAACATTTGAGTCAGTGGGCTGGGGAAGGCAGATCCACCTTTAATCTGGTGGGGGAAATCTAATCAGCTGCCAGGGAATATAAAGCAGGCAGAAAAATGTAAAAGGGAAAGACTGGCCTAGTCTCCCAGCCTACATCATTCCCCCATGCTGGATGCTTTCTGCCCTCGAACATTGGACTCCAAGTTCTTCAGTTTTGGGACTCGGACTGGCTCTCCTTGCTCCTCAGCTTGCCAACAGCCTATTGTGGGACCTTGTGGGACCTTAATGAACTCATATATATATGAGTTCATATATATGGATATATATATATATGGATATATATATATATGGATATATATATATATGGATATATATATATATGGATATATATATATATGGATATATATATATAATATATATATATGGATATATATATATATGGATATATATATATATATATGAACTCATATATACATGAGTTCATATATATGGGTATATATATATATATATATATATATATATATATATATATATACCCATAACCCTCCAGAATAGCCTTCACTGTCTTCAAAGTAGATGCAAGGCCCTTAGATTCAGGAAATGGTATTTAGAACTGTCTTGCGGTCATCATTTAAGACAATGCTCTCAAAGCCTACCCAGCAAAATGATAAACCCATGAAATTACTTAACATTTTTAAACATTTAAGTCACAATAATAGAGACTTTCTTCGATTTACTGTTACTTCCCTTTACAAATCAGAAAAGTAAAAATTTTGTAGAAATTAGATTAAACTAAGATGAGCTTCCCACAACCAGTTTTGTTTGTTTGTTTGTTTGTGTTTTTTTGTTTTTGTTTTTACAAAATACACTTGTTCATCAGGCCTTGAATATTGAGTGGTACTAGCCAATAAGAAATTGTTATACCCCTCTGTCTCAATCTGGTTACCCAGACGCCCAGTTTCCTACCTGAAGCCCTGGCTATCACTCCCCACTGTATTCCACTCATCTGTTCTTCCCTGGATCTTACAAGTCCTGCTGGGTCCACCAAGCCTTATGGATGGCACCCATCACTTCTGCCTCATTCTATTGGCCAAAGCAAGTCAAGAGGCAGGGAAGTAGGCTCCAAGCGCAAGAAGGAATAAAGAAAACCCCAGGCGGTGGTTCCTGACTACAATCCCAGCACTTTGGGAGTCCAAGGGGAAAGGATCACTTGAGGCCAGGAGTCTGAGACCTTGTCTCTACTAAAAATCAAAAAATTAGCTGAGCATGGTGGCATACACCTGTAGTCCCAGCTACATGGGAGGCTGAGGTGGGAGGATCACTTGAGCCTAGGAGGTCAAGGCTGAAGTGAGCTATGATCGTGCCACTGCACCCCAGCCTGGGTGACAGAGCAAGACCCTGTCTCAAAAAAAGAAAAAAGAAACTGAACTGGGGCCATGATGTAGTCTGCCTCACAGATCTGTCTGTGCCTCTGCATGCCAGTAGGAAAGCATAAACAGTGAAGCTTCTTGGAAACTATCCAGCAGCTCCAGCCTCCTCGAGCTCATTAATAAAGCATAGTATAGTAATGAACTGAGTTTTGGAATAGACAGATTTAGGTCTGATACCTACTCTCACCATTTAGCAGGAGCAAAACCTGGGGCAACCTACCTAACCTTTCTTTGACCCTCTTTATTGTCATCTGCAAAACAGATATATTAACAGTATCGTCTTCACACATTGCATTAGTTCATTCTCACAGTGCTGTAAAGAAATACCTGAGACTGCATAATTTATAAAGAAAAGAGTTTTAATTGGCTCACGGTTCCACAGGCTGTACAGGAAGCATGGTGGCATCTGCTTCTGGGGAGGCCTCAGGGAGCTTGTACTCGTAGCAGAAGGCAAAGTGGGAGCAGGTGTCTTACATGGCAGGAGCAAGGCCAAGGGGGCAGGGTGCTACACACTTTTAAACAACTAGACCTTGTGAGAACTCTGTCACAAGACAGCACCAAGGGGATGGTGCTAAACCATTCCCCATGATCCAATCACCTCCCACCACGGTCCACTTCCAGCATTGGGGATTATATTTCAACATGAGATTTGGGTGGGGACACAGATCCAAACCATGTCAGGTGTAAAACATTGCATGCCTTTATCAGTTGAGGTACAACAGTAAGCAGATGACACCCACAGACTGGACAATTTGACAAGAATTTAATAAGGAATCTCATCTACAAAGGTGTGGACTGAGTTTGGGGAAAACAAAAAGGGATAGTTCAGTATCCTAGGGTCAGTAAGGGCAGGGAACTGGTACCAATCCTAGGCCTGAAAGGGCAAGGAGGGAGCAGCTACCCAACCCCAGAGCTGTGGCCGATGAGGAGGAACACCGCCAATCTGCAGTGGACCGGAGAAGAATAAACCCCTACCTCCTTCTTTTCCTGTCCCCTTCTCTCCTGCTGATGTCTCTCATTGATCAAACCTAGTGAGAAACCAAAGGACAGGAGCCTGTTCATTCAGCAAAGACAGAACAGACTCCCAAGTAAGGGCAAGCAGATTTAGTGAATAAAAACGCAGAAGGCCCATATAAATTTAAATTTTAGATAAACAAATACTTTTTTAGTATAAATATAGCCCAAATATTGCGTGGGACATATTTATATTAAAAAAAGTATTTGTTTATGTTGGGTTTTTTAAACATAATGCTATTGCATACTTAATTGACTACGGTATAGTATAAACATAACTTTTTTTTTTTTTTTTTGAGATAGAGTCTCATTCTGTTGCCCATGCTGGAGTGTAGTGGCACCATCTCGGCTCACTGCAACTTCCACCTCCCAGGTTCAAGCGATTGTCCTGCCTTAGCCTCCCAAGTAACTGGGATCACAGGCATGCACCACCACGCCTGGCTAATTTTTGTATTTTTAGTAGAGACTGGGTTTCGCTATGTTGGCCAGGCTGGTCTTGAACTCCTGACCTCAGGTGATCTGCCTACTTGGGCCTCCCAAAGTGCTGGGATTACAGATGTGAGCCACCACACCCAGCCTAATGTCCTGGGAAACCAAAAACCTTAACTGACTTGCTTTATTGTGATATACATTTTATTGCAGTGGCCTGGAATCAAACGTACAATATCTTCAAGGTACGCCTATACAACTTGTCTTATAAACTAAAACCACCTTTTAACACTGTTAAGTGTCTTAACATCTGCTAGATTGCATTATCTTATTTTACCATCCCTGGGGCACTTCAAGGAATTTTAAACAAATCCATCTAATGGTACTACAGACTTAATGTGCATTTATAAATGATTATAGTCAAAGGTAATCTTTCTCCAGCGCTTCCTATATTCTGGGGAGTATGTTAAATGCAACACTTGGCTTATTGTTTAGAGCAGGGATTCTGATGACAGATACCTAGATTCAAAGTCCAGCTCTACAATTTACCAGCTGTGTGATGCTGGACCATTAGCTCACCTCTCTATCCTTCAGCTCTTCATCTGTATAATGGGTGAGAATAATAAGAACTTTGCCATTGAACTCTCTACCTAAAGTGCTGGCCTCTAGTAAATGGTAACAAATGTTAACATACATAATCTCATGTTGTGGGGTCTCTCGGTTCTTCCTGCTTTTTTCTCTGTTCTGACTGAAAAACACAAGGGGCCTAATCCCTCTGTGACTCAGCCAGCTGCATGTTTTCCTCTGAAAGTTTTCACTCAGCTAGGGCCTTGAACATTCTTTTTAGGTTGTTACTCAAAACACTAAAAGAAACTTGCGGCCGGGCGCGGTGGCTCAGGCCTGTAATCCCAGCACTTTGGGAGGCCAAGGCCGGCGGATCATGAGGTCAGGAAATCAAGACGATCCTAGCTAACACGGTGAAACCCCGTCTCTACTAAAAATACAAAAAATTAGCCGGGCGTGGTGGCGGGCGCCTGTAGTCCCAGCTACTCAGGAGGCTGAGGCAGAAGAATGGCGTGAACCCAGGAGGCGGAGCTTGTAGTGAGGCGCCGAGATCATGCCACTGCACTCCAGCCTGGGCGACAGAGTGAGACTCCGTCTCAAAAAAAAAAAAAAAAAAAAGAAAAGAAACTTGCCCCACCCTGAGCCAAATTCCTTAAACCCTCATATAACCTGCATAACTCGAGCAGGAGGTCAATGCAAGAGAAGCAGCAATGCTCAATTGAGACCTGGGCATTTTCACTTCACCCGGTTTCCGCAGTAGCAATCAAACGTAGATATAATTATCTATCAGTGTGGAACCCGGGACATAGAAAGGTTAAATGACTTGTGTGTTAAGAAAATGCTGTAGCCAATAGAATAAAAAACCTACGAATACAGCTAACCAGGGTCATAAAATGACAATGACAATGACAATTACAAAACACTGCTCAAAGAAATCAGAGTAACACAAACAAATGGAAAAACATTCCATGCTCATGGATAGGAAGAATAAATATCACTAAGATGGCCATACTGCCCAAAGCAATTTATGGATTTAATACCATTCCTACTAAACTACCAATGACATTCTTCACAAAATGAGGAAAAACTATTTTAAAATTCATATGGAACCGGCCGGGTGCGGTGGCTCATGCCTGTAATCCCAGCACTTTGGGAGGCTGAGGTGGGCAGATCACGAGGTCAGGAGATCGAGACCATCCTGGCTAACACAGTGAAACCCTGTCTCTACTTAAAATACAAAAAAATTTGCCAGGCGTGGTGGTGGGTGCCTGTAGTCCCAGCTTCTCAGGAAGCTGAGGCAGGAGAATGGCATGAACCCAGGAGGTGGAGCTTGCAGTGAGCCAAGATTGCGCCACTGCACTCCAGCCTGGGCGACAGAGCGAGACTCCGTCTCAAAAAAAAAAAAAAAAAAAAAAAAAAAAAAAAAAAAAATTCCTATGGAACCAAAAATGAGCCCTAATAGCAAAGACTGTCCTAAACAAAAAGAACAAAGCTGGAGGCATTACATGACCTGACTTCAAACTACTGCAGGGTTACGGTAACCCAAACAGTACGGTACTGGTACAAAAACAGACACATAGACCAATGGAACAGCATGGAGGCCCAGAAATAAGGCTGCACACCTACAACCATCTGATCTTTGACAAAGCTGACAAAAACAAGCAATGGGGAAAGGACTTTCTATTTAATAAATGGTGTTGCAATAACTTGCTAGCCATATGCAGAAGATTGAAACTGGACCCTCCCTTCCTTATACCATTATAAAAATTAACTCAAGATGGATTAAAGACTTAAATGTAAAAGCTAAAACTATAAAAACTCTGGAAGGTAATCTAGGAAATACCATCTTGAATATAGGAACTGGCAAATATTTCATGATGAAGACACCAAAAGCAATTGCAACAAAAGCAAAAATTGACAAATGGGCTCTAATGAAACTAAAGAGCTTCTGCATGGCAAAAGAAACTACCAAAACAGTAAACAGAAAACCTATGGAATGAGAGAAAATATTTGCAAACTATACATCTGACAAAGGTCTAATATCCAGAATCTATAAGGAACTTAAATTTACAAGAAAAAAAAACAAACAGCCCCATTAAAAAGTGGGCAAAGGATATGAACAGACACTTTTCAAAAGAAGATATACATGCAGCCAACAAGCATATGAAAAAATGCTCAATATCACTAATCATTAGAGAAATGCAAATTAAAACCACAATGAGATATCATCTCACACCAGTCAGAATGTCTATTACTAAAAAGTCAAAAAAATAGGCTGGGCATGGTGGCTCACGCCTGTAATCCCAGCACTTTGGGAGGCCGAGGTGGGTGGATCACGAGGTCGAGGGTTTGAGACCAACCTGACCAACATGGTGAAACCCCGTCTCTACTAAAAATACAAAAATTAGCCGAGTGTGGTGGCACACATCTGTAATCCCAGCTACTCAGGAGTCTGAGGCAGGAGAATCACTTGAACCTGGGAGGTAGAGGTTGCAGTGAGCCAAGATCGTGCCATTGCACTCCAGCCTGGGTGACAGAATGAGTTTTCATCTCAAAAAAATAAATAAATAAATAAATAAATAACAGATGCTGGTGAGGTTGAAGAGAAAAGGGAACACTTATCACTGCTGGTGGGAGTGTAAGCTAGTTCAACCATTGTGGAAAGCAGTATGGTGATTCCTCAAAGAACTAAAATCAGAACTACCATTTGACCCAGCAACCCCATTATGGAATATATACCTAGAGGAATATAAATCACTCCACCATAAAGACACATGCATGTGAATGTTCATTGCAATACTATTCACAATAGCAAAGACATGAAATCAATCTAAACGGCCAGGCCATCAATAGTATACTGGACAAAGAAAATGTAGTGCATATACACCACGGAATACTATGCAGCCATAAGAAAGCCATAAAATCAGGTCGTTTGCAGGAACATGAATATGCAGGGACTGGAGGTCATTATCCTTAGCAAACTAATGCAGGAACAGGAAACCAAATACCCCATGTTCTCACTTATAAGTGGGAGCTACACAATGAGAACCAATCAGGCCAGATGTGGTGGCTCATGCCTGTAATCCCAGCACTTTGGGAGGCTGAGGTGGGTGGATCACTTGAGGTCAGGAGTTTGAGACCAGCCTGGCCAACATGGTAAAACCCCACCTCTACCAAAAATACAAAAATTAGCTGGGCGTGGTGACGAACACCTGTAATCCCAGCTACTCCGGAGAGTGAGGCAGAAGAATTGCTTAAACCTGGGAAGCCGATGTTGTAGTGAACCGAGATCATGCCACTGCACTCCAGCCTGGGCAACAGGGTGAAACTCTGTCTCAAAAAAAAAATAAAAATAAAAGAGAACCAATGGACACAAAGAGGGGAAGAACAGACACTGGGGCCTCTTTGAGTGAGAAGGGTGGGAGGAGGAAGAGGATCAGGAAAAATAACTATCAGGTACTATGCTAAATACCTGGGTGATGAAATAATCTGTACACCAAACCCCCATGATGTGAGTTTGCCTGTATTAACAAACCTGTACATGTACCCCTGAACCTAAAATAAAAGTTTAAGAAAGAAAAAAAATGCTGTAGCCACGACTGCAAAGGAAACAATCAACAAAGTGTAAAACGACCCACAGAATGGGGAAAAATATTAAAATATTTGCAAACTATCCATCTGACAGAGGATTAATAACCAGAATATATAAGGAGTTCAAACAACTCTATAGGAAGAACAATCTAATGATCTAATTAAAAATGGGCAAAAGATCTGAAAAGACGTTTCTCAAAAGAAGACACATGAATGTTACTGGAGGTTAATGTGTGGGTCATGGCATGGAAGATGATGTTGGTTGGAAGGAAGCGGTCAGATCACCCCACAGGTAGAATATTCATCAGAGGTGACCTGAGGTGATTGTCTGTGGTGCATTGCATCTATGCCCATGAGCTATGGGGCAGGGGGGGTGGCCTGTCCAAGTCGAAAGGATCCCCACCAAAGTGCAACACACCCAACTCCAACTGGAGTGTGACCTACCTCAGAGGGTTCCTCTAGGCTAGATGCTGCTGTCCATCCCCACAGGTAGAGACAGTTCCTGGAAGATGGAGGGAGGGAGCATGGAGACAGGTAAAGAACACTGAGAGAGAGCTCTGTAAGGACCAGACCCCAGCGTGCTGCCTAGCAACAAAAGCAAACCCTTCATGACCCCAGAACACTACCTCAATTCTGCAGCTGCCTCGGGCTGCAACTTGGAAACTCCAACTCTACCCACGAGGTGAGGACTAAAGCGTCTAACTTCATCTAGCCTATGACCAAAGGAGAGGGAGCACTTGGGTTCTATATCAGCTGCACATAACAGAAAACCTGACTAACAGTGGCTTAACCACAAATGTATTTATTCATCTCACCTGACAAAATGTCTAGAGATAGGTAGCTCCAAGGTTGTGTAACCTCCCTGCAATTGTATTGGCCTTCATCTCAGGGTCACAAAATGGCTGCCAAAGCTCCAGCCATGACTTCCTCACACCATAGTAATCCAAGTAGGAAAGAAGAGGACTGGTGGGAAAGGACCTTCTGGTAATACAAACCTCTCTTATTACGGAAGAAAATTGGAAGTCACTCAGCAAACATCCCCCCTTGTATCTCACGGGCCAGAACCAGGTCATATGCCCAGTTCCCTAAACAAATCACTGGCAAAGAGAAATAGGATACTGTAATTACCTTAATCCTGATTTCTTACCTGGGGCTGGGAGTTGCCTCCCAAACAAAATCGGGCTTCTTTTAACAAGGTTAGGCAAAGCAACAGTGCCCCAACCTATTCGTTACCCTTCCCCCCTTCCCATGAACTTGGCCCTTGATAATCAAATCCATTTGGCCTGCTCACAGAAGAAAGGAGGAGCACTCTTCTTAATGAGAGGGGAAAGACTCTGTGGGAGGGCCAGTTTCTGCTCATTATGCTGAAATTCCTGCCACAAACATTCCCCCATGGAATCCCAATGATGTGGATCTCCAGAGGCAGTCTCTGCTATATCCCACACCCAAGGACTCAGGATTTCTTTAATATATCTCAAGACAGACAAATTCCACAATAAATTTACTAGTCATGGATATTTTACAGATCTCACAGAAACAGAAACAGAGTGAAGAGCCTCTGCTGAGCCCTTCACTCCAATAATTCTGCCTTGAACAACCCTTCCAGAGCTATCTCTCTGATAGCTCACCACCACTCCTCTGCCCTTCCTTCACATATCCTCAGCAAAAATTGCCCCGAGTTATCTGCCATCACTTTCAGCTTACTTTATCCACTCAACCAAACAAAAACCCAACAGCAGTTCATAGATCTGTAACCAAATATTCTTCATCAAGCAAAGCAACTAAAATTTTCATTCAATATTATATATATTGGTAATTAGGATAAGAAGGAGAGCAAAGGAATAAAAGGTGAAGATTAAAGTGGTAATTCAGTAAGAAATATTGAAAAGGGAGGCTGGGCATGGTGGTTCATGCCTGTAATCCCAGCAGTTTGGGAGACCAAGGCGGGCAGATCACCTGAGGTCAGGAGTTCAAGACCAGCCTGGCCAACATGGTGAAAACCGATCTCTACTAAAAATACAAATTAGCCAGGCATGGTGGCAGGCACCTGTAATTCCAGCTACTCAGGAGGCTGAGGTGAGAGAATCGCCTGAACCTGGGAGGCGGAAGTTGCAGTGAGCCGAGATTGTGTCAATGCACACTGTAGCCTGGGTGACAGAACAAGACTCCATCTCAAAAAAAGAAAAAGAAAAAGAAAAGAAAAAAAAGAAAGGGAGCATTGATTGTTGTATCTTTAGACAGGTATTCATTTTTTAGGTCACCCAAGGGTAGCTAACTTTTACAATTAAAAGTCCTTTTCCTGTGATATAAAAAATATACCCAAAGCAAGAACAAGACAAAGTCACTTCAGGTTGTCATGTTCTATTTTAATTAGCTCTAATTTCATGTTCAAACTTTTCTATGCAGGCATATGTGTGTATTAAATATCATTATTAATTAGCCAAATGGATCCAATCCCCACACCCCTCAAAAGCTTGCTATGGTGACGCCAACTTTTCAGGCACCTGTCTGACATAGACAGCCAATTATTGATGTCCTCTAGAATCTGCTGTGCCTGAGAGTTTGCCATGGTATCTTTCCCTTCAGTAAGACCCAGGCAGAACAGGCAGAGAATAAAGTAAATGAAGCACTCAAAGACCCATTAGCCTTAGCCTGCTGAGAGCTGAGCTTAGCCTGCTGAAAGACGGTGCACTTGCTACCTAAGATGGTTTGGATATTTGTCCTCTTCAAATCTTATATTGAAATTTGGTCCCAGTTTTGGAGATGGGGCCAACTGGGAGGTGTTTGGGTCATGGAGGTTGATCTCTCATGAATGGCTTGGTGCCATCCCCATGGTAATGAGTGAGTTCTCGCTCTATTAGTTTACGTAATAGCTGGTTGTTTAGAAGAGCATGGTGAGCAAGGTGTGGTGACTCACGCCTGCAATCCCAGAACTTTGGGAAGCCAAGGTAGACAGATCACTTGAGGCCAGGAGTTTGAGACCATCCTGGCCAACATAGCAAAAACTCATCTTGACTAAAAATATAAAAAAAATTAGCTGGGGGTGGTGGTGCACACCTGTAAACCCAGCTACTCAGGAGGCTGAGACACAAGAAACACTTGAACCAGGGAAGTGGAGGTTGCAGTGAACTGAGATCACGCTACTGCACTCGAGCCTGAGCAAAAGAGCTAGACTGTCAAGAACAAGAAGCAGAAGCAGAAGCAGAAGCAAGAAGAAGAAGAAGAAGAAGAAGAAGAAGAAGAAGAAGAAGAAGAAGAGGAAGAGGAAGAGGAAGAGGAAGAGGAAGAAGAGGAAGAAGGAGAAGGGGAACGGGAAGGGGGAGAAGGGGAACGGGAAGGGGAAGAAGGGGAACATGGTGCCTCCCCTCTGTGTATGTGATGCCCCCTCCCATCCCCCTTCCCCCATGATTGGAAACTTCCTGAAGCCCTCACCAGACGCATATGCTGTTGCCAGTTCCCTTGTACAACCTGCAGAACCATGAGCTGAATAAACCTCTTTATTTATAAATTACCCAGTCTTATAGCAATAAAAATAGACTAAGACACTACCTTACTGCTGATAGGAACTATGGCTGAACAAAACCACAGGAAGCATTGATTGAGATTTTTTTCAAACAGTAAATTTCCCTCAGATGTACTCTTCCTGGTCACCCTCTAGGCAAGCTACTCTCATCCTGTGTTTTAGTTTCCTATTGTTACATGAAACACACACACACACACACACACAGAAACGTAGTGGTTTAAAACTACAATGATTTATCACTTCTCCTAAGTCTATGGGTTGACTGGGAAGTTCTGCTCCATGTGGTGTTGGCTGAGGTCATTCCCACAGCTTATATTCAGCAGGGAGCTTAGCAAGGGATCCCCATCTCCTTCACATGGTCTTCCATGAGTGTCTCCAACTCCAGATCTTCCCCCATGTGGTTTTACTCTGCAACAGGATGGCCTAGACTTCAGTACAGCATGGTAGCTGGGTTCCAAAAGAGATTGCTCTAGGGGACAAGCCCCAGTGTACATGACCCAGCCCCTGCTTGTATCATGCCTGCTAATGTCCCATTGACACAAAAAGCCACATGCTGATGATGTAAGAGGAGGAGACTACACAGTGAGTGGCCCATTGGGCCCATTGTCGCTGTCTAAAACCTCAAAGTGCGCATTTTTTTCACTTACCTCTCTAGGGAGCATAATTCTCTGCAGGGAGGACAGCTGTGAGATCCTGTGACCTAAAGACTCTCTGAATCAATAGAAACAAGTATAAAATTGTGAAAGTAAGTAAAAAATTGAGTTAAAGAGGATTTTAGAGTATGTGTAGTTAAGAAGATCTGTTACGGCCGGGCGCAGTGGCTCACGCCTGTAAACCTAGCACTTTGGGAGGCCGAGGTGGGTGGATCACGAGGTCAGGAGATCGAGACTATCCTGGCTAACATGGTGAAACCCCGTCTCTACTAAAAATACAAAAAATTAGCCAGGCATGGTGGCGGGTGCCTGTAGTCCCAGCTACTCAGGAGGCTGAGGCAGGAGAATGGCGTGAACCCGGGAGGCGAGCTTCCAGTAAGCCAAGATGGCGCCACGGCACTCCAGCCTGGGCTACAGAGTGAGACTCTGTCTCAAAAAAAAAAAAAAAAAAAAAAAAAAAGAAGAAGAAGATCTGTTACTTGATGCTACTAGAAAAAAAAAAAGTATTAATAAGGACAAGTGAAAATATAAACCCGAAGAATCTGATCATAAGGTTTAAATTATTGAGTCTGGAAGGTAGTGGGTATACCTAATTTAAATTTGCCCTCAGAAATGCCTCTCTTATTTGCCTTTCCTAAAGTTAGTAAGTTCATTCACTTCTTTATTCCTTCAGTAAGCGTTTTCGAAGCACCAGGCATCACTCTACATTCTAAGGTTCAAATTGTGTCCTATTCCTTCTTTCATTTTCTCCAAAGTGGACTCCAGCAATGGCCCAATAGCTGGTCTCTCTACCCCAACCACACGTACTCCAAAAGTGTTTGTCCAAAAACACAAATCTAATTCCATTTTGTTTCAGCTTTAAAATCCTCTGACACTGTATAAAAGCTAAACCCTCTAAAGTGGCTTTTAAGGCCCTTCAGAGCCTAATTGTCATCTACTTTCTTTTAAAGGATAATTCTCTACAAAAAGGTAAAATCATGGCTCTCATGCAAACATAAAATGAACATGGGTCAAAGATTATATGTTGCTCATTAAAATGAGGAACTAGTAACATGTTAAAGCCCAGTTCAAAGGTGTGTCCACAGACAGACACATATATAGGCAATGAAGAATACTAAAATGAATTTGTTAATAGATGCAAACCTGAATGCTTCCATGGTAGGGTTTGGGGGTGAAGCAGGCAGGGAATCAATGTCACCTACCTGACAAAATTCATTTCATTTCCATAAAAAAGATTAATTTGCATTACTATCAGTTTTCTACAACTTACAAAGTGGTAAAAGAGTTCAAACATTGAAAGTTGCAGACCACTGTAGAACAAGATATTATGGAAAAGTGCACTAGACAATGCTCAGCATTCCATAAGGCACCCGGTCATCTCGGTAATCTTTTTTTCTCTCTCTCTTTTTTTTTTTCTTTTTGGCACTTTCCGAGTCTTTCACACTTCCCAACCTCACCTTCAACAGTTCCTCCGGCCTTCTACCCTATATGGTAGTCCCACTGCACTCTTCACAGTTGCCTAGGAAGGCCTCAAACATTTCTGGCCACTTCTTGCACCCTCTTCATGAAGTGAACTCTTTTTTTTTTTTTTTTTTTTGAGAGGGAGTCTCGCACTGTTGCCCAGGCTGGAGTGCAGTGGCATGATATGGGCTCACTGCAAGCTCCGCCTCCCGGGTTCACGCTGTTTTCCTGCCTCAGCCTCCCAAGTAGCTGGGAGTACAGGTGCCCGCCACCACGCCTGGCTAATTTTTTGTATTTTTAGTAGAGACAGGGTTTCACCGTGTTAGCCAGGATGGTCTCGATCTCCTGACCTTGTGATGCGCCTGCCTCGGCCTCCCAAAGTGCTGGGATTACAGGCGTGAGCCACCGCGCCCGGCCGAAGTGGACTCTTTATTAGAAGACCTCCTACTCATTATTCTTTCAATTTACTCAGCAAATACTTCCTTCTATACCAATGATGGACCAAGCAGTGAGGATTCAAAAGTGAAGAAGAAGACTAGGTCCCAGCTTAGACCAGGACTCGTTCTTTGGGCGGTGCTATTTACTTTGAATCATCCAGACTTTGGGAAATGCACTGATGTGCAACCACTGTGTAACTGTGAGTGGTGATGGGGGCTTCTCTTCATAGTTCATGGACATTTTTGCTATTGATCATTCTGAGTGAAAGAGGAACCCTCAAAGGAGACTGAGGAGGAAAACTCAGAGAGAGAGGAGGACCAGAAGAGAGCAGGACAAGGCAACATAGGAGGAGCAAGTGGTTGTCCACAGAGCAACCACCATGGAGAGGTCCAGTAAGAACATAAACTATGCACATTTATTTTGGAAACCCAATTCTGCAGAGTGTTTCAATGGGAAGATGGAGGCAGAAGTCATATTACTCCAGGCTATCAAATAAAATGTAGAGCTATTTCTTTGGAAGGAGTGGGGATTCTATTATTGGAGCTAGAAAGAGAAGGATCAGAAGAGAAAGCATAGGTACAACCACTGAGTCATGCCCCAAAGAAAAGTCACCTATATACATATTATGATATAGAAAAAGCACTAGATTTGGAGTTAAAATTTGCATTTAAATCCTGGCTATGAGATGTAAGGCTTGTCATGCAGTCTATTTGGACCTTAGTTTCCTCTTCTGTAAAGAGGAGACAGTAATGCCTCAAAATATCGTTCAATGACATAATCTTTGTGAAAGAACATAGTCCAAAGCTTAGCACATACTATGTGCCCAATATGTGTAATTTTAAGCCTCAGAGAGATAGCAACTGCTACCTGAGTAATCATGTAGATAATCTTGACAAACTCTCACTGCATTCATTAGTGATTGAGGTTTGGATTTTGTTTTCTATGTTTTTGTCTTATGTCCTGCCTGGGTGGAGTTCCAGAAGTGGAGGGTAAAAGAGCACACTGCCCAAAAGCTTTGAGCACCTTGTTAAGAAGAAGGTGACCTTCCTTTGCTTTGATTTGCTTTACTGAAGAGCAGAATGCAGAAAAAGGACGAGACTTGTGGCTGGACACAGTGGATTCCAAAAGAGACCCTAGAAGCCCAGTCTCCTTAGAATGTTTCTTGCCTTTTCTATAATATTAATTAAACCCCAGAAAGGCACTGTGATGCAGACAAACGGGAAACATGAAACAGCACTTTTCATTGTGGAGGAGGTAAAGCAAGAAAAAACTGAATTCAGCAGCTTAAACTGGAATTGGTACAGACCCTAGGCCTCCCACGGCCGACCTTCCTACAACGGGCCAATCCCAAGTCCGCCATTCCCACCCCCAGAGGAGGGTTAACTACTTGGAACAGATGACATTAGGTTACCTTTCTGTCCTAAAGAGGGGGAAACTACTTCACTTTCTTTCCTCTAGACAGCATCCTAATTTGTCCCCACTTAGCCACATATCTCAGGACGAGAGCTTTTGAAATTAATGATGCTTTTCTGAGAGTAATTGCTTCTGTTCTAATCACCTGCTATTTCTTGCTACCCACGGGGCTCAACGTTAGGATTGCCTAAAGCAATCAGCAAATTGCCCAAAATGCACTGCTCTCAAGCTTCCAAAGTACATAATAAGTGATGATGAGTCACTCTAAGCCAGGTAGTCACCTCACATCCCTTATAAAGTGAACTTACATGTCAGTATGCTCCCTAGGAGGCAAATCAGAATGTGCAGGGTGGGGGTGATAAGGGCTCACATTTTTTTAAAGCCTTTTCAACTTTTAAAAAACTTAAGATGAAATTCACATAGCACACAACCATTTTAAAATTTACAATTCAGTGGTATTTAGCATACTTACAATGCTATACAACCAATGGCTTTCGCGAATTCCAAAACTTTTTATCACCCCATAAAAACATCCTGTGCCCATTAAGTAGTCACTCCACCTTCTTCCTTAGTCCCATCCCCTGGTAACCTCTAACCTGTGTTCTATCTCTACAACTTTGTCTGTTCTGGATATTCCCTATAACAGGATTCACAGTATATGACCTTTTGTGTCTGGCTTCTTTCACAGTATAATGATTTCAAGGTTCATCTGTGTTATAGGAGAAATCAGTACTTTACTCATTCCTTTTTATGGCTGAATAATATTCCATTGTATGGATGTACGACAAGTTGTTGATTTCATCTGTTGACAGACATATGGATTGTTTCCATCTCTTGGCTATGCTGAATAATGCTGCTATAAACATTCATGTACAAGTTTCTACATTGATCCCAATGTTTTTGGTATGCCTCTTCCCTCTTTCAGCTCAAGGAAAACACTTGACTAGAA
Organism: Homo sapiens; assembly: GCF_000001405.40. Lineage (NCBI taxonomy): Eukaryota > Metazoa > Chordata > Mammalia > Primates > Hominidae > Homo > Homo sapiens. The sequence continues at coordinate 32,454,510 of NC_000007.14, forward strand.
CAACTTCCAAGAAATCCCCAGTGAGAAGGAATAAGATATTCTTAAGAAGAAAGGGATCTTCTTTTTACTGTTTTTAGTTTGCTGTATGATTTTATTTAAAATATTTTAGCACAGTTTTGGAGGAACACTGTATTCTATACACACACCAAATATACTATTCCTGAATATTGTTGACATATAATATGGTATAATATAAATACTTGTAAGTTGATTGTTGTAATTTTAGTCTGGGCTCAATGACTTTCACATGTTCATATTTCTCTGACTCCCTTATTTTACTAGATAGAGCCTGAGCCTCTCTGCATTCAGCAGAATTAGACATGATCAGAAAATGTGGTTGGTATCACAGCTTCCAGACAATGAGTAGCAAAAGATGGGCAAACACTGGGATCAGCTGCTTACAGAGGATCTTTATTAACTGGGCTGGATTGCAACCCCCAAATCTCTTTAAAATTTGGCCCCTGAGTATGGCCAAATCCAGCCTATACACATTGTGTATAAAATACTTTAAAATACAAAAGTCCTGTTAAGTAATGATAAAATAATACATATCAGGACAAGGAAAGACAATGCAGATTTTTAAGTCATGTGTTCTGTATGAGGATCATTATTTTAAAACTGGTTCAGTATATTCTTAGATTCTAAATATCTCAAAGCAGAATATTTATTTCTAAATGAACTACGTTTAATTCTGTGTTTAGTCTGTATTTATATGTCAAGGTATCTAAGCAGGTCAAAAACTGTATTTCCATTTTTCTAAGAAATTCAAGGTCAAACACGGTGGTTCACGCCTGTCATCCCAGCACTCTGAAAGGCCGAGGCAGGTAGATCACTTGAGGTCAGGAGGTCGGGACCAGCCTGGTCAACATAGTGAAACCTCATCTCTACAAAAAAATACAAAAATTAGCCAGGCGTGGTGGCATGTGCCTATAGTCCCAGCTATTCAGGAGGCTGAGGCAGGAGGATGGCTTGAACCCAGGAGGCAGAGGTTGCAGTGAGCCAAAATCATGTGTGCCCCTTCACTTCAACCTGGGTGACAGAGCTAGATCCTGACTCAAAAACAAACAAACAAACAAAACAAAAAACAAAAAACAAAACACTATCCCTTTCTTTGTTTCTTTCTGCATGTGTTTGTTTATTCATTCATATTAAATATATTTTTGCCTTTAGTATTCTGAAGTAACAAGTCTCTCAAGCAAATGATTTTTTTAACTACAGATTTTATTTGAAAAATATAGATAGGATGGCTGGGCACCATGGCTTACACTTGTAATCACAGCACTTTGGGAGGCCAAGCCAGGCGGATCACTTGAGGTCAGTAATTCAAGACCAGCCTGGCGAACATGGCGAAACCCCATCTCTACTAAAAATACAAAAATTAGCCAGGCATCATTGCACATGCCTGTAATCCCTGCTACTTGGGAGGCTGAGGCAGGAGAATTGCTTGAACCTAGGAGACAGAGGTCGCAGTGAGCCGAGATCGCACCACTGCACTCCAGCCTGGGTGACAGAGCCAGACCCTGTCTCAAAAGAAAAGAAAAGAAAAGAAATGGATCAGTGGTCATTTTTAGCTAAATAAAGCTTTGTTCAAAAAAGTCAGTATTCTTATATTATATGATTTTTAAACATTCACTCAAAAGAAATGTTCTAAGTCCATATAGGACTTAACCCCAGTGTTCATAATATTACTATTACATATAAACTCCTACTCAAGGTGCTGTAATAGGGTGGTATCTTTGGCAACATATGTATGTAGGCTATGAATTTTTACAAGGGGTTTCTATTACAGAAGGAAATTCTATACAATTCTGTAATATGATTGTGACCTCAAAGTACCATAAGAACAAAGGTTAAAGTTACCTATCACAAGTTAAAGTCACATATATATTTCTCATTCAAGACAAGTTCAATTAAAAACTAAACAAATATTACTTTATCCCTACCTGTTGTCTCCTGAAACCATAGAGTTCCAAGGTTTAAAACAGAGATCTGATGTTTTAACATTTGTCATTCTATATTTTATTGAGATCTAAAGTCAACATTTTTGTTTAAATTCCAAATATGATGTTTGAAATCGTGATATTCTGGAGTGATATGGTTTGGCTGTGTCCCCACCCAAATCTCATCTTGAATTGTAACTTCCACAATTCCCACATGTCATGGGAGGAACCCAGTGGGAGGTGATTGAATTATGGGGGCAAGTCTCTCCTGTACTGTTCTCAGGATAGTGAATGAGTCTCACGAGATCTGATCATTTTAAAAGGAGAGTTTCCCTGCACAAGCTCTCTTCTCTTGTCTGCCACCATGTGAGACATGGCTTTCATGTTCCGCCATGATTGTTAGGCCTCCCCAGCCACATGGAACTATAAGTTCAATAAATCTCTATCTTTTGTAAATTACCCAGTGTCGGGTATGTCTTTATTAGCAGCATGAAAACAGACCAATACATGGAGCTATAGAGGAACATGGCTAAACAAGTAAGAGCAAAATCATGTTGTCTTGTTGGGGACTGGTGTTTGTAAAATAACAGCCTCAGAGCTGAAGTGGTATAAACTTTAGTGGTTCCAGCAGACAGTAGCTTGTCTGCAGAGTCATGTGTTGTGCCACATGCATTGGGTATGTCATCCACAAGGACAGCCACCCAGTCTTTAATATCACCAACCAGAAACATCCTATCCACCCCAACACTTCTCCTGCAAGGCAAGCCATGTTAGGTCTGTCCATGAATGGTGGAGTCTCTTTGGCTCCTCCTGCTTTGGGTGAAACAATGCTGCAGTTCCTCCAGTCTGCAATATTCTCTCAGGTCCATCACAGAACTGCAGGCTCCACATGTAAGTCATTCACAGCAGTACTGAAGAATCCCTGTATTTGAGCAGTGTGCAGATCCATAGTACTGACATGCTCCAACCCAGCTACTGAAAACACATTGGCTACAAGTTTTGCAGAAACTGCAGGATGACTCTTGTCCTTTTGATCTTGTTGGGCATATGGAGAACATGAGAGTACTGCCTTCATGCCAGAGGACCATGTGGCTTTGCACACATTGGTCATAGCAAGAGATGTCAAGGTGTCATTAATTTTCACAATGACATAGGCAGCTTGGTCTCTCATTCTTTCACCACTCACTATGCTAACCTCCTGATTGCTGAACTTCTTAGTGACCACCTTGCCCAACTCCAACCCCCACCTTTTCACCACTTTCTGGGCAAGTCCCAGTGAGCTGCTGCCAAGCAGCACCATATTGGACATAGCTGGAGCTTGGTGGAGCCAGGGGATGCTCAAGGTGGTGATGTCAGGAGCAAGGAAAGAGCTGCCACTGCCACTGCCATTGGAAGAGAGGAGGAGGGGTTGCAGAGGTGGGTTGGGGCCTGGCTGCGGGCAGGGAGCACAGCTCTGGAAAAGATCTTCTTATTTTTGGATGCTACATGCTGTTTCACCTCTTTCTCTTTCCATGTGAGCAAAGAAAAGGACTACAACATTAAAAGAAAGTAATTCATTAATATTTAGCATAGACTGTAAAATCACTGCCATTAGAATTTTTTGAGGTTTCCCAAACCATTGTAACTTCCCCACATGTTATTTTGGTCACTCCTTCCCTTATGATTGGCAGGAAAAGCCTGACCTGTGTGCTTGTGTGGCCCAGGCACTAAGAGCCTCAGGTTCACAGGGCATGCCCTCGTGCTAGTGCTGCTAGAGAGGGGGTAGACCATGTTACACAGGAAGCATCACGGTGTTGTGCAATGGGACTGGGTTGGGGGCGGGCAAGTTCTGTTCCCTACCAAGACTCCTATCAGAAAGGGTCTCTTCTTGCCACAGAGACTACAGCAACAAGGCAGAGAAAGTTTATTAAGGTGGGAAACAGGCATCAGACAAAGCAGCACATTTGAGGGACTCCTTCTTAGGCAAACAGATAAAAGCACTCCCAGAAAAGCAAAAACAGAATGACCTCAACATTTTGCAACACATATTGGAAGAAACCAGCCTCCGCAGAAATCAACTGATGGAAGCTGGAGTAAACATGGACTTTTTACAAATTGCAAAAGTAATGTCAGAGACCCTGAAACAAGGTGATATAGCTTAGATGTTTGTCCCCTCTAAATCTCATGTTGGAAGTGTTTGGATCATGGAGATGGATCCCTTATTAATGGCTTAGTGCCAACCCCTTTGTGGTGAGTGAGTTCTTGCTCTGGTGGTTCACACAAGATGTGGCTGTTTAAAAGAGTGTGGCACCTCCCACCTTGCTCTCTTCTCTCACCATGTGATGTGCTGGCTCCCTTTTTGCCTTCTACCGTGACTGTAAGCTTCCTGAGGCCCTCACCAGAAGCAGATGCTGGCACTATGCTTCATGTACAGCCTGCAGAACCATGAACCAAAATAAAACCTCTTTTCTTTAAAAATTACCCAGTCTCCTGCATTTCTTTATAGGAACACAAAAATGGCCTAACACCCGCCCCTCCCCCCACAACCACCCCAGGCAAACATCGACTGGGGTTAATCCCAGTAGAATGAGAATGACATAGGACAAATGGAACAGAGGAAACAGATTCTGGATATGAAAGACTTGATATGAACAGAGATTATTCCTGTGATCCATTGGCTGAGAGTTTTGTGTTGGTCAGCATGCTTTCAGCAGCAAAACGAAACAGAACAAAAACACCCAATCCAAATTAGCTAAATTATAAGAAAATGCATTGACCCACTAAACTGGAAGACCAGACAGAATGGTTCTAACTCCATTTCTTTGACCTTCTCCATGTCTTTGTTTTATCCTCAGACTGGTAAAGAGATAGCTACAGTAGTTTCCAGCCTCTCAACATATACAACATAGCCCTGAATAAGAAAAGAACATATCCTCCTGTGGGTCTCTCTTAAGAGTGAATAAACTTTTCCCAGAATTCCTTGGCAGACTTCCTCAAATTGAGTCACATGGCCATTTCTGACAATCACTGCAAAGGAGATAGGATAATTATCATTGCCTTCAACAATCCAGGCCCTTCCCTGGAGCTACAGAAAACTGCCCACACAGCATAGCTATTCTCCAATGGTGGAAGAGTATGCTGGATGTTAAAGAGATACCATAAAGTCCACCATGGTTTCCCAACAATGTCTTAGGAAGAACCAGTGCTGGAGCCTCCACAATATATCCCTAAGAGTTTAAAATTTATCTTTGTATCACTGAGGACTTTTGGGTTGCTAGTGACAGAAACACAATTCAAATCAGCTTAAAGAAAACATGGAACTGATTGGTTCTTAGCATCTAAGAAAGGGTCAACTCTTCTTAGCCAACTCAACGGAATATCCAAAGATGCAGCTGGGCCATAGTAGAAATAGAACCGTGAGTGCTCAGGGCTCTCCCTTGTCACTCATGTTTGCTCCTCTTTGCATATCAACAATACTCTTTCCCACTCAGACTGATTTTTGTGACATAGCAAGAAACTTGGCTGCTGACAGCTCCTGAGATTTATGTCTCACAGCTTGAGAGACTGAATTCAAGGTCTCTCTGGTTCCAAGTCCAAAAATCTTTGGAAAGAGCCTTATTGGCTGAGCTTGATGTAGATGCCAATCCCTGAACAAATTAACTGGATCCAGGGATTGAGAGTCACTCTGTGCTAACATGCCAACTTCTGTTCTCATTCCATGGACAAAGGAAAAAGCAGTTCCTAGAAAAAGGACCCTAAAGGACAATCCACTATAATAGTTACACTCAGTTGCATAAGAAATGGCAGCCTGGGTGCAGTGGCTCATGCCTGTAATCCCAACACTTTGGGAGGCTGAGGTGGGTGGATCACTTGAGGCCAGGAGTTCGAGATCAGCCTGGCCAACATGGTGAAACCCTGTCTCTGCTAAAAATACAAAAATTAGCTGGGTGTGGTGGCACATGCCTGTAGTCTCAGCTACTCGGGAGGCTGAGGCAGGAGAATCCCTTGAACCTGGGAGGCGGAGGTTGCAGTGAGCCAAGATTGCATCACTGCACTCCAGCCTGGGCAACAGAGCGAGACTCCATCCCAAGAAAAGAAAAAAAAGAAAAAGAAAGAAAGAAATTGCAGACAATCAGGCCAGGCACAGTGGCTCACACCTGTAATCCCATCACTTTGGGAGGCCAGGGTGGGTGGATCACTTGAGGTCAGGAGCTCGAGACCAGCCTGGCCAACATGGTGAAACCCCATTTCTACTGGAAATAAAAAATTAGCCGGGTATGGTGGTGCATGCCTGTAGTCCCAGCTACTCGGGAGGCTGAGGCAGGAGAATCGCTTGAACCCAGGAGGCAGAGGTTGCAGTGAGCCAAGATTGTGCCACTGCACACCAGCCTGGGCAGCAGCACAAGACTCTGTCTCAAAAAAAAAAAGAAAAAAGAAAAGAAAAGAAAAAAAAGAAATTGAAGAGAGTCAGGCCGGGCGCAGTGGCTCACACCTGTAATCCCATCACTTTGGGAGGCCAAGGCGAGTGGATCACTTGAGGTCAGGAGTTCGAGACCAGACTGGACAACATGGCAAAGCCCCGTCTCTATCAAAAATACAAAAATTAGCTGGGTGTGGTGGTGGAGGCCTGTAATGCCAACTACTCAGGAGGCTGAGGCACAAGAATCACTTGAACCCGGGAGGCGGAGGTTGCAGTGAGCTGAGATTGCACTACTGCACTCCAGTCTGCGCAACAGAACAAGACTCCGTCTAAAAAAAAAAAGAAAAAGAAAAAAGACATTGCAGAGAGTCCTCACTCCAAGAGGAGAGATCCTTCAGTTGCAAAAATATTTTATAAAAAGAACCCCACAAAGTATTATCATAAATAATAAGTGGACCCTGACAATTGCAGTCAAGACTGGTAAAGCACAAGGCCTCTTCTTGTGTTTCTTTCTTTCAAGGTAAGGGATGCTTTTGGCTTGTTTCTGGAACAAGGAAAAGGAGAGAATTAAGGAGAGTGTGTTATTTTCCATAATCCATGAGGCCCTCCCCTCCCACAAAACCGATAGCAGCTGTGAAGTGAAGCAGAAGTTTGTGAGAAAGAAAGAAGCTGTCTTTCTCATGAAGCTGGCCCAGGTTGGATAAGCAGGGCCTACATTCCTAAAGGCTACTGGGCTACAGGTTTCTTTCTTGGTTGGGGTTCCCGCAAAAGCAGATCCTGAGAAAGATTTGTGTACAAGTACTTTTCGAGGTCAAAGTACAAGTACTTTTCCCAGGAAGCAAGTGAGGGGGCAGAGAAGTATGTTAAACTCTGCAACTGGGTGTGTAAATAACTGCATGCTGCTATGGTCCACTGTGGCTCAATCCCACTGGAGACCCTCTGAGAAACTCTGCAGAGCACAGCTCAGAATTGTCCCCCACAATGGAGCAAAAAGCTGGGATTTTTATCCATCAACTCCTGTCTCCATTGGTTAAGAGTTGTTCCTGGAGACATTAATTTCCCAGCACTTTCAGGCAGAACATGCATATGAGGCCAGATAAAACCTTTAAACAGAGAGAATCATGTGCTTGAGGTAGGAAGTCATTGGCATGATATGGAAACTTTCCATCAAGTTACACATGACCAACAGGATGGGCCAAGGGAATATTGCAGGGACATTGACAGCATCTACTACAATTCCCAGAACCCATTCCACAGGCAACCCTCCCCAACTTCTGTACCTTCAACCACACTCTCCCCTCTCAGAATGCCCTGGTGTCCATTTAAACTAGATTTCATCTGGATTCAAACAGCAGCAGGGGAGGAGTGTCTCCCCACTGCCTGCACTGGGACAATCCCTACTGGTGGCTCTGGAAGGAATGAGACCCAATATGTACCGAGTACCTACTACAAGCTGGTCCTATACATATCTTGTCTCATGGTAATGCTCAAAACAGCCCTTTGATGTATATATTATCATTGAGAGAAGGAGAGAGAGAGAGAGAATGAGTGTGTATGTGTATGGAATCTGAGACCTGGAGAGGGAGGTAACTTGCCTTGTCTCAAATGGATAGAAAATGACACAGCCAAGACCCAAACCTAGTGGGGTTAACTCCAAAGCCTCATGCTCTTTCTTCCTGATACAGAAATAGAAGCCAATGCCTCTTTGCCACCCAGGAAGAATATTTCTCTTAGATCAACAGACCAAAGTTTAGAGAACTCCTGGGAACTTCAGAAAGTCCCAGTCCTCCCAGAGCCTCAGGTGACACAGACCTGAATGTTTGCCAGGCTATCTTTCACTAACACTAAAATAGCCACCTGCACACTGCCTGCATGCAAACCACTCCTTGATACACATGCACCTAACACAAAGCCCCTTGCATGTTAGGCCAGGGGCTATTTTTGTTGCTTTGAGTTTATCTGAGGAAGGATTGATATGGAACAAGCCACAGGGCAGAAACCTATGCATGTTACCTCTCTCCAGGGGGACACTTCCCAGGGCTGGGGATTAAAGGAATTCAGTGTCTATTAAGTGGAGAGACTTTCCTACAGAAAGAGCAAGTTTTATAAAGTCCATATGACATATGAGGCAGTGTTTTCCAGCCTGGGGATTGTGTTGCACAAAAGAACTGGATAATTTTAACAAGAGCACCTGCAAATGTTTTCCCCAGTGAGCCGCTCTCTGGAGAAAACTCCTCCTTCCCTCTCCACAGCAACATGAGCTGGGATCATTCTTTCATCTCCTGGAAGATATTGGATCCCACATGAAATCCTTTGCCCCACCCAAGAAGCTCCTAGCAACAACTGTCTGGCTTCATGTTACATCACTGGGCAGTAACCCCATTCATTCATAGGCATTTAATGGGCACCTACACTCCTCCAGGCCCAATGAAAAGCATCCAGGATACTTGGAGAGCAAAGTATAGTCCTGCCCTCCAAGAATCTCAGTTGATGGAGGATTCTTATTTATTGTGTGTGCTAAATTTGACCACTGTGAAGGTGCCTGGCACTGTGTTTGACACATACAGGTGCACAGTAAATGCAGATTTCCTTTCGTTCCCTTAATAGTCTTCAAAATACTTTTATGGGAATTATCTTGTTGGTTTCTCAGAGCCTCTGCAAATCCAATTTGGAATGAGACAGAATAAAAGCAAATAACTAAGGACAGGAAATCCTGTGAATAGAGAAAGGCAGGCATTATAAACCTCACACTTAGTTGAGGAAGTTGCATCCAGTTAGGCCGTGGTGCAGCACGGAGGTTAAGGGCATGTGCTGCAGAGCCTGGGTTGGAATTCCGACTCTGTTCCTTGGCTATAAATTCCCACTTTTCCTTGTTGTATTCAGAGTTGAGCCCAGTTTCTCACCCCTACTGTAAAACCCCACTTTGGTAATTCCCATACCTGTCTCTATAGTCCCCTTAAATAAAGTCTGCATTACTGTTCTTTAACAAAGGTTGCAGATAGATTTTTCTTTAAACATTATACATAATATATATATATAAAATATATACACACATATATATATGTGTATACATATAAACCTCACATTTAGTTGAGGAAGTTGCATCCAGTTAGGCCATGGTGCAGAATAGTGGTTAATATATATTATACATATGAATATACATTTATATAATATATTATCAATATATAATAAATACAACTTGTTATTTATATATACATATGTGTGTGTGTATATATATATATATAATATGTATATATTTAGTTAAAAAAAACTATCTGTGACCTTTGTTAAAGAAAAATAAACCAGACACAGTGGCTCATGCCTGTAATCCCAGCACTTTGGGAGGCTGAGGTGGGTGGATTACTTGAGCTCAGGAGTTCAAGATCAGCCTAGGCAACACAGTAAAGCCCCATCTCTACCAAAAATGCAAAAAATTAGCCAGGCATGGTGGCAGGCACCTGTGGTCCCAGCTATATGGGAGGCTGAGTAGGAAGGATCACTTGAGCCCAGGAGGCAGACAGAGGTTGCAGTAACCCATGATCACACCACTGGACTCCAGCCTGGGTGACAGAGAGAGACCTTGTCTCAAAAAAAAAAAAGAATAAAGCAGACTTTATTCGAGGGAACTATATATATATATACACGCCCACATACACACATATAAATATATACATACACGAGAGGAGGAGCCAAGATGGCCGAATAGGAACAGCTCCGGTCTACAGCTCCCAGCCTGAGCGACGCAGAAGACGGGTGATTTCTGCATTTCCATCTGAGGTACCGGGTTCATCTCACTAGGGAGTGCCAGACAGTGGGCGCAGGTCAGTGGGTGCGCGCACCGTGCGCGAGCCGAAGCAGGGCGAGGCATTGCCTCACTCGGGAAGCGCAAGGGGTCAGGGAGTTCCCTTTCCTAATCAAAGAAAGGGCTGACGGACGGCACCTGGAAAATCGGGAAAATCGGGTCACTCCCACCAGAATACTGCGCTTTTCCGACGGGCTTAAAAAACGGCGCACCACGAGATTATATCCCCCACCTGGCTCGGAGGGTCCTACCCCACGGAGTCTCGATGATTGCTAGCACAGCAGTCTGAGATCAAACTGCAAGGCAGCAGCGAGGCTGGGGGAGGGGCGCCCGCCATTGCCCAGGCTTGCTTAGGTAAACAAAGCAGCCGGGAAGCTCGAACTGGGTGGAGCCCACCACAGCTCAAGGAGGCCTGCCTGCCTCTGTAGGCTCCACCTCTGGGGGCAGGGCACAGACAAACAAAAAGACAGCAGTAACCTCTGCAGACTTAAATGTCCCTGTCTGACAGCTTTGAAGAGAGCAGTGGTTCTCCCAGTACGCAGCTGGAGATCTGAGAAGGGGCAGACTGCCTCCTCAAGTGGGTCCCTGACCTCTGACCCCCGAGCAGCCTAACTGGGATGCACCCTCCAGCAGGGGCACACTGACACCTCACACTGCAGGGTACTCCAACAGACCTGCAGCTGAGGGTCCTGTCTGTTAGAAGGAAAGCTAACAAACAGAAAGGACATCCACACCAAAAACCCATCTGTACATCACCATCATCAAAGACCAAAAGTAGGTAAAACCACAAAGATGGGGAAAAAACAGAGCAGAAAAACTGGAAACTCTAAAAAGCAGAGTGCCTCTCCTCCTCCAAAGGAACACAGTTCCTCACCAGCAACTGAACAAACCTGGACGGAGAATGACTTTGACGAGTTGAGAGAAGAAGGCTTCAGATGATCAAACTACTCCGAGCTACAGGAGGAAACTCAAACCAATGGCAAAGAAGTTAAAAACTGTGAAAAAAAATTAGATGAATGGATAACTAGAATAACCAATGCAGAGAAGTCCTTAAAGGAGCTGATGGAGCTGAAAGCCAAGGCTCAAGAACTATGTGAAGAATGCAGAAGCCTCAGGAGCCAATGCAATCAACTGGAAGAAAGGGTATCAGCAATGGAAGATGAAATGAATGAAATGAAGCGAGAAGGGAAGTTTAGAGAAAAAAGAATAAAAAGAAACGAGCAAAGCCTCCAAGAAATATGGGACTATGTGAAAAGACCAAATCTACGTCTGATTGGTGTACCTGAAAGTGATGGGGAGAATGGAACCAAGTTGGAAAACACTCTGCAGGATATTATCCAGGAGAATTTCCCCAATCTAGCAAGGCAGGCCAACGTTCAGATTCAGGAAATACAGAGAACGCCACAAAGATACTCCTCGAGAAGAGCAACTCCAAGACACATAATTGTCAGATTCACCAAAGTTGAAATGAAGGAAAAAATGTTAAGGGCAGCCAGAGAGAAAGGTCGGGTTACCCTCAAAGGGAAGCTCATCAGACTAACAGCGGATCTCTCAGCAGAAACCCTACAAGCCAGAAGAGAGTGGGGGCCAATATTCAACATTCTTAAAGAAAAGAATTTTCAACCCAGAATTTCATATCCAGCCAAAATAAGCTTCATAAGTGAAGGAGAAATAAAATACTTTACAGACAAGCAAATGCTGAGAGATTTTGTCACCACCAGGCCTGCCCTAAAAGAGCTCCTGAAGGAAGCGCTAAACATGGAAAGGAACAACCAGTACCAGCTGCTGCAAAATCATGCCAAAATGTAAAGACCATCGAGACTAGGAAGAAACTGCATCAACTAACGAGCAAAATAACAGCTAACATCATAATGACAGGATCAAATTCACACATAACACTATTAACTTTAAATGTAAATGGACTAAATGCTCCAATTAAAAGACACAGACTGGCAAATTGGATAAAGAGTCAAGACCCATCAGTGTGCTGTATTCAGGAAACCCATCTCATGTGCAGAGACACACATAGGCTCAAAATAAAAGGATGGAGGAAGATCTACCAAGCCAATGGAAAACAAAAAAAGGCAGAGGTTGCAATCCTAGTCTCTGATAAAACAGACTTTAAACCAACAAAGATCAAAAGAGACAAAGAAGGCCATTACATAATGGTAAAGGGATCAATTCAACACGAAGAGCTAACTATCCTAAATATATATGCACCCAATACAGGAGCACCCAGATTCATAAAGCAAGTCCTGAGTGACCTACAAAGAGACTTAGACTCCCACACATTAATAGTGGGAGACTTTAACACCCCACTGTCAACATTAGACAGATCAATGAGACAGAAAGTCAACAAGGATACCCAGGAATTGAACTCAGCTCTGCACCAAGCAGACCTAATAGACATCTACAGAACTCTCCACCCCAAATCAACAGAATATACATTTTTTTTCAGCACCACACCACACCTATTCCAAAATTGACCACATACTTGGAAGTAAAGCTCTCCTCAGCAAATGTAAAAGAACAGAAATTATAACAAACTATCTCTCAGACCACAGTGCAATCAAACTAGAACTCAGGATTAAGAATCTCACTCAAAACTGCTCAACTACATGGAAACTGAACAACCTGCTCCTGAATGACTACTGGGTACATAACGAAATGAAGGCAGAAATAAAGATGTTCTTTGAAACCAACGAGAACAAAGACACAACATACCAGAATCTCTGGGACACATTCAAAGCAGTGTGTAGAGGGAAATTTATAGCACTACATGCCCACAAGAGAAAGCAGGAAAGATCCAAAATTGACACCCTAATATCACAATTAAAAGAACTAGAGAAGCAAGAGCAAACACATTCAAAAGCTAGCAGAAGGCAAGAAATAACTAAAATCAGAGCAGGACTGAAGGAAATAGAGACACAAAAAACCCTTCAAAAAATTAATGAATCTAGGAGCTGGTTTTTTGAAAGGATCAACAAAATTGATAGACCGCTAGCAAGACTAATAAAGAAAGAAAGAGAGAAGAATCAAATAGACGCAATAAAAAATGATAAAGGGGATATCACCACCAATCCCACAAAAATACAAACTACCATCAGAGAATACTACAAACACCTCTACGCAAATAAACTAGAAAATCTAGAAGAAATGGATAAATTCCTTGACACATACACTCTCCCAAGACTAAACCAGGAAGAAGTTGAATCTCTGAATAGACCAATAACAGGAGCTGAAATTGTGGCAATAATCAATAGCTTACCAACCAAAAAGAGTCCAGGACCAGATGGATTCACAGCCGAATTCTACCAGAGGCACAAGGAGGAACTGGTACCATTTCTTCTGAAACTATTCCAATCAATAGAAAAAGAGGGAATCCTCCCTGACTCATTTTATGAGGCCAGCATCATTCTGATACCAAAGCCGGGCAGAGACACAACCAAAAAAGAGAATTTTAGACCAATATCCTTGATGAACATCGATGCAAAAATCCTCAATAAAATACTGGCAAACCAAATCCAGCAGCACATCAAAAAGCTTATCCGCCATGATCAAGTGGGCTTCATCCCTGGGATGCAAGGCTGGTTCAATATACGCAAATCAATAAATGTAATCCAGCATATAAACAGAGCCAAAGACAAAAACCGCATGGTTATCTCAATAGATGCAGAAAAGGCCTTTGACAAAATTCAACAACCCTTCATGCTAAAAACTCTCAATAAATTAGGTATTGATGGGACATATTTCAAAATAATAAGAGCTATCTATGACAAACCCACAGCCAATATCATACTGAATGGGCAACAACTGGAAGCATTCCCTTTGAAAACTGGCATAAGACAAGGATGCCCTCTCTCACCACTCCTATTCAACATAGTGTTGGAAGTTCTAGCCAGGGCAATCAGGCAGGAGAAGGAAATAAAGGGTATTCAATTAGGAAAAGAGGAAGTCAAATTGTCCCTGTTTGCAGATGACATGATTGTATATCTAGAAAACCCCATTATCTCAGCCCAAAATCTCCTTAAGCTGATAAGCAACTTCAGCAAAGTCTCAGGATACAAAATCAATGTGCAAAAATCACAAGCATTCCTATACACCAACAGACAAACAGAGAGCCAAAGCATGAGTGAACTCCCATTCACAATTGCTTCAAAGAGAATAAAATACCTAGGAATCCAACTTACAAGGGATGTGAAGGACCTCTTCAAGGAGAACTACAAACCACTGCTCAAGGAAATAAAAGAGGATACAAACAAATGGAAGAACATTCCATGCTTATGGGTAGGAAGAATCAATATCGTGAAAATGGTCATACTGCCCAAGGTAATTTACAGATTCAATGCCATCCCCGTCAAGCTACCAATGACTTTCTTCACAGAATTGGAAAAAACTACTTTAAAGTTCATATGGAACCAAAAAAGAGCCCGCATCACCAAGTCAATCCTAAGCCAAAAGAACAAAGCTGGAGGCATCACGCTACCTGACTTCAAACTATACTACAAGGCTACAGTAACCAAAACAGCATGGTACTGGTACCAAAACAGAGATATAGATCAATGGAACAGAACAGAGCCCTCAGAAATAACGCCGCATATCTACAAGTATCTGATCTTTGACAAACCTGAGAAAAACAAGCAATGGGGAAAGGATTCCCTATTTAATAAATGGTGCTGGGAAAACTGGCTAGCCATATGTAGAAAGCTGAAACTGGATCCCTTCCTTACACCTTGTACAAAAATCAATTCAAGATGGATTAAAGACTTAAACGTTAGACCCAAAACCATAAAAACCCTAGAAGAAAACCTAGGCATTACCATTCAGGACATAGGCATGGGCAAGGACTTCATGTCTAAAACACCAAAAGCAATGGCAACAAAAGCCAAAATTGACAAATGGGATCTAATTAAACTAAAGAGCTTCTGCACAGCAAAAGAAACTACCATCAGAGTGAACAGGCAACCTACAAAATGGGAGAAAATTTTCGCAACCTACTCATCTGACAAAGGGCTAATATCCAGAATCTACAATGAACTCAAACAAATTTACAAGAAAAAAACAAACAACCCCATCAAAAAGTGGGCAAAGGACATGAACAGACACTTCTCAAAAGAAGACATTTATGCAGCCAAAAAACACATGAAAAAATGCTCACCATCACTGGCCATCAGAGAAATGCAAATCAAAACCACAATGAGATACCATCTCACACCAGTTAGAATGGCAATCATGAAAAAGTCAGGAAACAACAGGTGCTGGAGAGGATGTGGAGAAATAGGAACACTTTTACACTGTTGGTGGGACTGTAAACTAGTTCAACCATTGTGGAAGTCAGTGTGGCGATTCCTCAGGGATCTAGAACTAGAAATACCATTTGACCCAGCCATCCCATTACTGGGTATATACCCAAAGGACTATAAATCATGCTGCTATAAAGACACATGCACACGTATGTTTATTGCAGCATTATTCACAATAGCAAAGACTTGGAACCAAGCCAAATGTCCAATAATGATAGACTGGATTAAGAAAATGTGGCATATATACACCATGGAATACTATGCAGCCATAAAAAAGGATGAGTTCATGTCCTTTGTAGGGACATGGATGAAATTGGAAATCATCCTTCTCAGTAAACTATCACAAGAACAAAAAACCAAACACCGCATATTCTCACTCATAGGTGGGAATTGAACAATGAGATCACATGGACACAGGAAGGGGAACATCACACTCTGGGGGCTGTTGTGGGGTGGAGGGAGCAGGGAGGGATAGCACTGGGAAATATATCTAATGCTAGATGACAAGTTAGTGGGTGCAGCACACCAGCATTGCACATGTATACATATGTAACTAACCTGCACAATGTGCACATGTACCCTAAAACTTAAAGTATAATAATAAAAATAAAATAAAAATAAAAAAAAATTAAAAAAAAATAAATATATATATATATATACATACACACACACATATAATATTAAGTTGGTGCAAAAGTAACTGCAGTCTTTGCCATTAAAAGTAATGGCAAAAATTGCCATTACTTTTGCATCAACCTGATAAATATGTACACACATACATCCTACTGGTTCAGTTTCTCTGGAGAATCTTGATTGATACGAGGGGAATAATACAACCCACTTCACTGAGTTGTTGTGAATAGCATGCTTAGAACAGTGCCTAGCACAAGGAAAAAACACTCTAAATGTCACCTACTTCATATCACTTTGATGGTGGCTGTGAGCCAGGACAAGTCCCCAAGTGCAGAACTTTGACACCACACCACGTATTTCCTCTGCCCGTTGCATAGACAGTCATGCCTATCTGTCCTAGCCTTGCAGAGCTACTCGAATGAGAATGTGAGTGCACACTTTCCGAGTTCCAGGCCACCCACTTTGTCAGTTGATTGCGCAAAGTAGCTGGGTCCCACTGCTCAGGTGATAGCACTCTCAGTCATCTCATTCCTCCCTAAGGGCATCAGGGTTATTCATGGAGTTTCAAGAATTCCTCAGGACACAACCTTGATTTGGCTTTAAACCAGATAGGAAGTCCACTTTTCTATCAAGTGTCATTGACCCATGATGAATAGATTACCAAAACCATGAAGGTAAAAAGTAATTGATTTAGGCGTTTTTATTTGTTAAAAGAATGGAAATATTTTTCGCATTATATTTTGGTTTTATCTTGAGCAGTCAAGGAAGAGAGATTGGGAAGTTATAAAGGGACCTGAGGAAAAAAATGAAGCTTTGGAATTTGACAAAAACTAATATTGTTTCCCCGCAGCCCTGGCGTCAAAGCCAGTTCCCGGCCCAGTCTCGTCCTGCAGCAGCCTGCCGCCTGCCTCCTCTTTCCTTTCAACATGACAGATGCCGCTGTGTCCTTCACCAAGGACTTCCTGGCAGGTGGAGTGGCAGCAGCCATCTCCAAGATGGGGGTAGCGCCCATCGAGAGGGTCAAGCTGCTGCTGGAGGTACAGCATGCCAGCAAGCAGATCACCGCAGATATGCAATACAAGGGCATTATAGACTGCGTGGTCCATATTCTCAAGGAGCAGGGAGTCCTGTCCTTCTGGCACCGTAACCTGGTCAATGTCCTCAGATACTTCCCCACCCAGGCTCTCAACTTGGCCTTCAAAGATAAACACAAGCAGATCTTCCTGGGTGGTGTGGACAAGAGGACCCAGTTTGGGAGCTACTTTGCAGGGAATCCGGCATCAGGTGGTGCCGCTGGGGCCACATCCTTGTGTTTTGTGTACCCTCTTGATTTTGCCCATACCTGTCTAGCAGCTGACGTGGGTAAAGCTGGAGCTGAAAGGGAATTCTGAGGCCTCGGTAACTGCCTGGTTAAGATCTACGAAACTGATGGGATTAAGGGCCTGTACCAAGGCTTTAACGTGTCTGTGCAGGGTATTATCATCTACCGAGCTGCCTACTTTGGTATCTATGACACTGCAAAGGGAATGCTTCCGGATCCCAGGAACACTCACATCATCATCAGCTGGATGATCACTCAGACTGTCACTGCCATTGCTGGGTTGACTTCCCATCCATTTGACACCGTTCGATGCCGCATGATGATGCAGTCAGGGCGCAAAGGAATTGACGTCATGTACACAGGCACGCTTGACTGCTGGAGGAAGATTGTTGGTGATGAAGGAGGCAAAGATTTTTTCAAGGGTGCATGGTCCAGTGTTCTCAGAGGCATGGATGGTGCTTTTGTGCTTGTCTTGTATGGTGAAATCAAGAAGTACACATAAGTTATTTCCTGGGATTTCCCCCACTGTGAACAGTCATGTTGTATTATATAACATATCTTGAGCATTCTTGACAGACTCCTGGCTGTCAATTTATCAGTAGCAACTATTTACTGGTTGAAAATAGGAAGCAAGCCAGGTGCGGTGGCTCACACCTGTAATCCCAGCACTTTGGGAGGCCGAGGCGGATGGATCACCAGATCAGGAGATCTAGACCATCCTGGTTAACACGGTGAAACCCTGTCTCTACTAAAAATACAACAAATTTGCCAGGCGTGTGGCACGCGCCTGTAATCCCAGCTACTCAGGAGGCTGAGGCAGGAGAATCCCTTGAACTTGGGAGGCGGAGGTTGCAGTGAGCCAAGATGGCATAACTGCACTCCAGCCTGGGCAACAGAGCGAGACTCTGTCTCAAAAAAAAAAAAAAAAAGAAAAGAAAAGAAAAGAAAAGAAAATGGGAAGCAATAATATTCATCTGACCAGTTTTCTCTTAAAGCCATTTCCATGAGGATGGTGATGGGACTCAATTATATTTTTTATTTCATTCACACCTGATAAATAACAAATTTGGAGAAATAAAAATATCTAAAATTAAAAAAAAACTAATATTGTTTGTTTGGCCTGGGAAGGGATGGGAGGCAGGGCAGGAACGAATGGTGCACACCCTAGTAGATTTTTTAAAAAGGTAACATTGTCAAAATGTGTTCTAAACAGTATGTTCATCTGTATTTGAAATCTGAAGGCACATTTTGTAGACAAAACTGAATTATTTTCATGGGGGCAAATACCCATCATGTGACTTGAAACACTGCTGCTCAAGATCATCGCTGCATTTTAGAGTTTTAGTGCCTTGGGTTATTCTGTTCCCACTGCTTGGAATGCGTTTCCCCCTAGCAGGAAAATATTAACATGCATTACCTCTTCATGCATTACCATGATTACCTCTTCAGGAAACCCTCTCCTGACCTCTCCCAGGGGAGCTGATCACACTTCCCCTTCCCTTTGTGTGCCCATGGCACTTTCCTTTTTCTTTTTTTTTTTTGAGACGGAGTTTCACTCTTACTGCCCAGGCTGGAGTGCAATGGCACGATCTCGGCTCACCGCAACCTCCGCCTCCCAGGTTCAAGCGATTCTTCTGCCTCAGCCTCCCTAGTAGCTGGGATTACAGGCATGTGCCACCACACCCGGCTAATTTTGTATTTTTAGTAGAGACAGGGTTTCTCCATGTTGGTCAGGCTGGTCTTGAACTCCCGACCTCAGGTGGTCAGCCCGCCTCGGCCTCCCAAAGTGCTGGGATTACAGGCATGAGCCACCGCGCCCGGCCTAACCACGGCACTTTCTTTCCACTCCCCTGTACAGCACCCTGCAGCTGAAAGGGCGTGCCTGTGTCCTCCGTCTAATTAAGAACTTTTTTGCTAGCTTCTCTTGCCATTTTTTGTACTGTCTCTAAACAGTACTGGCATATAATGGGCACTCAACATACATGACATAAGAGGCCATAGCTCAGTGAGTTTCAAATGAACCCATATGTTAAATAAGTCAAGGGCTGCATTTAAATCAGACGCTAGAAGTGTCTCACCCTTACACTGTCCACTTTCAACGAACCACTCCAGGAATGAATTATTGCAAACATAAAAAATGAAAGAAATCACATATCTTTGAGTAAATCAGGGACCTGTGGATGGGATTATCTGGCTTGTGCATCCCCAGAACTGTTGTTCTTTACCTCCCTCTGGCTGTCCACTCTCCAAGAATAGGCAGAATTATAATAACCCTATCCTTCAGATCTTGTCGTTGCAGCAGCTCTCATTAAAGTTTTGTTGATGTAACAACCAAATGTAATGAGTAGACTTGGCTTGAATCCTAATTCAGAAACCCACTGTAAAAACACAGTTTTGAGACAACTAGGTAAATGTAATACAGCTTTAATCCTGGGTATTAAATAATATCAATGAATTACTTCCAATTTTATTATATGTAATAATGGTATTATCCTATAAGAAAATATGCTTATATTTAAGAATTGTATACAGAATTATTTAGGGATACAAAGACATATTGCCAGAGGTTTCCTTTAAGAGACTACAGCTGGCCGTGCGCGGTGGCTCACACCTGTAATCCCAGCACTTTTGGAGGCCGAGGCGGGCGGATCACAAGGTCAAGAGATCGAGACCATCCTGGCTAATACAGTGAAACCCCATCTCTACTAAAAATACAAAAAATTGGCCGGGCGTGGTGGTGGGCACCTGTAGCCCCAGCTACTCAGCAGGCTGAGGCCCAAGAATAGCATGAACCCGGGAGGCAGAGCTTGCAGTGAGCCGAGATTGCACCACTGCATTCCAGCCTGGGTGACAGAGCAAGACTCGTCTCAAAAAAAAAATAAAACCCCACAGCCAAAAGAAAAAACAAAAGAGAGAGAGAAGAAGGGCAGAGAGAAAAAGGGAGGGAGAAAAGGAGGAGGAAGAATGAAAGTTGAAGCAAATATGGCATTATGTTCATCACTGTTGAATCTAGGAATAGGTATTTTCTCTAGTTTTGTGAATGTTTGAATATTTTCATAATAAAACAGGGTTTCAAAAGGCTTTCTGGGAAAGTAAATGTAAAGGAGTTGATAAAAATAATGTCAAACAATCTTTGCATTCATTTCATTCCTGTAGCTTTTCCCAGGCTTCTGCGAGCCAGCCCCTGAAGGCTTCATTGGCCACAGACATCTGAACCAACTAAGAGCAGGAATTCCCCTGAGGCAAGCTGTTCCAATTTTCCTTGCTTTGGAAAATTCTGTCTTGTCTCCAACAAGCTCCAAATCCAGGCCCAGGACAGCCTCCAACCTGGGCAGCAGAAGTCTTCTGTATAGTCTGATCTCAATCAGTAGGACGCTATGGCTTGCATTTGTGCCTGTATCGGTTAGGCTTAACCAAGTGGGTTAAATAAGATGGCTTTCTCATACAAACGGCCAGGTAGGTGGTCTACGACTGGTATGGCAGCACCACTATTGCCTTCTTCCTTTTCTTCCGCAGCACTCATCTCATCCTCTACCACTTCATCCATACTTCATTGGCCACGATCTCGTGACATGATTCTTACATGATTAAACTTTGCTGAAATGGAGGCATAGAAATGTGTCTTTAGTTGGGCAGCCATGGAAGGAAAGAGTGAAAAATGGAAGCCAACCAGCCATTTCTGCCACCGTGCCCAAGCAAGAAAAAATGCTTATAATCCTCTGTGCATATATTTTTCCTGGGGGCCACTTAGAAAAAGGTGGATGGTCAAAGGCAAAAAGCAGGTGTCCAGGGCCCCCTACAAAATGCTATATTAATATCACTTCTATTGATGGTCTTTCTGCTGGGCTTTCTGCTGACACCAAAATGTGGGTCTGCATCCTTGCTCTTATCTCCATCAGGGAGAGTGTGCCTGAGAATGGAAAGAACAAGGAGGAGAATAAGGCAAAGAGATGGAGAGACTGCATCCTGATGACATCTTTAGAGCCCGTGGAGCTAGGCATGCCAGAAACTGGAAGGTTAAACTACATGAACCAATAAATATACCCCATTTTTTCTTAAAAAAAAAAAATACTGCTTAACCTTTGTCACTGTAACATGTCACCTGCACAACTGGAGAAGTCTTGAGGGTAGAGAGCTCTGCAAAGGGAGGAAGATAGGAAGTGCTCCAGGCACTGCAGCTGTTGCCAGGAGTGAAGAAACTCCCTCCTGTGGAGCACCTACTGCCCATCCCGCACCGTGGGATGCTGTCATATCACATATATTTCATATATATTAGCCCTTATATATTACATCTATAATATAATATATATTATCAAATACAGTATTTCATATCATTCTCATATAACCCTGAAGTACATGTTACCATCCCCATTTTGCAGAGTAGGGCACCAAGGCTTAGAGATATTAAGTAACTTCTCCAAGGTCACACAATTGAGAAATGACAAAACAGGTATTAGAAGCCAGATTCCCCCACCCCATCCCCAGGCTGCCTTTAAATTCCTCCGTGGGCCCTCTTCCTTGCAGGCTCCTGTCCCATCAAAGTCCCTCCTCCTGATCCCCCCACATCATTTGTCTTCTGCTGCTGATTGTCAGCACTTCTCAAGTTCCCAGGGGCTGTGAGTTGGAAGAGGCATCACTCTGAGAAGTAATGCACCTGCAGGGAAGAGATGGCTCTTTAGAAATAAACTAGAAATGAGTATCTCTATGATACCCATGGAGAAAGTGCAAGAGTTTGGACACAAGTGGTTTCAGCCTCTGGGGGAGAGGAAGGTAATTTTATCCAGGGTAACCCAACCATCATCATCCAGTCACATAGGTGGAGAGGCACAGCCAAGAGCTCTGAATCAGGTCCCAATGATCTAAGCACCAGTTCCAGCACAGCCCCTGAATCCCTTATCAAGTTAAGGCCTCTCTTTGAGCCTAGGTCTCCCCACCTATAAAGTGAGGGACTGGGCCTAGAGGTGATGTAAGCTCCCTTCCAGCTCATCCCACTCTGGACCCGTGCCTTGAGAAGCCACAGATCTCAATGCAGGCTTGTGTCATACTCAAGCACTAGTCACTGGAAAAGCAGGAAGTCCTTGGGTGAGGTGCTTACCTCTCGGAGTTTATTTTCCCAACACAGGTGTCAGATGGAATAGAAGAAACTAGGTGTCTATGCATGCTCATTTGTGGTTTCTATCACAATGGAAAATTCCTTGAGCATCTACAATCCCCACCTGTGGTAATGTGAACACCCAACCTGGAGCCAGGAAAACACCTGGGCCAAATTACTCCACTGAGCATTTCCCTTCTTCCTCAGCCCTTTCTTACCCTCCTGCTGGCACAGGCTGCCACTTGCCTGATTCAAGTTTCTCCACTTACTAAATGTCACACTTCCAGCTGCAATCAACAAGAGATGCTCTCCAGGCAATTCAGTACAGGAAAAAATAAGGTCCTTCCCACTTCTTATTACCCTCATGAGATGCTGACTGTGGAGCTGGCTAATACCAATGACAAATAACAGGGTTACTATGAGGAAGTATGAATGGGACCTATGGCCCAAGAAGCAGCAATTATGGACACAAAAAATTGCATGAAAGGAGGTAAGTAGAGTCCTTCCCAGAGAACAGAGGAGGCAGCAGAGCCCATGACCCACATCTGAGTCACCACATCCCATGGCCACGATCTTCTATTCTAGTACATTTCCCTATTGCTATAGCAGATACAATGATAAATTATTTTATAGGATACCACAGCTCTTTTTGGAAAGCAATATAGATGTAAAAGCCAGCCAGGATGTTACCAGCTGATATCCAATGATGAAGGAATAGGGATCCAGTTAGCCCTCATGTCAACATGGAAAGTTATTCAAGTTAAAGCATTTCACACCTATGAGCCCTTTGGATCTCCAGAATAACTGTGTGGAGTAAGAAAGGTCTGAGTCACTGCTTTGGCTTAAAAGATGAGAAAACCAAGACCCAAAGAGGGAAAATTGCTTGCCGGGGCTCACTCAGTCTGTAGCATTAGGGCTTCTACACCAGACCATGATTCCTCTTGAAGTGGCCTTCAGTCTGATGGTTTTCAAGTTTGTTCTCATTGAAACAGAAGAGAAAAGGAGAAGGAAGCAAGGAAAGCAAGGAGCATTACAGCTTTAAAAGATGAGCTACAGTGGCCGGGCGCAGTGGCTCACGCCTATAATCCCAGTGCTTTGGGAGACCAAGGCGGGAGGATGGCCTGAGTCCAGGAGTTCCAGACCAGCCTGAGCAACATGGTGAAACCCCATTTCTACAAAAAATACCAAAAATTAGCCAGGCACTTGCCTGTAGTCCCAGCTAGTCAGGAGGCTGAGGCAGAAGGATGGCTTGAGCCTGGGAGGCAGAGGTTGCAGTGAGCCAAGATTGTGCCACCGCATTCCAGACTGGGCAGCACAGCAAGACCCTGTCTCAAAAAAAAAAAAAAAAAAAAGGCCAGGTGCGGTGGCTCACGCCTGTAATCCCAGCACTTTGGGAGGCCAAGGCGGGCAGATCATGAGGTCAGGAGATCAAGACCATTCTGGCTATCACGGTGAAACCCCGTCTCTACTAAAAATACAAAAAAAAAAAAAAAAAAAAAAAAAGAGCCAGGCACCCTGGCAGGCGCCTATACTCCCAGCTACTCCGGAGGCTGAGGCAGGAGAATGGCGTGAACCCGGGAGGCTGAGCTTGCAGTGAGCCGAGATAGCGCCACTGCACTGCGGCCTGGGCAAAAGAGTGAGACTCCATCTCAAAAAAAAAAAAAAACAAAAACAAAAGAAAACAAAAAAAAAAACAAGATTAGTTACCATATCCAAAACTGCTAAATTCCCACAGGACATTAAGTCAGAGCAATCCACAGATGTGGGGACAGGCTCCCAAGTTCCCAAAGACTCCCAATTCACCTCAGATTCCAAACACAGCATGGCCAGCAGTGATGGGATGCCCATGGTTAGAGGGAAGAGGGAGCATGCCTGAGCCCCAAGGACATGACCCCTCACCAGAGGTCAACCTCCCCTTCTCCCCACTGAGGCCTCAGGCCCTGGGCTGATGTCCTCTTCCATTGAAGTGCAGACAACCAAGGCAGAGAGGCAGTGCTAGAAAGGAACCCAAACATTCAGCTTCACTCTTGTTTTATAGGTAAAAATGTTGAAGCCCTGAAAGAAAAAAGAGTGACTTGCCCCAAGGTTACAAAGCCACTTGGTGACAAACTCAAGTTTCCTGATTGTTCTTCCATCTCCCTTTCCAAACTGTTGACCTCCCTTCTTCTCCTGTGTGTGGCTGACACAGTCCCCGGACTCCTTCCTATCAAGGGGCCCAGGGAAAAATACTGGGTCCAGAAGATGCATAGTTTACATGTGGAAGCTGTGCAGCTCTTGTCACTGGTTTGGTTTTAGTTTTTACTTAACCCCTCTACTCTCCAGGGTAGGAGATTTAGCTTTGTCAAGCAGAGTCACTATGCACTCCCGGGATCTTTACTCCTTTCTGAACTCATGCTGTTTTTTGAAGCCACTTCATCATACCTATGACTCTTTATTCCCCTGTGATAAAACCTCCAGACCTCTGAAATCATCCCTTCATCCTGGCTTCCAAAGCACTCTCCTCTCAATTCTATTTTACAATAGAAAAGGCACCTCATATAGAAAATATGAAATAAATGAATGAAAAACAGATTCCTCTTTTGCAAAAAAAAAAAAAAAAAAAAAGGGAAGGAGGTGTGAAATAGTAGTATAATTCAACCCTTTACCTGCCCTTGTGGTGTGATCCAATAGGAAGCTCAGCAGAGTAGGAGACAAGAAACCTGAGTTCAAATGAGGCTCTGGGGAAAACTAAAAAGCCTTGGCTCTAGCAACTAGCTGCCTGCCTAGTTCCACAGTGTCCTCTTGTGGTCAGTTGGTATCATGCATGATTTTTCTTAAATTCAAGAATGAAATGTCTAATAAAGCAAAGATTCAGTCAGGGTCACTCCTGGATAAAGTAGATGAGGTCTGTTTTCTGACCACTCTCTATTCCAGCCTCATGCCCACTAACTTCAACTCCTTGTGACTGAAGTACACAGAGCGTCAATTTGGGTGTCAGGTTGATGTGAGAAGTACCAGCTCCACTTCTTAGAGAGATGTCAGCCAGGAGGGCTGCTGTCTTCCAAGAGTGGTACTCATAGAGCACCAGGACCCTGCTAGAGCTCCCAAGCTTCTGCCTCTGATCTTCCCAGGTAACAGCCAGAAGCCCACTTGCATCACTGCACTGAGGGCCAATCGACCACACCAGCCAAACTCAACATACTCAGATGATGGGGGCCCATACTCTAGTCTATGGTCCAACAATGTAATAGGATTTGTTTCCTTTGAAACCAGGACTGTGCATGGTATGAACTGCTTGAGGCTGTTGTTTTTCTAGGAGAGAGTAGCTACTCAAGACAGTTTCACAATATAACAAAAGCCTCCATGACCTGTCCCATATAAGCATTGAGTAGTGATAGAGGGATGAGGGTTCCCATAGGACTTTCTGGAGGAAGAGACATTTGAGCCTAGTCTTGAATACAAGTAAACCAAATGAAGATAGGTTTGGAGATAAGGCTCTTCCCACAAAAGTCCAACATGAGTAAAGCCAAAGGCCAAAGATGGGTAACAGCCAGTGTTATAAATTCTGTGCTGTGAAGGCAAGACTGAGATGTGACTGAGAAGGTCAACAGGCACCCCTCATGGTAACCTGTTAAGGAACCTGGCCTTTCATTGTATAGAAGGTAACTTACTGAAAAGTTTGAAAGCCGGCCAGGTGGAGTGGCTTCACCTGTAATCCCAGCACTTTGGGAGGCCAAGGCGGGTGGATCACCTGAGGTTGGGAGTTCAAGACCAGCCTGACCAACATGGAGAAACCCCGTCTCCACTAAAAATACAAAATTAGCCAGGCGTGGTAACTCATACGTGTAATCCCAGCTACTCAGGAGGCTGAGGCAGGAGAATCGCTTGAACCTCGGAGGCAGAGGTTGCTGTGAGCCGAGATCGCGCCATGGCACTCCAGCCTGGGCAACAAGAGCGAAACTCCATCTCAAAAAAATAAAGCCAAACATAGCATGACCATATCCTGCATTTTAGATCAATCAGTCAGTTGCTCTGATGGTCTGATGGCTGGGATGGACAGATATGACAGGGTAGAGATGGGAGGCAGGCAGGAAGGCAGAGGAGGTTTTTGTCTTAGTACAGCAGAGACTCAAGGGCTATTGGAGTCTTGAGGGGGGCCAATAATTAGCACTCTTCTTCCACAATTGAGTTCTGAACCAATTGAGAACAAAGGCAAAGTAGAAAACAGACAGCAGTCATTGTTACTACTACTACATTGGATGATGTAACTTATATCTACAGACTGTAGTTAACTTCTGTGTTTGGAACTCCAGAATTATTCAGATGTACCCACCAAACCATAGGCAAACCACAAACCACCCCAGACTTCTTCATGTGGAAGCAGACACCTCTAAAACTTACAGGAAAAAGCAGAGCAGAACCCACACTCCCTCAGGCAACTCAGTCTGCATGTCTCCGGGCATACAGAATAAAAGGACAGAGAGAGGGCAGATGTGTTACACTAATTAAGCTTTCATGTAGAAGAAAACATCAGAGGTAGAAAAGAAGCATTTCCCTTACATTCCCCATCTTTTTGTTCTTTTCACTCACTGAACTTAACCATTAGAGCCATAGAGAAGAACACAGTCTATCACTCCCAAATCCAACTGCCATTGGGATCACTGGAAGCAGTTTAGATTTTGCCCCAAAAGGCTCTAAACAGAGTCAGAATAATATATTAATTAAGGCAACTCCAAGGCTTCTGTAATTCTAAGTCTGAAAATTCACTCCATTTCCCACCCAAAGTATGCCCACCACATTGTTGAGGCGGGAAATTAAAGAAAAATAAACTTAAAAAGAAAGAGAAATAAGTTTTCCTGTGTTAGGCTGACTTGTCCCAGAGGCAGCAAAAGGCACAGCCCAGACCCAGGAAGTCTTGATAATATTATCTAATGTGCTCTGGAAACTCTCCCAGCATTCCCTCAACATACGGAGAAGAAAAACAAATTTTCCTTCGTTTTATGGAATGAGTTTATAGATTCCTGTTCTCTGTAACCAGTGACTTCAAACATTCTGTTTTATCTAAGCAGTAGAGTGAAGGTCAGAGCCTCTGAGCAGGCCTGTGTTATGGCCACCTGGGTGCCAGTGAAGGTTATAGGATAAGCCCGTGCCTAGGCAAAACCTAGATAACAGACATCTGGGTTGACTGGCAATGGTCATGTGTAATCCTGAGTTATGATCTGTTACAATTTGATTAACTGTCTTTGTCCTGCCTCTGTATCCCTGCTTTCAGGCCACTGTAAGCTTGCTTCAAGCTAGCCCACCCCCTTTTGTGAAGTGTGCATAAAATCAAGTGCTGTCTTTGTTCTGGGCCCAGTATTTCAATGTTAAGTCTGCAGGGTCTGAGTGCACTCAATAATAAATATATCCTCCTCTATACACCCCAAGGTCTCTCTCTGGTCCTCCTGATCCTGCAACATGATCTGTGATGGCTAATTTTAGGTGTCAAGTTAACTGGATTAAGGATATCTAGAAACCTAGTAAAGCATTATTTGGCTGTGTTTATGAGGGTGTTTCCAGACTACTTTAGGGTGTGAGTCTGAGTGGACTAGGTGAGATACACCTTCAATGTGGGCCAGCATTCAGTTGACAGAAGGTCCAAAGAGAACAACACAGAAAAGGCAACATGTCTGTCTCCCTCCTAGAGCGGGGATAACTCTTCCTTCTCTGTCTTTGGATATAAGAACTCCTGATGTTCTGATGATGTTGTCCTCTGAGGACAGAGAAGGAAGAGTGATCCCAACTTTAGGAGACCTCTGGACTCCAGGACTTACACCAGTAGCCCCCTGGGTTCTCAGGCCTTCAGCCTCAGACTGAGAATTTTATCATGAGCATCCCAAGCTCTGAGGTCTTTGGACTTGGACTGAGCCACATCAAGGTCTCCAGCTTGCAGACAGCCTGTTTTGGGGCTTCCCAGCCTCCATAATCGCATGAACCAATTCTCCTAATAAATCCCCTTATATATCTATATACATATACTATTGGTCATCTCTGGAGAACCCCAACTAATAAATGGTCTAACCTGGCATATCAGCACACCAACACCCAATAATAAAATGCCAACAACAGAGATGCCCAAATCTACATATAATCCTGTGCCATTATCAAATTTACTGGAATTCAAAAATTAAACCTCCTTCCAAATCAAAGTCCAAAAATGTTAAACTCCACTAGAATTAAAATCCAAAACTAAATACCCTTATTTTTGTAAGTTAAGAATCAACCAGCCTAGGCAACATGGTGACACCCTGTCTCTACAAAATATTAAAAAATTAGGCCAGGCACGGTGGCTCACAACTGTAATCCCAGCACTTTGGGAGGCCAAGGCGAGTTGATCGCTTGAGCCCAGAGTTTGAGACCAGCCTGGGCAATATGACAAGACCCAGTCTCTATCAAAAACACAAAAAATTAACCAGGTGTGGTGGTGTGCACCTGTAGTGTGGGAGGATCACCTGAGCCCGAGAAGTCGAGGCTACAGTGAGCCATGACCACTGCACTCCAGTCTGGGTGACAGACCGAGACCCTATCTTTAAAAAAACAAAAAGAGAAAAGATAGCTGGGCATGGTGGCACCTGCCTGTGGATCCAGCTACTTGGGAGGCTAAGGGGGGAGAATCGCTTGATCCCAGTGGTTCGAAGCTGCAGTGAGCACTGATCACACCACTGCACTCTAGCCTGGGTGACAGAGCAAGACCTTGTCTCAAAACAAACAAAAAATGTCCAACATTCTTAAGTTAAATGCCCAAAACAACCTTTCCCAAATCCTTATTCTGTTCAGTCTTAACCAGAAGGGGGTTTGATGCTTAGGTGGTTAAAGTCCTTTCAGCAGCCACAACCCAAGCTGTTACTCATGGGAAAGTAATTTCTTTAGGGCCTCAGAAGTTACACTAGATATGCCTCAGATACATCACTTTTTAAAAATTGAGATGTAATTCATGTAACATGAAATCCACTCTTTTAAGGTTATAATTCAGTGCTTTTTAGTATATTCACAAGGTTGTGCAACCATCTAATCCCAGAACTTTTTCATCACCCCAAAAAACAAACCCATACCCATTAGCAGTCACTAGTATAGTTGTCTATTTCTGTGAATTTGCCTGTTCTGGATCATATAAATCAAATATGTGGTCTTTTGTGTCTGGCTTCTTTCACTTAGCATAATGTTACAGTTCATCCACACTGTAGCATACACAAGTACTTCATTCATTTTAACAGATAATATTCTATTGTATGAATATATCGCATTTCAGTTATCCATCCATCCATCGATGGACATTTGGGTTGCTTCCACTTTGAGACATTAGGAATAATGCTGCCGTGAATGTTCATACAAGTTTTTGTGCAGACATGTTTTTAGTTCTCTTGGGTATGAACTGAGGAGAGGAGTTGCAGGGTCGTATGGTAATTGTTTAACTTTTTGAGGAATCATCAAATTATTTTCCACAGTGCATGCATCATTTTACATTCGCACCAGCAAGGTACTAGGGCTCCAATTTCTTCATATCCCAGCCAATACTTGTTACATTAATTTTTGTACAATTCTTGTTACAATAATTTTTTATAATTATAGCCATTCTATAGCACCCATGAAATGGCGTTTCATTGTAGGTTTTGAGACGGGGTCTCACTGTCACCCAGGCTGGAGTACAGTGGTGCAATCATAGCTTACTGAAATCTCAAACTCCTGGGCTCAAGCAATTCTCCTGCCTCAGCCTCCCAACTACGTAGGACTACAGGTGCATGCACACTACCACACCTCACTAATTTTTTAAAATTTTTGGTAGAGATGGGGTCTCACTATATTACCCAGGCTGGTCTCCAACTCCTGGCCTCAATCTATCCTTCCACCTCGACCACCTACAATGTAGCACTGGGATTACAGACATGAGCCACTGCACCTGGCCTAACTCCTATGATGAAAAAAGGAAGAGCTTGGGTATGACTATTAGCTCCCCTGGGATAGCAAATAATAAAGGGGTGGAAAGAAGCAGGTGTTACATCACTTACTCCCCTCCAAAGGGAAAGAAACAACAGTGGAGGGAAAGCATTGCCCCCAAGAGTTAGAAGCAAAGTGTGAGGCAACCAGCTCATACTGGCTCCTGAGAATCAACTGTCAAATCCTTGAGAATTTTGCAAACCAGTTGTTAAAGCCTTGGTAGCTTGAAATTAGCCAAGGCAGTAGTACTGACAACATGTAAATCAGAGAAAACTACAAATCAGTGCTTTGTGTTTTGGAAAATAAGGTTGGATCCTTTTTCCATGTGGTAATACCAAAATTCCAGATAGATTCCAGATTTAAATCAAACGCAGAAAACATAAAGTGCCCAAAGAAAAGTATAATCAAAGCAAAGGTTTTCCAATCCACGTGGACCAAATACAAAAACCATAATGGACTAGGTCAACATGCAACTACATTAAAATACATCATTTATGTCAAAAATAGCACTAAGTGGCAAACTACAAACTAGGGAAATTATTAGCAAAATACATGACTAACAGAAACCCATCAAGAATTCTTACAAATTAGTAAGAAAAAGACAAACATCTCAATGGCAAAAGCCTCAACAGATAAGTCATTTACAAAATACAAATGAGATCAAAATTAATCAAGAAAATTTTAGGCCAGGCCTGGTGGCTCATGCCTTTAATACCGGCACTTTGGGAGGCTGAGGCAGGTGGATCACTAGAGGTCAGGAGTTCAAGACCAGCCTGGCCAACAAGGTAAAACCCCATCTCTCTAAAAATATAAAAATTAGATGGGAGTGGTGGCGCCCACCTGTAATCCCAGCTACTCAGGAGGGTGAGGCAGGACAATCACTTGAACCTGGGAGGCGGAGGTCGCGTTGATATCGCGACAAGGCACACCAGCCTGACTGGAGGTTGCAGGGAGCCAAGATCATGCCACTGCATTCCAGTGAGACTCTCCAAAAAAAAAAAAAAAAAAAAAAAAAGGAAAAGAAAACTTTAGACATGCCCGGTTTTCTTGTAAAAATGGCAAAGAGGAGAGAAGGTAGAACACAGCTAATGCTGGGAAGGATATAAATGGTACTATGAAAGACTCCTGGCAAAAATATACATTGGCACAAACTTTTTCTTGGCAACACAATATATACCCTTTGATCTTACACATTTTTGAGTTTATTCTAGAAAAATACAAATGTATAAAGATCTAGTTAGACTACTGTGGCCAGTAAGAATAGGCTAAATAATTTATAGTAAATCCATTTAATACTATGTACATATTAATGTTGAAATATTTGACACAGAAAGATATTCACCATTTAAATTCAAAAAATGACTTAAGTGGAGGGTAAAAACAGTATAATCAGGATGAGCAAGTAAAATAAAACGTGTACTGAGAGTGGACTGAGAAAGTCTACGAAGACATACAGCAAAGCATGATCAACCTTCTCCTTTTTGCTTACCTACAATTCTACGATGTGCATATATTACCTGTTTGTTTTTAATAGGAGTTCTTTGACTTAATTTATACAGTTCAATGATCTTATTATCAGTTCCTTGATTTGACCTGAGTCCTGGAGTTCTTAGCTGCTTTTAGTATCCTTTATCTTAAAGCTCTGTCTCCACTCATTTCCTGGCAATTCAGTAATAACTACATTAAGGTAATAACCTTCTGAATCAATTTTATAAGCAAATAGATAAAATTTCTATCTTTAGGGTAATTCCAATAGATAATTCCTGCATTTCTACAATGTGCATATATTACCTGTACATTGTTTGTTTTCAATAGGAGTTCATGGAATTTGAAATCAGAAGAAAAATCCTCATTACAAAACAACAGCATTTTAATTGAATTTTCTAAGTGATCATTTCCGGTTGTTTAAATGCACCTGTTCAAATCAAAGTTCATCATTTTGTTTGGAACAACTTTTGTTTGAGAATCAAATGGTCACGTAAATGACAAAACAAATAAGCATATAATGACAGAAAAGTAAGTGGCAAAATAACTACAAACTTTGTTCCACTGGCTACTGCAGTAGAATAAACAAAATGACAGTTAACCAAAAACACCTTTATTTTCATCTGCAAAGAAGAAGCTCTTTTCTTCTTTTTCCAGGATAATCATGATTAACTTACAAAAATGGGTACACATCTTCAAAGCACTTCCCTTTAACGGGAAACTTAGCTTTATGGGATTTAAACATTAGAAAGTGGGAAAAAAAATTCCATTTTCTTGTCATTATAAGCCAAAACAAAATCTAGTGTAAGTCAAGGAAACTCATTCACACTTCAGGTCCTTCTCCTCCAGGAACCAGCTGCATAAAGAGGAAAAAGAGTTTATTAATAACACTACCACCATGTCATCTAAAAACCCCTTGCTCTTCATTAAGCCACCTTTGCCTGTCCCCTGCACTCCACGTTCCCATTTTCTCCAGATTGTCAGTATCTATTTACAATTCCCAACGTCATCAATTAATACTTACTATCTCAACAGCGATTAAAAGTTCCAAGCAAACTAACCTTTAGACCCAATGCCTCTTCAATAGCTGAGCTTTAGGACCCTGACCACAGAGAACCCCTTTCCCATCTTATGCACCACTGGGCCATGATCATTTAGTCAAGCAAGCAACATTAAGGTTAGTTCTGTAATCACTGCTCCCCAAAAATGGGCTCCCATCAAAATAAAACAGTTTCAATGTGTCTTACCATTGTTATATTATTTCCATTTAGCAAAATCTGATCTAATTTAGTAATCCTTCTTCCTTCTGGTGTGATTTCACTAAATGAATAGATAAAATACAGTCAGGACAAACAGTGAAAATCAAAGCCAACATTTTGGAAATACTTACCCTCCCTAAAAAGGTTATCCTTGTATACAAATTACACTGAGGTTGAGCAATTATATCCACAATTTTCAGATACAAAGGTTATCCACTAGGTAATGTAACCTTCATTAAAAGCAGCAGAATGAACTCACTGACACTAAGACCCACGTCTATCAGACAGAGCTTCATAAAAAGAAGTGAAAGCTTGCCCAGGAAATCAAATATGAAATGAAATGTTTTTTGGGTTTTTTTTTTTTTAAGAGACAGGGTCTTGCTCTGTTGCCCAGGCTGAGTACAGTGGTACAATCATAGTTCACTGCAGCCTAGAACTCCTGGGCTCAAGGGATCCTCACCCTCCAGAGCAGCTAGGACTACAGCTGCCCCCTACTATAACCAGCTAATTTTTAAATTTTTTATAGAGACAGGGGTCTCCCTTTGTTGCCCAGGCTGGTCTCAAACTCCCAGGCTTAATCCTCCTCCTTTGGCCTTCCAAAGTGCTAGGATTACAGGAATGAGCCACCATGTCCAGCCTAAATGCTCTTACTATCAGTTCCTTTATTTGACCTGAACCCTAAAATTCCTGGCTCTTTTTGTTATCTTCTACCTTAAAACTGTGTCTCCACTAATATTCTAGGCGTTTACTAATAATTACATTAAGGTAATAACACTCTGATCCAATTTTACAAGCAAACAGATAAAACGTCTATCTTTAACGTTATTCCACCAAGAGGTAATGTTTTCTCATAAATAATTTTACTCAAAAGTAGTAAAACTGTCTTTAATTAAGAAGAGATTCCCCCCAATTCTTTAACACTACTCACAACTCAGTGACATCTTCCAGTACCATATCTGAAATTTGGTGTTAAGAAAATAAATACAGAATTTACTCTAGCTTCTGCCTTTGTTCAGCTTTTGTTTTTTGTTTTTGTTTTTGTTTTGAGACAAAGTCTCGCTCTGTCATCCAGGCTTAAGTGCAGTGGTACAATCACACCTCACTGCAGCCTCCACCTTTTAGGCTTAAAGGATCCTCCTGCCTTAGCCCCGGAGATTAGCTGGACCCACAGGTGTACATCACCATGCCCAGCTAATTTTTGTAATTTTTGTGGAGACAGGGTTTCATCATCTTGCCCAGGCTGGTCTCAAACTCCTGGGCTCAAGCGATCCACCCACCTCGCCCTCCCAAAGCGCTGGGATTATAGGCGTGAGCCACTGGGCTCGCCTGTTCAGTTTTAATTACAATGTTTAATACAATGGCTCAAATTCAAAATGCTTGTTGTTGATAGGAACTTTACCGTCTTTCAATACATACCTCTTAAAACATTATCATAAGTTCCCTGAGAATGAACTGATTTTTATTATAATAATCACAAATATACTGATTGTCTATAGTTCTTATGTTATTACTTAAGAAAAACCTATACCACCACCACCTTTTAAAAGGATACTGACAAAGTCATCAAATCCTAGAAGAGTACCAACAATTTCCTTATCACTCTTCATCACGATGTGAATTCTTGATCCTATACATTTGTCCACAAGCTCTGAGGAGGGAAAAAATATTATTTTACCATTCATTATTTCAACAAATATTTGAGTGCCTACTGGCACTCTTACTTGCATATAGTGAAAGAAAAACCAGGAAAAACATTCATTCAATAACTTTAGGTCTTATAATACAAATCTCAGTTCAAGCACAGCATCTGGCACATAATGAGCCTTCCAAAAGAGTCTGTGGCATGAAGGAATGAAAACTTTTCAATCACGGCCACGACCACTAGTTCAATCACTCTTCACCAACTACAAAAATATAAGAGGAGATAGGTATAATTATATTCACCGGAAACTCTCCGGTCACTGCTTCCCTTTCCCAACTCTGTCTATCCTCTGTGCTCTGACGGTAGCTTGAACATCTCTTTAGCTAGCCTAGCATTATGTGGCATGATGTCTACTTGTCCAGTGTTCTCTCCTCCACTGGCTTGTGTGCTATTTGAAGGCAATGGCTATGGTTTATCATTGAAAAATGCCCAGGCACGGTATCTAGTGTATAGATACTCAGTTACTACTTATTGAATGAATAAATAACAAACAGAGCTGGTTTCCAGATTCCTCATTTAAGGCTCATTCCGGACCAGGGTGTTAGTGTCACTAACCAACCACATACATAACATGGTCTATCTAATCTGGGGATCGTAAACGCCAGGCTGAGAAGTAGGCCTACTACCTATAACACTGCAGAGGCGGGCTCACAACAAAGTAGGCCGACGACGCGTTCACTAAATGTGGACCTTTTCCAGTGAAGGTCTGGTTTGAGAAGTCAAAGTCCTTGCCTGGAGGAGCCCGACCACGTTAAAGAGCAGGTGCGGCCTGCTGTCGCGAAGACTTGGAGCTCAGAGTCGAACCGCATTTGGTCTTATACATTTCCCCACACTCGGCCAGGGCCTGCCTCGGAACAGCCCCTCGGCCCCCAATCCTGAATGTCAGCTCCCTGTTCCTGCTCCCCAAAGGACGGCGATTACCTAAGGGCAGCAGCTGCGACGGGTTGGTAGTAGCGTTAGCCGCCATGGCTACGCCGGAAGTGGCCTGCCTTCATTGATGGTGGGACGACTTTGAAAAGCGCGCTTCCGCTTTTTCCGCAGCCCAAACAGGCTCGACCAATCTGAGGCCGAGCGCACGATCTAGTCAGCTGCGTGGGTCGCGTTCACTGGCTTTTTTCCCCGGCAAGTGAGATCCGGTGAAATATTTCCTGCCCACTGGACATTTTACCATCTCGGCAGATACCCATAATGCCCTTGAAGTTTTGGAGAGACGTTGAAGATATTTTGCCTTGTGAATAAATTGTTCCTGTAACGTTTGAGTCTTCTTCCCCCGTAAAGTTGCATTTCCTCTCAAGCCAGAATCTTCAAACCAGTATAAATCAATTCGTATTTCCTGCCATCAATTAACTGTTACAATTTTCGTTACAACTACTCATTAAGGAATCTATTGTTTCTTTTTAAAGTCCAGTGGATTGAAAATCTGCAACTAGCATTTTTTAAAATTTTTCTTTAGTGAGGATTTAAGATATGTTTTTTAAACTTTTTACTACTTTAATTCATCGTTCTTATCTTTTTATGTCTGGTAGTCTTATTTATTATAGGCTTTTAAATTCAGTTTCTTCAACAATTCTTGTCTCACAGGCAACCACCAGATGTCACTCTAAATTATTCCAGAAGTGTAAAATCATGCTTTCCACTTCTGTGTTGAAAACAGCAAAGTATCGGCCCTAGTCTGTTTTATATTTGTATCCTAGGAACTTAAACCTGAACAGTCTAGGTCAGGCGCAGTGGTAACGACTGTAATCCCAGCACTTTGGAAGGCCGAGGCGGGCGGATCACCTGAGGTCAGGAGTTCGAGACCAGCCTGGCCAACATGGGTGAAACCCCGTCTCTACTAAAAATACAAAAATTAGCTGGGCGTGGTGGCGTGCGCCTGTAGTCCCAGCTACTCGGGAGGCAGAGGCAGGAGAACTGCTTGAACCCGAGAGGCAGCGGTTGCAGTGAGCCTAGATCATGCAACTGCACTCCAGCCTGAACAACAAGAGCGAAACTCCATCTCAAAAAAAAAAAAAAAAAAAGCTAAACAATAAACATGAGCGGCCACAAAGAACGTCATTCATTCATACAACAAATGGTCATTAAGCACCCATCATTCCTTCATAGACTGAGTTCCTCAAGGCTGAGAATTATGGGAAGCAGTAGTTTACGTGATTAAATTTCTTCATTTTGAATTAAATGACTTTGGTTCAAATTCCATGGTCAGTTATTTGACAATGGGCAAGTTATTTTAACTTTTTAAGTCTCAATATACCCATTGGAAAAAATGGGGACAACAGTATCTACTCATAAGATTAATGTGAAGATTAATTGAGATAATCTATGAAAAGTGGTCAGCATAGGACCTGGCACATAGCCCTTTTAAACATGAGCTGTTATTACTTATCCTTGTTTTCTAATACATGATGTCTGGCTCAGAGTGAAGCTACATAAAGCTAGCATTGCTAGCTGGTTTTGCATTCATCTTATTTTTATAACCAGACATAAGCCACTTTAAGGAAGCAATTTCTTATTTTATACACTGTGCACACTACATTTTCAGGCACACTGTAGGGCGCCTAATGAATATTCTTTAAATTGATTCTCACTATTTCATTCACACCCATCAACATTCTCCTTACTCTTCATAAGATTTTAAATACGAAGTAATGCCAGATTTGTTTGTGACGCTTCTTTCTTTCT
The DNA here is from genome assembly GCF_000001405.40 of Homo sapiens. Taxonomy (NCBI): domain Eukaryota; kingdom Metazoa; phylum Chordata; class Mammalia; order Primates; family Hominidae; genus Homo; species Homo sapiens. The sequence continues at coordinate 32,492,078 of NC_000007.14, forward strand.
CTTTCTCTTTTTTTCTTTTTGTCCAATCCTCATTTGGTTGAAAACCACCTCTTTTCCTGGTTTTCCTTTTCTATTCCTATTTTATTTTCCCCATACCATACTGACAGTATGGGAGAATTCAAAACATTGTTGTTATTTGATAGAGTTTTTAAAAATTAGAAAAATAGGCTGGGCACAGTGGCTCACGCCTATAATCCCAACACTTTGGGGGCCGAGGTGGGCGGATCACGAGGTCAAGACATGAAGACCATCCTGGCCAACATGGTGAAACCCCATCTCTACTAAGAATACAAAAATTAGCTAGGTGTGGTGGCACACGCCTGTAGTCCCAGGTACTCAGGAGGCTGAGGCAGGAGAATCGCTTGAACCTGGGAGGCAGAGGTTGCAGTGAGCCAATCGTGCCACTGCACTCCAGCCTGGCGACGGAGTGAGACTCCATCTCAAAACAACAACAACAAAAAAAAAACAGAATAAACATTAGCAATTTTGAATGCCACTAATAAAGAATAAAGAAAATCTCTTTAGAATCTGAAAAAAGGAACGATATATAGTTCACTTACATAGTAGAGTTAATGGGGATTTCAGGGAGTGGTATTTTTATTATTTTCTCTCCTGAGGCAAGACACAAAAAGGAAGAACAGGCCAATTCCAAATGGAGAGTTGTTATGAACTTGAAAATATGTCATAGCTCTATGTCTCAAGGATTTTTCTCCCTTTAAGTCTTAAGTAGAAGACGTAAAATAGAATTTATAATTTATCATAAAATACATGTAACTACCAAAGGCTCTTCCATGTATTATATGTTCAGAAAGGCATTTCTAATTTTCTCCCTCGAGTTAAATTAGAAATTTTATTATTTTCCCAATAGACATTTGTCCTTGTGGACAATATCTTGTTAATGAATTTATTCTACATTAATACAACTCATTTAAAACATAATGTAAGATGTGCATGGTGGCAGGCAACTGTAGCCCCAGCTACTTAGGAGGCTGAGGCAGGAGGATCCCTTGAGCCCAAGAGTTTGAGGCCAGCCTGGGCAACATAGCAACACCCCATCATATTTTATTTATTAATTTAGAGACAAGACCTCACTCTGTTACCCAGGCAGGAGTACAGTGGTGTGCTCGCGGACTCAAGCAATCCTCCCATCTCAGCCTCCTGAGAAGCCAGTACCACAGGCGCGTGCTACCAAGTCTGGCTATTTATTTTTTATTATTTTTTGTAGAGATGAGGTCTCATTACATTGCTCAGGTTGGTCTCGAACTCTTGGACTCAAGTGATCTACCCACCCTGGCCTCCCAAAGTGCTGAGATTACAGGTGTGAGCCGCCATGCCCCACCTATATTCTAAATTCTTAAGTGGTCCAGTCTGTGTATTTAGAGATGAAAAAAATCCTGGAAATTCCCTTGTTCACTTTCTGTCTCAATTTTCCCAGTAACTAACTTTTTCTTTCTCTCTCTCTCCCTTTCTTTATTTTTTTGAGATGGAGTCTCATTCTGTCATCTGGGCTGGAGAGCAGTGCAGTGACACCATCTCAGATCACTGCAACCTCCACCTCCCGGGTTAGGGTGATTCTCTTGCCTCAGCCTCCCTAGTAGCTGGGATTACACACACCACCATGCCTGGCTAATTTTTGCATTTTTAGCAGAGATGGGGTTTCACCATGTTGCCCAGGCTGGTCTCCAACTTTTGGCCTCAAGTGATCTGCCCGCATCGGCCTCCCAAAGTGCTGGGATTACCAGCATGAGCCACCACGCCTGACCCTCTTTTTATATATATCTTTTTTTTTTTTAGAGGAAATCTCGCTCTTGTCCCCCAGGCTGAAGTGCGATGGTGCAATCTTGGCTCACTGCAACCTCCACCTCCCGGATTCAAGCAATTCTCCTGTCTCAGCCGTCCGAGTAGCTGGGATTACAGGTCTAATTTTTGTATTTTGTACTAGAGAGGGGGTTTTACCATGTTGGCCAGGCTGGTCTAGAACTCCTGACCTCAGGTGATCTGCCTGCCTTGGCCTCCCAAAGTGCTGGGATTACAGGCGTGAGCCACCACACCCGGCCCTTATATACATCTTTAAAAGGTGTTCAATTAGACAGTAATTTTAGCCATGCCAATTGTGGAAAATATCAAGACAGGTTATATCAAGAAAATATTAATAGTTAACACATCACACAGCTGACAGCTCAAAACAGTTAATATATTAAGAAAACAGTTAATATATTCTGCATACAGGGAGCAATATAGTTTTACACAGTTTTCTTAGCCAATGCCAATAATTTTGTAATACAGAAAAGAAATGTATAGCAGCATCTTGAAAAATGTCTGCAGTATTAGCATTAAAACAGTTCTACTGAATCACAGAAACTAAATTTGATTTAGGAAGCCTACTGTTTTTCTCAGCTATGGTTAGATTAGAACAGAGCTCCTTACTTTTCAAGACCAGAAGTGCAAAATATCACAGTTACTGTAGTAATCTCGAATTCTATTTGAAGCAGACACCTATCCTTTAGGTTATTTGAAAACTGTCCTAGATAAGACTTGTTAAATCTTTTCTATAATGCACTTTAAATTGACATGAGATTCACTGCTTAAAAAAGAATTGTAGTACAATCAGTAAAGGAATTAAAAAACCCTGGTGACAACAGAGCCCATATATTTTGTATTGACCAGAGTACTACACCCAAAATGAGATGGAATGAAAAGAATATTCTTATAAAATCGCAGGACTAGAATAATCATTTTACACGTATCCAAGTAAACTTCCTTTGTTGTCAAGGATATTCTGTTTCAGGTTTTAAATGCGTCTCAGATTCCTACACATAATATTTAAACGAAGAAAAAAAAACTCTAGAAAGAAACAAACAAGAATTCTCGAGTAAGCAAGTAATTTAAAGGCTGAATACACAGATACGCAACCTCACCAGTATGCTCCATGTTACTACATATTTAAGAATAAGGACGGGGGCCACAGAGGCAAAGGCAAGGAGGTGAAGGAATCGGACACTCGGAGAGTGAACCGAAAAGATGTGAAAAAGCAAGGAAAACAGAAGAGAAGAGGGAAGTGGGAAAACTTTGAGGAAAAAGAGAAGGCAAAAGAGAAGGAAGTGCTTTGAGATTGAATCCAGGGAGGAAAAAGCAGGTGTGCCACGCCGCACCTCCAGGTCCCGCGGACACCACAGGCTCTGCAAGCCCAGCCGCCCGGGTCACGTAAGCCCCACCCCGCCGCTCCTCGTCAAGTCCCACCCGGACCCGCCCTCCCCCCGCTCCTCCCCCCGCTCCTCCCCGCCCCACAGAGTCGATCTCTCCTCTCCTAGACCCACCCCGCTCCCCCAGGCTCCACCTCGGCCTCTCAGACCCCGCCCCGTCAGGGCCCTCCCGGCCTTGCCCAGCCCTGCCTCGCCGGCGGCGGCCGCCGTGTCAGGTGACAGCCCGGAAGCTGCGGAAGCGGATGAGGGAAGGGCGGCCGTGGCCCTGGGGGCGGCGGGAGCTGCTTTGCCTCCACCGATCTCCCTGTGCGGCCCTCATGTGCTGTGCTCGCTGACACCCGAAGTCCGCGGCTTTCCGCACACGGTGGGGTCGTCAGACCCGCTGCCCTTGGCGGTCGAAGTCGTCGTGCGGGCCCGCGGCGGCCGCCCATGGAGAAGGCCAGGAGAGGCGGGGATGGCGTCCCCCGGGGGCCCGTACTGCACATCGTGGTGGTCGGATTTCACCACAAGAAGGGCTGCCAGGTGAGGAAAGGGCCCGCCCCCGCCCCCAGCCGTTCGGGCGTTCGCCCCTTCCGGGGCCCCCCTGCCCTGCTTCTGTGTGCTCAGCTCGCGTCGTGCAGTCCTCCCCACAGCGCCTGCGACCCTTCGCCTCTCAACCTGACTCCTTTTGCAGCTCCTCCCACCCGCCCCACATGAAGCCCAGCCCCCACAACCTCTTCCTTCTGCCCCTGAAAAATGGTTGAGCAGCGGAGGAGCTGGTTGATACGTGTAGGTTGTAGGTTTTTAACTTCTGCTTTGGTGGAGTGGGAGGAAAGCATCGAAGACCGGCCCCACTCTCTTCCCCGTCCATCATTGTCTCCACTGGCTTTCTGGGTGTCCACCTATAATGGGAGTCTAGAAAAATTCAGTGCTTGGACTCTGCTTTCAAGGTAATAGGCTCAGTGGGCTTGCATACTAATGCTTCAGGTAGCTTGCAGCACATGCAGCCTCCGTAGAAAAATCAGCTTCCTTTGTTTATCTGATGGAAGCCTTGGAATCTCTCCTGTTAGGTACGGTTGTCGATTGACTTTGCCTCCCCCTTCCCATTGGTCCTTAGTTTTGCTATTTCATCTTCTCCAGATTTTGCCTTTTGGTGAGAGATTAATCTCTCCATATCAACCGCAATAAGAGAAAGTGTATTACCAAACCGTTCAAATATAAAGGCGTTTTTCAGCAGCCTCACTGAATCATTAATGCAGCATCTGAAATGGAATATTTGCAATCTATGTATTGAAGGCAAGAGAACAAAATAGAAACAGGATTATTTAATGAGCAAGCAAACACTGGAAGGGAATGATGTCATAATGTGCTAGTGAACAGTAAATTGAAATGCTTTTTTGAAGTATTAAAAATAGTAATTGCCACCACTAGCTAATGAAGCATTTAGTTTCTTGCATTCCACAGGAAATGTAACATTTTAGAAGACTTATTGGCAAAAATTAAGTTCTCTAGGGAATAAGAGAAAAGTGATGGGAGTGAAAAAATCGTGTTTGTGCGTAATTTTGAAATATATCCTCACACCTGGAATGCCAGCACTTTTAGAGACTGATATGAAAGGCTCACTTGAGCCCAGGAGTTTGAGACCAGCTTAGATAACAAAGGGAAACACTGTCTCCACAAAAAAATTAAAAAATTAGTTGCATGTGATAGCGCACTTGTAGTCCCAGCTACTCGGTAGGCTAAGGTGGGAACATCGCTTGAGCCCAGGAGGCTGAGGCTACAGTGACCCTTGATCCCACCACTGCACTCCAGCCTGGGTGAGAGAGCAAGACCCTGTCTCAATCCCAGCACTTTGGGAGGCCGAGGCGGGTGGATCACCTGAGGTGAGGAGTTCGAAACCAGCCTGGACAACACGGTGAAACCCCGCCTCTACTAAAAATACAAAATTAGCTGCGCGTGGTGGCACATGCCTGTGATCCCAGCTACTTGGGAGGCTGAGGCACGAGAATTGCTTGAAGCCGGGAGGCAGAGGTTGCTGTGAGCCGAGATCACGCCATTGCACTCCAGCCTGGGCAACAAGAGCGAAAAAAAAAGTTTTGGAAAGTGTGTGTTACATGCATAAGTCTTAGAATGACTGGTCTAGAATCTGTTCTTTATAACCTGTACATCAGGTGTTTTCAGAGGCTTTAATTAAAGTATGTAAGATTTGCCCCAGGATAGATTAATCAGCTACCTAATTCTCCACTTTAACTATTTTACTTCCAGGTGTAAATTAAAGGTGCATGGCTCATTGAGTTGTGACTCTGACTTAACACGGTTTTAACTTGTGTGAGGGTACTTAGACTGCTCTTCCAAGTATTCAAAATTGCCGTGGGTCATGTTGACCATTAGTTCTTTTTTTTTTTTTTTTTCTTCAGATGGAATCTCACTCTCTCACCCAGGCTGGAGTGCAGTGGAGCTCGGCTCACTACAAGCTCTGCCTCCTGGGTTCACACCATTCTCCTGCCTCAGCCTCCCGAGTAGCTGGGACTACAGGCGCCCGCCACCGCGCCCGGCTAATTTTTTGTATTTTTAGTAGAGACGGGGTTTCACAATGTTAGCCAGGATGGTCTCGATCTCCTTACCTCGTGATCCGCCCGCCTCGGCCTCCCAAAGTGCTGGGATTACAGGCGTGAGCCACCACGCCCAGTCATGACCATTAGTTCTAAATGTGCGCTGAGATTGTGCATAGGGAAGATTCCTATACTTGGTCGTAATTTGTAACTTTTAAATAGAAGTGACTGAAGTAAAACCTTTGTTTTAAAAGTGATGCCTTTCAGCAGTCCGCTTGGTTAAGCATGATAACTTTGTCATTTGACATGGACCTCAAAGTAAAAGCCATCTTCTAATACTGCTGTGTTGAAGACCCAAAACTAGGCTTGTGGAAAATGTTAGTTCATTTTGTTTCTAGCACTTTTTCCACCTTTGAAGTCCTCAGATTTTTTTTTTTTTTTTTTTTTTTTGAGACGGAGTCTTGTTCTGTCACCCAGGCTGGAGTTCAGTGCAGTGGCGCGATCTCCACTCACTGCAACTTTCACCTCCTGGGTTCAAGTGATTCTCCTGCCTCAGCCTCCCAAGTAGCTGGGATTACAGGCATGCACCACCGTACCTGGCTAATTTTTTATATTTTTGGTAGAGACGGGGTTTCACCATGTTGGTCAGGCTGGTCTAGAACTCCTGACCTCAAGTGATCCACCCGCCTTGGCCTCCCAAAGTACTGGGATTACAGGCATCAGGCCAGATGTATTTTAAATGAAAAATTCCTTCATTTGAATTTAAATGAACATCTATTAACTTTATCACTTGATCTTTTTTTTTTTTTCACTTTTATTTGGGTAACTTGTGGAAGTAAATTCTTCTGTAGATAGCGTGTTAGCTTCTAGATGTCATTTTTCTAGTTTACTGATATACTTAACATTTAGAACATTTTAAGTGATTTTTTTGAGTTCTACCATAACATTTAAAGTTGTTTCAAAATATTTACTCATTTCAACTTTTTACTGAATTGTTTAAAATTTAATATTTAACAAGGGATAATAATTAACAAGGGATAATTTAACATTTAACAAGGGATACTAAGTGTGGCCGGGTGCAGTAGCTCATGCCTGTAATCCTAACACTTTGGGAGGCCGAGGCGGGTGGATCACCTGAGGTGAGGAGTTCGAAACCAGCCTGGACAACACGGTGAAACCCCGCCTCTACTAAAAATACAAAATTAGCTGCGCGTGGTGGCACATGCCTGTGATCCCAGCTACTTGGGAGGCTGAGGCAGGAGATTTGCTTGAATCTGGGAGGCGGAGGTTACAGTGAGCGAAGATCTGCCTACTGCACTCCAGCCTGGGCGACAATGAGTCCCTGTCTCAAAACGAAACAAAACAAAAATTTATCTGACATTAGACCCTTTGGCATGAAATAATTTATGGATACCTTCTCTGTAGTAAATTGGCTTGTTATAGATTGTGTATTCCAGAGTTTTGTTTGTTCCAATATATAAATTATACTTGTCGGACTACCAAAATTTTTTGCTAAGTAGCATCAAATATATATCACATTAACTCTGTTTTTTTTTTTCATAAACAGGTTAGAACTTTTTTAACTACTCAAGTTAAAAGGGAATAGGTTATTTTCCAAAGTGATGTCATAAAAAGTTGAAATAATTACTTAATTTTTGGCCACTTTTCTGATAGTTTATTGTTTTGTATACATAGCTAGCAGTTTTAAGTCTTAAGTAAACTGGATTTACCAAACTGTATTTCTAATACAAAAAAGGCAGAATAACAATTTTTTTTTTTAATTATACTTTAAGTTCTGGGATACATGTGCGAAACATTCGGGTTTGTTATATAGGTATACATGTGCCATGGTGGTTTGCTGCATCCATCAACCAGTCATCTAGATTTTAAGCCCCATATGCATTAGGTATTTGTCCTAATGCTTTCCCTCCCCTTGCCTCCCATCCCCCAACAGGCACCAGTCTGTGATGTTCCCCTCCCTGTGTCCATGTGTTCTCATTGTTCAACTCCCACTTATGAGTGAGAACATGTGGTGTTTGGTTTTGTGTTCCTGTGTTAGTTTGCTGAGAATGATGGTTTCCAGCTTCATCCATATCTCTGCAAAGGACATGAACTCATTCTTTTTCATGGCTGCATAGTATTCCATGGTGTGTATGTACCACATTTTCTTTATCCAGTCTATCATTGATGGGCATTTGGGTTGGTTCCAAGTCTTTGCTATTGTGAATAGTGCTGCAATAAACGTGTCTGTGTGTGTCTTTATAGTAGAATGATGTATAATCCTTCGGGTATATACCCAGTAGTGGGGTTGCTGGGTCAAATGGTATTTCTGGTTCTAGATCCTTGAGGAATCACCACACTGTCTTCCACAATGATTGAACTAATTTACACTTCCATCAATAGTGTAAAAGCATTCCTATTTCACATCCTCTCCAGCATCTGTTGTTTCCTGACATTTTAATGATCACCATTCTAACTGGCATGAGATGGTATCTCATGGTTTTGATTTGCATTTCTCTAATGACCAATGATGATGAGCTTTTTTTCATATGTTTATTGGCTGCACAGATATCTTTTGAGAAGTGTCTGTTCATATCCTTCGCCCACTTTTTGATGGGGTTGTTTTTTTTCTTATAAATTTGTTTAAGTTCCTTGTAGAGTCTGGATATTAGGCCTTTGTCAGATGGGTAGATTGCAAAAATTTTCTCTCATTCCATAGGTTGCCTGTTCACTCTAATGCTAGTTTCTTTGGTTTAATTAGAGCTCTTTAGTTTTTTTTTAATTTAAGCTCTTTAGTTTAATTAGATCCCATTTGTCAATTTTGTCTTTTGTTGCAATTGCTTTTGGTGTTTTAGTTACGAAGTCTTTGCCATGCCTATATCCTGAATGGTATTGCCTAGGTTTTCTTCTGGGGTTTTTATGGTTTTAGGTGTTAGTTTAAGTCTTTAATCCATCCTCTGTTAATTTTTGTATAAGGTGTAAGGAAGGGGTCTAGTTTCAGTTTTCTGCATATGGCTTGCCTGTTTTCCCAGCACCAGTTATTAAATAGGGAATCTTTTCCCCATTGCTTATTTTGTCAGGTTTGTCAAAGAGCAGATGGCTGTAGATGTGTGGTGTTATTTGTGAGACCTCTGTTCTGTCCCGTTGGTCTATATGTCTAAAAAGCAGAAGTATAAAAGAGCTAGAACTAATCTTAACACTAGTTCCACCAGTGAGTAAAGCAACCAGCAGCAGTGAAGAAAATGGCAGATTTTCCTGTTGGTGTGAGTGGACTGGTCACAAGAAAGTCTCCATGGGGTAGCAGAATGTTGCATTGCAAATTTAGAAATGGGTTGATATTAGGGGGATTGTTTATGTTGGAGTGCTACAACTATACTCAAGCCCTGAGTGATTCAGGTTTTGGTGACAGATGACTCACTGACAAGCCTTTTTTGGCAACTGCTATTAATGAAATCCTGTGGTGACAATAATGAAACATTTGGGAGGGTTTGTTTGATTCTTGTTGCAATAAGTAGTTCTTTGGAACAAGAAAGAAGAAAACTGAAGGGTTAGCAGTTAGGGAAGAATAACCTTTTAAGATTCTTTTTAGCTGCTAGTTTTACAGAAACTTTGTTCTGAAACAAGATTGCATTTTCTGGCCCTTCACTGCACTTTTATTTCTTCAACTTTAATATTTTGGTAGATGGTTTTTCCTGATTTTGGCCATGCTTTTTGTATATGCTGAAATTATGAAAATCTCTGACTTAGCAGGGCTGCAGCATTGACAGAACAATGGAATAGTTTTCATTCAGGCTTTGGCATTGTGGCTAAGCGGAGTGGGTGTCAACTTGTGTACTAGAACTTTGAAATATCAGGAAGATTCCTTTGTTCTCTTATGGGTCCTCCCAGCTAGCAAGAATGTGCCTAATTTCTTTCTTTGGCTTAAGCCTTTGATCCCTAGTAAAATACTTATACACCATGAGTAATCATCTACTTCATGTCATTGATATGATTCAGATCCTTTGCTGAATGTAGATTTTTGCTAAAGGGAAGACTGCAGAAGGGCCCTAATCTACTAGGGATGGACAACAGAAAGATGCAGACACATAGGGAGAAGAGCCTACTTACCTACTTAATTTTAAGACTGCTCCTTTTTTATATGGATTAAGAACTCAGGTTCTCCCTAGGATATTTTTAGAGGATATTATCTAAGCTGATATTTTTGGCAGTTTTTAAATCATATTTCAGTATTTTTGAAAATAACATTTATGATAAAAAAAAAATATGTACTGGCCAGGCACAGTGGCTCATGTCTGTAATCCCAGCACTTTGGGAGGCCAAGATGGGAAGATCGCTTGAGCCCAGGAGTTCGAGACCAGCCTGGGCAACATAGGGAGACCTCATCTTTGCCAAAAAGTAAAAAAATTAGCCAGGTTTGGAGGTGCATGCCTGTAGTCCCAGCTACTTGGGAGGCTGGTGTGAGTGCACTGGTCACAAAAAAGTGAAGCAGGAGTATCACTTGAGCCCAGCAGGTCGAAGCTGCAGTGAGCCGAGATGGCACCACTGCACTCCAGCCTGGGTGAGAGAGTAAAACCCTTTCTCAAAAAAAAAAAAAAAAAGAAAGAAAAGGTATCAAACCATAATCATGTTTCATGGCCTACCTTTTTCATGTGAAATATACCATTAATATTTTTCTGTATTAGTAAATAATTGAATTATATTTTAAAATTGCTAAATAGTATTTTGTAGAAATACTTTTATTTAACTGATCTCCTTTTTAGATACTTAGGTGGCATTCTAATTTTTCACTATTTTGAATAGCGCTGCAAAGAACATCCTTGTGGCTTTTTGCACCTTTTCTCATAAGTATAGAGACTTCATTGTAGCCATTTTTTTGGTGAAGTTTGTATTAAAATGGATTTTGAAACAGAACTTACTGAACACAATTTAAGTTACTCTGGGTGACTCTCTTCAGAGCAAATGTCACTCATACTGTGGCATTCTCCGTTTAACATAGAGTGATTTGCACGTGGCTCTGACTTTGTTGGGCCCTAGCCGGCCAGACAGAGAGGTGACAGATATGTTAGTAATTATTTCCCAATGTCAATACTATCCATAGTGATGGTGGTGTTTTCCGCTTCCCTTTATTTGATGCTTTTCTTCCATTGATTGGGAGACCACATCTACTGAATCTGTTGTGTGAAATAAAATGACTCAGTCATGGGTTTTGAAAGGAAACCTAAAGCCTTCTTGGTATACTGTCAAGAGCTTTATAATAACTGGTTTTGCTGATAGATGTTTTTTTCATTTGTTTCTGGTTCTTGGCAGTTTTGTAGGTAATTAAGTTGTCAGAAGTGTGACTTCTGAATAAACTCTGGGTGTTCATTTAGATTTCAAATATGGGCCAGGTGCGGTGGCTCACAACTGTAAATCCCAGCACTTTGGGAGGCCGAGGCAGGTGGATCACTTGAGGCCCGGAGTTCGAGCCCAGCCTGGCCAACATGGTGAAACCCCCATCTCTACTAAAAGATATATATATATATCTATATATATAGATATAGATATAGAGAGATATATATATATACACACACACACACACACACACACACACACACAAATTAGCCGGGCTTGGTGGCACGTGCCTGTAGTCCCAGCTACTCGGGAGGCTGAGGCAGGAGAATCGCTTGAACCTGGGAGGCAGAGGTTGCAGTGAGCTGAGATCTTGCCATTGCACTCCAGCCTGGGACAGAGCAAGACTCCGTCTCAAGGGAAAAAAAAAAAAAAAACTAGATTTGAAATATGGCACTCTGCACTTGTGCCTTTCATCACATCACTGTGCTCATTGTCACAGGGTATGCTGAGTGTTCATATATGTGCACATGGCTACAAGGTTCTTTTTTTTTTTGTTTCGAGACGGAGTCTCACTCTGCCACCCAGGCTGGAGTGCAGTAAAATGATCTTCGTTCACTGCATCCTCCACCTCCGGGGTACAAGCAATTCTCCTGCCTCAGCCTCCCGAGTAGCTGGGATTACAGGTGTGCACCACCACACCCGGCTATGTTTTGTATTTTTAGTAGAGTCAGGGTTTCACCCTGTTGGCCAGGCAGGTCTCAAACTCCTGAGCTCAGATGATCTGCCTGCCTCAGCCTCCCAAAGTGCTGGGATTACAGGCGTAAGCCACCGCACCTGGCCTTTGCAAGATTCTTAATGAAACCCACGTCTGCCCCGTGGCCTTCACTGACGGTATTAGGAATGTGTTAGGCTCCCTTTGGTGGGTGTGATGCACTCCCAGAAATTATAATATCTTTATTGCCTCATGAAATTTCAATATTGAAATGAAGAAAATTGAAATGTTAAACATGAATTGATGTATAAAAGATTGCCAGGATAAAGTTCATTAACATTTCAATTAAATACATTGATTTAATTTAATAAATCAATTGATTTGATCATTTGTTGGGAAAGTTCTAATTTTTTTCCTGTAAGAAAAATGGTTTTTATAGCTTTGATGACATCTTTGTATATATTTTCAGGAACCTGGAGATAATGTTCCATTTATATCATCTCATTCAGAAAACCAGTCTTTATCATTACACCTTATGTTTTGTACAAATCGTTGTCTTATCCTCTAGCAGAGGATCTTTATATACAATATTTCTTTTTTTTATACTTACAGCTCTGATAAATTCTCTCTTATCTCTTTTACCATATGAGAATCAAGATGTAAGTTTGGACCTAATTGTCATTAGGTGTGTAAGCTGGGGCAAGTTGCCTAATGTTTATGGACTTCAGTTTCTTCATCTATAAAATGAGAGTTTTAAAGTAGGTGACTGCTAAGATTATTTCCACTTCTATGATTCTAAGATGAAATTAGCAAACATTTGCTGAATACCTGTCATCAGAGGCTACATTCAGAAACATGCCCAGGACATTCCAGGACAGGCAGAAGTAATATTTAATGATAGCAATCTGAATAGAGGAACTTTCTGGGATGGTGAAAAATCTGTGCATTGATGAGGTATTTGCCCATGAATGTGTGGATCCTCAAAACCTATGAACTCTGTACACTAAGATTTTTTATTTTATTTTATTTATTTTTTTGAGACGGAGTCTCGCTCTGTCACCCAGGCTGGAGTGCGGTGGCATGATCTCAGCTCGCTGCAACCTCCACCTCCTGGGTACAAGCGATTCTCCTGCCTTAGCCTCCCATGTAGCTGGGATTACAAGAGTATGCCACCATGCCCCGCTAATTTTTGTATTTTTAGTAGGAACAGGGTTTCACCATGTTGGCCAGGCTGGTCTCGAACTCCTGACCTCAAGTGATCTGCCAACCTTGGCTTCCCAAAGTGCTGGGATTACAGGTGTGAATCACTGCACCCGGCCTGATCTTTTTATTTTATACTTCGTAATATATATCAAATCTAATTTAAAAGTTTTAGAAAATAAACGCTTCGGCTGGGCGTGGTGGCTTACGCCTGTAATCCCAGCACTTTGGGAGGCCAAGGCGGGCAGATCACAAGGTCAGGAGTTTGAGACCAGCCTGGCCAACATGGTGAAACCCCATCTCTACTAAAAATACCAAAATTAGCCAGGCATGTAGCAGGTGTCTGTAATCCCAGCTACTCGGGAGGCTGAGGCACAAGAATCACTTGAAACCGGAAGGCGGAGGTTGCAGTGAGCTGAGATCACGCCACTATACTCCAGCCTAGGCAACAAGAGCAAAACTCCGTCTCAAAAAAAAAAAAGAAAGAAAGAAACCCTTCTACTTTGTAGCAAATCACAAAACCCTACATTCTTTAGTACTTTTGAAAGAGGCTTTTCAAAATTGCCATTTAATTAATATGATTTTCTTTCTTTAAATTGCTTATACTAGTACAGAGGTAGGAGATATAGTGACAGTTCTCCACTTGCGTTCTTTAATTTTGAGACTTACAAGTATGTAATTTAGAAAAAAAAGAGTAACTCAAACAATAGCTCTGCTGTTTTTTTATATTCTATTTTCCACATACTGTTCTAAGCAAACATTGTGTCTTAGAGAAATAAAAGCCACTACTTAATATAGGAACCCAGACCTCTCTTGGATGCTCATATATATATTTATGTACTGAGAGCATAAATTTCTATTAAGTAGAGTCATTTTCTTCACTCTTTGTAAGCAACAGCAAAGATTCTAAGTCCGTAAAGTGTGCCCTAAACATAATCTCTGCTTGTTATGAACTATTTTTAAAAACTATCCATGAGGGTCACCATGCAGTTCATTATTGTAATTCTATGAAGATGTATATTTTTCTAATTTTTTTCCTGTACATACATATGATAAAGTTTAGTTTATAAGCTAGGCACAAGAGATTAACAAAAAAATTTTTTTAATTTTTAATTTAAAATGTTTCGACTTTTTAATTTTAAAAATTTTAAACTTTTTAAACAAATTTTTTTAAACATTTAGAAATCAGTCATAAGAGATTAACAAAAATAACTAGTAGTAAAATAGAATATTTATAACAGTATGCCAACATCACTACTCTTGGGCTTTGGGGTCATTATTAAGTAAAATAAGAATTACTCAAACACAAGCATCTTGATACTGCTGCAGTCAATCCGATAACTAAGATGGCTGTTCAGTGACTAATGAGAGGGTAGCCTGTACAGCGAGGATAAGCTGGTTGATGGGATGATTCACAAGTCAAGTGGAATGGAGAGGGACAGTGTAAGATTTCATCATGCTCCTCAGAATGGCACACAATTTAAGACTTATGAATTGTTTATTACTGAAACTTTCCATTTAAAATTTTCAGAATGTGGTTGACCATGACTAACTGGAGCCATTGAAAATGAAACTGGGCAAGGTGCAGTGGCTCACACCTGTAATCCCAGCACTTCGGGAGGCCAAACGGGAGGATTACCTGAGGCCACAAGTTTGAGACCAGCCTGGACAACATAGACCCTGTCTCTATTTAAAAAAAAAAAAAGAAAGTGAAACTGCAGGTCAGGGGGACTATTGTAATGAAGAAAATACCAATCCTTCACAAACTCTGTCGGAAAACAGAAGAGGAGGGAACATTTCTCAACTTATTTTATGAGGCCAGCATTACATTAATACCAAAGCCAGACAAATTATTATAAGAAAAAAACAAAGATCAATATCCCTCATGAACATTGATGCAAAAATCCTTAACTAGATAGTTGCAAAAAAAATCCAGTAATATATAAAAGGAATAATACATCATAACCAAATGGGGTTTGTCACAGGTTGGTTTCATATTTGAAAATATCCTTTCACAATATTAATAAATAATAGGGTAAAGCTATATGGTCCTCTACAGTTGGCAAATGGGAAGGGAAGGTAGAAGGGGAAAGCTCCTGGGGTTTTTATGTATATCCTTGTCCCTCCCACCCAGAATCACAACTTGTCAGAATTCACTTTTCAAAGTTAGGCCTTCTTGATAGGCACATTCTTTAAAAGAAAATGTTTAATGTGAAACATCATACATACACAGAAAAGTGCTTCCCTTCCCAATATATAGATCACACTGATTGATCACAATTGTGTGTAATTACCTCACAAGTCTAGAAATATTAATATTGACAGCACCCCAGAAGCGACTCTTGTGTCCTTTCCTACTTTTCTTTTTCCTCAACGCTAACCACCCTCTCCACTTGTAACACCATAGATTACTCTGTTTCTTCACTTTATGGAAATATAATCATATATTATGTGTGCTTTTGTGTTCGGCTTCTTTTGTTCAGCATTATGCTTGTGGAATTCATCTATGCCGTTGCATATTCCTGTGGTTTCATTTCTTCTCATAACTGTGTAGTGTTCCCTTTGGTGATAAACCACAATTTATTTATTCAACTGTTGACAGGCATTCGGTTGTTTCATCATGGGCATTACAAATAATGCCATCATGAGCATTTTTTAGATGTCTCTTGGTGCACGTGTGCAAATCATTTTGTTGGATATATACTTAAGAGTGGAATTGATGGATTATAGGGAATACCTGTCTTCGCTTTTAGTAGATATCAAATTGTTTTCCGAAACAGTGGAACCAATTAACTTTATCACTGGTGTTCTTCATGCTCCTTGCCAACACTGGGCATTGTCCATCCTTTTAATTACAGTAATTCTGGTGGGGTATGTAGTGTCATCTCATTATTGTTTTACATCACATTTTTTGATTTGTTATGAGGCTGGACACTTTTTTATAGGTCTGCTGGTCATTGGGCTATCCTCTTTTTGTGACGCACATGCTCCAAATCTTATCCTGTTTTTCAATTGGATTGTCTTTTCTTTATTTGTTGAAGTTCTTTTTATATTATTGAAAAAAGCCATTTAAGACTTATATGTGCTGCAAATTCTTTTCCCTCTCTGTTGCTTGCCTTTTCAGTATCTTAATGGTGTCTTTTTTACACCATAATTGAAATGTGGTCAACTATATTAGTCTTTCCCATTGTGGTTAGTGCTTTTTAAATGCCATTTAAGACATTTTTACTAATTTGATGTCCTGAAGATATTTTTCTGTATTACCTTCTAGATCAGTGTTGTCTAATAAAAATACTAAGTGAGCTGCATACATAATTTAAAATTTGTAGTATCCACATTAAGAGAGCAAAATAATCAGATAAAACTAATTTTAATATTGTGTTTTTTAACTCACTCCAAATTAGTATTTCAAAGTTTCAATATAAAAATTGAGATATTTCACATTGTTTTTTCCTACTAAGTAATTAAAATCAAATGCAAATTTTACTTAATAGCACATCTCGAATGTTCAGTATCCATACATGGGCAGAGCAGTTCTAGAAGATTTATTGTTTTTACCCTTTCACATTATATCTTATGTTCCACCTGAAAATGATTTTTTGAATGAATTGTGAGGTAGAAATCATTACTTACTCATTTGGGCATCCAGTTGCCTTAAGACCACTTTATTGAATATAAAGACAGTCCTATCTTCACTGTTCTGTTATGCTACTTTGGTATTAAAGTGTCCACATATGTGTGTCTTGTTCCTGTATTCTGTGACATTTGTCTATTTTTCTATGCTTGCACCAGTATTACACTATCTTATTATAATTTTTGTAATAAGTTTTGATACCTGGTAAAGAAGAATTTCTTCTTAGGAGAGTCTTGGCTACTCTTGACCCTTTACATTTCCATATAAATTATAATCAGCTTGCCAGGTTCTGCAAAAATATCTTTTGGAGTTTTGATTGAGATTGTATTGAATCTAAGGATCAGTTTGAGGACAGCACTTCTTTTTATATTATCTGTTCATCAGATGCTCTCATCTGGGTAGGATCTGGACATGCTGTGCCTTCCAGACTCTGCTACCTTTCCCTTTCTGGCGTGGAAGCAGCTAACTGAGAGGGAGGCTCAACCCTCAGCTTTGATGAGAGCCCTGGAGGGCCCCCTCCCTCTTTTTGCAGGAGACTTTCCTTAAGGGCAGAAAGTCCCTGGCAAGATTCTGGAATTCTAGGATGAAGAAAAATGAAGTCTGGGAGGAACCAGACCCAAAAAAACACAATAAAAAACAAAACTCTGTACCCTGTATCTATATAGCAGGGGCCTTGTACCCTGTGTGTGAGTTCTCAGGGGTCACCTGTTCTTGCATTGACTTGAACCTAGGGCACATCAACACAACTTACCCTACTTGAAAACAGATTAACGCTTTTTACTCCTCACTCTCCTCTTTCTCTGTCATCAGTCCTATAGTTTGCTTTGTGGTTTCAGACCAAGTTCCATTGAGAAACCAGTTCCAAAGGTAGAGGCTTGTATATCCTAGCTGACTAGACAGGAGAGGAAAGGAACAGACTGTCTTGGCCGGGCGGGCGGATCACTTGAGGTCAGGAGTTTGAGACCAGCTTGGCCAACATAATGAAACCCCATCTCTACTAAAAATACAAAAAATTAGCCAGGCGTGGTGGCGGGCGCCTGTAATCCCAGCTACTCGGGAGGCTGAAGTGGGAGAATCACTTGAACTGAGAGGTGGAGGTTGCAGTGAACCAAGATCACACCACTGTACTCCAGCCTGGGCAACAGAGTGAGACTGTCTCAAAAAGAAAAAAAGACTGTCTAGAAAAAGGTAATCTCTAGAATCTGAAGAGGGTTAACAAAATGAGGATTAAGGCAAAATACAGTTAGTAATAAGATAACAAGGAATCTGATCATGGAAAAGGGGTCCTTGTAACTTACTGAGGCTGAATGTTGGTTTACCATCTTACATTTTCTACGTCCATTAAATCAGCCTTCTGGGAATCCACAGTCCTGGCAATTCTGAACTGCCCCAGGAGGAGGGAAGCCATCTCTCTAGGGTGAGATAGGTGAGCCATCAGGTCTGGTGGTGGGAGTCCACAGTCCTGGCACTTCTGAACTGCCCCAGTAGGAGCGAGCCCATCTCTCCAGGGTGAGATACGTGAGCCGTCAGGTCTGGCTGTGGGAGTCCACAGTCCTGACACTTCTGAACTGCCCCAGTAGGAGGAAAGCCATCTCTCCAAGGTGAGATTTGTGAGCTGTCAGGTCTGGCTGAGAGAATGCACAGTCCTGGCAATTCTGAACTGCCCCAGTATGAGGGAAACCATCTCCCCAGGGTAAGATTTGTGAGCCGTCATGTCTGGCTGTGGGAGTCCACAGTCCTGGCACTTCTGAACTGCCCCAGTATGAGGGAAGCCATCTCTCCAGGGTGAGATTCATGAGCCATCAGGTCTCGTTGGGAGAATCCACAGTCCTGGCACTTCTGAACTGCCCCAGTATGAGGGAAGCCATCTCTCCAGGGTAAGATTTGTGAGCCGTCAGGTCTGGTTGTAGGAGTCCACAGTCCTGGCACTTCTGAACTGCCCCATTATGAGGGAAACCATCTCCCCAGGGTAAGATTTGTGAGCCGTCAGGTCTGGTTGTGGGAGTCTACAGTCCTGGCACTTCTGAACTGCCCCAGTATGAGGGAAACCATCTCCCCAGGGTAAGATTTGTGAGCCGTCAGGTCTGGGTGTAGGAGTCCACAGTCCTGGCACTTCTGAACTGCCCCAGTATGAGGGAAGCCGTCTCTCCAGGGTGAGATTCATGAGCCATCAGGTCTCGTTGGGAGAATCCACAGTCCTGGCACTTCTGAACTGCCCCAGTATGAGGGAAGCCATCTCTCCAGGGTAAGATTTGTGAGCCGTCAGGTCTGGTTGTGGGAGTCCACAATCCTGGCACTTCTGAACTGCCCCGGTATGAGGGAAACCATCTCCCCAGGGTAAGATTTGTGAGCCGTCAGGTCTGGTTGTGGGAGTCCACAGTCCTGGCACTTCTGAACTGCCCCAGTATGAGGGAAACCATCTCCCCAGGGTAAGATTTGTGAGCCGTCAGGTCTGGTTGTAGGAGTCCACAGTCCTGGCACTTCTGAACTGCCCCAGTATGAGGGAAGCCATCTCTCCAGGGTGAGATTCATGAGCCATCAAGTCTCTTTGGGAGAATCCACAGTCCTGGCAATTCTGAACTGCCCCAGTATGAGGGAAACCATCTCCCCAGGGTAAGATTTGTGAGCCGTCAGGTCTGCTTGTGGGAATCCACAGTCCTGGCACTTCTGAACTGCCCCAGTATGAGGAAAGCAATCTCTCCAGGGTGAGATTTGTGAGCCATCAGGTCTGGTTGTGGGAGTCCACAGTCCTGGAAATTCTGAACTGCCCCAGTAGGAGGGAAGCCATCTCTCTAGGATAAGATGCAGGGGTGTACTAGGTTGTGGGGATTAGAGTACAGGGGACTAGCAAGAGGGTCTATGAGGAGGGCGAGGGGGAAAGATAGGAGGACACTTGGAAAGGGGTGCCTGACGAGCAGGGCGGTGGCATACGGACGCTCTGGAATTAACAGAGGAAGAGCTGGGCAGGGAGTTCCGGGAGGTAGGGTGCTGGGAAGGGGCGACATTAGTCAGCTGGGGGAAACAGGTACGCTGGAAAACTGAACAGCTTGGACGGTCCTGGAGAGGAGGCTGAGGGCAGGAAGTTTGAGGAGTAAGGGGAGGAAGAAGGGCTGGAAGACGAGAGCCAGAAGGAACAGAAAGAAATGGAGGCCAGGGTTGAGGCCGAGAAATTGGAGGTAGCTTTCTGGTCATTTTTCCAAATGAGTGCTGTAGTAACTCACTTGTCCAAACGAGTCAGAATGAATAACTGAGATGTGCTGAGACCGACTCCAGCATTTATCTCCTCAGGACATTCCATCACAGAATGCCTATTATGAAACATACATTTATCTCCTTAGGACATTTCTTGATGGAATGCCCATTATGAAACATACATGCTCCCTTTTATTCTAGTGAGGAGGCCCCATCAATCAGGGAAATGGTCCCAGTTTCTCAGTTTAAGAGTGGTCATGGGAAGTAGCAAAGAAAATAAATGGATCTGTAATTATTGGTCCTTGTTCTTGGGATACCATGTAGTTTTGCCCCTCCATAGGCAAAGATTGATCAAGGGGCTAACAGAGGCAGGGGCTTGGGGCCTAGGAGAGCAGTTCTGAAGCAGGAATTGGGAAAATGGGAAGTCAGTATCCTAGTCTCTTTTCCTTACTACATTGTTCAAAGCCCTTTCACATCATTTACCTCACTGTGTGAATGCACATGATTAGAGATGTTACGTTATTTTATCGATGAGGACACTAAAGACCAGAAAACGAACTACCAGTAGGCACAAAGCAGGTGGGACTAGAACTTGGCCAGAAAGAGGGCTGGTGGGAGGGAGCACAGAATGGCACAAAGTGCTTACCAGCATCTTTGCCTCCTCCTGTGTCTCTGGACAGGATCTTGTAGGAGGAGCTTAAGAGCAGAACTGTACTTTTCGTAGCTTACCTCGTAGTTCCTGTGGTCCCTTGGTTTGATGCCTTTCTGTTCACTGGAACCAGAAACAAAAGGCCAAAGCTGGTACACTCTCTGCCCATTGAAACTGTGCCCCAAAGAGCTGAAGAAAGCAGTAACAGAAATCTTCGAGCTTGCAGGATGGCAGATAAGAAACAACTTGCTAAAATAAAACTCCCTCCCCTTCTAAGAGAATGAAATTGGCTAAAATTGGTTAAAACTAATATGGCCAATGAATATATGTAGAATGAACTCGCTGATATCACAACCCAAATTTCTACCACATGTTTCATACTGACTCCTCTTGTTTCATACTAACTTCCCCTGAATTTGTGTATGGGATCCATGAGGAGGCATGGAGAGATAACTGTGCACGCCTGAGGGACTTCGCAGATGTTCCCTTTCCTTCTACCAACTACTTGCTAATCCCAGAATCAGCCCCTTAACCTTTTCTAATAAAAGTACTGCCTTAAAGCCAGCACAGGGAGACAGATTTGAGCTGGACTCCTGTCTCCTTGTTGAGTAACCTGCAATGAAAAGCTTTTCTTTTCTCAAAAACCTGGTGTCATAGTATTGGCTTTGTAAACCAAAAATAAAATTCAAAGGCACCCCTGCAACCATCCCAATGGATTCCCTCCTCAGCCAGGGCACCCTAAAATTTAACCAAAAAAGACTGGTTTAGGCCTTGAAGCCAGGTGGGGGTTGAACTTGCTTCATTATACCCTTCCAGCATTACTATCATCACAGACCTTAAGAAACATTTACAGTCTATTCTCTCTAAAGCCTGATACTTGGAGGCTTCATCTGCATGATAAAACCTCCGCAACCCCTTGTCTTCACCCAGACATTCTTTTCTATAGATAAAAACTCTTTCAACCAATTGCCAATCAGAATATGTTTAAGTGTACCTATGACTTGGAAGCCTCCTTCTTTGAGTTGTCCCACCCTTCCAGATCAAACCAATGTAAATCTTAATGTATTGGTGGATGTATTGAAGGGGGCCTGCCCCTCCACACCTGTGGGTATTTCTCGCAAGGTGGAGACGAGAGACTGAGAAAAGAAATAAGACACGGAGACAAAGTATAGAGGACGAAAAGTGGGCCCAGGGGACCAGCGCTCAGCAAGTTAGGACCTGCACCAGCGCTGGTCTCTGAGTTCCCTCAGTATTTATTGATCACTATCTTTACTATCTTGGTGAGGGGAATGTGGTGTAACTATAGGGTGATGGTGGGGAGAGGGTCAGCAGAAAAACATTTGAGCAAAGGAATCTGTGTCATAAATAAGGAAAGGTGTTGTGCCTGGATGTGCACATAGGCTAGTTTTATGTTTAACTTTACATAAACATTTCAGTGCAGTAAAAAGTAACAGAGCAGTATTGCCACCATGATGTCTCACCTCCAGCCATAAGGCGGTTTTCTCCTATCTCAGAATAGAATGTACGCTCGGTTTTACACCAAGTCATTCCATTCCCAGAGACATGCAGGAAACAAATGCCTTCCTCTTATCTCAACTGCATGGAAGTCTTCCTCTTTCACTAATCCTCCTCAGCACTGACCCTTTACAGGTGTCGGGCTGAGGGGCTGTAAGGTCTTTCCCTTCCCACGAGGCCATATCTTAGGCTGTCTCAGTGGGGAGAAACCTGGACAATACCCAGGCTTTCTTGGGCAGGGGTCCCTGCGGCCTTCCACAGTGCATTGTGTCTCTGGTTAATAGAGAATGGAGAATGGCGATGACTTTCACAAAGCATACTGCCTGCAAACACATTTTTAACAAAGCACATCCTGCACAGCCCTGAATTCCTTAAACCTCAGTCAATACTGTCAGGCCTCTGAGCCCAAGCCAAGCCATCGCATCCCCTGTGACTTGCACGTATATGCCCAGATGGCCTAAAGTAACTGAAGAATCACAAAAGAAGTGAAAATGCCCTGCCCCGCCTTAACTGATGACATTCTACCACAAAAGAAGTGTAAATGGCCGGTCCTTGCCTTAACCGATGACATTCCCCCACAAAAGAAGTGAAAATGGCCGGTCCTTGCCTTAAGTGATGACATTACCTTGTGAAAGTCCTTTTCCTGGCTCATCCTGGCTCAGAAACCTTCCTTACTGAGCACCTCGTGACCCCCACTCCTACCCGCCAGAGAACAAACACCCTTTGACCGTAATTTTCCTTTACCTACCCAAATCTTATAAAACAGCCCCACCCCTATCTCCCTTCACTGACTCTCTTTTCGGACTCAGCCCGCCTGCACCCAGGTGATTAAAAGCTTTATTGCTCACACAAAGCCTGTTTGGTGGTCTCTTCACACGGACACGCATGAAAAATACAGCACATGTTTTTGTGAGCACAGGGTTGGGACAAGAGTTACAGATTAACAGCATCTCAAAGCAGAACAATTTTTCTTAGTGCAGATCAAAATGGAGTTTCTTATATCTTCCTTTTTCTCCATAGACACAGTAACAATCTGATCTCTCTTTGTTTTCCCCATAATGTATTATGTCTCCATAAAATGTATAAAAGCAAGCTGGAGCCTAACCACCTTGGGCATGTGTCCTCAGGACCTTCTAAGGATGTGTCACAGGTACGTCTTTAACCTCGGCAAAATAAACTTTCTAAATTGATTCAGACTTGTCTCAAATACTTTTTGGTTTACAAATTGGCAACCGATGAAAGAGACTCTGAGTATAGGTGGCCTCAACCTCTGACAAATCTATTGATATTTAGTACCAGCTTTTAGCTGTCTTTATGGTCGAAACCAACAGGACAATTGGCTGAGAGCTGGGAGCCCTCCTCCCTCCAGAGAATCCTGATCTCCCCAAATTTGGTTGAGATCCAAAGTGTATTTTGCTGTACAACTCCTTTTCTAGAGTTTTACTTGCTTCCAACAAGGAAAGCAAGTTTTCCTGCTTCCATGACAATAGAAGGCAGGTAACTCCTTTCTGGAGTTAGAGCTCACTTCCAACAGAGAAGGCGAATTTGAGTTTTCCTGCTTCTAGAATGGTAGAGAGCAGTCTTCAGCCTGAGACCCATTCCTAGGTAAGTGACTGAATTGGGGTTTCATCTTGGTTAAAGTTATGATGCAGCTGGTCGTAGTTTCTCCTTACTGTTATAGCGCTCAGTAATCATATTGTTGGGTTTTTGTTGTTGTTTGTTCTGGTCTTTCTCCCATCAGATTTGACCAATTCTGCCTGACTTAGTCAAATCTGAATAAAAATTCCAAATTGTAGGGAACAAGGCCTCTCTGAATTAGCTAAAATTCCTTGCTGCTGCAAAAGAAAAAAAAATCAATTTCTGGTTGCTTCCTGTCTTTAAAAAAAAATTGTTCTTTCATTTACTTTTCTCTACCCTATTCCTCCTTCCCCACTTTGCCATACTCAGTACGAAGAAAAATCTAGAGATGACTCAAACCCCTTAAAGAACACAGAACAAAGGCACCACTCACCCCATTTGGGGGTGTTCTGTTTTCTTTGTGGAGTTTCAAGAGTCATGGGCAGATTCTTCTTAGGTCTAAAGTTCTGCTTTCCTGTATTACATTACCTCACCTCTTTGGCTTTTGTGAGTAGCAGAGATTACCTTGTACTGTGAGAGGATTTTACCTTGATGTGTGTACTGGCGGATGAGAGCTACAAAGTTAAAGCTGACTGAGGACAGTTTACAGGAAGCAGTCTTCACTGTTTTGTTTTTTCCACCTAGGAAGTTGTTTAGGATCCTAATTCTAATTCAGAGGTGCATTCTACAGAGTCTTCTCCATTGCCTTTCCTCTCAAAATTAATCTTGATTGGCTTCTCTGGGCATTTGCGTGAGGAACTGAAACTCATTTTCATAGATAAATGAGAGAATGAGTTTCCTCAGCTCCCTAAAGGGCATTTTGCTTCTCCCAGCTGAAAGGCTCCCCTGGATTACTAGGGGCTAAGTGGGAGTGTCTAGTGGGTTGACCCCCAGCAACGTGCAGCAGCCCTACAGGGAATCCCCAACAAAATTAGTTTTAAAAGGCTTGTCCAAGAAATGAATATAGGAGCTGGTCATTCCATGCTTTGAGCCCTCCTGGAGGTGCTAGACCTCTGGAGACAAAAATGACTCAGTGGATAACACGCTATGGAGTCCTGCCAATAACCAGCACACTTCAACCCATTCCACTAAACCCTAGGCCTTTAAAAAAAAAAAAAAAAAGGTGGGAAACAATCTAAGAATGGGAAAAACAAGGAGAATGACTCCCTTTCAGGCACTCTGTTGGTTTTATGGCACCTCTGCTTGCAAGTGTTTGTGTAAAATGGTCTTTATGGTCTTTTTGTGCACAATTACATCAAGGAAATTTCAGAGCCCAAAGGTCAACCTGCAACTATAAGGTTCCTAAGTTATCTATCTCTTTCTTTTCTGCCTGCTTTAAGTCTGCTGTTACTTTTTTGCTGAGATAGAATCCACTGTTTGTATTCAACCATTTCGTTTTTGTTATTGTTAATTGTTTTTGCAAACCAATGAGTTTGTATTAATATCTCCTGGCTAGAGTTCTGAAGTAAAAGCTATAGAATCTTTGTGTGAGGGTGTATGTGTGTGTTTATGTGTACATATGCATATTTTGTTATGTGTTTTGGCCACAGGGACCAAATGTGGCTTAAACTTACAGAGTACTCATAAATAAGCCCAAACGCTTTTCAAGTTCACGTGACAGTAAAATCTTTTTTTCTTTTTCTTTTTCTTTTTTTTTTTTTTGAGACAGAGTCTCACTCTGTTGCCCAGGCTAGAGCGCAGTGGCATGATCTCAGCTCACTGCAAACTCTGTCGCCTGAGTTCAAGCGATTCTCCTTCCTTAGCCTCTCTAGTAGCTGGGATTACAGGTGCCTGCCACTGTGCCTGGATAATTTTTGTAGTTTTAGTAGAGACGGGGTTTCACCATCTTGGCCAGGCTGGTCTTGAACTCCTGACCTCGTGATCCACCCACCTCGGCCTCCCAAAGTGCTGGGATTACAGGCATTAGCCACCACGCCTGGCTGACAGTAAAATCTTTAATCTAGCTTTAAAATTACTTGTAAAGTAATATGAGAAATGTCTTAAGAATTGTCAGCATACATTTTTGTTTGCATTTATTGATCAAGAGATTTCATACTTATCCCTGCTAAATACTATAAGGTGTCAAAATTTGGCATAAGCATTATTAAACTATAAACCCAGCCCAAAACAGAATGATCTTTGCTTGTGTGTTTTTTTTTTGTTTGTTTGTTTTGTTTTGTTTTTTTTTGAAACATAGTCTTGCTTTGTCACCTTGGCTGGAGTGCAGTGGCACGAACTTGGCTCACTGCAACCTCTACCTACCAGGCTCAAGCGATTCTCTGCCTCAGCCTCTTGAGTAGCTGGGACTACAGGCATGTGCCACCATGCCTGGCTAATTTTTTTATTTTTAGTGGAGACGGAGTTTCACCATGTTGGCCAGGCTGGTCTCAAACTCCTGGCATCAAGTGATCGACCCAACTCGGCCTCACAAAGTGCTAGGATTTACACGTGTGAGCCACCGTGCCAGCCGTGCTGTGTAATTTTTGATAAAGAAGACATTGATATTAGTTTAGTGAAAATAACCAAATCTTGAATTATGTGGTAAAATAAACATATATTTAATGTTAAGTTTCTTACTTAGGTAAACACCTGAAATTCACAGACTATAAAATGGTTGACAGGGAAATAACTTTAAATGACGACTATTTGCAGTTTTCATAAATAGGTAAACGATTAAAATAAAATAATTAGTTAAATGTAATGGAATAAATACTTATAGACAAACTTGTCATAATTTAGAATGTAAAGTTAAATACATATTTCATTAAATGTTTGGATATTTTCCAATTAAAAAATTATATTGTAGGAAAACATTGTTTCAAA
Organism: Homo sapiens; assembly: GCF_000001405.40. NCBI lineage: Eukaryota > Metazoa > Chordata > Mammalia > Primates > Hominidae > Homo > Homo sapiens. Next base: position 32,518,485 of record NC_000007.14, read on the forward strand.
AAAAAAAGTATGCTCTTATTAAAAGGTAATTTTTGTCTAATTCAAAGCTTTAAAGGTTATGTATAAATAAAGAGGAACCAGCAAATAAGAAAGAAGTTATATAATCAAAGAGGTATTTTTGGTAAGAAAGCTAAAAGAAAAATATGTGAGAAAGAGTCTTTTATGGTGAATTTTTTTCCTAAAATAAAATGACAGGGTTGTTTAAGAAAGAAGGATATGTAGGACAAACCAGAAAGTCCAAGCATGTCGTGAATGATCTAGGTCATAATACAGTTAGTAAAAAGGGAATTTATAAAAATGTTATGTGATTAATTGACTATAATGAAATTATAATAGTTTTTCTAAAAAACTGGACTTCAGTATTAAAAATACACTCAATAATTGGTTAAAACAAGATTTCATTAGAAAAATTGTGTTACTCTTAGTGCAAGAAGTTTTTAATTTTTAAATTCAATAATCTGTTTCTTTTTGAAACTACTCAAATATCTCAAGCTTAATAATCTATAGAAGAAAAATTTTGAAAAGCAAATGAAAAATCTTTTGGTTCTGCTTTTGTCTGCATGTCTGTTATATCTATGATTATATGTGCCATGTGGAAGTGGTATTTCGCTGTTAAACTCTATGAAAGAGTTCTAATTTGACTTAAAGAAATGTAAGGGCTTGGCCGGGCATGGTGGCTCACGCCTGTAACCCCAGCACTTTGGGAGGCCGAGGCGGGTGGATCATGAGGTCAAGAGTTCGAGACCAGCCTGGCCAAGATGGTGAAACCCCATCTCTACTAAAAATACAAAAAATTAGCTGGGCGTGGTGGCAGGCACCTGTAATCCCAGCTACTCAGGAGGCTGAGGCAGGAGAATCGCTTGAACCTAGGAGATGGAGGTTGCAGTGAGCTGACACTGCGCCACTGCACTCCAGCTTGGGCGACAGAGCGAGACTCTGTCCCAAAAAAAAAAAAAAGAAAAGAAATGGAAGGGCCTTCAGACTGATACAAGCTAGTTCAGATGCCTTTTAATTCACATGACTTCGGCAGTCTTTGGTAAGATTAATTTGGTAAACTTAATCTCAAAATTCTCTGCAATAGTTTAAAATCTTAAAATCATGTTAAGTAACCTTGATTTTTTTCACTAGGAATTTGGGTTACTAAGAGTTAAAATAGTAGTAATATTAAAGAAGTAAAAAAGTATAAAAGAAAATGTAATTTTTTTCCTAGTTAAGAGGCTATTTCAGTCGTTTTAAATTAAAGAGAAAATTATACTGTATTAGTTCATTCTTACATTGCTGTAAAGAACTACCTGAGACTAGGTAATTTGTAAAGATAAAAGGTTTAATTGACTCACAGTTCTGCAGGCTGTACAGGAAGCATGAATGGGAGGCCTCAGGAAACTTACAATCATAGCAGAAGTCATAGAGGAAGTGAGCACATCTTCACATGTGGAAGTGTGAGAGAGAGAGTGCAAAGGGGAAAGTGCAACACACTTTCAAAAACCAGATCTTGTGAGAACTCACTATCACAAGAACAGCAAGGGGAAAACCACCCCCACGATCCAGTCACCTCCCACCAGGTCCCTCCCCTGACATTGAGTATTATGATTCAACATGAGATTTGGGTGGGGACACAGTGCGAAACCATATCATTCACAAATAACAATACATGGATAAAAAGAAAAATTAAGCCAGGGCAACAAAATGTACCTCCAAGACCTGTGGTTACCAAGAAGATAGTTGATGCATGGGAAGGATTAAACCAAGTAACTATTAAAAGCGAAGAGTATGATGTAAAACAGTTCCATTTTATAGATTGGTATCATTAGCTTCTTGAGAAATCTCTAATGGATTGTAAAAATAGCCACTGTAAGGACAAAATTTTTTATTTTAAATGCTACTGAATGAAAGAGCTTGTTTGTATTGATGCACGACCCACAGCTCACTATTGAACAATCCCTGATGAGTATATGTGATCCAAAGGCATAGGAGGTTATTCCTGAGATAACAACCAGCCTAGTAGACTAGATAAATGCCACTGTAAGGTCTGTTGTAAGGTCTATTTGCCCTGAAAAGGAGACTTCCTAACTCTTCCTGTAAAACACCAACTGGAGCACCCCAGATGAAGCAGTTGATACGCTTCTTATGCAAGCCATGTAGGACTACCTTTTTGAGGACTGGGATATTCTCCCACTGAATATGCCTATAACCCAGGTCATGGCAAATTTTGGGCTGAGAGGGGCACCTTTTACATGGGTACCCCTCCCACAGAATCATATGACTGTTTGAGAAGCTTTATCAAATTTGCTGTCCCTCATGGGTGTACAGATGGTTAATAATACATAGGGGTAATTGGGCTGTGTCCCCACCCAAATCTCAACTTGAATTGTATCTCCCCGAATTCACATGTGTTGTGGGAGGGACCCAGGAGGAAGTAACTGAATCATGGGGTCCAGTCTTTCCCATGCTATTCTCGTGATAGTGAATAAGTCACACGAGATCTGATGGGTTTATCAAGGGTTTCTGCTTTTGCTCCTTCCTTATTTTCTCTTCCCGCCGACATGTAATAATTGCCTTTAGCCTCCCATCATGATTCTGAGGCCTCCCCAGCCATGTGGAACTTTAGTCCAATTAAATTTTTTTTTCTTCCCAGTCTCGGGTATGTCTTTATCAGCAGCACGAAAACAGACTAATACAGTAAACTGGTACTGGTAGAGTGGGGCACTGCTGAAAATATACTTGAAAATGTGGAAGCGACTTTGGAACTGGGTAACAGGCAGAGGTTGGAACAGTTTGGAGGACTCAGAAGAAGACAGGAAAATGTGGGAAAGTTTGGAACTTCCTAGAGACTTGTTGAATGGCTTTGCCCAAAATACTGATAACGATATGGACAGTAAGGTCCAGGCTGAGGTGGTCTCAGATTGAGATGAGGAACTTGTTGGGAACTGGAGTAAAGGTGACTTTTGTTATGTTTTAGAAGAGACTGGTGGCATTTTGCCTCTGCCCTAGACATTTGTGGAACTTTGAACTTAAGAAAGTTGATTTAGGGTATCTGGCAGAAGAAATTTCTAAGCAGCAAAGCATTCAAGAGGTGATTTGGATACTGTTAAAGGCATTTAGTTTTATAAGGGAAGCAGAGCATAAAAGTTTGGAAAATTTGCAGCATTACTATGCGATAGACAAGAAAAACCCATTTTCTGGGGAGAGATTCAAGCCAGCTGCGGAAATTTGTGTAAGTAGCAAGGAGCCTAATGTTAGTCCCCAAGACCATGGGGAAGATGTCTCCAGACCATGTCAGAGACCTTCACCACAGCCCCTCCTATCACAGGCCCAGAAGGAAAAAGTGGTTTTGTGGGCCTGGTCCAGGGTCCCCTTGCTGTGTGCAACCTAGGGATGTGGCACCCTGTGTCCCAGCTGCTGCTTCAGCTGTGGCTGAAAGGGGCCAATGTACAGCTCAGGTTGTGGCCTCAGAGGGTGGAAGCCCCAAGCTTTGGCAGCGTCCACATGGTGTTGAGCCTGCAGGTGCACAGAAGTCAAAGAATTGAGGTTTGGGAACCTCTACCTAGATTTCAGATGTATGGAAATGTCTAGATGCCCAGGCAAAAGTTTGCTATGGGGTGGGGCCCTCATAGAGAACCTCTGCTAGGGCAGTGTGGAAGGGAAATGTGGGGTTGGAGCCCCCACACAGAGTCCCTACTGGGGCACTGCCTAGTAGAGCTGTGAGAAGAGGGCCATTGTCTTCTAGACCCCAGAATGGTAGATCCACTGACAGCTTGCACCATGTGCCTGGAAAAGCTGCAGACACTCAACGCCAGCCCATGAAAGCATCCGGGAGGGAGGCTGTACCCTGCCAAGCCACAGGGGCAGAGCTACCCAAGACCATGGGAACTCACCTCTTGCATCAGTGTGACCTGGATTTGAGACCTGGAATCAAAGGAGATCATTTTGGAGCTTTAACATTTGACTGCCCCACTGAATTCTGGACTTGCATGGGACCCGTAACCCCATTGTTTTGGCCAATTTCTCTCATTTGGAATGGCTGTATTTACCCAATACCTGCACACCCATTGTATCTAGGAAGTAACTAGCTTGCTTTTGATTTTACAGGCCCATAGGCGGAAGAGACTTGCCTTGTCTCAGATGAAACTTTGGTCTGTGGACTTTTAGGTTAATGCTGAAATGAGTTAAGACTTTGGGAGACTGTTGGGAAGGCACGATTGGTTTTGAAATGGGAGGACATGAAATTTGGAGGGCGCAGGGGTGTGATATGGTTTGGGTGTGTCCTCACCCAAATCTCAACTCGAATTATATCTCCCAGAATTCACATGTGTTGTGGGAGAGACCCAGGGGGAGGTAATTGAATCATGGCAGCCAGTCTTTTCCGTGCTATTCTCGTGATAGTGAATAAGTCTCACAAGCTCTGATGGGTTTATCAGGAGTTTCTGCTTTTGCTGCTTCCTCATTTTCTCTTGCCACCGCCATGTAATAAGTGCCTTTTGCCTCCCGCCATAATTCTGAGGCCTCCCCAGCCATGTGGAACTGTAAGTCCAATTAAACCTTTTTTTCTTCCCAGCCTCAGGTATGAATCAGCAGCATGAAAATGGATTTGAATACAGAAGCCTAATCAAATTTGCTGTCCCTCATGGGTCTATAGATGGTTAATAAAACATTGGGGTAATTAACCAAAAAAAAAAAAAAAAAAAAAAGGAAAGCAAAAAGGGAGCCAAAGGACTAGCCCCAGAAGGATGATAGAAATTTGGGGATGGTTATTCACCATTTGCCCCAGATTGGAAGATTAAGGGGAAAAAAAAAATCAGAAGGCAGAGTTTATCATGAGAAAGCTGACATTGCCTGGGGCAATGCTGAGGCCAATTAAGATGAAAATTGATAAAAATTAACAAAAGAGCCTTAGTCCCTTGGCTCGACTCCCTGCTGGGAACCTAAACTTTTTTTAACCAGGTAAGGTAAAATGGTCTGGGGGTAGAAAAGTTCCTGGGACCAAAACATTAAAAACATACATGTTAATAGAATTATAAATTTCCTTTTTTTTTTTTTTTTTTTTTTTTTGAGATGGAATCTCGCTCCATCTCCCAGGCTGGAATGTAGTGGTGCAGTCTTGGCTCACTGCAGCCTCCGCCTTCTGGGTTCAAGCTATTCTCTTGCCTCAGCCTCCGGAGTAGCTGGGACTATAGGGGTGTGCCACCACACCTGCCTAAGTATTATTATTATTATTTTGTATTTTCAGTAGAGATGGGGTTTCTTTTCTTTTCTTTTTTTTTTTTTTTGAGACGGAGTCTTGCTCTGTCACTCAGGCTGGAGTGCAGTGGCACGATCTCGGCTCACTGCAAGCTCCGCCTCCTGGGTTCACACCATTCTCCTGCCTCAGCCTCCCAAGTAGCTGGGATTACAGGTGCCCACCACCACGCCCGGCTAATTTTTTGTATTTTTAGTAGAGATGGGGTTTCACTGTGTTAGCCAGGATGGTCTCGATCTCCTGACCTCGTGATCTGCCCACCTCAGCCTCCCAAAGTGCTGGGATTACAGGCGTGAGCCCCTGCACCCAGTCGAGATGGGGTTTCAACATGTTGGCCAGGCTGGTCTCAAACTCCTAACTTCAAGTGATCCGCCCATCTCAGCCTCCCAAAGTGCTGGGATTACAGCAGTGAGCCACCACACCTGTCAAATTATGAAATTTGAGATGTTTAAACAGACTTTATGTAAGGTAGTTGTGACTCCTTTACCTGTCTTATGAAAATGGGTATTACATCGCTGGGCACGGTGGCTCACGCCTGTAATCCTAGCACTTTGGGAGGCCAAGGCAGATGGATCACCTGAGGTCAGGAGTTTAACACCAGCCTGGCCAACATGGCAAAACCCCGTCTCTACTAAAATACAAAAATTAGCCTGGCATGATGGCAGGTGGCTGTAATCCCAGCTACTCGGGAGGCTGAGACTGGAGAATTGCTTGAACTCAGGAGACAGTGGTTGCAGTGAACCGAGATCATGCTACTGCACTCCTCCCTGGGCGGCTGAGCGAGACTCCATCTTGTGGGAGGGAGAAATACACACACACACACACACACACACACACAGAGAGAAAAGAAAATGGGTATTATATCTAACTGAGGGATGTTTCCCCTATCTAGTGCTATAAAACTGAAGGCATGTAAATCTGCTCTTTGAGAAATGTTAATTGGACACACTAAATGGGAACTAGTAAGATTGCCTGAGCCCACAAAATATGGGTTAGAAGCTGCAGTGCTAGTTGGGACAAATCCTCCACTTCATAGCCTTTTGTGGAGCATTTACTGGGGCTTATGGCAAAAGACTGTGAGTACTTCCCAGTGATAACTACTGGACTAGAGAATTTCCACTTGAGGGGCATGTACTGTCTTGCTATGGAATGTTAACTGAAGCCACCCCTATGCTAATGGAAATAATGGTGCCCAAGAGTTCCATGGTAAAATAAAAGTGGTTTACATAGATCTTGCTACCTGGATGTTCAAGGAGGACAATACTCATGAGCAGGGAGCTTCCTTTTACCCTAGGACTGTTTCTAACTGTATGACGGGCTGCTAGATTCCACAGTGCCTGATGGTTCTCATGAGCTGTTTGGCTCGTGAATGGCAGTTCAAAGGTAAACAAACACCTTGTTTGGAAGGCTGCTGCTCTGGCTAACGAAGGGTCAAAAAAATTTATTTTTCCTTTATTTCCAGTTTAGAACATTTGGGTGAAGTATATTTTTGTAAGCAAAATTACATTTCTGAGTTCTCCAAAATTCAGATTGTGATTTTATGACAGTATAGTTGTTTGCATAAGTTTAGTAAGAGTCTTTTAGAACAAAACAGTTGGAGACACTGGTTATTTTACCAAGACTTTCACTAGAATAGCATATTTTTAGGTAAAGTTCCAACAAAGCCAACTTAAGAGCCTATATAGTCAATGAATTCTTGCTGCACTTTATGTAAATCATCAGGCAAAGTATAATAAGCTTAGAACTTATTTTGCACACAAATTGGTCTTACTACAATTTCTCTTTAATAGAAAAGGAGGGCTAGAGAGAAATTGTTTCAAAGGAAAAATGTAATGCTTTATACTAGATTTCACCCCTAACTTTTGTTTTTTTGAGTGCAGATTGAATCATGAATTATATCTTGGCTACAGTAATCTCTAGAGAGTATCAGATTATAAGATTATAACTTTTTCATATCTTTAGTTGGTGCCCTAATGGAATAGGTTTATTTTTCTGCCCTGACACACAAATAATCTTTTTATTGTCAAAATATTAATGTTATTTATTTCTCCTTGTTTTACTTTCAAGGAAACCAAACCAGTCTCCCTCCTTTGGCATCTCACTGGGCCTGATTTGTTTTTTACTGCAAATGCCCTACTACTAAAACTGTTTTTGGGGGGGAAAAACACTGGTTTTTGTCACACAACCCAGATAATTTAGGCATGCGGATACATTGTAGGGTGAGTAGGGCAGGGTTCATTGAGTGAAAAGGGAAAAAACGGGAAACAGGAACCCTCAGCAAATTGAGAGAGTACTGCTATCAGGTTTCCTAACTCACAGATTGAAACCTAGGTTACCACACAAGAACAGGAGAGGCCAGGCTTCTCCCCTCTGCAAACGGCATGGACTTCCTGAGGCTCCATCCTGTCCTCCTGGTGCGCAGGCCAGTCAGAGATTCTCCAGGGACCCCTTTTTACTTAGTCTCATTCACCCTTCTAAAGAAATACATTTAACTGCCATTAGAAGGATAAGGATAAGGATGAAGACCAATCTTAACTGCTTCCTGCTGACAGGAGGTGCTGTTTTGGGAAAATGGCAGTCAGATCTCCTTCAGAGACCAATCTAAGGGTCCCTAGCAAAAGGGGCCGTCGTCCAAGGCTCCAGTTCATAACCACTTGGAGTGTGATGGTCTGAAGGCAAGAAGAGACAAACCGGGTTCTTAGAAAACATATATCAAAACGAAATAAGTGGCGAAGGGTAAGGACCTCTCAAAAATCCTGAGGCCTTTTATAAACCAGTTTGCACAGGGACAGAGGGGCCCAAAGCCTGACTGGCTAAAAAAAACACTTACCCTTTTGTCAGCATGTCAGGCTCCTGGGTTCCCTTCCCCTAAGCCCAATGCTAAGCTAACAAGTTTAAGGTTTGGGAAATTAACCCTTCCCAGTTTGGAGGGTGCATCCTGGGGAGGCATCCTGTTTCTATCTGTGAAGAGGATAGAGGAGGAAAAAGAAAAAAGAGACATTTTTTCAAAAGAGTCCCAGCGGTTTCATACACATTATAGGGTGAGTAGGGCAGGGTTTGTTGGGTGAAAGGAATAAAAAGGGAAACAGGAACCCTCCGCAGAGCGAAAGAGAGTCCCAATAGCAGTTTTCCCACCTCACAGATGAAATTCCAGGTTACCACACAGGAAAAAGAGAGGCCAGGCTCCTCCCCACTGCGGCACAAATTTCCTGAGGCTGCATCCCATCCTCCCAGTGTGCAGGCCAGTTGGATATTCCCCGGGGACCCCTTTTTACTTGACTGTCTCAAAACTATGCAAGCACCCTCCCTCTAGGGCCAAGGACTATCACAGGAGAAGTGGGCGTGTGAGATTGTAAGGGCTGGTTTTGAGGGATAGAATTAGGTCAAGGTCAGACCCTCCAAATCAAGGATGGGTACAAAGATGCCGAAACAGCTGATAAAACAAGGGACTTTGCCTCCTGAGCTATTGTGTGGCACCTTTCTATCCACTTCAGCCATAAATAATTTCCTGCTTCCTGTAGAATTAAAACAATTACTGAAGCTACCCCTATACTAATGAAAATAATGGTGCCCAAAAGAGTTCAGTTACTGATAGGATAAAGATAACTTGCGACAAAGCCTGCTGGGTTAATACCCTCAGTTATGAGAAGTGCAGATAGTTCTATATGTCTTTTAAAAATTTTTCAAGACAATGCTTATGTTTTGTATAGCTAATTGCTCTGAGTCTATACAACCGAGACTACAGTAGCTCAGTGCATACAAGTTAAAAATAAGTCAGTTTTGTAACTTCGCCTTTGGTTTTTTTGATTGTTGGCTTTCTACTTAAAAAAAAATAATTTTAAGGGGTAATGAATGCCTGGCCATGTCTAGCCCAGTCTGACCTAGAACAGTGAATTGTCTGTAAGTCTTGCTGACTCTAACACCCTTGACCATAGGGAGTCCCACCGAGGGACAGGATGGGCCCACGGCAGGCTGCTATGCCACACCAGCAACACTATGGGACAGAATTAAAATTTGGTGGCCATTGATGTTGCCTCTGGCAAATCTTGGCCAGAAGTGAGAGAATGTAAACCAAAAATAAAATTCAAAGTGTGTTCCACCCACCCACCCACCTACCTCCCACAATCATCTGAATAGACTCCCTCCTTGGCCAGGGTACCGTAAAATTTAACCTGGGAGACTGGTTCAGGCCATGATGAGAAATAGGGGAGTTGGGGTAGGACATGCCTCATTATACCCCTCCAGCATTAACATCAACACAGACCTTAAATCTGACAAACATTTACAATCTATTCTCTCTAAAGCCTGATACTTGGAGGCTTCATCTGCATGATAAAACCTAGGTCTCTACAACCCCTTGTCTTCACCCAGACATTCCTTTCTATGCATAACTGTCTGAACCATTTCCAATCAGAAACTGTTTAAATCTACCTATGACCTGGAAACACCACCCACCCTGACACCTACCCCTACCCCACCCACGCCTTCGAGTTGTCTCGCTTTTCTAGACTAAGCCAATGTAAACCTTAACATGTATTGATTGATGTATTATGTCTCCCTAAAATGTATAAAAGCAAGCTGGAGCCCAACCACCTTGGGCATGTGTCCTCAGGACCTCCTGAGGTTGTCATGGGTGCATCCTTAACCTTGCAAAATAAACTTTCTAAATTGAGACTTGTCTCTTGTCTCAGATACTTTTTGGTTTACAGCTTCTAACTCATTGAGGAGAGAGCCCGTTTTGCTCAGTAACAATTCTGGCAACCCAGGTGGGATGAAACCTGTCTGAAGTACTGTAGCCCCTTGATGGGGTACAGGCCCTCTTCACCAACCCTGAGTAGTCACCTAGACCATTTTGTCCAGAGGCTTGGCATAGGGCTTCTGCTTGTCCACCGAGGCTCCCTTGGTACTACTCTTTTTTTCAGAAAAGAAACTGCTTCTGGATTAGATATCTTTCTGATAAGTCAAAGATGTTAATCATAATAGCTGCCGTTTATTAAATGTTTATCATAGGCCGGCGCAGTGGCTCACGCCTGTAATCCCAGCACTTTGGGAGGCTGAGGCGGGCAGATCACAAGGTCAGGAGATCGAGACCATCCTGGCTAACATGGTGAAACTCCATTTCTACTAAAAATACAAAAAATTAGCCGGGCATGGTGGCGGGCGCCTGTAGTCCCAGCTAGTCGGGAGGCTGAGGCAGGAGAATGGCGTGAACCCAGGGAGCAGAGCCTGCAGTGAGCCAAGATCGCGCCACTGCACTCCAGCCTGGGTGACAGAGCGAGACTGCATCTCAAAAAACAAAAAAATGTTTATCATATACTAAGCATTGTGTTAGTTGTGTGCCCGATATCATTTATTCTTTACCACAAACTATTAAAAACAGTATTTTGTCAGATTTACTTTAAAGATCTAATTGACTTTCATTAGCAGTCCATGAATGGGATGCCTCTCATTTAAGATTTAGGAAAGGCACTCTGATGAGCTGAGCAGAAGAGGTTGGCTTTGTAGGCAGGAAATGGTTGAAGAAAGCAGAAACAGAACAAAGGGCAGATTGGTCATTTAAAAGTTACCTATGGGGTTAAAACAGAGGGGACCCCCCTATCACGCCTGCTCAGGTAAACTGGGTCCCTTCTGATTGGTTGCTGTAAATCTCCTGGTTTTAGGGGGAAACTGGTTTCAAAGTACAGTTTGTGAAGTACATGGCACCTAGAATAAGTGACTCCATTCTGGTTTGGTCTGGTTTATTAGTCCTAATACACCCTATAGCTCAGTCCAAAACAGTTATTTCCCTTAAATTTCATTTAGAAAAAGCAAAGATTTATTAGCCTTCTTTATAGATAAGGAAATTGAAGTTAAAGTTAAGCAATGGCCAGTGACTTGCTCTGGGTTACATAGCTAAGTAGCAAGCTAGGACTGGAACTCAATGCTTATTCAGTTTCAAAGGCCCATGCATTTGAACACTTCATCTTCATATATTTTTAAGCATTTTCTTAAATTGAGGTGTAACTTATAAACAATAAAGTGCATGAAACCTAATGCAGTTCAATTAATTTTTACATATGTGTATGTAACAAATATCCAGATCAAAACAGAGAACAATTCCAGTGCTTTAGAAGATGTCCTTATGCACCCCTTCCTATCCAGTTCCCACACAAGAGTAACCATGTTTTGACCCATGCTGTCTCTTTTGTGTCTTTTTTCTCTTAGTATTATGTCTGAGATTGGTCCATGTTGTTTGTATCAGTAACTGCTGTATAGTATTTCATTATATACATAGACTTTGATTGATTTATCCCTTATCCTATTAATGGACATATGGGTTCCCAGCTTTTGGTTATGACAAATAAGACAAAACACATTCTATTTTAAAAGATTTTTTTTAATTATTGGATTTAAGTTTATAAAAGTTGGAATTTTTTTCCACATAGTTATACACATTTGTGCTACATGACCAAGGTGTGTGTTTTAACTTGGAACTTAGGGTAATATAAGAGTCCCAGATTTCTTCAATATAAAAGATCAAGTCAAAGTCTAATACATTTAAGATCCTTCATAACTATGTTTTAAGTGAGAGTTCACTCATAACTAGTAAATGTATTTGATGCTGTCTAGCTTTACATAAAGTAGCTCTCCAAAACAAATCTGGTATTACTGGAAATTATTTGTCAGAAACATAAATCAAATTCTATTAATGCCATATCTGAGGGCATTTCTGATTTTCTAAGTTGTATATCTGCAAATACTTACGTTTCAATAAATGCCAAATCCTTATAACAATGCTATTTATTCTCATATCAGGTAGAGATTAATACTTAGTAGGGTTCTCAATTTTGCTATTCATATGTAAAGATTTTTCCTTTTTAGAAGAAATATTTCTTTTAAACAAACATAATTCTATCAACCTAAAATAATCAAAAGTCAGAATGTAGTTTAAAAGAGAATTTATTTGGCCAGGCACGGTGGCTCACACCTATAATGCCAGCACTTTGGGAAGCCAAGGCAGGCAGATCACTTGAGGTCAGGAGTTCGAGACCAGCCTGACTAACATGGTAAAACCCCATCTCTGCTATTAATAAAAATACATAAAAATTAGCTGGGCATGGTGGCATGTGCCTGTGGTCCTGGCTACTCAGGAGGCTGAGCCATGAAAATTGCTTGAACCCAGAAGGCGGAGGTTGCAATGAGCCAAGATCATGCCACTGCACTCCAGCCTCAGTGACAGAGCAGGACTCCACCTATTAAAAAAAAAAGAGTTTATTTAAGAACAGAAGTTGAGGACTGCAGTCCAGGACACATTTCCAGTTTGCCTTGGGGAGTACTCCAGAGAACAAGAGAGGCTCAAGTTTTAAAGAAAAAAGACAAATGAGGGGCAGGGACAATTACAAAAGTTGTTCTTCAGGAATTCTCATTGGCTTACAGAAATGGCATTAGTTAGTGATTGCCTATACATTGTTGAGCTATAGGGTGTAACGCATTTTTTGGCTACTTGGCCTCAGTCTAGAGCTTGCATAGCAAGTGGCTTTAAGCGGTAATTATTTAGCTCAAGGTGGAATGACTTCTGGGTCTGCTAATTTAAAGGGGCTTGCATTCCTCAGATAAGTTTTCTTTTTCTTTCTCTATTTTATCAAATCTTACTTCAGTTTACTGTGTATATGCAGTTACATGTTAATGACCTTTATATGAATATACATGTTAATGAACATGTATATTCATATAACGTTCCAATGACTTTAAAGTGGAAAAACAGAATGATAGCGTCTTAATGTTAGTGCCTCAAGTACCATTAGCGTGAAAATCAGCTTCCTTAATCCTGAGGCAGGATATATCCCTGACCCCTTTGCGGGACTCACAACAGGGTACCTCCTTTACTCAGCCCACCGTTCTCAACTCCTCGCAGGAGGGAGCACACGAGCGAATGAGGTGGGAACTGGAGTGCACGAGCACTGGAGCTGACTGGCTGCTTCAGAGCTGATGGGATCAAACTCCACTCAGATCCACTGCATTCCACCCCTCGTGGAGGGAATGCACAGGTGAGTGGGTACAGGAGCCAAAGCGAGCGCTTTTGGACACCGGCAGGAGCAAACTCTGTGCAGGCCCTGCAGCAACATCTAGGTGGGGGTGCTTGTGACCCCCAAAGCCCCAGAGGGTGTGTTACAGTGTTCATTTCGCTCTTCCATCTGCAAACAGCTTAAGTGTTAACAGATCAGTGGGCCCTCTGCCTTTTTGCATGAGGCAGGTGTCCTCCACCAGGGCAGTGTGACCGCCTTTTGTATCCACACTCGTGGCTCCCAAGCTCTTGTCCAGCGTCCAGGAAAAATGAGGTCGCTTGAACGAATTGAAGGGTGGTAAATGCAGGGGATTTTATTGCCAATGAAAGTGGCTCTCAGTGGAAAGGGGAGCTGAAAAAGAGATGGGGCAGGTAGGTAAGCTTCCCCTGAAGTCCAGCCATCTCCAACCAGATTCTTTTCCAAAGTTAGGCCATCAAGCTGTCCCTCTGAAGTCAAGCCACTTCTCTCCAGTGTCCAGCCGTAGTCCCTGACATCTAGCTGCGTCTCTCTGCCAGCTGAGTCAGGGGTTTTTATAGGCACAGGATGGGGGCTGGGCAGGCCATGGATAGTTTAATGAAAGGCAATATTCTAGTGGAAAAACAAGTTCTCACTTTGGGCCACGGGTTTCAGGCTTTTCCACTTCAAGGTGGTGTTTTATTGGGGACCCACCCTTTTCTGCCTAGAATATCTCTACCTCCATCCCTATCAATATATGTTGACACAAGCAAAATGTCATTTTATATAATAGAGTCCTGATATTCTGTTTCACTGTGGTGGGATTCTCATAATAACAATTTCTACGTTAAAATTAAAATACACATTATCTATTTTCATGCTCATAATCCAAGTACTCCAATTTAAGGAATGTGAAATAATAGCTCTTTAATTCTAGGGAAAAAATAGAAGATAACAGCCTTTATTCACTTGAATGTATAAAAGTACATGCTTTAAACTAAGATACTTATTTCCATTTAATTTAAAAACAAACTTCTTGATGGGCTCAGTGACACATGCTTGTAATCCCAGCCCTTTGGGAGACCAGGGTGGGAAGATTGCTTGATCCTAGGTGTTTGAGAGCAGCCTGGGCAACGAAAAATGAAATAATTAACTGGGTGCAGTGGTGCACGCCTGTAGTCCCAGCTACTCAGGCTGAAGTGGGAGGACCACTTGAGCACAGGAGGCCGAGGCTGCAGTGAGCCCTGATCACACCAGTGCACAGCAGCTTGAGTGACAGAGCAAGACCCTGTCTCTTAAAAACAGAACAAGGCCAGGCACGGTGGCCTATAATCCCAGCACTTTGGGAGGCTGAGGCGGGTGGATCACTTGAGGTCAGGAGTTCAAGACCAGCCTGGCCAACATGATGAAACCCCGTCTCTACTAAAAATACAAAAATTGGCCGGCTGTGGTGGCAGGTGCCTGTAATCCAAGCTACTCGGGAGGCTGAGGCAGGAGAATCGCCTAAATCCAGGAGGTGGAAGTTTCTGTGAGCCAAGAGCATGCCACTGCACTCCAGACTGGGCGACAGAGCCAGACTGTGTCTCAAGAAAAATAAAAAATAAAAAATCTTACTTTTAATTGGTAAGTCTCAAAAGTACCATTTTACCTCTGCAGTATACACTTTATATTTCTGAACATCTAATGCAGTCATGAAAATGTTGTCATATTGAGGTATAGGAGTGTAAAGCGCAGCTGTTTCAAATCTATACTTGACAAATACAGTGATTTGTTGCCAACTTTGTAGTCGAGTGAGGAATAAATGCCAATTGCTTTGTAGTATTGACTTTTCAAGAGATATGAGAAAGAAACCATAACTGAGAAGAAAACATGTCTGATGCCCAGGGCTTTTTCGTTTTCTTTTGTTTTAAGCAGAAAACATGACAGAGCTTTGACTTTGCTGCCTAAAATATTATGACTATTAAGAAAATAAATACTTTGTGCTTCTGAGTGAAAAGAAAAAATCTCTGAGATACCGAGAAAGGAAGCAAAGAGGCAGAGCAGTTGTGAAGCACTCTCCTTCCTTCTGTAAGCCGTTGATATACGTAGGGTCCATGGATGTGGTTAATGTGTGTGCTAATAGTTTGGCAGTGTGGCTTCTATTTGCCGTATGGTTCTCTGGCAGTGGAACATAGTGCATTGTTAAAAAGTGAACAGAGGGTATTCCTGAAGTACTCAGAGTTCACACTAGGGTACTATGTTACTTTGTTTTTGTAGTTTTCTTGTTTTCTCAGTCTTTTTTTCTGAGGACAAAGTAAATGGAATCTGACTAGAGGACACCAATTTGGTTTATAAACTATGACAAAGCATGGTAATTTTTATTACTGGAGGACAAACATGTCACCCTTTCTTGCATAGTTCATTTAGCATTTAGAAAAATTGCTTTTTTATTCCTTGTGATCAGAGTCAGCTTTTACTTTTTAGAAATCAGCTATTGTCTTATTTTTCCCTCCTCTTCTCCCTTAGTAATCTTGTAAATCTAAAAATTAGAATCAAAATAGATTTGGCCACATGAATATTGGTTACATACAAAGTCATATTTGAAATTTGTGTGATTTAGTAGCAGCCTTTCTGGGGATATTTGATACATTTTTTATGCATTGCATGTATTAATGCCCTACCAGACATCTTTTTTTTTTTTAAGAGAAAAGCAAACAGAAGTTTATTAACATGATTACCTTGTGAATACATGGGAGATAACTCAGAAATGAGAAAATCTCAAGAGTAGATCTCAAAGAGGTGGCTTCAACTTCAGACTTACACACTTCATTCCCCAACACAAAGAATGAAGGGTGTAGGCCAGACAACCCTCATTCTCTGTTAAGACTACCTGGTGAAGAAGTGCAGGGTAAACAAAAGTGAGGTTTGTTATGCAGATTGAACTTGTGCTTTTTGTGTTGATAAGAGTTTCCAGTGATTTAGGCCTTTAATCCCAGCACTTAGGGAGGCCAAGGCAGGTGGATCACTTCAGGTCAGGAGTTCGAGACCAGCCTGGCCAACATGGTGAAAACCTCATCTCTACTGAAAAAAATATAAAAATTAGCCAGGTGTGGTGGCAGGCACCAGTAATCCCAGCTACTCGGGAGGCTGAGGCAGGAGAATCGCTTGAAACTGGAAGGTGGAGGTTGCAGTGAGCCGAGATCACATCAATGCACTCCAGCCTGGGCAACAGAGCCAGATCCTGTCTCAAACAAATAAATGAAAGTTTCCAGTGATTTAGTCATCCTTCTCTTCCTGGTACAGAAAGGAAGACACTCTTACAAATGTAGATATTCTTTATAAAATAAATTTCTCTTACAAAAATACAACTTTTACTGTTTTCAGAGCTTCTCCTGTGTCTGTTTCCCAAAATAATCAGTTTAAAGTAATCCTGTGCCAAAGAGGCATATTTGGAATGGCATATACTGGTGTCCTACAGACATATTTTGGGGTGTCATGTCCTGAACTCTACAGTTGGCTCCCTCCGCCTTATGGAAATGTAAATAAAATCTTTGGAGACCATTGGTTTCCACTGAGCTCCTTCATCAGCTCCAACAGACCAAACCAAGTTAGAGGTCCCTCCTGCTAAAGTTCGACGTCACCAATCTAAGTTATCTGACCTGAGAAATCAGGAGAAAGAGAAACAAAAGTCAAATCCCCAAACAGGCTAGTTTTAGCTGGCATGATAAGGGAGTCTCCTCTGCTTTAACCCTTAAAAGGAAAGTAACTTTGAAACTACTGATTTACTTTTTGTTCCTTATTTCTGCTTTCTTCAGCCTTTTACCCATCCCAAAATACTCACTACCCACATTGCAGAGATGAGCTCTCTCAACTTCTTGTTCTGAAGGTTACGTGACTGGTGAATTGTTCTTTGCTCAAATAAACTGTTAAATTTATCTTGGCAGACTCTATTTTGATCCCCAAATTTGATTTAGATTTGGGGCCATTAAATTTCACTATTTAATAATAACCCTACTGGATGAGAATAAGTGTTTCTCAATTTCTGGTGATATGGTTTGGCTGTGTCCCCACCCAGAATCTCATCTTGAATTATATTCCCCATAATCCCCACGTGTCAATGGCAGGACCAGGTAGAGGTAATTGGATCATGGGGGCAGTTTCCCCCATGCATTTCTCTTGATAGTGAATGAATCTCATGAGATCTGATGGTTTTATAAATATCTGGCATTTCCCCTGCTTGCACTCACTCCATTCCACTGCCCTGTGAAGCAGGTGCCTGCTTCTCCTTTGCCTTCCGCCATGATTATAAGTTTCCTGAGGTTTCCTCCCTAGCATTACAGAACTGTGAGTTAATTAAACCTTTCCTTTATAAATTACCCAGTCTCAGGTGTTTTTTCATAGCAGTATGAGGACTGATATATCTGGGTACTTAACATTGGTTTTCGTCTGTGGTTTTTTTACATATACTTAGGGCTGCCATGTACAGCTATATGTACTTCACGACACAATTGCAGGGAGAGCCATTCATGTAAATGACAATGTCTGTGGTTCTCCCTGGAGCTGTGCAGTGAGGCAGCCTACTACACTTATCATCACTTCTGTGGTGCTGGTTAGTTTAATTGGCATTACTATTTAAATTGTCTTGATTCAACTGAGTATTTAAGAGTCTCATGTTAACTTCCAAGAGAATTCCTCTTTAGCCTCTGTGCCATGAAATTTTGTGTCTGTGTGGATTAATTTGGATATATAGAAAGGGGACAGATATTCAGTCAGTATTTAAAACATGAAAAACATACAATTTAAGATTTAAATATACCATCAATTTGGAAATAACATTCTTTTTTTTTTCATGCTTAATCTCTGATAATTAGGGATTATCAGATAGCAACTGGGCATTCTACAATTCAGTCATATTGTGACATTACTCAGTTAACATCAAACTCTGTAAGGGCTCACTCAGTCCCACAAAACTGCCCTCACTTCAGGCACCAATCACAAGTCCTGGGTCCCCAGGCCACCCCACCTCTGTCTGACTTTGCTACCAATTCAGGGCTTCCCATAACCTTCTCTGAGGTTTGATAATTTGCCAGAATGACTCATAAAACTCAGGAAAACTCTTCGCTTGCATTCACTGGTTTATTATTAAAGGACACAATTCAGGAACAACCAGATGGAAGAGATGAATAAGGCAAGGTGTTGGTTGGTGGGTCAGGGAGTTTCCATGCCATCTTTAGCATGCTGCCCTCCCAGCACTTTGATGTGTTCAACAACCCAGGAACTCACTGAATCCCATTGTTTAGGGGTTTTTATGGAGGTTTCATTACATAGGCGTGATTGACTAAACCATTGGCCATTGGTGATAGAATTCAATCTCCAACACCGTTCCTGGGAGGTCAAGGGGTATGGCTGAAAGTTCCATCCCTTTAATCAAGGCTTGGTCTTTCCGGTGATCAGCCTCTGTCATGAAGCTATCTAGGTCCTCCTACCACTAGAGTCACCTTAGCATAAACTCAAGTATGATTGATTGGGGCTTATTATGAATAACAAAAGATGCTCCTATTACTCAGGAAATTCCAAGGATGTTAGGAGTTTTGTTCCAGGAATGAGGGACAAGGACCAAATATATGTATTTTTAATTATATCACATTTGAATATTCTGAAAAGTTTGCAGTAGTATAATGTTTTAAAAAACTAGAAAAACTCAACAATAGAGGATTGATATTAAAATAATGAAATAATATATATCCATTAGAAAGGAGTTTTTTTTTTTTTTTTTTTTTTTTTAGACAGAGTCTCTCTGTTGCCCAGGCTGGAGTGCAGTGGCGCCATCTCGGCTCACTGCAACCACCACCACCTGAGTTCAAGTGATTCTCCTGCCTCAGCCTCCTGAGTAGTTGGGACTACAGGCGCCTGCCACCACACCCAGCTAATATTTTTTGTATTGTCAGTAGAGACAGGGTTTCACCATGTTGGCCAGGATGGTCTTGATCTCCTGACCTCGTGATCTGCCTGCCTCGGTCCCCCAAAGTGCTGGAATTACAGGTGTGAGCCACTGCACCCGGCCAGAAAGGAGTTTTAATAAACAGTTTTGAACTTGATTAGCAATTTCAGCAGTTTCCAAATGGAAGTATTCGTTGGTAGAAAATCTACCAGCAGGAGAAGAGAATTATAGAAAGCTGCCAACACAGTACAGGCAGTCTGCAATTTATGAAAGAGTTGTGTTCTAAAAGTTGGCTGTTTGAAATTCTGAACACTTTCCCAAAGAAACAATGTTGTAAATACTCTGGGCCCAAGTCAGGCTAGAACAGCCTTAATTTTACCCATGGAATTCTTGGAATACATGTAGTATCCACACTTCTATTTATGACAGTTTTGAGTCAACTGCGTCTTCAGTTTCAGCTAGAACCATCTAAAACTGATCTTCCTTCAGTAGAGTTGCGAATTCGGAGAATATGTTAAGCATAGCATAGCTTCAGATATTAATTAAACTTCTGGCCAATGGCAACCTGTTAACTAAATCTTCAGAACAGAAGATAGATTTCTACACCTGCCCTTAACTCCAAGATTATAGGATGGAAATAAGATTTCCTTCAGAAGTTAAGAACTGCTTGTGATTGTCTTATTTATTTATTTATTTTTAATCCTAAAAGCAATACATATCCATTTAAAAATAATTAAAAGTAGAGGTAGTATGCTCCACTTGCTGTGAAATCATTTAGAAAATTGTTTTTGTGTACACATACAACACAGCTAGAACAAGTGTGGCTAAAAAAAGCAATGCAGTTGGTAAATAAAGATGAAGTTTGTTAGGTTGTTCATATTCTTTTAACTTTCTGTAAGTTTGAAAATTTCAAAACAAAATGGTGGCGATTTTTTTTAAAGTAACAGGAGTATTCGCTTATCTTCCATCCCCAACCTCATTCTCCTCTCCAGAGTTAAAACCTCTGCTAGCAGTGTATATAGATTTTCAAGTGTCTTTTCAAGCATGTTTTTTAAATCCATTTACAGAAAATTTTTTTTGCACAAACGGAATCACAGTATATACAGAATCATACTACAGTCACCAGTCAAGGGATTTTGTCCAAGACCCCAAGAGCAGGTTCTTGGCTCTCATGCAGGAAAGAATTCAGGGCAAGTCACAGAGTAGAGTGAAGTTAAAATGATTTACTACAGACTACTGAATTACAGAATAGGGCATCCTCAGAGAGCAAGAGGAGGGTGCACCCATTTCAATATAATGCTAATATGGGTTATTAAGAAAAGTGTACTTTGGCCAGGCGCAGTGCTCACGCCTATAATCCCAGCACTTTGGGAGGTCAAGGCGGGCGGATCACCTAAAGTCGGGAGTTTGAGACTAGCCTGACCAACATGGAGAAACCCCGTCTCTCCTAAAAATACAAAATTAGCCGGGCGTGGTGGTGCATGCCTATAGTCCCAGCTACTTGGGCAGCTGAGGCAGCAGAAACGCTTGAACCCGAGAGGCAGAGGTTGCGGTGAGCCGAGATTGTGCCATTGCACTCCAGCCTGGGCAACGAGCGAAACTCCATCTCAAAAAAAAAGAAAAGGAAAAGAAAAGTGTGCTTGTGACCAGCTTGTGACAGGCTGTTAGTGTTGTTACTTTCCTATGTTACTATTGATTTTAGCAAGAATTTATGAGTGTACTAATATTTTTAAAGCAAAACCTATTCTTAAACTAAGAATGCTTTTTGTTCTTAAAGTACTGGGACATTTCCATAAGTCCTGGGTCTTCAGTTAGTTAACATCATTAACTTGTTCTCTCAAACATAAATGCCTTGTGACCAACAGTGCCCAGTCTCCGGGAACATAACACAGCAGATTTGGCTTTATCCAGCCTTTATTCAAGATGGAGTCACTCTGGTTAGGGTGCCTCTGACACTGTTGACTGATATTCTACTTGCTTTTAAAATTTAACAGTATTTATTAGTTTTCTCTTGCTGCTGAAAAATTACCACAAATGTAGTGCCTTAAAACAACACAAATTTATTAAAGTTCTGAGGTCAGAATTCCGAAATGGGTTTCACTGGGCTAAAATCAAGGTGTTGGCTGGGCTCCATTTCTTCTGGAAGCTCCAGGAGAGACTCGATTTTCTTGCTGTTTCCACCTCCTAAAGGTCTCCTGCATTTCTTGTTTCATGGCCCTTTCTTCCATCTTTAAAGCCAATGGAATAGCATCTTCAAATATCTTTTTCACTGATTCCTCTGCCTCTCTTATAAGGACTCTGTGATTACACTTTACCCGCCTGGATAATCCCTAGCTCAAGATCCTTAATCATATCTGCAAAGTCCCTTTTGCCCTTTTGCCAAGTAAGGTAACAAATAGAGTCCGGGGATTAGGATATCTTTGGAAGGCCATTATTTCGCCTACCACATAGGATATTGTGGCCGTCTTGCTTTATCAGTATATATGAATCTGACATTCTTTTTAACAGCTGGACAAAACTGATATAAACCACTGATGTAACCACTCATGATGAATATTTAGGTTTCCCTTTTATGCTGAAATAAATTATACTGCTATGAACATTTTTGTATGTATCTGAATATGTGAGAGTATCTATGGGATAAATTTCTAAAACTGAAATTGCTGAGTCAAAGGTGGTAAAAGATAAATTTTGGCACATTAAGATTTTAAGAAGTGTATGTGAGCAGACAGTGCTTCATGAGTCAGGCAGCATCAAACCAGAAGTGGTTGGGGCTCTACTAAAGGAGCATGGGGAAGGCATTTATAGGGTGAATATAGAAGTAGAGCAAAGAAATTCTTTCATTAAAATTTGAGCAGTTGCCTTATTTTGGTCATGCCTGTGGGAAGTTCAAGAAGATGTAACTGATGCCCAGTTGGCTGCCTGTGATTGGCTGAGCTAAGCTTGGTGATCTTTTAAATTTACTTTTGGTTTGCTTAAGTATAAAACCCTGAGCCTTAAAGCCACCTCAGTCTAAGGGCCTCTCATTTTGTTATCTTAATTATCTTGATAATACGGCCAAGTTGCCCTCCAAACTGTTGTGCCAGTGTACCGTACATTCCTACAGCCGGCTTCTCCACTCTGTTGTCAAATATTCAGTCTTTTTAATGTTTTTCAGTAGATGGGTAAAAATTATATTAATTCAAATTGCATTTCCATGATTAAAAATGAGATTAAGCATTGTTGTACTACTTTTTTTTTTTTTTTTTTTTTTTTTTTTTTTTTTTTTTTTTTTTTGAGACGGAGTCTCGCTCTGTCGCCCAGGCTGGAGTGCAGTGGCGGGATCTTGGCTCACTGCAAGCTCCGCCTCCCGGGTTCACGCCATTCTCCTCCTGCCTCAGCCTCCCAAGTAGCTGGGACTACAGGCGCCCGCCACTACGTCTGGCTAATTTTTTGTATTTTTAGTAGAGACGGGGTTTCACCGTTTTAGCCGGGATGGTCTCGATCTCCTGACCTCGTGATCCGCCCGCCTCGGCCTCCCAAAGTGCTGGGATTACAGGCGTGAGCCACCGCGCCCGGCCTGTACTACTTTTTTTAGAATTTTCTGTATTAAACTTTTTGGACCCTAAAGAGAAACATATTTCATGATGCATCATGAGAATTGGGGTACATAATGTTTGTTTATTTAAAACCATGTTTATTTCATACAAAATTCATTTTAAATAAATATCTGTACATCAAAATTTAATGATTTTCAAAAAGATTGTTTAGTAATAATTACCAGGACTCCTTATGATAAATACTATATATGGGACTTTGGTATTGATTATATAAAATATAATTATTTATTTTTTTACATTTATTTTTGGTGTTAAAAAATAATTCTGAATTGGTAACTTTTTTAACTCTAAAATTGCCAACTTCATAACATCATCTTTGAATTTGTGTGTATCTTACCTCATTGTCACATCCTGCCTTCCCTCACACTTTAGAAAATTGTCCAACAAAGCAAACTGGGATGAAACCTGTATGATAAATATATAGAGAAGATACAGAGAAATGTAACTGGAGGTTATTTATGCCTCACCTTCAGTTAATTTTTTTTTTTTTTTGAGACAGAGTCTCACTCTTGTTGCCCAGGCTGCAGTGCAGTGGCGCAATCTCGGCTCACTGTAACCTCCACCTCCTGGGTTCAAGCAATTCTCCTGCCTCAGCCTCCTGAGTAGCTGGGATTACAGGCATGTGCCACCACACCTGACTAATTTTTATATTTTTAGTAGGGACGGGATTTCACCATGTCGGCCAGGCTGGTCTCGAACTTCTGGCCTCAAGTGATCCACCCGCCTCAGCTCCCAAAGTGTTGAGAATTCAGGTGTGAGCCACCGTGCCCAGCCAATTTTTCAGTTGATTTTAAATGATCTCTGGAAGAAAAGTTTTACTCCTTAATCTAAACTTTTAAAGAGTTCTTCTAAACGGAAAACGTTGATTGCTTCTGGAGATGGGAGCAGGGACTGGGTAGCTGGGGTGGTGATATCAAGGGTGGGAGGCAGTCTTTTTTACAGTCCTTTTTTTTTTTTTTTGGTGTCTTTAAACATTTTAAATATGGAATTGGATCACCTTTAGAAATAATCACGAATTGGCCGGGCACAGTGCCTCATGCCTGTAATCCCAGCACTTTGGGAGGCCAGGGCAGGCGGATTACCTTAGGTCAGGAGTTCGAGACTAGCCTGGCCAACGTGGTGAAACCCTGTCTCTAGTAAAAATACAAAAAAAAAAAAAAAAAAAAATTAGCCGAGCGTGGTGGCACACGCCTGTAATCCCAGCTACTCAGGACGCTGAGGCAGGAGAATTGCTTGAGCATGGGAGACAGAGGTTGCAGTGAGCTGAGATCATGCCACTGCACTCCAGCCTGGCTGACAGAGTGAGACTGTCTCAAAAAGAAAAAAGAAAAAAAGAAGAAACAATCATGAATTTTAAATTCAGTGGACAAAAATTTTAAATCATTTTTAAAGCCCTTTTACCGTTGGCTTTCCTGTGATTCAAGTGGCAGCTTGATTTCATTGAAATGTGGAAAGATGAGCCATCCTATTTTTCCACATTAAAGGATTGGTTCCAAAAGTGATTCTGGGCTCAACTTGGGGCTCCTTTGTTGGACCTCTCCTACTCAATTCAGTAGGCTGTTGGTTTTCCTCAGGGCCCTGTGGCTTCAATTACCATCTGTTTGATGACAGCCCCCAGATATCAATCTGCAGTTCAATCACCAACCCCACTACCATTATGCACATTAAAGTTTAACCGACCTTAAATCAGAAAGTGGAGAAAGGCTTATAAACTTTTCCTCCTTTTACTGCTTTTTTTCCCCCTCTTCCATGCCATAGGTTTGCTGATGATATCAAATGACATTATACAGTGTGGCTTATCCCGACTTCTGTCATTCAGGGTTTAAAAGCATTTTTACCTATCAGAATAAAATGCTTCCTTTGGTCAACCACCTTTTGGCTAACATTCCTTACTATTTTAGGTTGAATTCTCTTACCCGCCCCTGATTCCAGGAGATGGACATGACAGCCACACTTTACCTGAAGAATGGAAGTATTTGCCCTTCCTTGCCTTACCAGATGGCGCACACAACTACCAGGAAGGTATGTAACAAGACAGTGAAGCAGTTAGGTGCCATTTTTGAAAAAATTTGCCAAGATATCTTAGGTTCTAAATACTTAGAAATTAAAGGCCTTCAGCCTGTTAGAACTATTTATAAAATATTTACATGCTTGTTTGGAGATAACTAGTCATTCACTAGAGCACCTCTAAAGGAGTGCCAGGCTTACATTGGCTGTGGCTGGTGAACCTTGGCCACGCTTCTGCCAAGTGATTAGCCAGAGCAGGACAGCCACCACTGGAAGCACTTCCTACATCTATACTTCATACTCCTCAGAGGCAAATCAGGGGGCTTACCAGCACCAGCTGTACATTGCTTGGGACTCTAGCTGCATACTTGCAGTACTAGGTTATCACTCCAGTGCCCACCTTAGAAACAGCTGAGATTGTTTTTGTGCCTCTGGAACCATTGCTGTCACAAGTACTCTGCTTGCAAGGTTGCTTGCTTGCATGCGGAGCATGTTAACACCCTCAAAGAAAGCAGGGCTGTGAAGTTCTTACCGAATCTCTTACCACCCTATAACTGAGTACTTTGCCTGACTTAATGAAGGACTGTATTTTACTATGGTATTTGATGCTCTACAAAAATGTTTTTGTTGTTACTGTTGCTATTGATTTTCTTTCTTTCTTTCTTTCTTTTTTTTTTTTGGAGATGGAATCTCACTATGTTGCCCTGTTGCCCAGGCTGGTCTCAAACTCCTGAGCTCCTGAGCTCAAGCAGTTCTCCTACCCCAGCCTTCCCAGTAGCTGTGGTTATAGACGTGAGCCACTATGCCTGGCTCTGCCACCATGCCCAGCAAAAGGACTGCTACAAACATGTGAATTAAGATTATAGCAAATGTTCTACAGATTTTCTTTATATTTGTGTATGTGTATAATTTTGTCTGTACTATCTATCTGAAAGTCAGTTGCAAACATTGTGACACTTTAAATACTTAAGATCTGAGAATGAGATCATTCCCCAGTGTAACTTCCAGTACCATTATCACAGCTAAGAGATGTAACAGTAATTTCATAATACTATCTAACATCCAATCTGTGTTCAAATTTTCTCAGTTGTCCCCCAAATTTCTTGTATTCATTCAAGGTTCGTGTGTTGCTGTTGGCTTTTATGACTGTCTACTTTCTTTTCATCTAGAACGATTCCCTAAAGATTAAGTATTTTCTGTAATTGTAGTCTCAGTTTGACCTGTTATAATTCAGTCTCTTGGGCTTTTTGTGATGAGTATTTACCATAAAGCAATGAGAAAAATTCTAGGAAACCATTGGTTGTGGTGCTACAAATAAGTATGATTTGGATTCCTTGTTTTATCATCATTTTTGTGTTAATGACTGCATTATGATAGCTTCAGATTATACTACTTATTAATAAGGGTAATTCACCTCACTATTTACATTTTTCTATGTATCTCTTAGATACTGTGTTTTTTCACTTGCCACCCAGAAATGGAAATGGAGCCACAGTATTTGGTATCTCTTGCTATCGACAAATTGAAGCCAAGGTACGATAGTTAATAGTGAAAAACAATTCCAAAGTCCCTTCTTAGATGTTGGACACTTAAACACAGTCTTTATTTTTCAGTGGTGCCTGTAATGTTGTTTTAGATTTTTGTATACAATTTGTAGCTGTTTTTTCAATAGTGCCAGTTTATTCACAGAAACATTTTATTAAGTTGACATTGGTGGCTATGCTTATATTTGTATCACAATATTTTGTACATTGCTTTTAGATAGTGATACATAAATTATCTATTTGTCTTTTAAATACTGTATTTACATTTCAAGATGTCTTTGAATTTTCTGTTTCTAGTGTTTGGCATATAACTTAGAAAAATTGAGTGGTAATGCTTGTGTGTTTTTTAGTTTTTTTATTTTTTTAAAGACAGGGCCTTGCTATTTTGCCCAGGCTGGTTTTGAACTCCTAGGCTCAAGGGATCCTCCTGCCTCAGCCTGCTGAGTAGCTGGGACTACAGGTGTGCACCACTGTGCCTTGCTTTTTTTTTTTAAGCAGCATTTCAGAAGTAGTGGAACGTGCTTAGAGGGGCTCCCAACTACTCATAAGCTGTCCTATTTATCTCTAAGATTTCTTTTTTTTTTTTTTTTTTTTTTTTTGAGGAGGAGTCTCACTCTGTTGCCTAGGCTGGAGTGCAGTGGCACAATCTTGGCTCACTGCAGCCTTGACCCTGAGCTCAAGCCCTCCTCCCATCTCAGACTCCCAAGTAGCTGGGATACAGGTGTGTGCCACCACACCCAGCTAATTTTTGTATTTTTTTATGGAGACAAGGTTTCACCATGATGCCCAGGTTGGTCTCGAACTCCTGAGCTCAAGTGATCTGCCCATCTCAGCCTCTGCAGGCATGAGCCACTGTGTCCAGCCTTGATTATTCTTAAACTACCTGCTAGCTTAATGCCTGACTTACTATAATAGCTCTAATTGATAAATTCAAATAAGCCAAGATGGTGGCCCCACCTTTCATGGTTTGCTTATGTGTAGCACTGTTTTTTTTGTGGTGGGGATAATCTTGATGAGTAAAAAGCTCTTTCCTCTCAAAAGGTCATTAATACTCTAAAGTAGTGAGTGGTTCTTAGTCTCAGCTGCACATTGCAATCACCTGGAGAGCTTTAAAAGCTAGGATGAGTGGGTCTGCCCCCGCCCCAAAAGATTCTGATTTAATGATCTAGACATGGGAGGTGGGAATGTTTTAAAAGCTCGCCAGGTGATTTTTCTGCCTAGTCAAGATTGACAACCACTGCTCTGAAACAATGATTTTTAACTAGAATTACCTGGAGACTTTTTTTTTTTTTTAAATATCTGTACCTAGCTTTTCCTCCTAGTGACTGAATTAGAATCGCTGGGATTTGAGCCTGGACAATTAAAAGTTTTAAAAGCTTCCTCGGGTGAATAATTAGTAAATCTTTTTCTAACTTGTTATGAAGGAAATTTCAAATATGCAGGTAAATTTAAAACATAGTACCTTGAGTACCTGTGTACCCATCACCTAGACTCATAGACTGTGTGTCTCTTTTTCCCCTGACCCACTTAAATGTAAACCATGGGTGTAAATTCCAGGATACCCAAAGTAGGTAACTACCATGAAGTAACCCTCTAAGCACAGGGCCTGGAACCTGGAACACCCATGTTATGTCATGAATAACTGAATCTAAAGCTAAAGATATTATGTCAAATAATAACATACACCTTAAATGTATACAATTTTTGTCAATTATACCTCAATGAAGCTGAGAAAATAAAGAGAAAAGAGGCTGGACCCCGGTGGCTCACACCTGTAATCCTAGCACTTTGGGAGGCCAAGGCGGGCGGATCACGAAGTTAGGAGATCAAGACCATCCTGGCTAACATAGTGAAACCCCATCTCTACTAAAAATATAAAAAAATTAGCCAGGTGTGGCAGCGCACGCCTGTAGTCCCAGCTACTCGGGAGGCTGAGGCAGGAGAACTGCTTGAACCCAGGAGGGCAGAGGCTGCAGTGAGCCGAGATGGCGCCACTGCACTCCAGCCTGGCAGCAGAGCGAGACTCCCTCAAAAAAATAAAAAAAATAAAAAATAAAAAGATAAAAGAAACCTGAGAGTAAGAGTTTGCCTGACAGCTTTGAGCAGTTGATGTTTTCATATACTATTGTAATCGAACCCAGGTTTGGCTGCATGCTGCTCAAAAGACAGGAGAGAAGAGAGTTGCTGGGAGGAAAAGCAGATTTATTTGGAAAGCCAGCTAGATGGTGAGCTAGCATTCTAAAGTAGCATCTTAAATTTTTCAGTCTGGCTGGAGGATTTTTATGGGAGAGGGATATGGGGAAGAAGAGGAAGTTGGTATCAAGAGGTGACACACAGACATCTGGGTACCAGCGAGGGTCCAAGGAATTTGGATACTTCTTTGTCATTGGTCAGGCCACAATGCTCCTATAAATCTTTAACAAAACATAGTTAGTTGTTTACATACTTTTTAAATCCCAGAGTTGGTTTTAAAACCTGCATGATTGCCATTTTTGCATATTATCTTAGTGCTCTAAAATTATCCTTGCCTATGTGCACAAATAGGGAAACGCTGCCTAAAAAATGGAGTTAGTTATGTTCTTTTGCTACTTCACTGTTACACTATTATCTTTACATACTTATATGTGAGATGAATTGAGCTGCTGTCCGTTCTTGGAAATCTGTTCCTTTTAATACCTTTTATTACCCGTATGTCATGTAAGCACTAGTAAAATTATTTCTACCAAGTGGGTCTTATCCCTCAGTGCTGTTTTAACAGCCCTCGTGCTCTGCATAGCCTTTAAATACTGCCTGTCTCCCCACTCCCTGGTTCTGACCCACTCAGGAGTACATTAGAGTTGCCCATTTTCCCAGTGATTGCTGTCCTTCTCAATAGATAATAGGCAATAGAAGCAGACAGATAAACCAATTATTGGAGGGACCTTGAGCCTGGAAGAAAGACTTCAACTCCTTTCGAATGAAGATAAGACAGTGGATGAATCCAATCAGGAGGAAGGATTCTACTCCACAGCTAATTTAAAGTCTGTTCATCAGTCATCAGTTGAAAACATGGGGGCCCCTTGGTCCTCAGGACAGATCCAAGAAGGTGTCAGGCAGTACACTAGAGGAGGAAGTCTTTCTTACTTCCCTCACAGCCTTGCCTGAGGTTAATCAAATGAAGATTTGCTCTCTACTAGAAGAGGACTGTAGAAATCTCACATAGTCATCCTCACAATCACTGAGAAATAAGTTATGTGCTTGTGTTTGGTGCTGGGCGCCAATACAAGTGTCCAGGCAACATGGAACAACTAACTTAACAAAATTGCTGGCAGTTCTTCCATCTCTGGAGAACAAGCTGTCTGTTTTTGTCATCTCTTTTTTCTTTTTTTTTTTTTTGAGACGGAGTCTCACTCTTTCGCCCAGGCTGGAGTGCAGTGGCGTGATCTCAGCTCACTGCAACCTCTGCCTCCCGGGTTCAAGCAATTCTCTTGCCTCGGCTTTCCAAGTAGCTGGGATTACAGGCTTGTGCCACCACACCTGGCTGATTTCTGTATTTTTAGTAGAGATGGGGTTTCACCATGTTGACCAGGCTGGTCTCAAACTCCTGGCCTCAGGTGACCCACCCACCTCAGCCTCCCAAAATGCTGAGATTACAGGCTTGAGCCATTGCTCTTGGCCTTTTGTCGTCTCTTAAACTAGCCCCTTCTCACCAGAAACAATGGTCTCTGAAAGGACTGTCCATTTATAACCAGAATCAACAGTGATTGATTTGCATTGAATGGCTGATTTGGGCCTGGTGACTTATACATAAAGTATTTTCCATGAGATTATAAATTCCTTGAGATTCGGGATTGTCCATTCACTATTATATTCCCAGTGCCTCCCACAGATTCTGGCACATAGGCCCAAACTGACATTTATTTGTTCAGTATTTCCTGAGAGTCTTAATAAAAAACTTTTTGAATTTAACTGAATGTAAGAAATTTCTTATATATAATTTCTATTTTTATGTTGAAAAAATATTTTTGAAATATTGCTATGAAATATTTCTGATAAATTGCTCTTTGTTCATAATAGGCACTGAAAGTAAGGCAAGCAGATATCACCAGAGAGACTGTTCAGAAAAGTGTCTGTGTTCTAAGCAAGCTGGTAAGAGACGAAGTAACTTGTTCATTATGTTAAACCTTCATGGCAGATCTTTCTTTAAGGATAAGGCACTATTAGAATAAGAAGAGATTTAAATGACATATTAAAATTATTTATGCCCTAGCATCTCCTCATTCTCTTTCCCTTTCAGCAGTTTTCATTTGCACCTCTACCCAAGACTTGGTAAGAGAAAGGAGATCTTATAGCTATTGGAAAGTAAGTTGACACATAAACAAAATGAGGTAGCTGATATATTTCATTTATCCATTTTGGTTTTGTCCAAAAAAAAAAAATTTTATATATATATATATATAATTTTTTTTTTTTGAGACAGAGTCTCACTCTGTTGCCCAGGCTGGAGTGTGGTGGCGTGACCTTGGCTTACTGCAACCTCTGCCTCCTAGGCTCAAGCAATCCTCCCACCTCAGCCTCCTGAGTGGCTGGGACCACAGGCATGCACTACCATGCCTGGCTAATATTTTTGTATTTTTGGTAGAGACGAGGTTTTACCATGTTGCCTACGCTGGTCTCAAACTCCTGAGCTCAAGCAACCCACCCGCCTCAGCCTTCCAAAGTGCTGGGATTGCAGGAGTGAGCCATCGTGCCCAGCCAAAATCTTATTTCATCCAAAATAAAATTTTGAGGATGAGAATATTTCTTCCAAGAAGTAATTTTATACATAAGGCAAGAATAGTCTCCTAGAAAAGGAATGGCTGTGGCCGGGCATGGTGGCTCACGCCTGTAATACCAGCACTTTGGAAGGCCGAGGTGGGCGGATCATGAGGTCAGGAGTTTGAGACCAGCCTGACCAACATGCTGAAACCCTGTCTCTACTAAAAATTAAAAAAAAAAAAATTAGCCAGGCACGGTGGTGCACCCCTCTAATCCCAGCTATTCAGGAGGCTGAGGCAGGAGAATCACTTGAACCCAGGAGGTGGAGGTTGCAGTGAGCAGAGATCAGCCACTGCACTCCAGCCTGGGCGACAGAGGGAGACTCCGTCTCAAAAAAAAAAAAGAAAGAAAGAAAAAAAAGAAAAGGAATGGCTATTATAAAAGACCCCAATGTCAGAAAATTGATCAATTATTCATCTGATTCCTGTACACACCTTTGAGAAGAGTAGCCTGAAAAATATACATGAGTGAATAGCTTTTTTATACTGGACCAGATGACAGAAGAGTAAGAGTACCAGATATTAAAGGAAGTGCAACATGTTAAGAGGCTTCCTGAGTAATCATTCTTCAAAGGACGATTACAATAATAATAGATGCCATTTATTGAGTGCCTATATATCAGGCATTAATTCTGTACCAGACACTTTTTATATGTAATTGTCATTTCCATCCTTATAACAATATTGAGACATATTTACTGTTCTCATTTTGTAAATAAAGGCATATCTCAGAAAAAATGTGTAATTCTCACAGACATGTAACTACTAAGTGATAAAATTGGGGTAAAAAAATCGAGTTTTATCTGTCTCTAAAGCAGACACAAGGGATGGGAAGAGGGTAGCTTACTCAGAAAGGTCTGGTTGTGGTTTTTCTGGTCTATGTATTGAAGTCTATGTATAAATATAAATGATTTTATACTTTGATGGGAATCATGATATATTAACAGGGATACTGGGAAAGAGACTCTTCCAGTATTACTTGTTTTTAATTAATTAGAGTATATATACATCATTGGTCATTACATCCTGAAATGGACATAGAAATGAGAAAACATCTAGAAAAGAACATTACAAATAAAAAGATGAAAATGGTAGAAGATTCTAAATAGAGAAATAAGCATTAAGGGATAACTTTGCTCAAATATATAAAACAATATTATGATAAAGGACACAAACTAGTTGTTGTGAGCCTCCACAGAGGACAAAAAATGTAATCATGAATGTTCAAATAGATATAAAAACAAGCTGTTATAAGGATGATTAAATGTCGCTACAGGCCAGCAAAAAAGTGTGCAGAATTAGAATATGTTTTAAATCATATAATAGTAATCGCTAATGTTTGGATACTTTCTATGTGTCAGATACTTTTTACCAAGTGCTTTTACCTGTTATTTAATCCTTAAAACAGTCAAGTAAGAGGTACTATTTTCATATGCCCATGTTCAGATCAGCAAGCAGAGGTGGAGAGGTTAAATTCCCAGAGCTGAGTGATGGAGCCAGGCCCAGCAAGTCTGAGCCCACACTCTTAAGCACTGTACTCAGTGTTTCAGGTACTTTTCACTTGTAGCCAAAGAACAGATGACTTCACGGCTTTCAACTATGAATAATACGCACTAAAGTTGATAGTTACTAACTTTTTTCTCCAAATTAAAAAGTTGTGGGGTTCTGTTTGTTTTACTATTATCAACCAATTTTACTGTTATCAACTAATTATTAATCAATGGTAATTTCTCTTTTTTCCTTTAAGCCTCTGTATGGTTTACTTCAAGCAAAACTTCAACTCATTACACATGCATATTTTGAAGAGAAGGATTTTTCCCAAATTTCTATTCTAAAGGTAACTTTATACCCCTCTATAGATGTGTTTGGCTGAAGATAGACTCATGAATCAAGTAAATATTGTCAGTAATACTGTGAAGGATAATTATTACCTTAAGAAAGACATTCTAATGTGAAAACGCATTTGCATTAAAACATTGAAAGACTAGGAATCTGCCCAAATACTAAATTTAACCAAACTTTTTTTTTTTTTTTTTTTAGGAAATAATGACTACAAATAACTATAACTAACAGTAATGTTTCTCTTAGTGGATAATAGCCCTTTTGCTATGGCATTGCTTCTGTAAATTTGCTTATCTTATTAATAAACTGCACAGTATTTTTATATATTAGGTTTCTGGTTCCTAGTTCCCAATACATAGATCAGAAAAACCACATGATTATTTTATTGAAAATGGACAGCATGTTTTCCTCAGTGCTGCCATTCATGTAAAGAATATGGATCTCTCTTGGATTCTGGTGGGAGTAGGACATCTAGGGACTTAGCAAGGGAGCAGAGGGGATTTATACTAGGAATTCATACCACTATGTGAATGAACCACGCTCTAAAATGTAGAGGGAGAAAGGAATACCCTGAGTAGCTTTTCATACTCAACTGCCCACGTCTCTTCTGATACTGCTCATATCCAGAAGAGAAGAAATGAGAACTGGCAAGGTTGCAGAGAGGCTTGATTGTTTTTAAATTTAGCGCCTAGCAGAACAAACTACCTCAATTAAGGAATCAGCTTTTTTCTGATCAATATATTTCTAATTCAGATCTAAAATGATAGTAAAATGTGCTAAATTCAATCTATATTTTATAGGAGCTTTATGAACATATGAATAGTTCCTTGGGAGGTGCTTCATTAGAAGGATCCCAAGTATATCTTGGTAAGTAACTGACTTACAAGTTAAAAGAGATCCCCTCATTTCTATTTGTTTAGCAAACTGAGTTGCGTGTAAAACTTTGATTAGAATTACATCTCTATATGGGATCTAAATTCTTCAACATTTGATGCTGTTTCTTCCTTAAATATCTTCTTAGCCAGTGTTTATACTGAGAAGAGTATTAGAACATACCAGGTTTACAACTATTAACGTACAAGGTGAATTTCTGCCTTTTTTTTTTTTGAGACAAACTACCTCAATTATCATTGAAAATGGATAGCATTTTCTCACCCAGGCTGGAGTGCAGTGGTGTGATCATGGCTCACTGCAGCCTTGACCTCCTGGGCTCAAGCAATTCTCCTGCCACAGCCTCCTGAGTAGCTGGGACCACAGGTGCATGCCATCACTCCCAGCTAGTTGGTATTTTTTGTTTGTTTGTTTTGGGTTTTTTTTGTAGAGACAAGGTGTCCCTATGGTGCCCAGGCTGGAATTTCTACCTTCTAGGATAGTAATGGAAGTTTTTTATTGTTTTTTCTTTTCTTTGCGTTAATGCTGACCAGCTTAATTCCCTATCATAACAGATGAAGCAAGATAGAAAGCTGCTCAGCTCTTTTATAAGATTCTTCAGGTTAGGGATTTTTGTTTAATTTATACTATCTTGACAACCCAGAATATCCACTGGTAGCCAAAATATTCAATGGGCAACTCAATAAATATCCATTTTGTGATTAAAACTTTTTAATCACATAGTGGTTTATGCTCACTCAATTCCAATTTCAGCATGCAGTTGCCAATTGTGGTAGTTTATGATTGCAATCCTCTGTGTAATGTAAACTATTATTCTGCATAATATGAGGTCCTATTCTGAGAACATATTTTTGTCTAAATTATTTTCTCTTGTACTGTGTTGTTTCAGGCAGGTGATAGACTGTGTTTCAGAAATAATAACATATGAAGTGCCATGACCAAAAACCTTGTTTAATCATTGATTGCCACTATAATATAAGCTATATCATTTCTAAACTTGTGTAGTTTATGTTTATAGAATGGGGAAATGTGTTAAACCTGCACTGTCCAAAACAGTAGCTACTAGCCACCTATAGCTGTCTACATTTAGATTAAAATTAATAAAATTTTAATAAAACTTAAGTCAGTTTGTCTCAGTCACACATGCCACATTTCAGTTGCTCTGTATTGGCTACTGTATTGGACAAGACAGGTTTAAAATATTTTCATCCTTGCAGAAAGTTGTACTGAACAGCACTGTTTCTGAGTATATGTGTACCTAATCAAACATTACAGAAATATTTGGATATTTGCATATTCCTACTTTTTTTTTTTTTTAACCTTTCTTTCTGTTAAGGGGGAAATAACCTTTCTGCAGCAAAAACATTACATTGTAGTCACACTTGAGCTTTTTTGTTAACATTGTAGGTCTGTCACCTCGAGATCTTGTCCTTCATTTTCGACACAAGGTATGGTACCTTATTTAAATAAATTTATGATGTACAGTACTAAAATGGCCAACACTGTTCTTAGTGTGCTCATTTAACTGCCAAATTCAGTGTGCTAAATTGAATGCAGATTGTGGCATACCATGCTTTAGTTCTTCTAAGATGTACTTGGCCTTATAACTATACAAAATTAAAAGTGTTGGTAGTGCTTGTATTGTAGAAATTTAAAAGAGCACAAATACTGTTTACTTCTTTGCAGGATAGGGTAATTTTTTCTATTGTTTTTGCAATTTCATCGATCATGAGATTAGAGTGGAAAGAAACATGTTTTGATCTTGCAGAATATTTTATATGTTGCCCTGAGAATGGAGCATTTTTCAATAAAACATCTATATATACTTATACCTTCTGATCTTTATTATTAAAGCAGATGTTGACTAGGATATAAACACATTGATTATTTATTTAACAAACATTTACTGAGCACATGCTATGTGAACACTCTGGACATCCAGAAATAAAGTATTTATTTAAAGAGCAGGGTCCCCTTTAAAGAGCTTACAGATACTTCAAGCAAAAATGGTACCACCCCTTCAAGAAAAAATAATTTCAGTTAGAGATTTAAGTGATTCTCACATTTAAGAGTACACAGGTAATATTTAACTTCTCAGTATAAGTTCATAATTTTTCATGTACTTTTTAAAGTGCTGTATTTAGTATTACTGATTATGGTTATGTTTTAGGAGGGGAAAAGATGAATTATAGGCGTGAGTCTCTCATTTCAATACAACATTTTTTTTTCCTTTTGCAGGTCTTAATCCTATTTAAGCTAATTCTTCTTGAAAAAAAGGTACGATCCTAAGGGATGAAAGGAAAGATGGAGTATTTAACTTTTATTCACTTTTTTTTACATTATTTCATAAAATTGAAACTAATGATAAAGTATTAAGATACTTTTTGCCTATCATTGTGGTAAGCTGAAGCACATTTTCTTGTTCTCTGCCGTAAAAATATAAATTCATGCAGCTTTTCTGTAGGTAACATACAACTCAATTTTAAGCTGACTTAAATAGAAAGGACATATTGGCTCACTTTGGATTTCAGGATTTGACTCAGTGGCTCCATAGTGTAATTAAGTGCCTAGGTTTTTTCCATCTCTTTGCTCTACAGTGCACAGTGCTAGCTTGTTCCAGGGCCTAGTTTCCCTGGTAGTATAGGGAACTGCCGACAGTAATTGGGTTATTTGCTTCCTCAGTCATAACTGCTGGCAGAAATAATACCTCCTCCTAAACAATCTAATAAGAATTCTTGGCCGGGCACGGTGGCTCACACTTGTAATCCTAGCACTTTGGGAGGCTGAAGCAGGAGGATCACTTGCGCTCAGGAGTTTGAGACCAGCCTGGGCAACATGGTGAAAGAAACCCCATCTCTACAAAAAATACAAAAATTAGCTGGGTGTGGTGGCATGTGCCTGTAGTCCCAGCTACTTGGGAGGCTGAGGTAAGAGGATGGCTTGAGCTTGGGAGGTAGAGATTACAGTGAGCTGAGATCGTGCCACTACACTCCAGCCTGCAAACAGAGCCACTGTCTCAAAAAATAACAATTAAAAAAGCAATAATTATTTCCTTCAATTTGTTTGGGCCTATTACAGGCCACACACATGGCTACTCCTGTGGCCAAATACATGTTTGCCCTGATTGGCTTAAACTTGGGTTCCTGACCACTCCCTAATACAAAGGGATGGGTTTGCCATGATTGGCTTAGTCCCAAGGCCAAATCTGACCTACTACCTATTGTTATACATAAAATTTTATTGGAAATCAGACCCATTTATTTACTTGCTGTTTATGGCTGCTTTCACACTGTAGTGGCAGAGTTGAGTAGTTGTGACAGACCATATGGCCCGCAAAGCAAAAATATTTATCTGACCTTTTAGAGAAAAAGTTCACCAGCCTTTGGTTTAGACTAATCAGGAGCCATCCTTGGATCTGGGCCAGTTTTATACACCGTATTACTGTGCCTAGTGGAGTCGGGGTTGAAAGAATGTTGGGGAGTCGACCATGCACAATATCCACTTTAGTTCATTACCTTAAAAATATTCCTTTGACCCAGTAATTCTCCTGTTAGAGATCTATTTTCCAAAATTAATCTGAATTGGACACAAAGCTCTAAGAGAGTCTATCACAGAATAATAAATTATAAGTGAGTAACTATTAGTTTATCTTGTATGTTGTATAGAATTTCAGACAATAAAAAAGATACTAAGATGTTTTTATTGTTTTAAAGATTTTCATGGCATGTTAAGTGAGAAAAGTTTGTCTACAACAAGTCAAGCCTATGATCCCATTTTATAAATGAATATATATTAATTGAAAAGGGACTGGAAGTAAAGATATCAACCTAGTTTGGTGAGAACATAGGTTATTTTTTTTAAAGGGAATATTTTTCTGTATCCTATTTTTCTATAAGAAATATATATTCCTTCAGGCTGGGCACAGTGGCTCACGCCTGTAATCTCAGCACTTTGGGAGGCTAAGGTGGGTGATCACTTGAGGTCAGGAGTTTGAGAACAGCCTGGCCAACATGGTGAAACCCCATCTCTACTAAAAATACAAAAATTAGCCAGGCATGGTGGCAGGTGCCTGTAGTCCCAGCTACTCAGGAGGCTGAGGCAGGAGAACTGCTTGAACCAGGGAGGCAGAGGTTGCAGTGAGCCAAGATCACACCACTGCACTCTAGCCTGGGTGACAGAGCGAGACTCCATCTCAAAGTAAATGAATGAATGAATGAATGAATGAGTATTCCTTCAAACAGAAAAAAAGATAAAGTTTTTTTTTTAAAAATGAACCCAGCATATTAGTGTGGTATTTCAAAAAATTTTATTTAATTTCTAAAATTGTGATAAAATACACATAACATACAATTTATCATCGTAACCATTTTAAGGTGTACAATTCAGTGCTATTAAGTACATTCATGTTATGCAGCCATCATCACTATCCAGCCACAGAACACTTTGAATTCCTTTTTATTTTTTGAGACAGGGTATAGCTCTGTTGCCCAGGCTAGAGTGCAGCGGTGTGATCATGGCTCACTGCAACCTCTAACTCCCAGGCTCAAGCAATTCTTCCACCTCAGCTTCCTGAGTAGCTGGGACCACAGTGCTGGGATTACCAGCATGAGCCACCACACCCAGTCTGTATTCCTTTATATATGTCCATTTTTTCCCCTGAATCATAATACCTTGAAAGTAATTTGTAGACATTATGGTACTTCACTCCTAAATAAATACTTCAGGATATATTTCTTAAGAAAAAGAAAATATTCCTACATAATCGGAATACCATTTTCACATTCAGGAAATTTAACATTGAGATAATAAGAGAAATCTGACATAAGTCCATTTTCAAATTTCCCCAGATATGATAATGTCCTTTGTAGCTGATGTTTTCTTTTTTTATTATTATTTAATTTTTTATTTTAAAGAATAGAGATAGGGTCTCGCTGTGTTGCGCAGGCTGGTCTTGAACTCCTGGCCTCAAGTGATCCTCCTGCCTCAATCTCCCAAAATGCTGGGATTACAGGTGTGAACCACCACACCTGACCTGATTGTTGTTTTCAGTCTGGGATCCAGTCAAGGATCATGTACTGCATTGCTAGCTCTCTTTTATTTCAAAAAGGTATTCCACCTTTGTCTCTTTTTTTGTTTGTTCTTTTCTTTCTATATTTTGTGACACTGGCATTTTAAAAATAATCAAGACTAGTGTTCTAGGGTGAGATTTGTTTGTTTTGTTGTGGCTAGTTTCAGATTAAACCTTTTTAGCAAAAATCCTACACAGGTAGTGGTGTGTCTCTGTCAGGACATGATATCAGGAGGCCCATAACTATTTGTAGTTAGTAGTATTGGTGATGTGAAGTTCGATCATTTGGTTGAGGTGGTGGTTGCCACCTCAATAGCTAATCCGTAGAATGATAAATTTCAGACATTGTGACTATCCTGTTGTTTCACAGTAGTTTTAGCATCTGTTGGTAATTTGTACCTAAATCACGGTGGATGCTAAATGGTGATTTGTCTGTTAGTACTTCTATGTTTATTAGCTGTTACTCTTTTTTTTTTTTTTTTTTTTGAGACAGAGTCTTGCTCTGTCGCCCAGGCTGGAGTGCAGTGGCGTAATCTCAGCTCACTGTAACCTCCACCTCCCGGGTTCAAGCAATTCTCCTGCCTCAGCCTCCTGAGTAGCTGGGATTACAGGTGTGTGCCACCATGCCTGGCTAATTTTTGTACTTTTAGTAGAGACGGGGTTTCAGCATGTTGGTCAGGCTGGTCTCGATCTCCTGACCTCATTATCTGCCCGCCTTGGCCTCCCAAAGTGCTGGGATTACAGGTGTGAGCCAGCCACCAAGCCCAGCAGCTGTTATTCTTCTTTTTATGAGACAGAGTCTCGCTCTCTAGCCAGGCTGGAGTGCAGTGGTGTGATCTTGGCTCACTGCAACTCTGCCTCCTGGGTTCAAGTGATTCTCCTGCCTCAGCCTCCTGAGTAGCTGGGACCACAGGCGTGTGCCACCATGCCCGGCTAAGTTTTTGTATTTTAGTAGAGACGGGGTTTCACCATGTTGGCCAGGATGGTCTCGATCTCCTGACCTCGTGATCCACCCACCCCGGCCTCCCAAAGTGCTGGGATTACAGGCATGAGCCACTGCGCCCGGCCAGCTGTTATTCTTATATAAGGAATTTTTCCCTCTTTTTTATTTGTTATCATTATGGACGGCTTCATGGGTCTTCTAATTTGATTTTGATTGACTCCATTCCAGGTTCTTTTTTATATTTCTCCAGTGAATAAATTGGTGGGTGCACTGATGACTGTGTTATCCCTTTTTCCAGGTAAGAAAACAGCAGTATCTACTCTTTCTTTTGTTTAACTTGTACTGGAACCTAAACTTTTAGAAATAAAGTTTCAAAGATAAATTCGTTAGGGTTATCCTTTCTATTTTAATATGACGTCTTCCTTTTGGAAATAGGTTTCTCTCTTTTGTCTGGGCTTCTTTCTGTTCTTTTTGTTTTTAATTAAAATGTGTACAAGCATAGCTTATTAAATTTTATAGGGGAGTCTACTAATATATAGCTCTCAGGTTCTTCCATATTATTATAAGCCAAGCTGTTCTTTGATATTGCATATTTTAGGCATGATTGAACATGGTCTCAGTGACTGTTCTCAGTATAGACCCCGGAAAAGTATGTCTGAAGATGGTGGGCTTCAGGAAAGTAACCCATGTGCAGATGATTTTGTTTCTGCATCCACTGCTGATGTTTCACATACCAACTTGGGAACTATCAGGAAAGTCATGGCAGGAAACCATGGAGAAGATGCTGCCATGAAGACTGAGGAGCCTTTGTTCCAAGTGGAAGACAGCAGCAAAGGGCAGGAACCCAATGATACCAATCAATATTTGAAACCTCCATCTCGCCCATCTCCAGATTCTTCAGAAAGTGACTGGGAAACTTTGGATCCTAGTGTCTTAGAGGACCCCAACTTGAAAGAAAGGGAACAGCTGGGATCAGACCAGACAAATTTGTTTCCAAAGGACTCTGTCCCCTCAGAGAGTCTTCCAATTACTGTACAACCTCAAGCTAATACGGGACAGGTAGTCCTGATACCAGGGCTCATTTCGGGTTTGGAAGAGGATCAGTATGGCATGCCCCTGGCCATCTTCACAAAGGTAAAGTGTAATATTTTTTATCGAATTCCTTAAAGAATTTGAAAAATCCTTTCGGAGTTTAACTTTTGAACTTTTGGTATTCAACACATTTTCAGGTGGAAAAATTTCCTTGAAAACTGTAAAGTACAACCAAATACATAGTACTGTGGCATCCGTGACCATAGTATAAGTCTATGGGGAAGTATATAGGGGATTTTGATTGGTAAATGTTTTGAAACTTAGTAGATATGAGTCATATGCACAATCACTCTCTTGGGTCTATTTTTAATTATTCAGGTTTCTCCTTAAAAACAGAATTAAGGAAGTCCAGACAGCCTTGATTGCACTCAATAAATACAGGCACACCTCAGAGATACTATGGTTCAGTTACAGAACACTGTGATAAAGCGAGTCTCAGGAATTTTTTTGTTTCCAAGTGCATATAAAAGTTATGTTTACACTATACTGTAGTCTATTAAGTGCGCTGTAGCATTATGTCTTTTTTTTAATGTACATATCTTAATTTAAAAATACTTTAGGCCGGGCACAGTAGCTCATGCCTATAATCCCAAAACTTTGGGAGGCTGAGGCAGGAGGATCACTTGAGGCCAGGAGTTTGATTAGCCAGATGTGGTAACTCGCGCCTGTGGTCCCAGCTGCTTGGGAGGCTGAGATTAGGAGGCTTGGTTGAG
This sequence comes from Homo sapiens, assembly GCF_000001405.40. Classification (NCBI taxonomy): domain Eukaryota; kingdom Metazoa; phylum Chordata; class Mammalia; order Primates; family Hominidae; genus Homo; species Homo sapiens. The sequence continues at coordinate 32,560,136 of NC_000007.14, forward strand.
CCCTGGAGGTTGAGGCTAAAGTGAGCTGTGATCACACCACTGTACTCCAGACTGGGTGACAGAGGGAGACTCTATTATTTTTTAAATAATAAATGTTTATTATTTAAAATTTAATAATTATTTTAAAAAAACAACAAAGTGAATAAAACTTAAATAATAATGTTAAAAGCACAATAAAGTGAAGTACAATTAATTATTAAATAATTTTTAATTTATTTAAATATAAATGAATAAAAATCCTTTGTTGTCATTTCAACAACATTCACCACATCTTCTTCACTAGGAGCAGACTCCATCACAAGAAACCACTCTCCTTATTCATCCCTAAGAAGCAGCTCCTCATCCGTTCAAGTTTTTATCAGTAGTTTGCAGCAATTCAGTCACATTTTCAGATTCCACTTCTAATTCTAATTTTCTTGCTGTTTCCACCAAATCTCCCCCAAGGTCTTGAACCCCCCAAAGTTATTCATGACAGGGGTATCAACTTCCTCCAAACTCCTGTTAATATTGATATTTTGACCTCCTCCTGTGAATCACAGATGTTCTTAATGGCATCTAGAGTAATGAATCTTTTCCAGAAGACTTTCAATTTACTTTGCCCAGATCCATCAAAGGAATCACTATCCATGGCAGCTATAGCCTTATGAAATGTGTTTCTTAAATAATAAGATTTGAAAGTCAAAATGACTCCTTGATCCATGGGCTCCAAAATGAACGTTGTGTTCCTAAGCATGAAAAACATTAATCTCCTTGTACATCTTCATTAGAGCCCTTAGATGACCAGGTGCATTGTCAATGAGCAGTAATATTGTGAAAGGAATCTTTTTTTATTTTCTTCTGAGTAGTAGGTCTCAACAGTGGCCTTAAATATACAGTAAACCATGCTGTAAAGAGATGTGCTGTCATCCAGGCTTTGTTTTTCCATTCTAGAGCACAGGCAGCAGATTTAGCATAACTCTGAAGGGCCCTAGGATTTGGGGAATGGTAAATCATCACTGGCTTCAACTTAAAGTCACCAGCTGCATTAGCCCCCAGTAAGAGTCAGCTTGTCCTTTGAAGCTTTAAAGCCAGGCATTGACTTCTTCCCTACCTACAAAAGTCCTAGATGGCATCTTCTTCCAATAGAAAGCTGTTTTGTCTTTATTGAAAATCTGTTGTATTCAAAATCTGTAATCACCTTCATCAATGACCTTAGCTAGATCTTCTGAATAACTTGCTACAGCTTCTTCATCAGCACTTGCTGCTTCACCTTGCACTTTTATGTTATAGAGACGGCTTCTTAAACATTGTGAGCTAACTCTGCTGGCTTCATACTTCTGCATCTTCTCAGCTCTCTCAGCTTTCATATAATCGAAGAGAGTTAAGGCCTTGCTCTAGATTAGGCTTTGGCTTAAGGGAATGTTCTGTTTGGTTTGATCTTCTATCCAGACCACTCAAACTTTCTGCATATCAGCAATAAGGCTGTTGTTTCACTTTCTTACCATTTGTGTGTTCACTGGTTTAAAAAACAAAACAAAACAAAAACAAAAACACTTTTAGTAGCACTTTTAATTTCCTTCAAAAACTTTTCTTTTGCATCGACAACTTGGCTAACTGTTTGGTGCAAGAGGCATAGATTTCTGTCTGTCTCAGCTTTTGACATGCCTTCCTTACTAAACTTAGTCATTTCTAGCTTTTGATTTCAAATAAGATGTGAGACTCTTACTTAAACACTTAGAGGCCATTGTAGGGTTGTTAATTGGCCTAATTTAAATATTGCTGCATCTCAGGGGATAGGGAGGCCTGAGGACAGGGGAAGAGACAGGAATGGCCAGTCAGTGGAGAAGTCAGAACACACACAACATTTATTAAGTTTGCTGTCTATGTGGGCGTGGTTCGTGTCACTCAAAACAATTACAATAGTAACATCAAAGATCACGGATCACAGATCAACATAACAAACACAATAATAAGGAAAACGTGTGAGATGTGAGAATTACCAAAATGTGACAGAGACAGGGAAGTGAGCACAGGCTGTTGGGAAAATGGCACTGACAGACTTGATGTTTGCAGGGCTGCCATAAACCTTCAGCTTAGAAAAAGCACAATAAAGTGAAGTACAATAAAAAGAGGTGCCTATGTATATTAAAATACTACAGTTTTAAAAGAAAAAAGCTTAGATGTCTAACTTATATCACTTATAAGTGAGGTAAGTTATAACTAACAAATACAAATATTATACATATGTATTTACTAAGTATACTTAACACATACACTTATTAACTGTACTTATATTAGTAAACTTCATTTGAATATAACTGTTTTGGCTAATTGTTCTAACCCTATTTTTTAATCTTTTTATAAAAACCATTCAGAATGTATTTGAAATTTTTTAATAACTTAAATGCAATATAGTAAATCAAATTGAATCTTTAATTCACAGTCTTTTCAGGATATCATTTCTTAATGTCAGTAATGCATTAAGATGAAGCAGTCAACTTCACTGGGTCAAAAGTTACACTGGACTGGACATAGCATCTCACACCTGTAATCCCAGCACTTTGGGAGGCCGAGGTGGGGAGGATTGCTTGAAACCAGGATCTAGAAACCAGCCTGTGCAACAAAGCAAGACGTCATCTCTACAAAAAAGTAAAAAAATTATCTGGACATGGTGGCATATGCCTGTAGTCACCGCTACTTGGGAGGCTGAGGCAAGAGGATCTCTTGAACCCAGGACTTTCAGGCTGCCATGAGCCATGACTGTGCCACTGCACTCCAGCCTGAGCTTTACAGTTTAGAGTAAGACCCTGTCTCTATATAAAAATAAATAAAGTTACACTGATGCTGAGTCACTTACATAGATTGGCATAGTATTTGCATATAACGTGTGCACATCCTTCCATATATGGTTTTTGTTGTGTTTTGTTTTGTTTTTGATACAAAGTCTTGTTCTGTCCCCCAGGCTGGAGTACAGTGGCGTGATGTCTGCTTACTGCAACCTCCACGTCCCAGGTTCAAGCGATTCTCCTGCCTCAGCCTCCCTAGTAGCTGGGACTACAGGTGCCCATCACTCTGCCTGGCTGATTTTTGTATTTTTAGTAGAGACAGGGTTTCACTATGTTGACCAGGCTGGTCTCAAACTCCTGATCTCAGGTGATCCACCCACCTTGGCCTCCCAAAGTGCTGGGATTACAGGCATGAGCCACTGTGCCCAGCCTCTCCCGTATACTTTAAATTACCTCTAGATTATTTATAATACCTAATGCAATGTAAATGCTATGTGAGTAGTTACTATGCTGGGGTTAATTTAGTATTATTATTTTTCTCAATATTTTTAATCCAAGGTTGGTTGAATCTGGTATGTGGGAACCCATGGATGTGGAGAACCAACTGTATTTCTTGCCCTTCCATGAGCCAGACACCATACTAGATTCTGAATTCTTGCCATCTGTGATCTTGCAGTCTACCATGAAAGGCAGTCTACCACCTTTTCAGTTACTAGAACAAAGTATTCTGTTTTTCCCTGAATACTGTCTGGTATCCATGAAGTGGTATTCCACTTTTATGTGGAAAAGAAAGATGGGTAGTGTTGGCTTGAACAATGTATGTATTCCTCTCCTATATTATTCGATAAATTATTTCTGGGTTTACCCAGCTTTGCAAAAATGTACTTGCCCAGAGTCATTGTTGGTGAATAGTTAATACAGAATGCCATCTTTGTTCATTTTGTAACCTGCTTGGGATTCTGAAATTATCTTAACTGATTTCATGATTAAATCAATGCAGTTTCTTAAAACTGGAATTTAAGAACTTGGGAGAAAACTCGGGTTTCTCAGACTACTGGTAAAGCAAGTAGCCACAAATTGCGGGCTTTCTGAGCTGTGTTATGACTTCCTATACCTTTCGGAGCCCTGACTTTGCTATTTCACCGACCTGCCCTCTAATTTTTACTATTGTGAAGATATCAAGAGGGAAATTAACTGTAGAGGGATTTAGGTTTTGTCAGGTTGCTGACAAAGCAATGTAAAGATGTATTTTGTGTCTTGTCAATAAAGCATGTTTAGCGGAATATTAGATTTGTGTGCCGTATACAATATCAGTATTAAATACGTGATGGGCTTACTAACATCCCTATAAAATATTTGTCTTTTTGGTTTTATGTTTTTTGAGTGTTTGGATGAAAATCTAATTTCTTTAATCACAGTTTCAAATGCCAATGCTGACTTTTTCATGTCAGTAACTTTGGAATATAAAATATTCTTAAAACCGAATTGTCTTTAGGCTTTTTTCTCTTGAAGATCTTAAAATCCTTGTACAGAAGGAATTAGGTTAGCAAAACATTTTGAAAATAATTTTAGAAATAGCCGGAGAGAAGCCTGGGTGCCTGGGGAATATTGCTGAAGTAGAGTAGTTATCATATGAATAAATGGAAACAAATTTCTACATAATAAAATAATTATTTCCGGAAGAAAGTCTTCAGCTTACCAACTTTCTAATCCTCTCTCTGGTACTTGAACTTGCCTGAGGTTGATGCCTTTCATGTCAGTTTCAGAGAGGAGGCTTACTATGTAAATGCTGTGAATACTAGCTTCTAAAATATCCTTCTCAGGAAAGCCTGAGAGCTGATTCAGGAAGTGTAGAGAAGAAACAGCTGCTAAGGAATAAGAGGCGGGGCTAGAGGCAGCTGTGGGGTAGGCTGCCTATAGGGTGATGGGAAGGCAACTGGGACACTGAAGGAGAAGTACGAAAATTAGAGGATGATTTGTGCCTGTGTAATATTTGTGCTCTGCTGCTCCATCACTTTCTAACCAGAGGAACATTGAAGTGGAATGAGGGAAGTGGAAAAAAAGATAACGAGGAAGATACAGTAGCTATTTTCTGATGTGAAAAGACAATCCTGAGGGCTTTTCTTCCATTCTTCCCTGATTTTAAGTCTTCCCATCTTGTTACTGAAAGTGTTCTGGAATTGGCTGCACATTGGAGCAAAATAGTTAGTGGAGGACTGGCCAGAAAGGACTGGAGCCCTTGGAGCTCGGAGTCCCACCTGACTTAATCTCATGCATCAATTTTCTCCCTCTTTTCTAGTTACGAGATTATTGCCATTATTTAGTAAAATTAATTGAGTCACTATAATAGAACTCTATTTAGAAATTACCTCAATGCGACTGGGCGTGGTGGCTCACGCCTGTAATCCGAGCACTTTGAGAGGCCAAGGCAGGCGGATCACCTAAGATCAGGAGTTTGAGACCAGCCTGACCAACATGGAGAAACCCCGTCTCTACTAAAGATACAAAATTAGCTAGGTGTGGTGGTGCATGCCTGTAATCCCAGCTACTTGGGAGGCTGAGGCAGGAGAATCGCTTGAACCCAGGAGGCAGAGGTTGCGATGAGTGGAGATCGTGCCATTGCACTCCAGCCAGGGCAACAAGAGCAAAACTCCGTCTCAAAAAAAAAAAAAGAAAGAAAGAAATTACCTCAATGCAATTATTGTCGATTAAAAAACTTTAAAACAGCCAAGGCAGAAGAATCACTTGAGCTCAGAAATTTGAGACCAGCCTGAGCAACATAGTGAGACCTCAGCTCTACTAAGTAAAGTCAAAAAATTAGCTGGAGCCAGGTGCGACGGCTCATGCCTGTAATCCCAGCACTTTGGGAGGCCGAGGCGGGCACATCATCTGAGGTCAAGAGATCAAGACCATCCAGGCCAACATGGTGAAACCCCATCTCTACTAAAAATACAAAAATTAGCTGGGCGTGGTGGCATACGCCTGTAGTCCCAGCTACTCAGGATGCTGAGGCAGGAGAATCACTTGAACCCGGGAGGCGGAGGTTGCAGTGAGCCAAGATCGTGCCACTGCACTCCAAAAAAAAAAAAGGCTGGGTGTGGTGGCATGTGCCAGTAGTCCCAGCTACTTGGAAGGCTGAGGTGGGAGGATCACTTGAGCTCAGGAGGTCAAGACTGCAGTGAGCCATGGTCATGTCAATGCACTCCAGCCTGGGCAAAAGACCAAGACCTCATCTCAACAAATTATTATTATTTTAAAAAAATTTTAATTATTATTATTATTTTTTTTTTTTGGAGACAAGGTCTCACCACTCTTGCCCAGCCTGGAATGCAGTGGTGCAATCTCGGCTCTCTGCAACCTCCACCTCCTGTGCTCAAGCGATCCTCCCACCACAGCCTCCCAAGTAGCTGGGACTACAGGCACCTGCCACCACGCCCAGCTAATTTTTTGTGGAGATGGGGTTTCATCATATTGTCCAGGCTGGTCTTGAACTCCTGAGCTCAAGCAGTCTGCCCACCCTAGCCTTCTAAGTAGCTGGGACTACAGGTGTGAGCCACCATGCCCAGCCAAAATAATAATGTTTAAGGCTAGTCAAATGAAGCACTGGGGATAGAGAATAAAAATAAAATAGTATATAAATACTAATATTTTAAAAAAGTTACCTACAATCTAGTAGGCCAAACAAATGTGACTTTTGGCCAGGTGCGGTGGCTCACACCTGTAATCCCAACACTTTGGGAGACCGAGGCGGGCAGATCACGAGGTCAGGAGATCGAGACCATCCTGGCTAACACGGTGAAACCCCATCTCTACTAAAAATACAAAAAAAGAAATTAGCCAGGCATGGTGGTGGGCGCCTGTAGTCTCAGCTACTCCGGAGGCTGAGGCAGGAGAGTGGCATGAACCCGGGAGGCGGAGCTTGCAGTGAACCGAGATCGCGCCACTGCACTCCAGCTTGGGTGACAGAGCCAGACTCCGTCTCAAAAAATAAATAAGTAAATGTGACTTTTAGTGTTTGAGAGATAGGGAAGATTATTTCAAGTATTGTTCTGTTTTGCTGAGTCTTAAAACTTTTCTAAAGAGCAGTAGCCATTTCTTTGTTTGGCTTTTATTATATCTGGTACTTTTTTAAAAAATACACAATTGCCTCCCCCAAAAGATGACTTAATTTATAATTCTCTTAAGTTTCATTTTATTTGTAACTTTGTTTGTTTGTTTTTGAGATAGAGTTTTGCTTTTCACCCAGGCTGGAGAGCAGTGGTGTGATCTCAGCTCACTGCAGCCTTGACCTCCTAGGCTCATGGGATCCTCCCACCTCAGTCTCCTGAGTAGCTGGGACCACAGATGCAGGCCACCATACCTGGCTAATTTTTGTATTATTGGTAGAAATGGAGTTTCACCGTGTTGCTCAGGCTGGTCTCAAACTTCTGAGCTCAAGCAGTCTGCCCGCCTTGGCCTCCCAAAGTGCTGGGATTACAGACATGAGCCACCACACCTAGCAAGTAATGCTACAATTTTAAAGCTGTTTTGAACTATTTTAAATAATTGTATAAATATGTAATGTTTCCACTTAGTTCAATATTTGAAAGATTTCAAAGCATCGCTAATAAAAAGTCTCCCTTCCATTTCATCCCCTGCTATCCAGCAGCCCTCTCCAGCGGCAGCCAACATTGTCACTGTCTTATGTTTGTTTTCTTCTGGGGGTATTCTATGCAGAAACAAATGCATATTTTCCCCTCCCTTTTTACAAATGGTAGCAGAATGTGCCCATTTTTGCCCTTTATTTTTTATTTATTTTATTTTATTTTTATTTATTTATTTATTTATTTTTGAGACAGAGTTTTGCCCTTGTCACCCAGGCTGGAGTGCCGTGATATGATCTCAGCTCACTGCAACCTCCACCTCCTGGTCTTTTCAAGCGATTCTCCTGCCTCAGCCTCTTGAGTAGTTGGGATTACAGGCACTCGCCACCACAGGTCCAGCTCATTTTTATATTTTTAGTAGAGACAGGGTTTCACCATGTTGGTCAGGCTGGTCTCAAACTCCTGAACTCAGATGATCTGCCCTCTTCAGCCTCCCAAAGTGCTGGGATTACAGGTGTGAGCCATCGCGCCCAGCCCTTTTTTTAATTTAATTTTTCTTTTTTCTAGACACAGTGTCTTACTATGTTGACTGGCCATTCTGGAACTCCTGGACTCAAGCAGGCCTCCCACTTTGGCCTCTCAAAGTGCTGGGATTACAAGTGTGAGTCATCGCGCCCAGCCCGCTTATTCTTTTTTTTACATCATATTCTTTTATTTATTTATTTTTTTTTTTTTGAGATGGAGTCTTACTCTGTCGCCCAGGCTGGAGTACGATGGTGCCATCTTGGCTCACTGCAACCTCCACCTCCTGGGTTCAAGCGATTCTCCTGCCTCAGCCTCCCAAGTAGCTGGGATTACAGGTGCCCGCCACCATGCCTGGCTAATTTTTGAAATTTTAGTAGAGACAGGGTTTCAGCATGTTGGCCAGGCTGGTCTCGAACTCCTGACCTCAAGTGATCCGCCTGCCTCAGCCTCCCAAAATGCTGGGATTACAGGCATGAGCCACCATGCCCAGCCCATAATATTCTTTGGAGATGAATATCATCACTGTTTATGGCTGCAGGTTCATTGTATGGATGAACATTTATTTAGTCCCCTATTCATGAAGAGTTTGGATTCGAGTTTTTTGGTATTGCATTTATTTTCATAAATATAATATCACATATGATATAATATTTGTAGGATACTGTAGGATAAATTACAAGTAGAATGCTGGGCCAAAAGGCATACATATTTATAAATTTTTAAAGGATTTTTAAACATTTCTTGAAAGCTTTGACCTACTTTTTAAAAACATACTTTTTAGTTTTGTTATTATTATGAAATATAATACTGATTCTGAATGAGGAGCCTGGGTTGAGAAGCTCTATACTGAGCATCTCTAATGCAAAGGTATAGATTTATTTTTGCTGCTTCTGTTAGGGTCTGATCAAGCAACAAAAGACATTTTCAAGAGTAAGAATATAACCAAATTACCAGACATATATTCCAACTTTTGGAAGTCTTCCCTTTCATGTTAAGTATTTAACAACCACCTGTTAGTTACACACAAAGCGCTCTCCTAGTTGGAATAAAGAATATCAAGTTGCAAAGCGGATATCCCCTGCCTTCAGAGAGATTTGTCTCATGATGTAAACACGATATTATCCAGATGACATAATTCTGTGTTTTAAAAAGTGATGAGATGTAAAAAAATAAAACTTATAGAACTTGAGGCTGAAAACAAGTTGAGGGGCTCAGTGAGTCTGCCTTCCTGGCTGTATATACAAGTCATGCCACTTGTTGAAAACCCATTCTGATTTAGAATCTTTCAGCAGAAATTGCATATCTTCCTTCAGTCAATCATTCCAGTGTTAACACTTGTACTCTCAGGAAGTATGCTGGATTTTTTCTATACTTAGATGCCTGCTGCAGTTTAGCAATTCCACTGTAATTTTTGGAGCAATGCTGTTTTCAAATAAAATTCAAATGGAAATTAATTAAATACACAGATACTACCAGTGTCATTTTTGCTTTAAATATTTAGTAACAAATATCTTGAAATCTTTTTGCATGATTTTTAACATAGGACGGTATAACAAATGCTATGTAGTACCTTGCTGTTCTCCTAATAGTGCTTCGGTGGTTATGTGCAGATGCATGTATTTTAAATTTTTAACAGCCTTCTACTAAACAACGTACTTACTAACAGGCTTAATGCTTCATTTCCTAAGTGAAAAGGTTCAATTCATTAGTTACTGTGGAGACTTTTAAATTGAATGAGAACAAAGTGATCAAGAAAGACAACCTTCATATTAAACCACCTTGCCAAGATTTGACCATTCATGGAGACAATTAGCTAATCATTAACTGGACTTACTGTAGTCAAGACTTGAAGTTCCCCTGGAATATTATTTTATTGAGTCAAAGATTAGCTGACTTACAGACAGGGCAAGGAAGAATGGAAGTTTCTTTTCCTACTGTTAGCTCACTAAGTTTAAAGAGAAAGGTAACCTTTTACTTTTCTGATATTTTCTATTACTCTTCTAATTCATAGGGATATCTGTGTTTGCCTTACATGGCATTGCAGCAGCATCATCTTCTCTCCGATGTCACCGTTCGGGGGTTTGTTGCTGGAGCTACTAACATCCTTTTTCGACAACAGAAACACCTCAGTGATGCCATTGTGGAAGTACGTTTATGTGTGAGTGTGTGTATTTGGCCCTGCTCATCCCAGTTTTCCTTTCTTAACTACAATTATGAATACATAGTAACAACATTAGTAATGATAATAACTGCATACTGTATGCCATGTATTCTAAGTATTTTATGTGTATTAACTGGTCTAATTCTCATAAAAACACAGTCAATAGCACTGTCCTATCCACATTTTATACCTGCAGAGGCTAAGTAACAGAGAGATGAAGTGATTTGTACAATATCAAACAGCCAGTAAACAGGTAAACCAGGATTCCAACCTGGGCAACTGGGCCTACCACTACCTCATGATTTTTAACATGTGTTTGTTGTTTAAGTAATTTCAATCCTTCTAGCCTGTTTAGAATGCTCTTGATACCAAGACGAAAGCTAGGAATAAATATTTGACATCAATATATACGAAATTCAAATCATTTGTTATTTTACAACTGAAATAATCTTTTTTCTTTTTTTTTTTTGAGACAGTTTCGTTCTTGTTGCCCAGGCTGGAGTGCAATGGCGCGATCTCGGCTCCATGCAACCTCCACCTCCTGGGTTCAAGCAATTCTTCTGCCTCAGCCTCCTGAGTAGGTTGGATTACAAGTGCCCGCCACCACGCTCGGCTAATTTTTTCTATTTTTAGTAGAGATGGGGTTTCACCATGTTGGCCAGGCTGGTCTCGAACTCCTGACCTCAGGTGATCCACCCACCTCGGCCTCCCCAAGTGCTGGGATTACAGGCGTAAGCCACCGCGCCCAGCCTGAAATAATTTTTGAGAAATTTTATGAGGCTCGGCGCAGTGGCTCACGCCTGTAATCCCAGCACTTGGGGAGGCCGAGGTGGGTAGATCACCTGAGGTCAGGAGTTCGAGACCAGCCTGGCCAACATGGTGAAACCCCATGTCTACTAAAAATACAAAAAAATTAGCCAGACATGGTGGTGCATGCCTGTAGTCCCAGCTACTCGGGAGGGTGAGGCAGGAGAATCACTTGAACCTTGGAGGTGGAGGTTGCAGTGAGCCAAGATTGCACCACTGCACTCCAGCCTGGGTGACAGAGTGACCCTGTCTCAAAAAAAAAAAAAAAAAAAGCCAGCTGCAGTGGCTCAAATCTGTAATCCCAGCACTTTGGGAGGCTGAGGCGGGTGGATCATGAGGTCAGGAGTTCAAGACCAGCCTGCCCAACATGGTGAAACCCCGTCTCTACTAAAAATACAAAAATTAGCTGGGCATGGTGGCAGGTGCCTGTAATCCCAGCTACTTGGGAGGCTGAGGCAGGAGAATCGCTTGAACCCGGGTGGTAGAGGTTGCAGGGAGCCGAGATCGTGCCACTGCACTCCAGCTTGGGCGATAGAGTGAAATTCTGTCTCAAAAAAAAAAGAAGAAAAAAAATTCACCCACACTAAGGTTTTTGTAGTTTCTGACAGAAAGTATGAAAACATGTTTCTTGGGTGAATGGTTATAATATAATGAAAGTCCAGGATTCAAAGATGTATTTATTATAATCCCAAATTTGAAGAAGAAAAAGTACATTTTCCAAGACAGGAGGATACAGATGGGAGGACCATAAAGCTGCTTCAACATTATTGGTTACATTCTAGTTCTGTAGTTGGTTGGTGGGTGCGTAGGAATTTTTTTTATTATTATACTTCAAAACTAACCTGTACGTTACATGTATTTTTTAGTATATCAAATATTACATAATAAGACATTCTAAAGTATCTGGCCGGGCACAGTGGCTCACGCCTGTAATCCCAGCACTTTGGGAGGCCAAGGTGGGCGGGTCACAAGGTCAAGACATCGAGACCATCCTGGCTAACATGGTGAAATCCCATCTCTACTAAAAATACAAAAATTAGCTGGACATGGTGGCAGGTGCCTGTAATCCCAGCTACGCGGGAGGCTGAGGCAGGAGAATCGCTTGAACCCGGGTGGCAGAGGTTGCAGGGAGCCGAGATCGTGCCACTGCACTCCAGCTTGGGCGATAGAGTGAAATTCTGTCTCAAAAAAAAAAGAAAAAAAAAAAATTCAGCCACACTGAGGTTTTTGTAGTTTCTGACAGAAAGTATGAAAACATGTTTCTTGGGTGAATGGTTATAATATAATGAAAGTCCAGGATTCAAAGATGTATTTATTATAATCCCAAATTTGAAGAAGAAAAAGTATATACATTTTCCAAGACAGGAGGATACAGATGGGAGGACCATAAAGCTGCTTCATCATTATTGGTTACATTCTAGTTCTGTAGTTGGTTGGTGGGTTCGTAGGAATTTCTTTTATTATTATACTTCAAAACTAACCTGTAAGTTACATGTATTTTTTAGTATATCAAATATTACATAATAAGATATTCTAAAGTATCTGGCCGGGCATGGTGGCTCACGCCTGTAATCCCAGCACTTTGGGAGGCCGAGGTGGGCAGGTCACAAGGTCAAGACATCGAGACCATCCTGGCTAACATGGTGAAATCCCATCTCTACTAAAAATACAAAAAATTAGCCGGGCGTGGTGGTGGGCGCCTGTAGTCCCAGCTACTCAGGAGGCTGAGGCAGGAGAATGGCATGAACCCAGGAGGCAGAGCTTGCAGGGAGCCAAGATTGTGCCATGGCACTCCAGCCTGGGCGACAGAGCAAGACTCCGTCTCAAAAAAAAAAAAAAAAGAATATTCTAAAGTATCTGCACGCAAAAGAAAAAGTATTTAAGGAATTATACTTGTTAAATGTGTTCATTTCTGCTAGTGAAATAAAGGTGATTTTTACATGTATTTCTATATTTTCCCAAATATTTGCAATCTAGGTGAGTAATTTTGTAATTTAAAATACTATATTTATGTGTGTATTTTCTAAAAACAGAAAATGAGCATTTTATAAATAGAAAGAAAACTTCAGTGTACAAACCTCTTTCTTAGACTCACCTTTTGAGAATGCCATTATTCATATTTTTTATTTCCAGCTCCACCTTCCCCGTAGTTACTCTGTAAAGTGTGGCATGGATGTCTGCGTGAATGCCCAGACTCTGACTTGTACCTGGATACCCTCTAGGTAGAAGAAGCTCTGATCCAGATCCATGATCCAGAACTCAGGAAGCTGCTTAACCCAACCACTGCAGACCTAAGGTTCGCAGACTACCTAGTGAGGCACGTGACTGAGAATCGGGATGACGTCTTCCTAGATGGCACGGGCTGGGAGGGAGGTGACGAATGGATCCGGGCCCAGTTTGCGGTCTACATTCATGCCCTGCTGGCTGCCACACTGCAATTAGGTAAGAAACCACACGGAGCCTACAGCTACCTGTTTTATTATAATTTTTCATTTTGTAACATTTATGAGATTTTGGATTGCACAATAAATACATATTCCTTATAGAAAAATTACCAGTTATTCCCTCATACAAAGATAGCCACTTTTAACGTCTTTAGTACTTTATAGCCTTGCAAATCTTTTCCTATGCATGTATTTTGGATTTTGGTTTTATGGTACTTTTGGTGGTCCTTTTACAAAAATGGATCCCTTTATACATGTTTTCTGAAACTATTACTTTATAATAGAAACAACACATACCAACATAACATGAACATATATCATCACTTTTACATGACTGCTTCATATTCATCAGTATTTGGCAGCTGTTTGTGAATACTGCCACATGTTTTTTAAGATGTATAAAGGGAGAAAGAATATAAAAAATAGAAATCATTGAAAATCGTGTTGTAAATGATTAAATCTTCAAATTTATAACCCATTCTAAGAAATATTATTATTCGTATTAAATGGTTAAAATGGAGCAGGTAAACATGGAGTTACTCCTGCATTAAAACTATCTCATTCTCCTTGGGAAAGAAATATATAAATAGTGAAAATGGAGCTCTGCAGTGAGCTTTTCACCTTGGACATTTGGCAGATATTTATTAGAGTTGTTAAAAATGTGTTGAGCTTGTGTTTTTGTTTCAGTTAACTAACCATTATTTTTTTAATTGTGATGAAATACACATAGCATAAAATTTACCATCTTTACCATTTTTAAATGTACAGTTCCACAGTGGCATTAGATACATTCATTGTTGTATCAGTAGATTTTTTTAATCAACACCACCACCACATGCTCCCAGGTTAGTTGTTTACAGTGCACATAGGAGTTTTAAAGTAGGTTTCGGGAGAGTTTTTCATTTGTAAAAGACAGCTGAGGAACAAGCCCTCGTTTGTTAATGAGATATTTTTAAATGTTTGCCACCACTAACAATGTAGCAGCTGAGACACCAAAATTAAATCCTTTAACCCCAAATCATTTGGTAATCTAGAAAGAAAACTTCAGTCTCCACTGCCATGTAGCTTAATTAATTTGCTTTTAAGCAAATTAATTAATTTGCTTTTTTAAAAATATTTGCCCAGGAGGCTGTAAGCACTGAATAATAGTAGCTCACTTTTTTTTTTGAACATTAAATATATGCAGGGACCAGTGTTCTGAGCACTTTACATCTAGTAATTCATTTCATCCTTACAGCAATCCTGAAGGTAGGGACCTTGTCATTGCCTTTTACAGAAGAGAAAATGAAGCTCACAGAGGTTCATAAGAGGCTTAGGTGGGATCTGATCCCAAACAGTTTGGCTTAGGCCCATACTCTTACAAGTAACAAGGTCAAAAGAGGAAATTCAGCCCAATGAACTGCTTGAGGAAGTGTTCTTAGAACAACTTCTTTATGCTGTGTATGGAACTGTGTATCTCATTCATTTCCTTTCCTAGCAACAAAAGGTACTTTGTATTTCACCTTCAAAGTAAACAACATGCAATTAATATATGAAGTAATAGCCATTTGTATCAGTTCTCCAAACCATTTCTAATCTTCCAAGCGGAGGAAACACATATGGATGCTTTCCCATGGTATTGATAAAGCTGAAAACTTTATCAGTTTTCAGTATATTCTTTTAAGACTTTTTTTGTTTTGTTTTGTTTTGTTTTTTGAGACAGAGTCTCGCTCTTGTTGCCCAGTCTGGAGTGCTGTGGCATGATGTTGGCTCACTGCAACCTCCATCTCCTGGTTTCAAGTGATTCTCTTACCTCAGCCTCCCGAGTAGCTGGGACTACAGGTACCCGCCACCACGCCTGGCTAATTTTTGTATTTCTGGCAGAGACAGGGTTTTGCCATGTCGGCCAGGCTGGTCTCGAACTCCTGACCTCCAGTGATCCGCCCTCCTCGACCTCCCAAAGTGCTGGGATTACAGGCATGAGCCACTGCACCTGGCCTTTTTTAAGTGTTTTTGACAGTGAAATGCTAGGAAATTCAAGAATGAAACACCAAATAAAGTCCAAAGGAGAGAACATCATGACTGAAAGAACCAATTTGTGTATTCATTCTTAATCTTTTTTTTTGTAGAAAAATGACATTTATAAAAAAGTAGAAAGATATCCCAATTGCCTGTGCCATACATATCAATCAGTATGTTTATTCACTGTCAAGCATACAGTTTTTGATTAATTAATACTATCCTCATAATGGTAAGGAGAATATGGAAATATTTTGGAGTTGTAAGGAACCTTGGAAAATATCTGGCTCAACCCTCTTATTTTCCAGTTAGGAAAATGAAGTTCTGAGTGATTAAGTGACTTGCCAAAGGCCACATAGCTCCTTAACAGGATTTCTGGAACTAGACCCAAGTTTCCTGACATCTGGTAGGCTATCTCCCCACAAATATGGGAGGGCAAGGGGATAAAGTCGTTCCTTTACCCTTTTTGGTTATAATCTTCACATCCCTGAATGGCTACAGCCCAGCTCAACTTCTTTCAAACATTTACTTGACAGACAATGAAAAGATATTATCGGACTATGGGACAACTTTTGTTACAGCATGGAAGAATACTCACAACTACAGGGTGTGGAACAGCAACAAGCATCCAGCACTTGCAGAAATAAATCCAAAGTAAGCGCGTCCTCTGAAGATTGATAGTACATAAATGGTTGGTTTACGAGTGCCCAATACAGAGAAAAATCTATTTTAACTTTGATATTGTGAATATCCTCAAGAATCCCCTTAAGTAGGTCATAAAAAGGCTCCCAAATATAGAGAAACAGCTTAGAAACTGCTTCCATATTCAGATTGTTATACAAAAAGCATGAGCATTATGGGAAGCACTAACATTTCCCTGGCTCTCGATGTGATTCAGAGAGGAAGTCCCTGGCACTTGGTGATGCTCAGTACACAATGATTCTTCTCTTTCTCCCTGGAGCTGTTCTTTAACAGAATGGTTCAACAAGATAGAATCCTAGAAGGAAATACCACTGGTTTACTGCATGAGTAAAATTAGGAGGCAATTTTAAAACATGACATATGCGAAACCAATTAAAGTTAATATCTGAAGCTGGGCTCATGCCTGTAATCCCAACACTTTGGGAGGCCGAGGTGGGCAGATCACCTGAGGTCGGGAGTTCAAGACCAGCCTGGCCAACATGCTGAAACCCATCTCTACTAAAAATACAAAAAAAATTAGCCAGACGTGGTAGTGGGCGCCTGTAATCCCAGCTATTTGGGAGGCTGAGACAGGAGAATCCCTTGAATCCAGGAGGTAGAGGTTGCAGTGAGTCAAGATCATGCCATTACACTGCAGCCTGGGTAACAAGAGGGAGACTTTGTCTCAAAAGAAAAAAAAAAGTTAATATTTGGACTCCTGGATATATGGTCATACCTGGTTTCCACATCAGACTCTAAAATTCAACAAAACTTAATACCTGCTGTAATACTGAATGTTGATGATGAAGGCTTTATCCCACATAGGCATAAAAGGCCATTGATTACAGCCATTATGAAACAATAACATCTGAGTGTGAATACAACAGAGAGCATTGAAGGAGATCAGTTGATATAGTGTATACAGGAACTTGTTTTCTAAATTAAAAGATAAGGCCAGGCACAGTGGCTCACGCCTGTAATCCCAGCACTTTGGGAGGCTGAGGCGGGTGGATCACAAAGTTAGGAGATCAAGACCATCCTGGCTAA
The DNA here is from genome assembly GCF_000001405.40 of Homo sapiens. NCBI lineage: Eukaryota > Metazoa > Chordata > Mammalia > Primates > Hominidae > Homo > Homo sapiens. Next base: position 32,577,147 of record NC_000007.14, read on the forward strand.
TGATGTGAAAACCCTGTATCTACTAAAAATACAAAAAATTTAGCCAGGCGTGGTGGTGGGTGCCTATAGTCCCAGCTATTTGGGAGACTGAGGCAGGAGGATTACTTGAACCCACGGTTTCGAGGCCAGCCTAGGCAACATAATGAGACCCCATCTTTTAAAGTACTAGGTTCAACACCAATTTTGGTGAATTTAATCATCATACTTGGCTATAGCAGAAACCTATATTGCCATTTGAATATAGTAAAAACAGAATTAAAAGGCAAAACCATTTTAATAGTATTAAATGAAAGGGCTGAGTTCAAAGTGTTCTCCCTCACTGACAACAAAGTCTCTATTCTCAGCGTGCTGAAGGGAAACAGATGTGGAGGTGCTTAGCAGGGTGGCACTCACAGGGTGGTGCTGGGAAGGCAGGTCGGCCTTGACTGTCCAAGCAGTCAACATGCAGAGCCATCCTAGTCTCCTCCCTGGGCCCTGCACTGGGAGGCCTGGTCAGATCTTTATCTGTCACTACATCTGGTGCTTTTAACTTGAACCAGCTCTATAGATGTTAGTGCAGGTCCAAAAGAGACTTAGCTGAAATGAGTTTTAAAAGGATTATGAAATAGTGCTTAGAAGAACATGTGAAGAAGTTGAGCCTATTTAGATTGAAAAGAAGGCTGAAGAAGGACTTGTTAACTGAAATATATAGGTAGGGAAATCATGCAGATATGATAGTGCAGGCCAAGGGAGAACTTCCCTTTCATCCTCTGAAGGGTCACTGGAAAGTCAGCTGACAAAAGGCAGATTAATAGGAGAAATGGCATGCAAATTTGTTAATGTGCATGAGGGAGAGCTACAGGGTGATTGGACTGTGTACCCAAGCTCGTGTACCCAACCCGCCAACAGGGTACACAAGTTTATATACATACCATCTTCAGGTTACAGAAAGAATTGGGGGCTTGGAGCATGGCCAAAAACAGGTTATGGTGGTAAGTCAGGTTATAGTGGCAAGACAGGTTGTGGGAGGGAGAAGAAAGGAGGCCTGGCTAGCAGAGTTGGTCTTGTTATAGAGATAAAACTTCACAGGTAGCAGCCCTCAGAGAGAATTGATGGTAAATGTTTCTTTCAGACCTTTAAAGGTGTCAGACACTCGGTTCATCTTTCCTATATCTTGATATTGGAGGGCCTCAGAGCAAACCAGGCTGCATTAATGCAGATTTTCTCTACAGATGCAAATCTACCCCCAAAAAGACAGCTTTTCAGTAATTCTTGCATTTCCAGCCTTTCTGAATAGCCATCTTGAAATACATCAAAGAAGTATATTTTGGGGTGAAATAGTTTAGTTTTCTTCAATAGCAAATTTTCAACATTTTTACCAAATTAAAAATAACAAATGTGGCCAGGCCTGGTGGCTCACGCCTGTAATTCTAGCACTTTGGGAGGCTGAGGTGGGCGGATCACGTGAGCTCAGGAGTTCAAGACCAGCCTGGGCAACATGGTGAAACCCTGTCTCTACTAAAAATACAAAAAAGTAGCCGGGTGTGGTGGTACATGCCTGTACTCCCAGCTACTCAGGAGGCTGAGGCAGGAGAATCGCTTGAACCTGGGAGGCAGGTTGCAGTGAGCTGAGATTGCGCCACTGCACTCCAGCCTGGGTAACAGTGAGACTCTGTCTCAAAAAAATAAAATGAATGCTAGACGTCTGTTGTTATCAGAGGGTGTCATTTAGAAATATTTCAAACTAATTATAACTTTTGAGAAGTATGAAACCCTTTAACTCCTAAAGATTAGGGAAGGCAGCATTCTAACTTAACAAGCAGCAGGTGTATTTCATCCCTTAAATACAGCCATGCCAGGAACACAGAGAATGATCAAGTGATGTGTCCGTATTTCAATCCTGTGATTCAGGAATCCAAGAAGAAGAAGTGTCACATATACTTACTTTGGGCCATGAAGAGTAGTTTGTTATCATTTGAAGAACCATTAATTTTATAAGCAGCTATGGATTTTACTAGGGTCACTTTCTTTGTTAGACCTTGACAGAGGGACCCCTGAGATAAGAATTGGATATTTATTGACCCCTCCATTTTATGTGGTTAAGTTGCTTGATTTTTTTCCTACTGCCTGTATAATTGCAGAATGCCTGATTTTATATATATATATGTATTATATATATTATATATTATATATATTTTATATAATATATATAACACATATTTTATATAATATATAACATATATAATATATGTTATATAACATATTATATGTTATATATTATATATAATATGTTATATATATAATATATATATTATATATAATATATTATATATTATATATAATATATTATATTATATATAATATATTACATATTATATATTATATATTATATTATATATTATATATTATATTATATATTATATATTATATATTATATTATATATTATATTATATATTATATATTATATATTATATATTATATTATATATTATATATATATAATACACTTTTTTCTTTTAATATAATGGAAATAGGGAAGTCTGAATAATGTATTTTCTTACAAAAATAATGATAGTGCTGTTTTTTTTTAAGACCTGCCTTTTGAGTTGCTTTTCTAACAGAAAGTAGAGATTTTGTTGATCCATCCACAAATCTTTGCATAACCAATAGCACACATTTATAAGATGGCCAGGATCAAGGTATGATCTATGACCATGTCCTAAAACCAGTGACTCACCTTGACTGTCCTGGGGAGCTTGTAAAAAATGTGTTGATGTTTGAGCCCCACCCAAGACAGACCAAATAAATTAGAATGTCAGGATAGCACTAAAACAGGCTATACACACACAAAACAGACAACACACCTGTTTTACAAGTGAGGAAACTAAAGCTCAGAGGGGTTAAGTAATCTTTTCTGGATGTCGTCACTGTAAGTGGAGAGCTGTGACCAAAGCCAAGTTTCCCGATACCAAACACAGCACTACCACCCAGCTGTGTTGTCCATGAGAAGTTTACTAATATTTTCTTGTGATAACTCTTTTTGCAGCCTTTTTGGTAAAATACTGATAGTTTAAACTCAAACTTTTTTTACAGCCATCCATTTCAAGGCCAATACTCAGTATCAGACATGAAGTTAAGGTTCTCACAGTAAGTACTTAGAGAAAATACTGGGAAAATTCTTAAGTCTGAATTTATGCCATGTGTTTCATTGCTAATTGGGAATTGTTTTTCTCTACTTGATAGACTTATGCTTCAAATAGTAACCAAATATGTGCATAACATTCTTTAGCTCAGCAGTGTGTATGTTTCAAAGTGAGAACACCACTGTTTCATACAGGATGGTGTGAACTAATAACAGGATTTACCATTTTTATTTTGGTGAAGTGCTTTTAGCAAGCCGTGGCTGTCGGAGAGATGCAGCCATACATACATCCTTATGTCCTCACCACTTTTTGGTTCATCTGTATGTTCTTCTCGTGTATTCTGAAAATGCACATGCTTAAAAGGTTAATAAATTAATTCATAACAAATAATAATTTAGCTTCTTTTCTCAGTAATTCTAATTTTGGATGGTTACAGAGTGACTATTGTGTGTGTGTCTATATGTGTCTGTGTGCGTGTGTGAGATTTTTTTAAAATTGTACCTAACACTTCTTTTATCTTATCTTTTACCCAGTTCTGTTCAGAATAGTGAACGTGGCAAAAAAATTGGAAACGTCATGGTCACAACTAGCCGGAATGTTGTACAAACAGGAAAAGCTGTTGGTAAGACATGCCTTTAGCCAGGAACAAATTGGAATCACAACACATCCATTTTCTATCTTTAATATGTAATTGATAAAACAAACATAAAGTTGTAAAGATCTGTGTTATCACATAGTAATACAAGAGTTTTTTAAATTTTTGTCATATTCATTTGAAAAATTCCAAATTCCAAATGGTCAAACTCCATTATCTAATAGAGAGTGACAAAATTTTCTGATGAAGTCACTGTTTTGCTACCAAGATTCAAGCTGCACCAGAGTTTTCTTCCCCCATTCCCTGTGCTGTCCACAGTTCTTTATAAATGGCAGAGACTCATAATAAAAGTAGGTATTAGGAACTGCTATCCTCTAAGGTAGTATTACACAATAAAGAAAATGAAGCCAACAGTTGGTTTTTCAAAAAGATCAACAATATTTATAAAATCTGGTAAAGATAAAAAGAAAGAAGGTACAAATTACCAACGTTAGGGATGAAAGAGGGACATTACTGTAGCTCTTACAGAAATTAAAAGAACAGAAAATAGGGGAATATTGTGAACAACTTTATGCTAACCAGTTTAACAACATAAATGAAATATACAAATTTTTTTAAAGATTCGCATTACCAACACAGTTGCAAAAAGAAAATATGAATAGCCCTATTATCTATTAAAGAAATTGGGCCGAATGCAGTGGCTCATACCTGTAATCCCAGCACTTTGGGAGGCTGAGGTGAGAGGATTGCTTGAGTCCAGGAGTTCAAGACCAGCCTGGGCAACATAGTGAGACCCCATCTCTAAAAAAAAATTTAAAAAGTCAGTAGGCATGGTGGTGTGTGCCTGCAGTCCCAGCTACTTGAAAGGCTGAAGTGGGAGGATTGCTTGAGCCCAGGAAGTCAAGGCTGCAGTGAGCAGTCCAGCCTGGGTGACAGGGCAAGAGTCTTAAAGAAAGAAAGAAATTAATTGAATTTAACGTGAAAAGCCTTGCCATAAGGTTTTTAATTTAAACCAGGCTGCCCAGGTGGCTTCAGTTTGAACTCTGTCAAATGTTTAAGGAAGAAATACTAGTTTTACACAAAATCTTTAAATAAGGTAATACTCCCCAACTCATTGGATGAGGCCAATATTAGTATCAAAGTCAGACAAATGGTAGCATGCTCTTCTGCACCTAGCTGTTTTCGCTTAAAATATTTTGAATATTGTTCCACATCAGTTCTAAAATTTTTCATTCCTTTTCTATATTTTTAACTTTTTATTTTGATGTAGTTTCAAACCTGAACATTGCAACAGTGCAAGAAACTCCCAATTATCTTCTGATTCACCAATTATTTACATTTTGCCCCATCTGCTTTGTCATACAATGTGTTGTAAAAATAGGGCATTACTACTTCCCTAGCTTCTGAAAGAGGTTGACTAACCGTTACTGAACACAATTCAAAAGCCCCAGAACTAAGTAATCTTTGTGTAGGTGTCCTTATATCCCTAGTTTTCTGAATACCTAGAGAGAGACAGAAAACTCTACAGACTCATTTGTAAAGACAACACACAGCGCTACCACTAGATTAGTTTTATTGCAAAGGAATGGAATTTAGCACACAAACATTTATTTCCAAACAATATGCCTTTGGCTTATTTTGAATTTTTATTTTTTAATAGAAAAACTATGCTATATTATAGATTATTATAGATACATCATTATACGTTATTATTTTTTAGTGATGCTGCTACTGATAGTTAAATTCTAAAGCCAAATCTCTTCTATACTCTTCTGTCCAAGAATAGTGGGAGTGTATTAGTCAACTTAAATAATTTCACTTAGCATCACCTTTTTTTCCTGAGACAGGGTCTCACTCTGTTGCCCAAGCTGAAGTGCAATATGGTGCGATCTTGGCTCACTGCAATCCCTGCAACCCCTGGCAGGATCCTCCTTCCTCAGCCTACCAAGTAGCTGGGACTACAGGCATGTGCCATCATGCCTGGCTAATTTTTCTATTTTTTGTAGAAAGAGGGTTTCGCCATGTTTCCCAGGCTGTCTCGAATTCTTGGACTCAAGCTAACCACCCGTCTCGGCTTCCCAAAGTGCTGGGATTACAGGTGTGAGCCACCATGCCTGGCCTAACATCAACTTTTGAGATACTGTTCTATAAAACACAATAGACCTGGGGCAGATAGAGCTCTATACATCTTTGTGTAACATAACTTCATTTTAGATGACAAAAGCACATTTCCCTACAACAGTCTAACCACTCTTCCCTGTTTAGATGGTTATTGATTATCAAGTTGGTATTGAAGATACACAAAGCAGTTTGACTTTTTAAGCTCTCTAATAATTCTGATACATAGCCAGTGTTGCTAGCACTGAGGGTATTAAAGAAACAGTTTGATGAATACTTTCAGAATGCTGAGGCAAGTAGGTGCCTACGCTAAAAAATCATCTATTTTTCCTTAAGACATTCCCATGGAAAGGGATTGTTTTGAAACTAAAAATTTAAATGATATTTTGGCTACTATTAACATATTGATGTGTTCTAGTGAATTAACATTTATTGGCTGGGCACAGTGGCTCACACCTGTGATCCCAACACTTTGGGAGGCTGAGGCAGGAGGATCAGTTGAGCCAAGTGTTTAAGACCAGACCCTGTCTCTACAAAAAATCAAAAAATTACCCAGGTGTGGTCACACAGGCCTGTGGTCCTAGCTACTTGGGAAGCTGAGGTGGGAGGATCACTTGAGCCTAGGATGTCAAGGCTGCAGGGAGCCGTGACCACTGCACTGCACTCCAGCCTGGGCGACAGAGTAAGACGCTGTCTCAAAAAACATTTTTTTAAATTTTTAATTAAAAATGTATTAATTATGTTGGTCTTTCACTGTCTCGTAACAAAAGTTAAGACATTTTTCCTTTTGTTTTTCTCCTCTCCATCCAGGCCAGTCAGTTGGAGGAGCTTTTTCCAGTGCAAAGACAGCTATGTCTTCATGGCTTTCCACTTTCACCACTTCCACCTCCCAAAGTCTCACTGAGCCACCAGATGAGAAGCCTTGAGCAAGGCGTCAGAGGCTGCTATTGCTTTCTGAGGTTTAAGTGTCCCCTGTCTGTCTGCTGCTCCCAGGCTGTTACTAGCCACAGATCCACAGCAGGGGACCATATGTCGAACTGTTTACATGGATGTTGCTCTAAGTGAATGTTTCGGGATGCCGAAATGATGAAATCACAGCCATAGCAGGGATGGCTTTCCAGGTTGGGGTTTCAATTGACTACTTTTATTTCAGTCTGAGCCTGATTAAAACATACAGTGAACCTTCTAATGAATTTTGAGTTCTGATATTGTACATTGGTTTACTTTAGAAGAGTTTTTACTTATGTAAATTTTGTTCTGTTTTGGTGTTTGAATATCTAGATGGTCACTGTAATTTATACTTGCTAAAATTAATTTATATTACCATTTTCTCTAAAGTTGGCCTTAAAACGTGCTTATAAAGTGAAGGGGTCATACAGTTGGGCCTTCATTATTTTGCTGAATTATGTGATGATTTTTTTGCTTTCTACCCACAAAACATTTATTAATTCACTTCCTCCCAGAAACATGAAAGTTAGAGGTGGTAGTTCTGAGGATTGGGTGTTTTGTTTTACGTTTTTAGTTTGTTCTTTCCACATCCTTAAAAACTTGGTTTCAGACATCAAGGAGTATCACTGTGCTTTCCTCCTCTTTATAACTGTGCAGGTGGGTGTGCAGAGAAATAGCAGAGTGATGGTTCGATGATACTGAAGCAGTTTAACATGAATGTGTCTGTAGGGCAATACTTTCAAAGAAGACCTATGTGTTTATTTTTCAACCGCAGTCATGTTGCAGTCTTACAAGCACTTTTTTTTTATTCCAGAGTTTGTGCCATCTGTTTCTCTTTTTTTTTTTGGGGGGGGGGGGGGGGCGGGGTCTCACTCTATCGCCCAGGCTGGAGTGCAGTGGTGCCATCTCGGCTCACTGCAACCTCCATCTCCCGGGTTCAAGCAATTCTTGTACCTCAGCCTCCCAAGTAGCTGGGATTATGGACATGCGCCACCATGCCCAGCTAATTATTGTATTTTTAGTAGAGACGGGGTTTTGCCATGTTGGCCAGGCTGGTCTTGATCTCCTGGCCTCAAGTGATCTGCCCGCCTCAGCCTCTCAAAGTGCTGGGACTACAGGCATGAGCCACTGCGCCTGGCCTGTTTCTTTTTTAAACAGTTTTCTATTGGGTGTTTGCAGACCTACAGCTTTTCTCGTAGTCTTATTCATAAAGCTTTTCAAAGCACTTAGTCTTCTACTTCCCTAACTGAAAGTCCTCCTATAATCAATCCCTACCCCCTTCTAGAAGTATCTTAAAAGAAAAGCAAGGTGATTGTAAGTATTAAATAGAAATCTCATCTTAGTTTATATTCAGCAAAGTAAGAGGCAAGAGAAGAAAACTGCAGCCTTGACATCTGTCATCTGAGAAAGGATATCTGGTTTCATGTTAGGCACATACATGCATGTGTGTGCCATCTACTGATGATTTGTACACAGCTGGACCTCGTGTGTTTGCCATGCTCAGCTCTCATTTGCTTTTCAAGGATACCTGGGATGGCTGTTCTCAGAGAGTACTTACGGGGAACAGACTGCCTTTTAGTAACAAGGGATACTTGGGAAATACATTGTGAGTATGATCTATCCCAGATTGCTGGGGAAATAAAGGAGGGCCCTGATTATATTTGGTTTATTCCTCACTAAATGTTTAAGAAGTAAATGCTCCCAAGGCATTTGAAATGAACATAGAAACATAATCTAAATGTCTCTAAATTTTCCACTTTGTGTTTTCTAAACACAAATTGTATTACTCATTTGAGCATAACTCAAGAATTCAGCGATGATAAATTGAAGGGCTGAATGTGAGAACTCCATTAATTCCACTTCTTCCAAGAAAGTTAACCTCAGGAAATGCTGTTTGAAGAGAAGAAAGTAGTACCAAACAAAAACCTTAAACAGTACTTGAATCTTTTTTGCGCTGAGACTATAAAGAATTCATTCTAACATCTTGTTTCATAAGGGCCACATCATTCGTTGGAGCATGATAGTGTGATTTGTGTACAATTGTTACCTCTCAGCTGCTGAAGTTCACACTTCAAGGATCTAGGAGCTCTGTGAGGGGTCGTCCAGCAAGATGCTGATTTGTCTTTCAGTTGGTATGGTTTCTGTGATCGGGGTAAACTCCCGTCTCCCACTATTCAAAAGCAGCCCAACTCATGCTTTGGAATCCACTGAAATAAAAATAGTTACATGAAGTTTAACTTTGCTTTAATATCACTTGTTCCTCATTGAATATACACTTTGATCGGACTTTCTATTAACATTTCTAGCTAAGAGTTTGACTCTTAGTGGTCACTTTACTGACTTTCCAACATAAAACAAGTATCTCAGAAGATACAACTTTCATCATAGAAATGGTCAAAAGACCATAGCTATATTTCCTTCAGGTTCTGGGAGGTGGAGTTTTTCAAGGAACACTGGCTGTTGTATTGTTGGCAGGGGCCCCAAGGCAGCTCGCACAATCAAAGGCAGGAAGCCTCACCCCTGGTCCTGTGACCCCCCCCCCCCACACACACACATACTTCAGGCTTGGATTCTAGGCTCCAAGTGGCCAGCATAGAAGCAGCAGCCTCTCTCCAAACCCTGGCTCTGTGAGCCATAGGAACCAGCACTAGGTCATCTTCTGACATAGCCCTGGTGAAGGTGTGTGTGTGTTGGTGGCCACACTTGCTAAGGCTTTTGTGTCTAAGAATTGAGTATTTGTACCTAGGTGTGAGGGAACCAGGGTCAGCCAGCCTTTTTCAGATGGCGCCAGGCACACACACTACATCAATGGCTTGCTGGTGGCTTCACCACTATCCAGGTGACTTAAAAGAGTGTTTGGAAAATGTCCCTGGTATACTTCAATTCCTACTAGACATTGTAATGACAATGGTGTAGGTAAGGAAGAGAGAGTTAAAACTACCAGTTGTGGAATAGAAATAGTTGCATGTCCAAAGAAGGCTTAGAATGATTGTGCATATGCAGTTGGCTCACATAACCAGCATGAACAGTCTCTCCCCAAATCCATTAGTGATTCACTACCCCCCGCCAAGCACAGCCCTAAAACAATTCTCGTCCACTTTCCTGTTAAGAAACACAGCAGCAATATACTTTGGCAGCAAACCAGAGCATATGATGTAACTTGCTCAACCTTATCTTCCTTTCCAAATTCTATACTAAGCATCTGATGTTTTTTAGAATAATTTCCTTTGGAAAGCCAACGAGAAAACAAATTAGGAAGAGAGAGAAGTGAGAAATTGTTGCATGGCTGAGGAACAAGATGCTTAAAATCTGAATGGAAGTATTTTGAGAGCAGTATTTCATGTGCTAAGGGTTATAAGAATTCTTTTAGAAAGGGATTAGAATTTTACTCTGCTAGTTACAAGTTTTAAAGTCACGCTACGGCATTATCACCCTGGCAGGTAGGTTTTGTTATTGTTTTACATTTTGTGAAAAAAAGTTTTGTAGAAGTTACAGCTAGTGGTCTTTTCCCTCCAGAGCCAGTGATGAGTGTGGGAGCACTTCAGCTCTGTAAGGGGCCAGCGTTCTGACCTTTAACCACATGAACTAACCTGCGTCAGCAGTTGCAGAAAGTAGCCTGTTAGGACAGCAGCTGCTAAGCGTTGCCTGGTATTTTAGTGGGGAGAAGGCTGGGACTCTTCATGGCATCAACACTTGCATGCTCTGAATCTTTGATCAGAGATGAGGTGCCATTTTTGGCATTTCCACCCCGTCTCGTGGTAGCCTTTAAAAGTGGTAGAAGATGCTGCCCTAATTCCCCGAGGATGATTGTCATTCCATGCAGCATAATGTGCCGTGAGGAGTTTTCTCATTCCAGTTCTTTGGACTTCGTAACATTGGAATTGTTTTTCCATAATTTCCGGCATTCCATAAATATTTGTCAAGGACAAAGAAAAGGAATGTGGATGTTTATTCTTTTCATATGAATGACTTTGTACACATGACTTCCTGCTTTCATTATGAAGGAGGGGAAACTAGTTCCCTTGTATGGTAACTCCAAAGTTAAAAAATTGTGCATGTCTGAGGGGTTGAATATATTTTGTAAAACTCTAAATACATTTGTATTTCTGTGCTGTTCTAAAGTTTACCTTTTTACTTATATGAAAGATAACTATATATTTAAATCATGTAAGTGGAACACAGTGTAGGGGGTTTTTCCAATCTTATTTTTCATCAGGTTCTCACACCCACGTAGTATGCTGCTCAAATTTTTTCGTGTGTGCAAATGTGAACATTTGAACATTTCAGTTAGGTACTGAGCCAGAAAAGGTAATTGAAGTTTTCAGAAAGCTTCTGTGCTTAGAAAATATTTTGTTGTTTTCTTAAAATATTAGTATTTTGTAGCTGGAAGAATAAGATCAAGGCTTACATGTTTCAGGCCACTTGGTCACTGGTTCCTGAATTTAGAAAACATTGGATTAATGAGTTGGTGAAGGCATTTAGTGGTTACAAAAACAGTTTAAATATTTATGATTAAAGGCTTTTCACAAACCTTTTTAAAGAAAATTTAGCTGAGAAAACTTAAAAAGTTTTCTAAGGAAGTTTAACTGTGGCACATGTTTTGATCAGAAAGGTAGTTCTCTTTGCTCTGGTAGTTTTAAAGTTTGTACTAGTTCTTTATTTCTGTTGTTTTTTTAAATTGTTAAAATTATAAATCACGTCTAATCATACTGAATTGTAAAACTTGAATTGTATCTTTATTTTAAGCATAAATGAGAATAAAATGATCCTGTTCACCCTGCCTACAGTTGGACTTGACCTGTCCTAGAAGTACCCTGTGTGTTGTCCATGTGGTTTCTGGCCTCCTTCACAGTTAAACGGCAGCTTCATTTATTAAGAAACCACACAGAATGAACTAAAGACTCATGACTCATTTACTCTCATTTTGACATCGCTTTGACAGTGGTGCCCAGCTTTCAAGGCAGTGACCTCTGCAGGAAGAGGCCCTTAGCTTCTGTGGAATGCTAAGTGCAGAGAGCTGCAAAAAGTATCAAGCAGAGCCTGGTCACAAGATAATGTCTCATTAGGATATTGTCCCAAGCAACCCATTTTGCACCTGGACTGATAAGTGTCAAAATAGCCCTTGATATTGCCACTGAAGACTCCTGCCACATTTTCATGTATATGTTCATGTACTGGGTTCCCTTACAACTGTTCTACAAAACAGGCTTTAGGATGTGCTTCACAGAAGAAGTGACAAACTTCCTTGCCCCCTGGGAATGTGTGCTTCCTTGAGTGCTGGTGCAGGGTTAAGCTGGAGTTACCAGTGTTCTTTGATGTGGACCGTGAGAGCCCTGGAGCTGATGGGATAACTTGAGGACAGTGGAGCTTCCTCTACTCAGGGAAAGGAAGGCATCTCCTTCCCTTTCCAGATGTCCCCCTCAGACTGAGCTCTCCTGTGGGGATGTGATGGGTCCCTATCACCCACCAAGGAAGAGCTGCCTACCCTTCATTCTGATAGGACAGGAGTTGCAGTTATTGAATCTGGTAACATCTGGAAGGAGTGTGATTAGGGAGCCTGTTCTTTCCAAGGAAAGTTCTTTCCATCCTTCATGAAGGGCTTCTCTCTGCCTGAGGTAATGTACACAGGGTTGGGGAAGCCACTGCAGCAGGACTGACCTGTCCAACTTCACCATCAACAGATCCTCACATGGCACGCATAGACACTTTGTATGATCATGAAGATCAGAATGGTCGTGTTCTGTGTTCTTGATCCCATGAACCACCTGCTTTTGGAACCACTGACATCCCAACATAACATAATTAAGACTCAAATGTTTTTAAACATTTCACTGGACTGGGCTGCACTCCTGGAGCACATAGATGTAGGCTAGGCCCAGAAAAATTATGAAAGCCACTTACTGAAATGCTGATCATTGCTGAGGGCAAGTGATGGGTACATAAGGGCTTCTTAGACTATTCTGTTTGTGTATGTTGGAGAATTTCCATAACGAAGAGTTAGAAACTACTTGCTAGCCATTAAACAACGTCGTTACCCATGAAAAGGCACTAGTTCCTGTGCGGCGGACCCTGAGGGCCTGACTTAGGAACTGGCTTAACTTCGTAGCTTCTCCATGGATGCCCTGGCCTCCACAAGCCCTCTCACCAACTGAAACCTTGGCTGCTGCTGTTGCCTTCCCATCCCTCTAGTTGTTGGAGGAGCACTATTGAGAGAACCCGTAGTACACAGTAATCAAAGACCCAGCCCAACCTCTCTTCCTCCTGAAAGTCTTCCCCAGGCTACTCTGAGTCCTTTCTAATACCTGGATTCTCAGGGGCCAGTGGCTCACACCTGTAATCCTGAATATTTTGGGAGGCTGAGGCAGGAAGACTGCTTGGGCCCAGGAGTTCGAGACCAGCCTGGGCCACATAGGGATACCTCGTATCTACAAAAAATTTAAAAATTAGCTGAAGGCCAGGTGCGGTGGCTCACACCTGTAATCCCAGCACTTTGGGAAGCCAAGGTGGGTAGATCACCTGGGGTCAGGAGTTCGAGACCAGCCTGACAAACATGGAGGAACCCCGTCTCCACTAAAAATACAAAATTAGCTGGGCGTGGTGGTGCATGCCTGTAATCCCAACTACTTGGGAGGCTGAGGCAGGAGAATCGCTTGAACCCGGGAGGCAGAGATTGCAGTGAGCCAAGATTGAGCCATTGCACTCCAGCCTGGGCGACAAGAGCAAAACTCCATCTCAAAAAAAAAAAAAAAAATTAACTGGGCATGGTTGCATCTTCCTCTAGTCCCAGCTACGGGAGATGAGGGGGTGGGCTCGGGTGAGAGGATCACTGAAACCAGGAGGTCAAGGCTGCCATGAGCCATGACTGTGCCACTGCCCTTCAGCTTGGGCAACAGAATGAGACTCTGTCTCAAAAAAATAAAATAATAAAATACCTGGATTCAGTACTTACTGAGGACTATGTAAAGCGGTGCTTCCCAGTCTTGGAGACTTGCCATACAGTGCCACACATAGTCCCTGACACGTTCAGTTCCTACTCCGTGGACCTTGCTGTTCAGCAGGTGCGGGTGGGCGGTCACTGTAGAGGGGAGAGAGTGCTGGGTGGTGAGGGAGCACGAGTGGCGCCAACACACCACAGGGGGTAACTGCTTTTTCACAGGGACCAATAAATATCTCTTCCCCTGAGTCTAAGTTGAGGCCTGAGGGAGTTTTCCAGGTGAGGTGGGAGTGAGGGGAGAGACCATGAGACGTAAAGGGCTCTGTGGCCTGGCAGAGCAGCACAAAGACTGGAAGCAGCGCGGCTTGAGGGGATGTTTTTTGGAGTGGCCGAAACCGAAATGGCAAGGACGACAGGCTAGAGATGAGGTCAGGAAATAAGGCCATATCTGGAGGAGAGCCCTGTCAGCCCGCGGACAGGGGAAAGCCTTCAAGGGTTTCCCACAGGCAGGTGGCAGGTTGGCTGGGTGTTGCCTGTGGAAAGTTCTTTCGGTCGTGGGCACCACTGCTTCTGCTTTGCCCTTTGCTGTAAAGTTAGTGATGTTCCTCAGCTGACCTCTGAACTCAACCACCGCCCCTTTCCCTTCCTCACTGGCCTTCACAGTTTTCCACTGACTTTAAATCACATTTGCCCCAAACATAATAAAGCCAAGAACAAAAGTCTATGGCATGGCCCTCAGTCAAAAACCAGTTACTGTGAGAACACTGTTTTCCCGATTTCCCCAGGCATTAGGTCCGTGGAAGTTGTTGATGAAAAGAACCTGTCAAGTGATGGTGTCCCTGCCAGGAAGCCAAGAGCACAGAGGGCACTTGAGCATCTGTTTCCATTACTCTCTCTGGCTAAGTGGAGACCCAGGAGACATGTGGCACCACCGCTGTGGTGATGTGTTTAAACTTGGAGAAAACCCGCTGTTTCTTCATGTCATTTACAAGCACAAAGGGAGTCATTTATACATTCAAAAAGCCCATCTGCCGCTAACATCTAGACTTTCAATTATATTCAATTCATAGAATTATTTTTTCTGATAAAATTTAACCACATTCATGCTCTCAGGAATGCCAAGGTTAAAAGTGGGGCAATGGAGAATTTCTAAAGTAGCCTGTCCACCTGCCTCCTCAAGCTCTGCCCTAGAAAACCATCACTGAGCAGCACTTCCTAGAAACCACGGAGACTGAAGCAAAATTACCCCGTCCTTGGCTCTCACATCCTGAATTGGTTCTTTGTACAGGATCATCCATCTAGAAACCAAAGCTACTGTGGCCTTGATAAACCACTCACTCTCGCTAAATACTTTCCAAATGGAAATTCCAAGGTAAAGTTTTAACAGATGAAGATGAATGAGTATTTTTTGTGTCACCCATTTTATGGTCATCAAAACCACAAGGTCAGCAGGACTAGAATTTTTAAATCTTATATATTTTATGACCTTTAAAGTGTGTTTTTTCATTAGTGACATATCCCTCACTTTGGGACTCAAAGTGGAAATCATTTTTGAGTGTGGTTAATTCCATTCCTTTGAGCATCTGGGCTTAATCCTTAAAATTTTCTTTTGGGACCTTATTGGAAATGAAGGATTAACTAGTCACCACTCCTCCGGTTGGAAAACGTGTCTTTTGTTTCCTTTTTTGCTTTTTTTTTTTTTTAATTTTTGATCTTTAAATAGAGACACAGTGTCACTATGTTGCTCAGGCTGGTCTTGAACTCCTGGGCTCAAGCAATCCTCCTGCCTCAGCCTCCCAAAGTGCTGGGATTACAGGCATGAGCTACCATGCCCCGCTTGTTTCCTTTTAAATTGTCAAGTTAACCCTGTGACCACCCTCCCTTGAAGGACAGGCTATTGTGTTTCCAAAGCTTCTAATGTAATTCATAGGGAACTCAAAATGGATTTCCCATATGGACAGTGTTGTTTATGGGAGCTATGTCTCAGCTCAAAAAAGGCAGCTCACCAGACAGCCAGAGTAGATACCAAAATACAGTCACACGTCACTAACAACATTCTGCAAAATGCGTCACTGGATAATTTCACTGTTGTGTGAACATCATCGAGTGTACTTACAATATCCTAGATGGCAGAGCCTACTACATAGTTAGGTCATATGGTATGGCCTATTGCTCCTAGGCTACAAACCTATACAGCATGGTACTGTTCTGAATCCCGCAGGCAGTGTTCACACAATGGTAAGGATTTGTGTTTCTAAACATAGAAAAGGTACAGTAAAAAGACAGCATTGTACAAAATTAGCTGGGTGGTGGGGCATACCTGTAATCCTAGCTACTCGGGAGGCTGAGGCAGGAGAATCGCTTGAACCTGGGAGAGGAAGGTTGCGGTGAGCCAAGATCACACCATTGCACTCCAGCCTGGGCAACAAGAGTGAAACTCCATCTCAAAAAAAAAAAAAAGACAAGTATTATAATCTTAAGGGACCACCATCGTATATGCTGTCTGTCACTGACCAAAGGTTCGCTATGTGGCACATGACTGTGTGGTATAAAGGTACTAGAGAACTGTGCAACAGATGGAAACGTGTTAAGTGACAACCTGGCAGCTGAAACCGTAACTTCCATTCGCCGCAGCCCCAGCAGAGTAAGTTAAGCTTCACTCAGTCTTGTCTTAACACAAAACCACTTGCTATGGGTGAGGGCTGTCTGGGTCCAGAAGATAACAGATTAGATCTGTACAGATACATGATATAAAGAAAGTGATGGGGCTGGGTGCAGTGGCTCACACCTATAATCCCAACACTTAGGGATGCTGAGGCACGAGGACTGCTTGAGCCCAGGAGTTTGAGACCAGCTTGGGTGATATAGCGAGACCCCTTCTCTACTAAAAATAAATTAGCTGGACATGGTGGCAAGCGCCTGTAGTCCCAGCTACTCTGAGGTGGGAAGATTGCTTGAGCCCAGGAGATCAAGGCTGCAGTGAGCTATGATGGTGCCACTGCACTGAAGCCTGGGTGACAAAGCAAGACCCTATCTCAAAAAAAAAAAAAAGAAAGATGAGTGTGTTGAGAAGTCCAGTAAAGTGCCATCATGGCAATCTTTTCGCTGGGACAGTGAGAGAAAGCTTCCTTGAGGAAGTGTCATTTGAGCTGCTGAAGTGAGGATGAGGCAGTGAAGATGAGAGCAGATTTTCTGTCCTCCGGCCTTGGGGATGGGGCCAGGGGTGGCATGGCCTGAGATGCAGGGGAGGAGCAGGTCAGGGGGAGTGAAGCTCTAGGAAGGGGAAAAGAGTGATGAGAGAGGAGAACTGAAGAAGAATACAGCCTGCAGGGTTGCTAAAGCCAGAAGGAATCTGAGAAATACAGAAACCAGCTCCTCCTGCTCTGCCCCTGGGAGTCTGTTTCTCTTGATGAGGCTACAGGGACTAAGGGAAAGAGTGTGAGGAGGGGGAAAACCCCTCTTGGCAAACACAGGAAAAAAGAGAAGAGCCTGTGAGGAGCGGTCTGTGCTGAGGACATGTGTGTGATGATGTGGCTGCCTTTCCAGGGGCAAGCATGGGAAGTACCTTCCACCAAGGAAGCTGGAAGGGTTGGGAAAGTGCAACTACCTTTATATCAATATCACAAACCAAAATGTTTTGAAAATAAACATCAGTTTTTCTTGGGGACCAAAAGATGTTTTATCCACTTGGAAGCTGCGACAGATTTCAAGGCTAAGCAGATGTTAATTAAAATCAACTATTTCATCTTATTTAGGTGGTTACATAAGTATACACATAAAGTCAAGCTGTACATGTAAGATGTATTTTAATGTTCCTAATCATTAAAAAAAAATACCCAATCATTTCAAAATGTAATTTACTTCTCAGGGAAGTATGATCAGTGGAAGGAATATAGCTTCCACTTTTCAGACACATCTTTGAAGAAAACTACAAATCCAAGAGGCTGGTGTTTCTGACAAGTAAAAATTCCGCATAAAATTGCCTGCATTTCATTTCACTCAATTTTGGCAACAATTAGCATCACTCTTTGCATTTGTTCAGGGCTTTATAATAAAGTCGGGATGCCATAAATAGGTCAACAGGCCTGGGTGGGAACACCAGCACCCACACTTGCTTGTTACTTGACATCTCTGAACCACACATTCTCCTTCAGTACAGTGGGTTTAAATGAGATGATGATGCATGTGTTGAGGCTGCACTTGTGTATCTTCACATTCGTCTATTGTTCATCATCCTCTATGGCAAGTGAACAGGGCTTTTTTCCTGTTTTATTTATCTTCAGAGCCTAGAACAGTGCCTGGTGCAGAGTAAGCACTTAGTGGACACTGGATGAATAGACCGATAGACAATTCTGATTTGTAAATGGAGAAGAAGGGAGATGTTTTCTTACTGGGAGAAGAAGCAGAACAAAGGAAAATGAAAAGAATGGCGTGAGTTCCTGTGGTTAGAAGAGAGGTCATCAGAAAGGAATGACATAATTGGATATGAAAAGGAAGTGTGAACTTATACATACTCAAACTGGCATTATGTCTAATATATGGTTGACTCTGAATACATATGCGCTATTACTATTTTTTTTTTTTTGAGAGAGAGTCTCGCTCTGTCACCCAGGCTGGAGTGCAGGTGGTGCAGTCTCAGCTCACTGCAACCTCCGCTTCCCAGGTTCAAGCAATTCTCCTGGATCAGCCTCCTGAGTAGCTGAGACTATAGGTGCACAACACCAAACATAGCTAATTCTTGTATTTTTAGTAGAGACAGGGGTTTCACCATGTTGGCCAGGCTGGTCTCGAACTCCTGATGTCAGGTGATCCACCCACCTCAGCCTCCCAAAGTGCCAGGATTACAGGAGTGAGCCACTCACCCGGCCTGCTATTACTATTATTTTTAATTCTTTATTTAATTTTTTTTTTCTTACAGACAGTGTCTCACTCTGTGGCCCAGGCTGGAGTTCAGTGGTGCAATCATAGCTTACTGCAGTCTTAAACTCCTGGGCTCAAGCGATCCTCCCACTTCACCTTCCTAAGTAGCTGGCACTACAGGCTCATGCCACCAGACCTAGCTAATGTTTTTTATTTTATTTTATTTTTTTTTTGAGACAAGAGTCTCGCTCTGTTGCCCAGGCTGGAGTGCAGTGGTGCAATCTTGGCTCACTGCAACCTCCACCTTCCAGGTTCAAGTGGTTCTCCTGCTTCAGCCTCTTGAGTAGCTGGGACTATAGGCGTGTGCCACCATGCCCAGCTGATTTTTTTGTATTTTTAGTAGAGATGGGATTTCACTGTGTTAGCCAGGATGGTCTTGATCTCCTGACCTCGTGATCCGCCCACCTCGGCCTCCCAAAGTGCTGGGATTACAGGTGTGAGCCACCGCACCCAGCCCTTTTAAATTTTTTTGTAGAGAAATGACCTTGGTATGTTGCCTCAGATGGTCTTCAACTCCTGGACTCAAGCGATCCTCCCACCTCAGCCTCCTAAAGTGCTGGGGTTATGAGTGTGAGATACCACAATGGCCTATTTTTGATTCTTTATATTAATAACTGAAGAGACCCAAAAGAATTTTTATCAATGTGTATGATATAAAAAATAATAAAATGAACAATCCACCACCCAGCTCTAAGAGTGTGTCTCTCATCCCTCATTTTGCTTAAAAATTTGTCCAGGCATTGTGGCTCACGACTGTAATCCCAGCACTTTGGGAGGCCGAGGCAGCTGGATCACTTGAGCCCAGGAGTTTGAGACCAACCTGTGCAACATGGCACAACCCTATCTCTATGAAAAATACAAAAAAAAATTAGCCAGGCATGGTGGCACATGCCTGTGGTACCAGCTACTCATAAGGCTGTGGCAGGAGATCACCTGAGCCAGGGGAATCAAGGCTGCAGTGAGCTGTGATTGTGCCACTGCACTCCAGCCTGGGCAACAGAGACTCTGTCTCAAAGGAAAAAAAAATTATGATATATTTCCCTTCTCAACAACAGATTGTTTAGTGTGTCAGATTTTTGAACTTTATACAAGTTGAATCATACATACATATTACCCTGTGACTTGCTTTTTCTTGCATATTAAGTTTCTGAGCGTCATGTCGCTTTGTCTATCTGTAGATCATTTTCACTGCCAGGAAGTATTCTATTGTGTGAAAATACTGCAGTTCATTTCCACACTCAATTGTTCATGAGTTCATGAACAATTTTTTTGGTCTTCCCCTCCCCAATCGATGTTTGCTATTATAGTAGGCCCCCCTCGAGCATCATGTGCCTGGAATTTAAAAAAAAAAAAAAAAAGAAAGAAAGAAAGAAAAAGAAACAAAAAATACAGTAGTCCCACCATACCTTTGAAGGTTACGTTCTAAGACCCCTACTACACACATGAAACCACAGATAGTACTGAACTCTATATATTACTATGTTTTTTTCCAATACGTACCTATGACAAAGTTTATAAATTAAGCACAGTAAGAGATTAACAATAACTAACAATAAAAATAGAGGCTGGACACAGTGGCTCACACCTGTAATCCCAGCACTTTGGGAGGCCGAGGCCAGCGGATCCATGAGGTCAGGAGATCAAGACCATCCTGGCTAACACAGTGAAACCCTGTCTCTACTAAAAACACACAAAAAAATTAGCCGGGTATGGTGATGGGCGCCTGTAGTCCCAGCTACTCGGGAGGCTGAAGCAGGAGAATGGCGTGAACCCAGGAGGCAGAGCTTGCAGCGAGCCGAGATCGCGCCACTGCACTCCAGCCTGAGCTACAGAGTGAGACTGTCTCAAAAAAAAAAAAGAACAATTATAACAATATGCTATAATAAAAGTGATGCCAATATGATCTCTCCCTCAAAATATCTTATTTGTACTGCATTCACCCTTCCTGTGATGATGTGAGATGATAAAATGCCTACATGATTAGGTGAATGACACAGGCATTGTGACTAGCGTCAGGCTACTATTGACCTTCTGATGATATGTCAAAAGAAGGACCATCTGCTTCAGGTGATCCTGGATCATTGAGCCATAATGATGTTGATGGTTGTGTGTCAGGAGGAAACCAAATTGATGACTACCAACCAGGTCAACAGTGTAGATCTCAAGGATGCACTGGACAAAGAGATGGAATGTCCTGAGTGGGACAGAGAAGGACAACCTGAGATTTCATCACACTACTCAGAACGCCAAGCAATTTAAAACTTACAAGTTGTCCTCAGCAAATGCAAAAGAACTGAAATCATAAAAGTCTCTCAGACCACAGTGCAATTAAATTAGAACTCAGGGATTAATAAATTCATTCAAAACCACACAACTACATGGAAACTGAACAGCCTGCTCCTGAATGACTCCTGGGTAAATAATGAAATTAAGGCAGAAATCAAGAAGTTCTTTGAAACCAATGAAAACAAAGAGACAATGTACCAGAATCTCTGGGACACAGCTAAAGCAGTATTAAGAGGGAAATTTATAGCACTAAATACCCACATCAGAAAGCTAGAAAGCTCTCAAATTGACACCCTAACATCACAATTAAAAGAACTAGAGAAGCAAGAGAAAACAAATCCAAAAGCTGGCAGAAGACAAGAAGTAACTAAGATCAGAGCAGAACTGAAGGAGATGGAGACATGAAAAACCCTTCAAAAAAAAAATCAATGAATCCAGGAGCTGATTTTTTTTTAAAACTAACAAAATAGATAGACCACTAGCTAGAGTAACAAAGAAGAAGGGAGAGAAGAATCAAATAGACACAGTAAAAAATGATAAAGGGGATATCACCACTGACCCCACAGAGATACAAACTACCATCAGAGAATACTATAAACACCTTTACACAAACAAACTAGAAAATCTAGAAGAAATGGATAAATTCCTGGACACGTACACCCTCCCAAGACTAAACCAGGAAGAAGTTGAATCCCTGAATTGACCAATAACAAGTTCTTAAAGTGTTATTGGTTTAAGTTTTTTAAACCCAGGACCAGATGGATTCACAGGTGAATTCTACCAGAGGTACAAAAAAGAGCTGGTACATTCCTTCTGAAGCATTCCAAACAATTGAAGAGGAGGGACTCGTTCCTAACTCATTTTATGAGGCCAGCATCATCCTGATACCAAAACCTGGCAGAGATACAACAAGAACAAAAACTTCAGGCCAATATTCCTGATGAACATTGATGTGAAAATCCTCAATAAAATACTGGCAAACTGAATCCAGCAGCACATCAAAAAGCTTATCCACTATGATCAAGTCCACTTCATCTCTGTGATGCAAGGCTGGTTCAGCATATACAAATTAATAAACCTAATCCATCACATAAACAGAACCAATGACCAAAACCACATGATCATCTCAATAGTGCAGAAAAGGTCTTTGATAAAATTTAACATCCCTTCATGTAAAAGCTCTCAATAAACTAGGTATTGATGGAACAGATCTCAAAAAAATAAGAGCTATTTATGACAAACCCATAGCCAATATCATACTGAATGGGCAAAAGCTGGAAGCATTCTCTTTGAAAACCAGCACAAGACAAGGATGCCCTCTCTCACCACTCCTATGCAACATAGTATTGGAAGTTTTGGCCAGGGCAATCAGGCAAGAGAAAGAAATAAGGGGTGTTCAAATGGGAAGAGAGGAAGTCAAATTGTCTTTGTTTGCAGACAAAATGATTCTATATTTAGAAAACCCCATCATCTCAGCCCAAAAACTCCTTAAACTGATAAGCAACTTCAGCAAAGTCTCAGGATACAAAATCAATGTGCAGAAATCACATACTTTCCTTTACACCAACAATAGGCAAGTAGAGAGCCAAATCATAATGAACTCCCATTCACAAATTGCTACAAAGAGAATAAAATACCTAGGAATGCAGCTAACAAGGGATGTGAAGGACCTCTTCAAGGAGAACTACAAACCACTGCTCAAGGAAATAAGAGAAGACGCAAACAAATAAAAAAAATTCCATCTTCATGGATAGGAAGAATCAATATTGTGAAAATGGCCATACTGACCAAAGTAACTTATAGATTCAATGCTATTCCCATTAAACTACCATAGACATTCTTCAAAGAATTATAAAAAACTACTTTAAATTTCATACGGAACCAAAAAAGAGCCCATATATCCAAGACAATTGTAAGCAAAAAGAACAAAGCTGGAGGCATCACGCTACCTGACTTCAAACTATACTACCAGACTACAGTAACCAAAAAAGCATGGTACCAAAACAGATATATAGACCAAAGGAACAGAACAGAGACCTCAGAAATAACACCACACATCTACAGCCATCTGCTCTTTGACAAGCCTGACAAAAACAAGCAATGGGGAAAGGATTCCCTATTTAATAAGTGGTGCTGGGAAAACTGGCTAGCCATGTGCAGGAAACTGAAACTAGACCCCTTCCTTATACCTTATACAAAAAATAACTCAAGATAGATTAAAGACTTAAATGTAAAACTGAAAATCATAAAAACCCTAGAAGAAAACCTAGGCAATACCATTCAGGACATAGGTATGAACAAAGATTTCATGATGAAAATGCCAAAAGCAATTTCAACAAAAGCCCAAATTGACAAATGGGATCTAATTAAACTAAAGAACTTCTGCACAACAAAAGAAACTATCATCAGAGTGAACAGGCAACCTACAGTATGGGAGAAAATTTTTGCAATCTACCCATCCGACAAAGGTCTAATATCCAGAATCTACAAGGAACTTAAACAAATGTACAAGAAAAAAACAACCCCATCAAAAAGGGCAAAGAATATGAACAGCCACTCCTCTAAAGAAGACATCTAGGCCGGGCGCGGTGGCTCACACCTGTAATCCCAGCACTTTGGGAGGCCGAGGCGGGCGGATCACGAGGTCAGGAGATCGAGACCATCCCAGCTAAAACGGTGAAACCCCGTCTCTACTAAAAAAATACAAAAAATTAGCCGGGCGTAGTGGCGGGCGCCTGTAGTCCCAGCTACTTGGGAGGCTGAGGCAGGAGAATGGCGTGAACCCGGGAGGCGGAGCTTGCAGTGAGCCGAGATCCCGCCACTGCACTCCAGCCTGGGCGACAGAGCGAGACTCCGTCTCAAAAAAAAAAAAAAAGAAGACATCTATGTGGCCAACAAACATATGAAAAAAAGCTCAACATCACTGATCATTAGAGAAATGCAAATCAAAACCATAAGATACCATCACACACCAATCAGAATGGCGATTATTAAAAAGCCAAGAAACAACAGATGCTGGTGAGGCTGTGGAAAAATAGGAACACTTTTATACTGTTGGGGGAAATGTAAATTAGTTCAAACATTGTGGAAGACGGGGTGGCAATTTCTCAAGGATCTAGAATCAGAAATACCATTTGACCCAGCAATCTCATTACTGGATACATAGCCAAAGGAATATAAATCACTCTACTATAAAGACACACGTACACGTATGTTTAGTGCAGCATTGTTTACAGTAGCAAAGACATGGAACCAACAAAAATGCTCAATGATAAACTGGATAAAGAAAATGTGGTACATATACACCATGGAATACTACACAGCCATAAAAAGGAATGAGAACATGTCCTTTGCAGGGACATAGATGAAGCTGGAAGCCCTCATCCTCAGCAAATTAACACAGAAACAGAAAACCAAACACTGCATGTTCTCACTCAGTAGGAGCTGAATAATGAAAACACATGGACACAGGGAGGGGAACAACACACACTGGGGCCTGTCGGAGGGTGGGAGGCGAAGGGAGGGAGAACATCAGGACAAACAGTTAATGCATGCATGTTGGACTTAAAACCTAGATGACGGGTTGATAAGTGTAGCAAACCACCATGGTACATGTATACCTATCTAGCAAACCTACATGTTCTGCACATGTATCCCGGAACTTAAAGTAAAATAAATAAATAAAAAAGAAACATATATTTAAAAAAAAAACACCCTTATGAGTTGTTAATTTCTGGAATTTTCCATTTAATATTTTCAGACTGCAGTTGACTGCAGGGAATTAAAACCATGAAACCTTGGATAAGGAGGGACTACTGTACAAGCAGGTTGCTAAGATCAGTCTAGTGTACATTTCCTGATAGGTGTGTATGAGAGTTTCTCTAGGGTGCACACCTAGGAATGGAATTGCTAAGCCATAGTGTATGTATCTTCAGTTTGTTAGGTTTCTATTATCTATTACTGTATAAAACAACCCTTCCCAAAACTTGGGGTCTCACAGTGAATCATAATAGGGTGGTAGTGGGCTCACACCTATAATCCCAGCACTTGGGAGGCCAAGGTGGGAAGATCACATGAGCACGGAGTTTGAGACCAGTCTAGGTAACAAAGCGAGACCTTGTCTCTACCCAAAAAAAAGCAGGGCATGGTGGCAAGTGCCTGTAGACCCAGCTGCTCAGGAGGCTGAGGTAGGAGGATCACTTGAGCCTAGGAGGTCAAGGCTGCAGTGAGCTATGATCATGTCACTTGCACTCCAGGCTGAGTGGCAGAGAGACCCTATCTCTAAAATGAAAAAAAAAAAAAAAAGTTTTAAAACTGTGGTAATGGTTGCACAACTTTTAAAACGTACTAAAGATCACCCAAGTGTACACTTATATGGTTGAATTCTATGGTATGTAAGTTATAACATAAAGTTATTTTTTAAAAATTACATAGCTTAAAAAACAATAAAAGTCATTTATTTTGCTCAAGGGTCTGGTATTTGGGCAGAGATTAGCAGGTATGTTTCATCTGCTCCCAGGATGAACTGTCAATTGGAGGATCCAACTTCCAGGATCCTCACATGACTACAAGTTGGTACTGGCTGGCAAGGGAGCCTCTCTCTGGGACTGTGTGGGCTTCCTGACAGCATGGTGGCTAGGCTCCAAGAACAAGTGTTCCAAGAGACCTAAACAGACAGAAACTGCAGGCTTCTTCTGACCTAGCATTTGATGTCCCAGAGTGTTACTTCTGCTGCATTTTTTTTTTTTTTTTTCTGAGACGGAGTCTTGCTCCATCACCCGGTCTGGAGTGCAGTGGTGTGATCTCAGCTCACCGCAGCCTCCGCCTCCCGGGTTCAAGCGATTATCCTGCCTCAGCCTCCCAAGTATCTGGGACTACAGGCATGTGCCACAACACCCGGACAATTTTTTTATGTTTAGTAGAGACGGGGTTTCACCATGTTGGCCAGGCTGGTCTCGAACTCCTGACCTCGTGATCCACCTGCCTCAGCCTCCCAAAGTGCTGGGATTACAAGCATGAGCCACTGCACCCGGCTACTTCTGCTGCATTCTATTGGCCAAGAAGTCCCTAAGACCAGCCCACATTTAAGGAGAAGGGACTCAACCTCTCAATGGGAACAGCATCAGAAAATGTGGCCATCTTCAATGTATCATACTGTTGTACCTGAGCGAGTTAGAGAGAACGCCACACTTTGAGACAAATTAAGAGTCCTTTATTAGCCTTAGCCGGCGACCGAGAGACGGCTAACGCTCAAAATTCTCTCGGCCCCGAGGAAGGGGCTTGATTAACTTTTATACCTTGGTTTAGGAAGATGAGGGGGGGGTCTACTTAGAACAATTTTCCAGAAGTTAAGTAGTCAAAAAGTTAAAAGGATAAATGGTTATAGGAACGTAAACAGTTCCAGGTGCAGGGGCTTTAAGACTATTACAAGGTGATAGACTAGGGGCTTTGGGCGTTGTCAATCAGATGAATTCTTGGGGACTGTGGATATAGCTTGCCACAGTATCTTATCAGTTAATTGCATTCTTGGATGTGCTGGGAGTCAGCTTGCACAAGTTAAGTCCTTGAGGAAGGGGCTGCCAGTGAAAGAGCCAAAATGGAGTTTGTCTGGTTCTCTTAGCTAAGGGAGAAACAAGGCTAGGTGAATAAAGGAAGAAACAAGGTTGGGCATTACATTACAAGGTAATTCCAAATGGTTTTCCAAGTGGTAGTACCAATGACATTCCCACTCGCAAGACATGCTCTTTGACCTCACCAACACATGATAGACTTAAATTTTTGCTGTTCAAGTATTGGGGGAAATTCAGCCCCCGATATTTCACGTGGGTTATTTTCTATTTTCCCTAAGTGCCCGCCAGTCTGAGAAATAAAGGGGAAGAGTACAAAAGAGAGAAAATTTAAAGCTGGGTGTCTGGGGGAGACATCACATGTCGGCAGGTTCCGTGATGCCCCCTGAGCCATAAAACCAGCAAGTTTTTATTAGCAATTTTCAAAGGGGAGGGAGTGCACGAATAGGGTGTGGGTCACAGAGATCACATGCTTCAAGGGCAACAAAAGATCACAAGGCAAAAGGTCAGGGTGAAACCAGAATCACTAATGAACTTCCATGTCCTGCTGTGCACGCATTGTCAAGGTTCAAGAACAGAGAACCGGTCTGACTAGAATTTGCCAGGCTGGAATTTCCTAATCCTAGCAAGCCTGGGGGCGCTGCAGGAGACTAGGGCGCATTTCATCCCTATCTACATCTGCATAAGGCAGATACTCCCAGGGTGGCCATTTTAGAGGCCCGGCCCTGGGAATGCATTCTTTTCCCAGGGCTGTTAATTATTAATATTCCTTACTGAGGAAAGAATTCAGCGATATTTCTCTTACCCATTTTTGGTAATAAGAGAAATATGGCTCTGTCCCGCACGGCCCACAGGCAGCCAGACTTTAAGGTTATCTAACCCTTGTTCCCTGAAAATCGCTTTTATCCTGTTCTTAAGGTGCCCAGATTTCATATTGTTCAAACACACATGCTCTACAAACAATTTGTGCAGTTAACGCAATCATCACAGGGTCCTGAGGCGACATACATCCTAGCTTACAAAGATGACGGGATTAAGAGATTAAAGACAGGCATAGGAAATCACAAGAGTATTGACTGGGGAAGTGATAAATGTCCATTAAATCTTCACAATTTATGTTCAGAGACTGCAGTAAAGACAGGCATAAGAAATTATAAAAGTATTAATTTGGGGAACTAATAAATGTCCATGAAATCTTCACAATTTATGTTCTTCTGCCATGGCTTCAGCCAGTCCCTCAGTTTGGGGTTCCTGACTTCCACAACACAAGTGAGTATAAAAGTGTTGTGGACTTATTTTGTATTTCCTAATTTCTAAGAAATTTGAGCACCTTTTCAAATGTTTATTGGTTGTTCATATCTCATCTGTGAAATGTTTGCTCAAGTTTTTTATTCACTGTATTATAGAGTGCTCTTTTTCTTATTTATTTGTAGGAAATCTTTCTATATTCTCAATACTAGTTGTCTTAGTTTGTTTTCTGATGCTATAACAATACCACAGATTGACTAATGTATAAACACTAGAAGTTTTTTAGGCTTATAGTTCTGAAGGCTGTGAAGTCCAAAAGCATGGCACAGGATCTGGCACATGAGGGCCTTCATGCTGTCTCATCCCATGGTGGAAGGTGCAAGAACAAGAACAGATGGGAGCTGAACTTCACCCTTATATCACAAACCCACTCCCATGATAACTAACCCACTCCCCCAGTAATGTCATTAATACATTTATGAGGACAGATCACTCATTAACTAATTGCCTCTTAAAGGTTCCACCTCTTAATACTACCACAATGCAATTAAATTTCAACGTGAAGGCCAGGTGTGGTGGCTCATGCCTGCAATCCCAGCACTCTGGGAGAACAAGGCAGAAGGACTGCTTGAGGCCAGGAGTTCAAGACTAGCCTGGGCAACACAGTGAGACTCCATCACTACAGAAAATAAAAAATTAGCCAGGCATGGTGGCACATGGCTTTGGTCCCAGCTACTCAGGAGGTTGAGCCAGGAGGATCACTTGAACCCAGAAGTTCAAGGTTTTAGTGAGCTTTGATTGCACCACTGCACTCCAGCCTGGGCAACACAGCAAGACTCTGACTCTAATACTACTACTACTAATAATAATAAAACAAAAATAAATAATTTCCCCAAGTGTTTTGCAGAGGACTTTCAAACCACAGCACTAGTCCATTGTCAGTTATGTGGATGCAGATATCTTCTTTCAGTTTGCGGGTTGGCCTTCTGCTTTCTTTACAATATCTTTGGATGAAAAGATATACATGTGAGTCTTTTTCTTCCAGACAAGGTCTCACTCTGACATTCAGGCTGGAGTAGCGTGGTGTGATCATGACTCACTGTAGCCTCAACCTCCTGGGCTCAAGTGATCCTCCCACCTCAGCCTCCTGATTAGCTGGGACTACAGGCATGTCCCACCATGCCCAGCTAAGTTTTCTGAGTTTTTGTAGAGACAAGGTTTTGCCACACTGCCCAGGCTGGTCTCCTCCTCCTGGGCTCAAGTGATCCTCCTGCCTTGGCCTCCCAAAATGCTGAGATTACAGGCGTGAGCTACCACAAGTAGCCTGGGTCCTTTTCAAGATATTTCCTCCCATTCCTTTGGTCAATTTGACTATCTCTGCATTAAAGCCATTCTGTCTTTGTTGTTGCTTTATAATTCAATAATTTATAATTTTATAATGGGGGAGAGTTTCTACAAAATCATATCATCTGTGCTGGTCAGAATAGCATATCTCATTGTGGAAAAGGCAAGAATAGGTCACGTCCCAGTTTTATAAATAAGGAAATAAGGTCAAACTCAGGACTCCTGACTTTTAATTGAGTTTTCACTTCATCTCCCTAAAAACTTCCTATCACTACATAAATTAAAAGTGTTGTTTGAGGAAAATGAGGGGCTGGCTTTGCTGCATGTATTCAATCATTTCTGCTCAACAAATATTAATTCCTTCTTTTTAGCAGTTAT
This sequence comes from Homo sapiens, assembly GCF_000001405.40. Classification (NCBI taxonomy): domain Eukaryota; kingdom Metazoa; phylum Chordata; class Mammalia; order Primates; family Hominidae; genus Homo; species Homo sapiens. Next base: position 32,606,607 of record NC_000007.14, read on the forward strand.
CAGATACACAGGCATGTAGACACTCTTTGTAAAGTGCTAGGTATGTGTAAGCTATTACTATTATTATCATTGTGGTACAAGAGATATATGTGGGGCCAGGCGCAGTGGCTCACGCCTGTAATCCCAACACTTTGGGAGGCCAAGGTGGGCGGGTCACGAGGTCAGGAGATCGAGACCATCCTAACACGGTGAAACCCCGTCTCTACTAAAAATCCAAAAAATTAGCGGGGCATGGTGGCATGTGCCTGTAGTCCCAGCTACTCAGGAGGCTGAGTCAGGAGAATCGTTTGAACCCAGGAGGCAGAGGTTGCAGTGAGCCGAGCTCACACCATTGCACTCCAGCCTGGGCTACACAATGAGACTCTGTCCAAAAAAAACAAAAGAAAAGAAAGAGATATATCTGGATCCTAGCACTTTGGGTGGGTGGATCACTTGAGGTCAGAAGTTCGAGACCAGGCTGGCCAACATGACAGAACCCTGTCTCTTCTAAAAATACAAAAATTAGCCAGGCGTAGTAGCGGGTGCCTGTAATCTCAGCTACTTGGGAGGCTGAGACAGGAAGAATCACTTGAACCCAAGAGGCAGAGGTTGCACTGAGCTGAGATCGTACTACTGCACTCCAGTCTGGGTGACAGAGCAAGACTCTATCTCAAGAAAAAAAAAATCGGCAAAAGACATGAACAGACACTTCTCAAAAGAAGACACACATGTGGCCAACAAGCATATGAAAAAATGCTCTAGATCACTAATCATTAGAGAAATGCAAATCAAAACAATGAGATAACATCTCACACTAGTCAGATGGCTAATCCTAAAAAGTCAGAAAATAACCAATGTTAGTGAGGTTGCAAAGAAAAGGGAATGCTTATACGCTGTTGGTGGGAATGTAAACTAGTTTGGCCACTGTGGAAAGCAGTTTGGAGATTTCTAAAAGAACTTAAAAAAAACTACCATTCAATTTAGCAATCCCATTAATGGGTATATACCCAAAGGAATATAAATCATTCTACCAAAAACACACATGCACATATATGTCCACTGCAGCACTGTTCACAATAGCAAAGACATGGAATCAACCTAGATGCCCATCAGTGGTAGACTGGATAAAGAAAACGTGGTCCATATACACCATGGCATACTATGCAGCCAAAAAAAGAATGAAATCATGTTCTTTGCAGCAACATGGACAGAGCTGGAGGCCATTATCCTAAGCAAATTAACACAGGAACAAAAAACCAAATACCACGTGTTCTGTTTTTTGTTTTCTTTTTTTTTTGAGACAGGGTCTTACTCTGTCACCCAGGCTGGAGTGCAGTGATGAGATCTGGGCTCACTGCAACCTCCATCTCCCAGGTTCAAGCGATTCTCCTGACTCAGCCTCTTGAGTAGCTGGGATTACAGGCATGCGCCACCACACCCAGCTAATTTTTGTTTTAGTAGAGACGGGGTTTCACCATGTTGGTCTGGCTGGTCTCGAACTCCTGACCTCGTAATCCACCTGCCTCGGCCTCCCAAAGTGCTGGGACTACAGGCGTGAGCCACCACCATGGCCACCACACGTTCTTATTTATCTCACTTTATAAATGAAGTCCCCATGGACACAGAGGGGAATAACAGACACCGGGCCTACTTGAGGGTGGAGGCTGGGAGGAGAGTGAGCATCAACAAACTTCGTATCAGGTAGTATGCTCACTACCCCGGTAACGAAACCATTTGTACATCAAACCCCAGTGACACGCACTTTACCCATGTTACAAACCTGCGCATGTACCTCCTGAGCTGAAAATAAAAGTTGAAAAACAAAAAAAAAAAGAAAAAAGAAAGCTCTCTTTGGGGAAAAACTCACAAATCTGCCCCCTCCGGTGATGGCTGACCGATATAATTCAAACAGCTTCCCGCCATCTTTAAGGAAGCAAATGGCTTTCCCATTCCCCTTCTTTCTCGTAGTGCTGCCCTTCTCCTGGCCCCAGGCTGCTGGAGAAACCGAGGAAAGCAGACAGGGTCCTACCTTCCAGAAGCCTTAGGAACACCACGGCCATGGGCGTGGGAAGGATACCCTTGGGATTCTCGCGAAACATTCTCGTGAAGGGCAAAGTCGAGTGAGACCAGGATGGGAGCTCCAGGTAGAGGGACAACAGAGAGGAAGGAACAGAGGGTGAAATCCCTGTGCCAGGAGGCTTCCTGCAGGGGGAGGTGTGAGGGGCTAGTGGAGGTGAGGAGGAGCTGTGTGGCCAGGACGCTGTAGGTGCCTGGTGAGCAGTGGAGGCAGTGAAGGGCTGTCACCAGGAGAGCGACATAGGAGATGTGCTGTTTTGTTTATTTATTTATTTATTTATTTTTGAGACAGAGCTTTGCTCTGTCGCCCAGGCTGGAGTGCAGAGGGGCGATCTCTGCTCACTGCAACCTCCGCCTCCCAGGTTCAAGTGATTCTTGTGCCTCAGCCTCCCAAGTAGCTGGGATTACAGGCACGCGACACCATGCCTGGCCAATTTTTTTTTTTTTTTTTTTTTTTTTTTGTATTTTTAGTAGAGACAGGGTTTCACCATGTTTGTCAGGCTGGTCTCAAACTCCTGACCTCAGGTGATCCGCCCACCTTGGCCTCCCAAAGTGGTGGGATTACAGGCATGAGCCACCATGCCTGGCCTCGAGATGTGCTGTTTTAGAAAGATCTGTCCTCACAGACGTGTGGAAGAAGCTAGGAATGAGGAAGAGAAGAAATGAGGAGAAACAGGCCTGACTCCTCCCTGGTGAACCTCCTCCCTTGGCCTCCCAGGCCCTCACTCCTTCCGTTCCCCTCATTTACTAGGAGAGGAATTCTGTGTCCAGAGCACCCCAAAACCTGAAGGCAGAATGCAGTCCTGGATTGTTGTGGATCTTGGCTGCATTTAAAAAGAGACCTTGCTGAGCCTATGTCCTGAATAAAATAAAGGAAATGGGCTCCTGGTTTCCAAATATTTCTTTAGATGGGAGACTCTTTGATCAAACGAAGTCCTGCCCTGATAAAATGAGGAGTATGGCAGCAAGGGGGCACTCCCCCAGCACGTGGCGGTCCAGGCTCCCTCATTGAGGGCTCTGTGACTCAGGGTTTCTAGCACTGTAGCTGGCTCTCCTGCTTCAACCGAGTTCTTTTATGAGTGTATCTGAATATTAAACTAACACTTGTTTCATTGCTTTGAACAAGGTGTGCTTTTGAGAAGCATGGTCAATACAGCAGGATTGAATGTTTTTATGCCCCTGTAGCTTAATAAGGAGATCATAATTCATTTAAAATGGATTGACTCCCATCCTAAGCCTGACCAGCATTCCATTCTTATATTAAAGAAATAATCCAAAAGGAAAAAGAAAAGTTATAAGCATGAAGTTCTCTGTCACAGCATTTTACATAATAGTGAAAACTGGGAACCAACAGAGAACTGAGTTACACACTGAAGCATAATACTAAGTGTGATACTCAGTGTGATGTTGGACAACTAATAAAACAAGCAATGTGAGGCTGGGTGCAGGGGCTCACACCTGTAATTCCAGCACTTTGGGAGGCCGAGGTGGGTGGATCTACCTGAGGTCAGGAGTTTGAGAACAGCCTGGCCAACATGGTGAAACCCTGTCTCTCCTAAAAACATAAAAATTAGCCAGGCGTGGTTGTGGCCGCCTGTAATCCCAGCTACTCAGGAGGCTGAGGCAGGAGAATTGCTTGAACCAGAGAGGCAGAGGTTGCAGTGAGCTTAGATGGCACCACTGCACTCCAGCCTGGGGGACAGAGTGAGACTATCTCGCTCACACCTGTAATCTCAGCACTCTGGGGGGCCATGGCAGGTGAATCACTGGAGCCCAGGAGTTTGAGACCAGCCTGAGACTCCATCTCTATTCAAAAAAAAAAAAAAAAAAAAGGCCGATGTGGTGGCTGGCCGGGTGTGGTGGCTCACGCCTGTAATCCCAGCACTTTGGGAGGCCGAGTCAGGTGGATCACCTAAGGTCAGGAGTTCGAGACCAGCCTGACCAACATGGTGAAACCCCAACTCTACTAGATACAAAAAGTTAACTGGGCGTGGTGGCGCATGCCTGTAATCCCAGCTAGAGGCAGGAGAATCGCTTGAACCAGGAGGTGGAGGTTGCAGTGAGCCAAGATTGCAGTATTGCACCCCAGCCTGGGCAGCAAGAGCGAAACAGTCTCAATAAATAAATAAATAAATAAATAAATAAATAAATAAAAATTAAAAACAAACCAATCATTGTGAACGCTGGGGGAAGGTGGAAAAGAGGAAAATGCAGAATACAAAATTAGGCAAAGGGACGAGGCACCCAGGAGAATAGGAGTCGAACTCGCTTCCATCTTCATTTCTTCTCTCTTCTTCCTGTATTTTTTCTCCATTTTTTCCACAAGAACTGTGAGAACACGGGAAATGAGTTGATTTATTAGGGTGATTTACTACAGTGATTTTCTTCTGCTTTTAAGTTGTTACTCTTTGGGAGGGCGGGAGCTTAGAATCCAAGTGCAATAAAAGGTAGAGAAGATGCTGTGTGTGGGTAAAAGCAGCGCGGAGCTTCCTGGGCCATCTCAGCTAGACCAGTGCCTTTTTTTTTCCCACTGGGCCCTGAATATATCTCCATCACCTTCCTGAATGCACTGGGGTAACCATCTGGTTTTGTAACAAGCTGAGAGGAGCCTGGCATGTAGTGGGCACTCGATGAATATGGTGAGAATAACAAAGCATTCCTTTGCAATGCAGGGCTCAGTTGTTATGGCTTTCAAAGAAGGCAATGTAACTGACATACTGAGATCATTAAACAGCACAGGAACTAAGAAGGCAAAAGAAAGCAGTGCTTTCAACTATTCCTGTTTTACAGAGTACTTGTTGAAACTGTAAAAAGATATTTAGAACCACAAAAACTAGGCCAAGGGTAAGAAAAACTCTTCATACCCAAGAGAATTCAGCTGACCAAATTAAGTCTGATCCAGAATAAACAGCACTCATCTGGAAATCTAGCAGTTCCAGAAAGTACTGTCCAAGGGGAAAAAGACCCACAACGTTGATCTGCATAATTATATAACCCTTTAACAAAGAGACAAGAAGCGCTATCGTGCTGGAGTGCATGGGGAAAATCAAATGTGAGCATGAGCAAAGCTGGGCTCACTTGAGAAAATAACAGGTCTCAGCCCTCAAAGAAGAGGACTTTGTTACTGAAGAGAATCTGGGCTCATGTGCCCTTTCTCATGAACTTGACCAACCTCAGTGTGTTTTCTCTGTGTTCACCCAACATCCAAAACCAAAAACAAGGTTTCTATTATCAACTCCCTCCAGCAGAAATTACTTACAAATAGTCATGTGAGGAGCATTGCACATGAAGGAACACATTGGAAACTAAACTGAAGCTTGGCTATTACAAACAGGTCAAGACTATTCATGTTGGTATTTTACCAAGAAAAGCATAATCACTATCCCCTTAAAAGCCAATTAAAACATCAAATAAAAACGAAATCTGGCCAGGTGTGGTGGCTCATGCCTGTAATCCCAGCACTTTGGTAGGCCTAGACGGGCGGATCACCTGAGGTCAGGAGTTCAAGACCAGCCTGGCCAACATGGCGAAACCCCGTCTCTACTAAAATATAAAAATTAGCTGGCTGTAGTGGCGTGCGCCTGTAGTCCCAGGTACTCGGGAGGCTGAGGCAGAAAAATTGTTTGAACCCGGGAGGCAGAGGTTGCAGTGAGCCGAGATCATGCCACTGTACTCCAGCCTGGGTGACACAGCAAGACTGTCTCAAAAAACAAACAAACAAAAAACCCCTAAATGCTAGATGGGAAGAGGAACTTAAAACATAACTTTCTTTCTCCAACATATGTAAAAATCCAGGCTTGAAATTGAAAGCGGGGGCTTGAAGAGAGATCTGTACACCCACGTTCACAGAAGCATTTTCCATAGAAGCCAAAGGATGGAAATAACCTAAGCAGCCATTGACAAATGAATGGATAAACACGATGTGGTGTATCCATATGAGAGGGAAATTCTGACCCATGCTACAACATCAATGAAGCTTGAAGACGTATTTCATGAAATAAGCAAGTCACAAAAAGACAAACACTATTATATCTGATTCTGATGTAGAGCAGGTGAGCCCCAAAATTGGGGCTTGCCCCAGGACTAAGGTTCTTGGCTTTGCCCAAGAGAGAATTCAAGGGTGAGCTGGCGGTGTCAGCAACTTTTATTGAAGTGGCAGTGCACAGCAGCAGTAGCAGAGGCACTGCTCCTTGTGGGGCGGGGCTACCCCCATAGGCTGTGTGCCCAGAGTAACAGCTCAGAGGCAGGTCTGCAGTCATATTCATACCCACTTTTAATTATACGCAAATTAAGGGGCAGATTATGCAGAAATTTCTAGAAATAGATTAACTTCTGGGTCATTGGCTCATGCCATGGAAATGGGTGGTAACTTCCAGGTGTTTTCATGGCAATGGTAAGCTGACAATGGGTCTGTCTTATGGAAAGGTGCTTTCGCCTCTTCCCTGTTTCAGCTAGTCTTCAATCTGGTCTGGAGCATGAGCCCTGTCTCTGGAGTCGAGTCCTGCCTCCTACCTCAATTCCACTCCTATGTGGCAACCAGAGTAGTCAAATTCTCAGAGACAGAAAATAGAATGCTGGTTACCAGGAGGTAGAGGGAGCCAGAATGGGAAGTTAGTGTTTAATGGGTACAGAATTTCCAGCTGGGAAGATAAAAAAGTTCTGGAAATGGATCGTGGTGATGGTTACACAACACTGTGGAGGTACTAATATCAACAAATCGTACGCTTTAAAATGGTTAAGATTGTAAATTTTATGTTATGTGTATTTTACCACAATTTTTTCTTTTTTGAGACAAGGTCTCACTCTGTTGCCTAGGCTGAAGTGCAGCAGTGTGATCATGGCTCACTGCAGCCTTGACCTCTGGGGCTCAAGCAGTCCTCTTGCCTCAGCCTCCCCAGTAGATGGGACCACAGGCCGGCACCTCCATACTTTTTTTTTTTTTTTTTTTGGAGAGATGAGGTGTCACTGTGTTGCCCAGGCTGGTCTTGAACTCCTGGGTTCAAATGATCCTCCCACCTCAGCCTCCCAAAGTGCTAAGATTATAGGCACCAGCCATTGTGCCCGGCCTACCACAATTTTTTCTTAAAAAATTCAGGTTTGATTCCACAGAGCCTTTGTTTAACAATGGGAAAGGTTCTAATTTTATGTCTTCTACTTTTCCTGTGGATATTATATGTTATTCTCTACATGTGTTAATTTCTGGTAAAAAAATGACTCTGTTACATTCTGCTTACAACAGAGAAATGTCTTCTACTTTTCCTGGGATATTATATGTTATTCTCTGTATGTGTTAATTTCTGGTAAAAAAATGACTCTGTTACATTCTGTTTAAAAAAGAGAAATATAGGCCAGGCGCGGTGGCTCATGCCTGTAATCCCAGCACTTTGGGAGGCCGAGGCGGGCAGAAAACGAGGTCAAGAGATCGAGACCATCCTGGCTAACACGGTGAAACCCCGTCTCTACTAAAAACACAAAAAAATTAGCTGGGTGTGGTGGCAGATGCCTGTAGTCCCAGCTACTCAGGAGGCTGAGGCAGGAGAATGGTGTGAACCCGGGAGGCGGAGCTTGCAGTGAGCCAAGATCGCGCCACTGCACTCCAGCCTGGGCAACAGAGTGAGACTCCGTCTCAAAAAAAAAAAGAGAGAAATATATATTACTCAATACATAGGAGTCCACCCAAAAAATTATAAAGAGGTTGTTCTTTCCGTACCCCCCTCTGTGAACCTCTTGTAACACCTCATGACAATAATGAGAGTAGTTATGCAGGTCAAATTCCTTACCGATAATGCTCCATCTTCTAACCATCAGTGAAAATTAATCTTTTTGTTTCATTCACTCATCCAATAATAAGTTATTACTAACATATATTGAACAATTACTATACTATGTGCCAGGAAATGTGCTAACCACTGGGCACAGTGGTGTAAGCCTGTAGTCCCAGCTATTCAAAAGGCCTCCAAGGCAGGAGGGCTGCTTGAGGTCAGGAGTTCAAAGCCAGCCTGGGCAACATAGCAAGACCTTGTCTCAAAAAAAAAAAAAAATAGGATCATACCTAACATACATAATTCATCACACTCAAATGGCCATAGAGCTTTAGAGCTGGGAAATACAATTAGCGATCTTCAAATTCAGATGCCCTCATTATTGTTTACCTTCTTCTATTATGAAAAATTTCAAATATATTCAATAGTAGTCAAAGAGCATAATAAACTTCTTTTTATACTACAGTAAACCACTCAGTGTCAATAATTATCAATGTATGGCCGATCTTGTTTCATATTTACCCACACTTATTTTCTTCCATCTCATATAACTTTTTTTGCTGTATTTTTTTTAACTTTTTATTTGGAAATAATTTCAAATTTACAAATAAGTTGCAAAGATGGAAATAATAAAAAGAACACCCATTACCATTTACCCAGATTCACCTGTTAACATTTGTACTGCTTATTTGTACACGCTATCTCCCCCTGCACAAACACACACTCACACACACTTTTTTTCTGAACTATTTGAGGCTACATTATAAACATCATCATCTTTTACTCCTAAATACTTAATGTGTATTTCCCAAGAAAATGACATTCTCTTATGTACCATGGTACAGTTATCAAATTCAGTAAATGTAAACTAATTCAATCATTTTATTTTCTCTACCATTTGTATTCCAATTTTGTGACTTGACCCAATAATTTTTTTTTTCTATAGAGATGGGGTTTTGCCATGTTGCCCAGGCTGGTCTTGAACTCTTGGACTCAAGCAATCCATCCACCTTGGCCTCTCAAAGTGCTGGGATCACAGATGGGAGCCACTGTGCCCGACCCCAATAATGTTCTTGACAGTATTTCTTTTCCCTCCATTAGAGGATCCAGTTTTAGGTCAGGTATTGCATTCAATTGTCAGATTTTATTATTTTTTTATTTATTTTATTTATTTTTATTTTATTTTATTTTATTTTTGAGACAGAGTCTCACTCTGTTGCCCAGGCTGGAGTGCAGTGGCGTGATCTTGGCTCACTGCAACCTCCACCTCCCAGGTCAAGCAATTCTTCTGCCTCAGCCTCCCAAGTAGCTGGGATTACAGGTGCGTGCCACCATGCCCAGCTAATTTTTGTATTTTTTTGTAGAGACAGGGTTTCGCCATGTTGGCCAGGCTGGTCTTGAACTCCTGACTTTAGGTGGTCCACCAGCCTCGGCCTCCAAAAGTGCTAGAATTACAGGCATGAGCCACTGCACCCAGCCTGTCAGTCTCTTTTAATTAAGAAAATTTCGGCCTGGCACAGTGGCTCATGCCTGTAATCCCAGCACTTTGGGAGGCCGAGACGGGCAGATAACGAGGTCAGGAGATCAAGACCATCCTGGCTAACATGGTGAAACCCCGTCTCTACTAAAAACACAAAAAAATTAGCTGGGTGTGGTGGCGGGTGCCTGTAGTCCCAGCTACTCAGGAGGCTGAGGGAGGAGAATGGCGTGAACCCGGGAGGCGGAGGTTGCAGTGAGCCGAGATTGCACCACTGCACTCCAGCCTGGGCGACACAGTGAGACTCTGTCTCAAAAAACAAAAACAAAAACAAAAACAAAAAAAAAAAAAAAGAAAATTTCCAGAACCTTTGTCCTTTATGACATAGACTTTTTGGAAAAATAAATTCCTCTTTCTTCTTTTAAGATGTTCCTTGTGTGGAGGCTGTCTGCTGTTTCCTTATGATTAGATTCAAGATGTGCACATCTTGACAAGGTGACTCTAGTCAGTATACTGACTAGGTGATATTGTGTCCTTTTCAGGGTATCACATCTGGAGGCATATGATGGCCAGTGTCAATACTGATCACCAGTTAAGGTTGTTGCCTGATTCATCCCTGTACAATTACTGTTTTTTTCCTTCTTAGAGATAATTAACAGTCTGTGGGACAACACTTTGAGATCAAGAAATATCCTGCTTATCATCAAAATTTCCCCTAGATTCAGCATCTGTAATTAGTTACCCACTGCTATTATGCCAAATCTTAGTAGCCTAAAACAACAGATACTTATGAACTCAGACAGTTCCTATGGGTCAGGAATTTGGCAGTGGCTTGGCTGGGTGGTTCTGGCTCAGGGTCTCTAATGAGGTTGCATTTAAGCGCCAGCCAGAAGCTGCAGTCATCTGAAGGCTTGCCCAGGGCTGGAGAATCTACTTCCAAGATGATTCATTCACATGCCTGGCAAGTTAGTGCTAGAACTGAGAAGGCCTCAGTTCCTTATCACATGGAACTTTCCATAGGGCTACTTGACTGTCATCATGACATGACAGCTGGCTTCTCCTAGAGAAAGAGATCTCAGAGAGAAAGCAAGGAGAAAGCAGTGCCTCCTGTGACCTACTCTTGGAAGTCATACACTGTCATTTCCACCATATTCATTCTATTTGCCCACTTGATTCAAGGGGAAAATTAAGCATTAACTTTTTTTTTTTTTTTTGAGACACAGTCTCACTCTGTCGCCCAGAAAATAACTAGAAATTGCTTTAAAAATTATTTTGATTAGAAATTAAATATCATAAAACTTAACCTTTAAAAAAATCACAAATAGACAATTTGTAAGATACATTAAAAAGTACTATATACTTCTAAGAAAAATTTAGCTTTAAAAGCATTGATCAGAAAATAAGAGAGGTGAAAACAACAGAGCTAAGCATTTCCCTTGGGTATCAGAAGAGAGGAAACAAAAAGAAGTGAGAATAAGGACAGGAATTGGTGACAAAGAGAAACACAATAAAACCAAAGAGGACTAAAAAAAGGTATAACTTTAAAAATATTAAAACAATAGACCTCTAGAGCAAGTCTAATGAAGGAAATAAAAGATGCAAACAAAAAGCAAATGAAAAAGGGAGAAATAACTATGGACTCAACATAATTAAAATAAGAAGAGTAGGCTACACAATTTGCTAATAAATTGTAAAACCTAGGTAAAATGGATACATTTCTGGAAAATCATAAAACACCAAAACTGGCACAAAAAGAAATAGAAAACTTGAATAGAACAAAAAGCATTCAAATATCTGAAATAGAAATCAAGTATTTTCCCTCCCAAAAAGCCCTAGAATGAGATGGTTAACATGGATGAGTTATTAAACTTTTAAAAAAATCTTTTCCAAGTTGCCAGGAAGTAGGAAAAATAAAAAAAAAAAGAACACCAAAAACAAACAGACACAACAGCTCTTAATAGGAGACCAATATTAATTCCAAATCCAAATAAGGAGACGTCAACCAAAGAACAAAAGATCACTTCGCAAATACGCATATACACAAAAATTCCAGTAAGAATTTTAACTGACTAAATTCAAAAGGCATTATCCATTTGATGACATATATAAAATGGGCAAAATTCCTCTAAGGACATAAACTACCAAAGTTCACTCCAGATGAACTGGAGAGCTTCCTAATGAAATTGAATTTGTAATAAAAAACCTACCCACAAAGAAAGCTCCAGGCCGTGAGGGCTTCACTGCCAAATTCTACCAAACACTTAAGGAAGAGATAATACCAATTCTACACAAAAATCTCTCTGAAAACAGGAGACAGAACACTTGCAAATAATTTTAGGAGATGACATTACCCTGAAACCAAAACCAGACAAAATCATTACGAGAAAAGAAAACTACAACAAATATTCCTCATGAATAATAGACGAAAATCCTTAAAAATATTAGCCAACCAAATACAGCAATATAGAAAAGAAATACTACATTTGAGCAGGTGAGGTTTATCCCAGGATACAAGCTAGATCAACACTCATATATCAAAAAATGTGTCGACTTCCAAATATGGCCGAGTTAAGAAACTGGTATCTCCCATTCTCCAAAACAACTTTAAAGTTGGACAAAATTATTTAAAAAAACACTCATATAGGGTTCTAGAAATTAACCAAAAGGAAGCAACAACGTGGGAAGCATTGATTCATAAAAAACTGAGAAACTCTGGGTAAAAACAGTGGGAGTCTGTGGCATTTTTACCTAGTTTGCTCCCATCCACCTCGGCACCACCCCCATCTCCCCCATACTGTTAGTGAAATAGTTCTTTTGAAGGGGGCAGGATGGAGTATGACTAGTCATAAAAATAACCTTTACTACTGGAGCAGGCTGACCTGATTTGGGGCAGACAGCTAAAAACCTACACTCAGAGGCACTATCAGTAAAAGTAGAGAACTCAGTAGGAAATGAAAGGCTGGGTAGCCTTGCCACTCTCTTCCTTTAACCAATGTCAAAATTAAGAATTTATGAGCCAATGCCCTTGATCAAAGTTACGTATTTCTAAAAATACTAAAGTTACAACTAAGTTATTTCTAATTTGCAAATAACATAGCTTATAGCATTTTTTGGCCCTGGCATAATTTTAGGCTATGACAGAAAATGACAATAATCGCTTTAACCTGAATTAATACCTTAACTGGTTCATGTTCCCCAGTGAATAAAACAGATTCCATAAATGCAGGACTAGGGTTATTTCACTTGTCTTCCTGCTCGCACTCTGCATACTGGCTGACTCACCCACCTTTCAGCTCTCATCCTCAGAGCTGACTTCCAGGATCCTTCCCTGATGCTCCTCCTGTGTATTCCTGCAGCACTCTGTACTTCATTTTTTATCATAGCCTTTATTACACTGTATTATAACTGCTAAGAATTGTTTCTATTTTCCGAATTTTCCGCTAGACCATACCTTAATCAGTTTTCTATCTCTAGGATACTTTCTACTATCAGACACACAGGACGTACTGAATGAATGAATGAATGAATACATTTTCAACTATAGTTTTAAAGTTTTAAAAATCTTTCCACAGATTGTAGACCACCCATTTAATGGTCCATGTGTTTTCAATCTTTTAAGCAAAAACAACCCTTGTTCTTATTAAAACCTATATGAAAGAGATTAAGGTTAAACTGCCCTGGGTAAAAGAGAGGCTAGGAGACAGGGGAGTAGACAGCCCTCAGGGAAGAGTCCTGGGAAGTCGTAGGACTTCACATAACCCAGTTTCAAAACCATAGCATTAATCTAGTACAGAAAGAAGAAAATCACCAATAAAAATAAATTATAGGAAAAAAGGTAGTTTATTTTTTCCATGTTGGTTCTTGTGCTGCTTTTTTAAATTAAATCTTTGATAGCCTCCTGACTTAGGATGTGCTGATTAAAACACCAAAATAAAATAGGCAAAGCAATTATGGACAGGGAGAATCCTTAAAATTATAAGACAGACTTCTCCATTTTATCTTCCCTTCTACTCTAATACCAAAAACAAAAATCTTCTTTAAATAAGACTAACTTAGATTAAATAATCTATAAAGGCTTATAAAAGCCTTTTACAAGTAATGACTTGAAAACTGGGGAGAAAAAAGAATGAGACTATAATACGATCTCCAGTTAAGGCTCTAAAGATGGTGTCTTTACCAGTTACAAAGAAGCTAGAGAAAAACGACTGTATAGACCTTAAAATTCGATCTTTAATCTCTAGAGTTTTCCTGCTTTAAAATTTTAAAATTTTAGTGATATAGAAGGACCAATAAAATAAGAGATTGTTTTAAGAAACTAATTTTGGAGAACAAAAATCTATATACAATTACATTTACTTTCTATTATATTAAATACATAAAATAATAGGTGAACAGACTTCATCCTAGAATTTCATTTAATAGTGATACTTGAATAACTCAATTTATTCTTAGCTTATTAGATTCTTTTCAAGTCTTTCAAGTTTAAGCAAAAAATGCACTTACGTCATCTGCAATACCAAAAATTTTAGATGTCAAGTATTTAAGTATGACAGTTCCAAATAACCAAAAACATCCTTGAATAACCTAAAAAAAGAAAACAAAAATAACTTTGATGCTTCATATTCCACAGACATAGGCTAGGAAGAAAAAAATAAATGCTTTAATCATACATGAAATACATATTACTATCTACAAGAGAAAATGCTAGAAAATGCATCTCAATTTAAAATCAAGCATGTTGCTCAAAATCAAGGGACAGTAACTAAAAATAAAAATATAATCATACAATCTTATCAAAATTAATATATTTTATAGAAGATTTACACAACCACTGCAGTTAAATTCCCTTTAACAGTTTCTTATACATGCACTGTTTCTCAGATGAAACATGAGTAATAAATAAAACTGGAATTTTTAAACTACATACCCAGGATTAACTTTAACTTGTTTCATAAAAAGGGCAATTTGGTACATTAAAACTGAGCCCTAAAATACTATAAAACTGTTGGATCCCCTGAGTTACATAGATCATTTTCTTAAAAGTAAAACATAAAACCAATGATATATTTTAGAGAAGAAAAAACATAAGCATTAAAATAGATTGATTCTCACCCATAAACTAAGTTCAGATACATTTATTTTCAGGAAATGTGGTTTCATTGCCAGAATACCCTGAGTAGAGAAAAATAACATAGTATACACAGTTAATACTTACAGACATAAATTCAAGTACCAAAAAATTCTTCTAAATGATAAGATTCTCAAGTATCTAAAATTGAGCAAACAGTCAACTTTCCACATACCATCCACATGCTCATGTCTATAGTCAGTGACTTCAAGGTATAGCCCTATTATCCAAAGTCAATTAGGTGAAAGCGTGACTTTTTAAAGTTGAAAAAGGAATCACCATATGTAAATGTCTATCACTGATTTGACATATCTGATTTATCTCTGAGCCATGAGGTATATAACATTTTCAGAATTGCATACAGGCATAAGATTTTCCTTTAGCTAAAAATTACTGACTCTTAGGGTAAACAACAAATGAAATGTTAATGGATCAACTAAATACTTCTCTTGTCAAATCTTAAGTATTTTCAGGTAGTAACGCTCCCAAACTGTATTACCCTTGGGGAGCTAAAACTACTTCAAACATCGCAAAAATATGATTAGAGATCACAACATAAATACTTGAAACCAAATTAAATCTTTTTGGAAGTTTCTGAATAACTGAGAATACAAAATGTGATACAATTCAGGTTTCAAAGTGATTAATTATAAATATATGCAAATATGTTTATAGTTAAATATGCACAAACATGCTGTACTCCCTGTTATCATTTATTTTTATACACCAAAATATATGGAATATACATAAATATGCTTAATTCATATCTAAGACGCACCTCAGTGTGAAGCATCTGGCAGCATACCTGACATACAGAACTGAAGAGAAATTTCCTACAAAAGGCACTTAAATTAGATTTTATTTATATGTAATATTTGATTCAGTGGTTTCCTTGTCCATAGTACCAAGATTCATGTACTTTATCCTGGGTGATAGCAGTACATGACAAAGTACATATGTAATATATACAACTGAGTACTTTGTCACTTTGACACAGAACTGAAGAACTACACTTATTAATCCCGAAGTTATGATTTTTCTTGTTGTTGTTGCTGAAAAATACAGCATCATGCTAATTGCTAATTTCTGTAGCTAAGTATACCCAAGGTACAACCTGAAAAGGGTGGTGGCCCAGACTGGGAAGAGGCATATTTTTAAGAAATGCGTTTTTAAATAAATATTATTTGTAAAATAATAAAAATGGAGGTTTCAAATGTAATGGCTTCTAGAAATTAAGAAACCCCAAATGATCTGAGTAACTTAATTACTCAAGAAGTAGAATACATTCCAATTACGACAGTGCAATGTGCTTTTAAAGTCATCGGGAAACTAAAGCACATGCACTTTAAACATAAGGAATAACAAGTTTGCAAAACATTTTAATGGAAACCCACCAAAAAAAAAGGCAGTCTTTAAATTTCAGAAGACTTTTAGACTTACAAAGTCATCCTGCCAGCTGGGCGCAGTGGCTCACACCTGTAATCCCAGCACTTTGGGAGGCCAAGGTAGGCAGATCACCTGAGGCCGCGAGTTCGAGACCAGCCTGACCAACATGGAAAAACCCCGTCTCTACTAATAATACAAAATTAGCCGGGCATGGTGGCATATGCTTGTAATCCCAGCTACTCAGAAGGCTGAGGCAGGAGAGTCACTTGAACCTGGGAGGCAGAGTGAGCCGAGATTGCGCCATTGCACTCCAGTGTAGGCAATGAGAGCGAAACTCCATCTTTAAAAAAAAAAAAAAAAAACACAACAACAACAACAACAAAAAAAAGTCATCCTGCCAAATGTAGCAGAAGGAATTAGATGACCTTCCATCAATTTGTTCTAATTCTGTAAAATAATCTCTCCATAAGCTAAAGCTGTTCTTGGTAGTGATTTAGCAATATAAAATTGAATCATCACCTTACTTAAACCTTCTGAATAAGTCCATACAAGTAGACAAGGGGCAAAAAACAAAACAAAACAAAACAAAACAAAAACCCTAAGTAACCAAGGCCTTGATCTTCTGATCACTGTGGAATGAAGAGGGGAGGCTGTTGTAAGACTGCAGTTTGAGGAAAGGGGTTCAAAAAGTGGAGCAGGAGTAGGATAAAAATGGAAAGGAGGAAGGGAGAAGAAAGCATATAAATCTTTCTGAAATGATACTAATTTTTCATTGTTTTTTTTTTCCTGTTTTAAAAGTGAGTACTTAAACACCATCACATCTAGAATATTAAGTAAGACACTTAAGATGGTTCCTACAGAAAACCCTCATGAATCCTAAGCCAGTGAAGAAGAAATTGTTAAACCATTAATTTCAAAAACAGCCAAATAAGTAAGGAATATTTACCCAAATAATTACCAAAGAAGCAGCATAATAATAACATTGAGTTCCCAAACATCACAACAAAACAAAGTGCAAGAGAAATCTGGAAAAAATCCAAGAAAAAAATATAAGTAATGCACATAAAACAAAAAACCTTTGTTTTTTATTGTGAAAATTGTACATGCCCATAATAAACAGAATTCAAACTGTTCAAAAGGGACTATAAGATTAAAACAGCCCATTATCCATCCCACACTTCAAGCTCCCAGAGATAACCATCAACAGTTTCCTGTGCATCCTTCCAGACAACATGTATAAATTCTAGTTTATATATTTTGTTAAAACACAAACGGACACTTACCCCACAAGCTATACTATTTCTTGCTTTTATTCGTAATATGTTTCAAAGAGCTTTCCATATGCATGCAAGCCAATCTAATACATTCTGCTTAAGAACTGGAAAAAGTATTCTATTCCACAGATGTACCCTAATTTAACTAGTCCTCCGAATACTGCAAAACACTTAAGAGCTTTCCACTTCTATTTTGTTTTGTTTGGATCTTCCTAATAAAAACACTGCTATGATAGACATCCTTATGTGTATACCTTATGTACATGTCAGTACATTTATGAATAAATTACTAGAAGTGAAACTGATGGATCAAGGATATCCACATTTTTAAATTCAATACAAATATTGACAAATTGGCCTACAAAAAGATTGTGCCAATTCCCTTTCCCACCAACTGGGCAGGAGAGTTCCTATGGATATATATTCTGGCAACACTGTATTATTCTTTTAAATATCTGCCAATCCAGTGGGGAAAAAATGTTACCTCATTGTTTCACTTTTCCATTCTTTTAATAGTAGATGAGACACAGCACCTTTTATTCTATTTGCTGGTTATGTTGTCTTGTGTGTATGTGTGAACTGCTTATTCCAACTGCCCATCTGTCTATTGGGCTTTCATTATTTTCCTTAACAGCTCTCTTCATATATTACAGAACATAGCCCCAATATCCAGAATATACAAGGGACTTAAACAAATTTACAAGAAAAAAACAAACAACCCCATCAAAAAGTGGGCGAAGGATACGAACAGACACTTCTCAAAAGAAGACATTTATGTGGCCAACAAACATATGAAAAAAAAAGCTCATTATCACTGGTCATTAGAGAAATGCAAATCAAAACCACAATGAGATACCATCTCACACCAGTTAGAATGGTGATCATTAAAAAGTCAGGAAACAACAGATGCTGGAGAGGATGTGGAGAAACAGGAACACTTTTATACTATTGGTGAGAGTGTAAATTAGTTCAACTATTGTGGAAGATAATGTGACGATTCCTCAAGGATCTGGAACCAGTAATACCATTTGACCCAGCAATCCCATTGCTGGGTATATACTCAAAGGATTATAAATCATTCTACTATAAAGATACATGCACACATATGTTTATTGCAGCACTATTCACGATAGCAAAGACTTGGAACAAACCCAAATGCCCATCAATGATAGACCAGATAAAGAAAATGTGGCACATATACATTATGGAATACTATGCAGCTATAAAAAAAGGATGAGTTCATGTCCTTTGCAGGGACATGGATGAAGCTGGAAACCATCATTGTCAGCAAAGTAACACAGGAACAGAAAACCAAACACTGTATGTCCTCACTCATAAGTGTCAGTTGAACAATGAGAACACATGGACACAGGGAGGGGAACATCACACACTGGGGCCTGTTGGGGGTGGGGGGCTAGGGGAGGGATAGCATTAGGAGAAATACCTAATGTAGATGACAGGTTGATGGGTGCAGCAAACCACCATGGCACATGTATACCTATGTAACAAACCTCCACTTGCTGCACATGTACCCCAGAACTTAAAGTATATGTGTGTGTGTGTATATATATATATATATATATATATACACACACACACAAACACACACATATATAAAGAACATAGCTCCTTATCAAGTAAACATATTGTAAATATTTTTCTCAGTTCATTTTTGACCTTTGTGGTATTTTTTGTATTATGGTTATTTTCTAAATATTTATGTTAGCAAATGTATCTTTCATTTCCTTTAGGTCTTTGGATTTATCTGTCATTTAAAAAGGCACTAAAAATAAAATAATCCATATTTTCTTCTAGAAGTTTTATTTTTGATCCATATATATCAATTTCAATGTGAATTTCAGAATCAGCTTGTTTCAAAAACTAAAATTTTTATTAAAATTGCTTTATTCAATAACGTATGTTATTTACAGTTATATCTGTTCAAGATTGAATCTTTAGATCCCAAAGCAATACATGTTCCTTCCATTTCTTTAAATCTTCTTTTACATGCATTAGCAAGTACGGTTTTCTTTATATAGATCCTGCATATTTTCTTGAGTTTATTCTAAAGCATATTATTTTTGCTGCTGTTGTATCAAGAATCTTCATATTTTCTGTTTGCATATAGAAAAATTATATTAAATATGCATCAATGAATATGATTTCATTGTTTCTAGTAGTTTATTTGGATTTCTCAAGTATTCAAAATGATATCAACTACAAACAATGATATTTTTACATTTTCCTTTGAATTATTTTTCAGTCAATTGTATTAGCTGACATTTCTGCAACAATGTTAAGTAATGAGAGAGGCAGTAGGCATATTTACCATGCTTCTGGCATTAATGGAAATAGGAAATTGTTCTATGGCTTCATCATTGTATGTGATACTAGTTTTTGTTTTGAGGTGTGGGTATCTTAAATTTCAATGAAATATCCGTCTATTTTTACTTGATTATGGTCTTTTTTTTTTTTTTTTTTTTTTGAGACGGAGTCTCGCTCTGTCGCCCAGGCTGGAGTGCAGTGGCGCGATCTCGGCTCACTGCAAGCTCCGCCTCCCAGGTTCACGCCATTCTCCTGCCTCAGCCTCCCGAGTAGCTGGGACTACAGGCGCCCGCTACCACACCCGGCTAATTTTTTGTATTTCTAGTAGAGACAGGGTTTCACCGTGTTAGCCAGGATGGTCTCGATCTCCTGACCTCGTGATCCACCCACCTGGGCCTCCCAAAGTGCTGGGATTACAGGCGTGAGCCACCGTGCCCAGCCTATTATGGATTTTTTCAAACTTCTCAATGTGATAAATCATATTAATAGAATTTCTAATATCAACACATTCCTGAATTCCTGGAATGAGGCACTTAGATACAAATTTAACTATGTAAAAAATCTATCTGAGCAAAACTACAAAACTTCAATGAAAGTAATCAAAGAACTTTATAAATACATGAAGTTATTCCACATATAGGAAGGTTCCATATTGTCAAGATGCCAGTTCTTCCCAACTTGATCTACAGATTCAGCACAATCCCAATCATGAGCCTAGCAAGTTACCAATAAAGTGATTCTGAAGTTTATATGGAGATATAAACAACCCAGTATAGAGCCAACTCAATACTGAAGAGCAAAGTCAGAGGACTGACACTACCCCACTTCAAGACTTACTATAAAGTTACTGTAATCAAGACAGTGTGGTATTTGTGAAAGAAGACACGAACAGATCAAGGGAACAAAACACAGAGCCCAGAAATAGACTCACATATATAGTCAACTGATATTTGACAAAGGAGCAAAGGCAATACAGTGGAGCAAAAATTGTCCTTTCAACAAACGGTGCTGGAACAACTAGAGATCCACATACAAAAAAATAAATCTAGACATAGACTTTACACCCTTCATGAAAACTAACTCAAAACAGACAACAGATCTACATGCACATTGCAAAACTATAAAGCTCCTAGAAGATAACATTGGAGGAAACCTAGATGACCTTAGGTACGATGATGACTTCTTAGATAAAACAAAAAGGTACAATTCATGAAAGAAATGATTGATAAGCTGAACTTCACTAAAATTAAAAACTTCTGCTCTTTGAAAGACAGGACAATGATTGAGAAAAGATATCTGCAAAAGACACATCTGATAAGGGATTGTTATCAAAAACATACAAAGAATTCTTAAAACTCGACAATAAGAAAATGAACCACCCAAGGAAAAATAAGCAAAAGATCTGAATAGACACTGCACCAAAAAAGATACACAGATGGCAAAAAAAAAGCATAATAAAAGATGTTGAACCAAATTAAAACAATGAGATACCATTACACATCTATTAAAATGGCCATAATCCACCATGACACCACCAAATGCTGACAAGGATATGGAGCAGCAGGAACTCTCATTTATTGCTGGTGGTAATGCAAAATGGTATGGCCACTTTGGAAGACAGTTTGGCAATTTCCTAAAAACTAAGCATACTCTCACCATACCATCCAAATATCACTTTCCTTGGTATTCACTCAAATGAACTGAAACATCCATGTAAAAACCTGCATACAGATGTTTATGGCAGCTTTACTCATAATTGCCCAAACTTGGAGTTAACCAACAGTTATTCAATAGGCGAATAAATAAACAGTGGTACATCCATATAATGTTAATAAAATGTTAATAATAATCAAGATTGAAATGAGCTATCAAGCCATGAAAAGACTTGGAGGAAACTTATTTGCTTTTTACTAAGTGAAAGAAGCCAATATGAAAAGGCTACATACTGTATGGTTCCAAACACATGACACTATACAAAAGGCAAAACTATGGAAACAGTAAAAAGATCAGCGGCTGCCACGGGTTAGGGGGAAGGAGGGATGAATAGGTGGAGCACAGAAGAGCTTTATGGCTGTGAAACTGTTCTACAAGATACTACATGGTTGACACATGTCATTATACATCTGTCAAAATCCAGGCCGATTGCGGTGGTTCACATCTGCAATCCTAGCACTTTGGGAGGCCAAGGCAGAAGGATCCCTTAAGCCCAGGAGGTCAAGGCTGTGGTGAGCCATGTTTACACCACTGAACTCCAGCCTGGGCAACACGGCAAGACCCTGTCTCAAAAAACAAAACAAAACACAACAACCACCCATAGAAAAGTGAGGCCTAACGTAAACTACGGATTTTGGGTGATTCTGATGTGTGATGTAGGTTTATCAACTGTAACAAATGTACCACTCTGGTGCGGGATGTCAATAGAGGGGTAGGTTGTGCATGGTTGGGGGCAGGGGGTATGTGGGAACTCTGTACTTTCTGCTTAATTTTGCTATAAACCTGGCTGGGTGCAGTGGCTCATGCCTGTAATCCCAGCACTTTGGGAGGCCGAGGTGGGCAGATCACATGAGGTCAGGAGTTCAAGACCAGCCTGGCCAACATGGTGAAATCCCATCTCTATTAAAAATTCAAAAATTAGCTGAGTGTGGTGGCACGTGCCTCTAATCCCAGCTACTCGGAAGGCTGAGGCAGGAGAATCACTTGAACCTGGGAGGCAGAGGTTCCAGTGAGCCAAGATCGTGCCACTGCACCCCAGCATGGGTGACAGAGCGAGATCCATCTCAAAAAAAAAAAAATAATTTTGCTGTAAACCTAAAACTTCTCTGAAAAATAAAGATTTTTAATTAAGAAACAAAAACCACAGTGAGGTATCACCTTATAACTATTAGGATGGCTACCATCACAAAAGCAGAAAATAAATGTTGGTGATTACATGGAGAAAATAGAACCTCATGCACTGTTTATAGGAATGTAAAACGTACAGCTACTATGGAAAAGTTTGGCAGTTCCTTCAAAAATAGATTTACCATATGATCAATCCAGCAATTCCACTTTTGGGTACATACTCAAAATAATTGAAAACAAGATCTCAAAAAATATTTGTTCATAGCAGCATTATTTACTATAGCTGAAACATCGAAGTAACTCAAGTATCTGTGGACAGACTGAATAGATAAGCAAAATCGTGTGTGTGTGTGTGTGTGTGTGTGTGTGTACACACAATGGAATCCAAGTATCCATGGACAGGCTGAATGGATAAGCAAAATCTAGTGTGTGTGTGTATGTGTGTGTACACACAATGGAATCCAAGTATCCATGGACAGATTGAATGGATAAGCAAAATCGTGTGTGTGTGTGTGTGTGTGTGTGTGTGTACACACAATGGACTATTATTTAGCTTTAAAAGGAAGGAAATTCTGACATGCTTCAACATAGAAGAAACTTGGGGACAGTAGGCTAATTGAAATAGGCCAGTAACAAAAAGACAAATACTGTATGATTTCACTTACATGACATACATAAAGTAGTCAAAATCACAAAGACAGAAAGTAGATGGTGGTTTCCAGGGGCTGGGAAGATGGAAGAATATGGACTTTAATGGGTATAGAGTTTCAGTTTTGCAAGATGAAAAATGTTCTGGAAATAGATGGTGGTGATGGTTGTAAAACAATGTGAATGTACTTAATATCACTGAACTGTATAATTAAAAATGCTTAAGGTGGTAAATTTTAAGTTACATGTATTTTACCACAATAAAAAATGGAAAAATAATTTTTTTGGAATAATTCTATATATTTTTTCTTTTTATAACTATAAGAATTTAGAAATTTATAAAACGATAATGGAAGAAGATAGAAAATAGTAAGTCATATAATAAAGTATGTATCATTTACCCAAGGTAGGTTTTACGGCTAACTACGCTGTGTAATTTTATAATTTTATAACTAAAACTTTGAGTCAAGGCCCTCAGCCATAGTTGTCTATGTGACCAGCCAACTCTGAAGGCTTAACATTTAATCTGATTTATACTACAAAATAAAAAACTATTTTAAATAGTTTGGGAAAAAATAAGCCGCATCTAAAAAATACATAATTACTGTCTAACACATTCATGAACAAGGATGTAAAAATCCTATCAAAATGACAGCAAACTGAATCCAGCGACATGCAAAAATTGTGTTTAGCCCAGAAAAGCAAGTTTATTTAACGGTAGAAAATTAATTAATGTTAATTCATTACAGTAACAGATTAAAGAGGGGGAAATACATAGAATCATGTAAACAGATGTACGAAAGCATTTCATGAAACTTAACATTTATTAATTTCTTTTTAAAAGTGCTCAAAGCATGATGAGGACATGTTAAAAGGAAAGAGAAGTCAGCTTGAATAGTTGGACAAGTGTGGAACAATTGGAGCATCAACATAAATAACAAAAATAATGGATTACACTGCACTGACTAAAATAGATGTCATTTTCTTTTGGACACAAGACAAACTGGTAAAAGATTTGAATAGGAATTTACAACAGTGGAAACATGAAGGGCGTACAAACAAACCAAAAGATGCTCAGCTTCATTATGAATCAGAGAAAATGCAAATTAAGGTTATAAGATACCATTTTACATGAACCAGATTAATAAAATAAAAAAGGATGTAGAATAACATAAGCTGCTATATATTGCTGTTGGAAGTAGTCCAATCATTTTAGAAAAACAATTTGGTATTTATAAAGTTGAACATGTACATAATTTACCACCCAACAAGTTTACTACTAGGTAAACACCCTAGAGAAACTCTCAACATAGGTGCCCTAGGAGATATGTGAAGAATGTACAGCATTATTTATAACTAAAATAAGAAGTTGGGGAGAGAGGAGAGAACCTAAATGTCCTTCAACAAGAAAATGAATAAATGAATTACGCTTTATTTATATGATGGAAAATATAAAGCAGTGAAAATATTTGAATTCTAGTTACATATAAGTAGCAGAAATCTGAGTGAAAAAATAGTACTTATAAAATGCCATTTGTATAAACCTTACAAAGAATGTGAACATTTAATAATAAAAATTTATACTATTTAGTAATCCACATATGGTAAAGTTATAAAGAAAAGCAAATTGATTACGATTCAAAAAGTCAGAATAGCGGTTACCTCTAGGAACAGTGAGGGGATGAGCTCAGGGCATACAGGACTTAAAAGTAACAATAAGGTTCTATTTTCCATTTGGAGAGTAGGCTCCCGGTTGTTTATTTTATGACTGTGTTTATAACTTCCTTGCACATTATAAATGTTCTTTTATATGTATAAATTGTTAAGAAAATGAAAATGGGATATTATGACAGTTGTAAAATTATCAGGAAAAGAAAACATCAATATAAAAACTAATGAGAGAGAAGACAAATGTTTGTTTTTAAAGGATAACCATTCAAGAACATCAACCAATCGGCTTTAGGGTCTTTATTCTAGCTGTTCCACCAACCTAGGTATCAGTTTCTTTGATATCTACTTGGCTAACTCGTTCTCCTTCTTCCAATCTTTGTTCTACTCCCCCTTTTCAAGAAGACCTGCCCTGACCACCTCATTTGATTTTTCCATCTCCTACCCCCTGATCTTGGTGCTCCTGATCTGCCTTACCCTTACCTTTTCTTTCTTCTAAAATCTCTTTTTGTAATTTTTTATAGAGATGGGGGTCTCACCCAGGCTGGTCTTAAACTCCTGGGCTCAAATGTCCTCTTGTCTCAGCCTCCCCAGGCCACCATGCCTGGCCTAAAATCCTTATCACCTTCTAACACCCTACAAAATTTACCCATTTACTATGTTTATTATTTATCTTCTGTCTTCCCTCCTTCCCCCACTCTGTTAGAATGTAGTAATATGAATGCTGGTGTATTCCACATGCCTGGATAGTTGACACTCAGTAAATGAACTTTTTTTCTTTTTTGTAGAGACATGGTCTTGCTATGTTGCCCAGGCTGGAGTGCAGTGGCATGATCATAGCTCAGTGCAGTCTCAACCTCCCGGGCTAATGCGATCCTCCCACATCAGCTTCCTAAATAGCTAGTACTACAGGCATGCGTCACCGTGCTAGGATAATTTTATTTTATTTTAGTAGAGATGAGATCTGGCTCTGTTGCCCAGGCTGGTTTCAAACTTCTGGCCTCAAGTGAACTCCACCTTGGCCTCTCAAAAGTGTTGGGATTACAGGCATAAGCCACCATGTTAGGCCCTTCTACTTCATTTTAACAGACAGCTCCTGGATAATATATCAGTCCCATGTTTCCGTTTCATAAATTATTTCTTTTACTGATAATGCATAAGTTGGGAACAACTTCAATCAGATAATATGACCCAAATTAAATTTTTGTGAGTGGTCTATCAAAACAAGGTCTGTTGATTATATCACAATGTTTGAACAACATTTGTTTTAGTTATGAAATTGTTACAACTAGTTTCAACCATGAACAAATCAAATATTAATCAGGAGTTTAAGGGCAAACTAAATGGAAAAGAACAATAAAAAAATTATTACCATGTGTATATAAATGATCTTCCATAATTTACATATATCAATGTACCCGACAACATACACTGCAAATAATGATGCAATCTGAAATTTAAAAAGAAAATAGAAGTAAAAAAGATAAAATGAATAGCTACAAGAATGAAGAATATATTTATTGTTGTTTCAACTGATTTATATCTACACACAGAGTGAGTTCTTTTGTTTTCCTTTTATCTGCCAATTTATTATTAAATATAGTCAATATATTAGTATAGAAAATATTGGTTGATTTTTCTCTCTGACACACAGCTCTCTCAATCATGTGAATTGTCTACTTTGTTGATTGTCCAAAACAATACTCATTTTAATTTCAGGTCAACCCTACTGTCAACACGTACAATTAAAAAGTACCTTGTCCAATCAAAAAAGATGAAAACGTAATTATAACATGACAACTAATACATAATTGGGGAAGGTACATTTAACTGAAAAATAATTATGCAATGCATGTGTGCATAAAAATACGTTAATTTCTGCTTGCTAGTCACTCTTTACAAGTATCTCCATTAGCGTTCTTCCATTAATACAAATATTCAAGAGTTAGTTATAATCAAATTTATCAATTTCAAATTAAGAGTACTTTCGCTGCAAAGGTATTTTTAACTTTCTTTTCCATTTGGAAGAAAATTATATGTTATATATCAATAATTCTAAGAGTACTGGAATTATTTAGATGAATTGATTAAATGATGATACAGTATCTCTTACATGGAGGTAATATGTCAGACAATGCCTCTACACCCTTCCTCATAGAGAAAGCAATTCAAATTAAATTCTTCCTGTCCTACTACAAAAGCATAGCATAAACAGATTGCAAAATAGCTGAATACTTAAACTATAACTTGTTTCATTCATCAAGTTTTTTTATCTCTAAAGCAATCTACAACAAATTTTTTCATTAGTGAGAAAAACAACTAAGTTTCCCTTTATTCAGAGTTACCCATGGAGAACACTGCATTTCTTAGGGTGCCTGATATGACATAACAACTGTGGGGAAGTGTGTGTTATTATTCAATGTAAGCCCCACAGGGAGGCAAAATACCTCCCCTGACCCTCACCTCCACAAAAAAGCAGGCAGTCTCCACTATCAGGAAGCAATGAGAATGCTCCCTTTTCACCCCAAGGGCTAAGCAACACACAGTACATTTACAGGGTAGAATTTTCAAGAGACAATCTCAGAGACAATTTTAAACCAGAAACTGATTGAAAATGTCATCGAACTAAGTTAGACAAAGGAGTCTACAAGACAAGATCAAAGTAAAAAGTAAGTACAAATAGAGCCTATTTTAAAAAATAATGATAAAACCAACTAACCTTACTGACACCTACTAAGTACCAGGTACTGTGTTAAGAATCATATACATTACTTCATCTGGTCCTATCCGCAACCCAATAAAGTAGGTTCTTTTATTATCTCTATTTCAGAAATGAGAAAACCTAAACTAAGAAAAGTTAACTACTTTATCCAAGTTAAGAGGCTACTGAATAGAATTAGGACTCAAATCCAAGTCTAACTTCATTTCTCAAGCAAGACGTTCTAAAAAATATTAAAAAGCTGCCAGGCGCCGTGGCTCACGCCTGTAATCCCAGCACTTTGGGAGGCTGAAGCAGGCGGATCACGAGGTCAGGAGATCGAGACCATCCTAGCTAACAAGGTGAAACCCCATCTCTACTAAAAATACAAATAATTAGCCAGGCATGGTGGCATGCGCCTGTAGTCCCAGCTACCTGGGAGGCTGAGGCAGGAGAATCGCTTGAACCCGAGAGGTGGGGGTTGCAGTGAGCCGAGACTGCACCACTGCACTCAAGCCTGGGCAACAGAGCAAGACTCCATCTCAGAAAAAAAAAAAAAAAAGCAACTCTTCAACTGCTTTATACAAATATACCAGTACAATAAAAAAAATAGTAGGCAGGGAAAAAAATGAGTATATAACTCATTTTTTTTTTTGAGAGTATGTAACCCTCTCTCAACAAACTACCTCCATTTATAGTGGGCATGAGTACATGGAAAGGCAATAGATAAATTTCCAGACTGGTAGAGAGAATTTTATAAGAGATGAACTGGTTAGCTATTTATCCTGTAATCCTATGTGTCTGTATTTTACATGCAAGAATGTACACAACTATTCATAAAAGAAACATTTTACGTAAGAGAAATACTATTGTTAACTTAAGAGAAATACTTAAAGTTATAGCACTAGTCCTCTTTTAAGGACATTAACAATACTGAATAACAAAGATAAGCATTCTTACAAATTTGAGTTCAATAAATGCATTATGTTAGGAAGTAAATAATTAACAATCATTTATAAATAATCCTACATATTTCTCTACCCTGAACTTTCTTTTGTTCAACATTCCTAAAAAATGTTTTAGAAAAACATTTTTTCTGTTCCTGTTTTAGAAAAACATTTTTCCTAGAAAATGCTTTAGAAAAACATTTTTCCTAGAAAATGCTTTAGAAAAACATTTTTCCTAGAAAATGCTTTAGAAAAACATTTTTCCTAGAAAATGCTTTAGAAAAACATTTTTCCTAGAAAATGCTTTAGAAAAACATTTTTCCTAGAAAATGTTTTAGGACTTAGAATCATAGAACATCTCAGTTATAATTTTATGCAAATAAGTTCATAGTCAAACATGCTAAGCTTAAAACAGCTTAAAATATAATCACCTCACCTGAGTAAGAAGTACAAACTGAGCAAACTGCCAAGGAAGCATGAAAAATAAATTGGAAATGCAGAGTGCAATCAAACTTCCTCTATAAAGTTTTGTAGCCCTTGAAAAGATAAAATAAGTGTTAGTAAGTTTAAACACGAAATAGTCTAGCATGGCTCCAAACTGCTGCAAATTAGAATCTCGAAATATATATGATCTGGTTATAACACAAACCTAAACATAAAATGAACCAATGGGTTAGAAATTATACCTCCTGATACTCAATTACAACAATTTTCTTTGAAAGGTAAATACCCATTATTGCTAACAATAACACAGAGAGAAGGAGGGTGGCTGGGTCAGTATATCCACGAACATTTTTTTCAAATTATATTTTGGTGAATCCATGACTGAATATTTAAAAATACTGATTCAACAGATTCATTAGTTAGAAAGGCAGAAGATGCCTATGAAAAGATAATAGCAGCATATTCTAAGTGCTAAGTATTATGCAGACAACTACTGCAAGAATGCAGAATAAGAGCTAAGCGGCTGAGATTTTATAAGCATGTGAGATAAAAAGTTGGGTCTGGCACAGGCAGGATAACACAGAAAAGTTAAGTGGAGGAAAAGATATGGGGGCCACTCTGAAGCAATCTTTAGAGATCTCATTTTGGTACTGACTTGTAATTTAGGAGATTTTTAGGAGGGTAAGATGATTTTATCCTCTAAATCTGCGAGCCAACGCAAAGCCCCCACACATGTCCATCTTCACAGAAGTGGAGTGTGCATGTTAATATACTGAGGTGATGAAGTATAGGCAGCTCGGATACAGTAAAGACATCCTGGTTAGATAAACCTACCTGGAGCATAGAGCACCATTATGAAATGCCTTTCTTCACTTCCCCAAGTATCCCTTCTCCAAAGGACATCCCTCTCTGCTATTTTAATCCAACAAAAGTACTTTTAAACTCCAGATAACCTTTTAATGAGTTATGAAATCAACTTATGGAATAAAATTCAGCATTTAAAAATGGAGATCAGCAGAGTGAAACAGAATATATATGACTATATCCTATTTACGAGGGGTTCTATTCTGTAAAACTTTTGTTTCAGTTGTGTGCATCCATGTATGTGTATACAAAGCCACAGTGTAAAACATATTTCTTATTTCTTATAGATCATAGTCCAAAAGTTTGAAAGCCGCTGTCTAAAATAAAGTACTTCTCTACTGCTTTTGAATACTAAATATGATTTTCATTTTATGGGTAACGAGAGACATTAAGATTTCTGAGCAGAATTTAATACCAATCTGGCAGTTGGGTAAAGAATGCACTATGGGGAGATAGGAATGAACAGAAAACAAAGAAAATTCAATTGGTGATCAAAATAGCTCTGACCCAAGAAAACAGAAACAGAAACATAAATATTGCCAAGAATAATTAAAAAAAGCTAAGAACAATCAAGAAAAAGCTAAGCTGTGCTAGTATTAGGTGACTATATAAACTGAATTTCTAAAAATGCTTAAAATTCAAAACTGGACAAAACCAATTTGTTAAAATATACCACTAACCTTATTTATAAATGATTCCTAGCATTAAGGAATAGTCTCTTTTCCGGTTTTATAACAGTATCCTCAGCACTGCAGCCTGCATCAACACTGCTCAGCTTCTTCTTGGCTCCCCCAAGCCATCACCACCCACCACCTCCCTCTAATGTCATAATATGTCAACTACAGGTAGAACTCAAGAACTAAAGGAAATGGCTGCTCTTCCAAAGGAGACAATGTCAGTAATAAGGATGAAATATCAGAAGATGAAGATGGCCAATAGAGAGAAGGTTACTATCCTTCAGAAAAAAGACAAGATGTCTGCCAAAGCTTCAAGAAAGGAAGTTTAGCAGGTTTTCCCTCCAAAAAAGACTGCAGTGTCCAAGAAAGCAAAATGAAAGCCCACACTTCCAAGCAACCAGTCATAGCCACAGCAGGCAAGCAGGGAGCCATGACAACTAAGGGGCATAGCCAGGAAAGCCGTCGCAATCAGAACTGATAAGCTGCCAATGAAGATGGCGAGGAAGATCAAGACGAGATGGATCTGAACCAGGAGTGGTGAAAACAACAGCTGATTCAGCTTCAGATGACCAGGAATATGAGAAAGGAAATGTCAACTAGAATATGAACAGAGACAATGAAAAAGGCTCTAAAGAAAGGAAAGTTCTCTAAAACTTTTCAGCAAAAAGTAAAGACAGGTATGAACAGGTGGGTAAGGCTGAAAATGACAATGATAAGAGGCTAAAGAAGACACAAAAAGCTTGCCACAGAAGCACCTGGAGCCAAAAACAGAGAAGGACCCAATAGAAGGCAGCCCTTGAAGGCAGGAAACAGCAACTGGAGAGGCCCCATCCTGGTAGGCAGAATAATGGCCTCCAAAAACATGTGTCCTAATCCCTGGAACCTGTGAACATGTCATGTCACTTTTATGTACCACCACAGGATACATAAAAGTGGAAGAGAGGCTGAAGAGAAGGTTGGAGTAAACTGACAAAGAAGGACCCAATCCAGCATTGCTGGTTTTGAAGATGAAGGAGCCACAAGCCAAGAAATGCAGGCAGTCTCCCAAGAAATGCAGGCAGCCTCCCAAGAAATGCAGGCAGCCTCCCAAGAAATGCAGGCAGCCTCCCAAGAAATGCAGGCAGCCTCTAGAAGCTAGAAAAGGCAAGAAAATTGATTCTCTCCCCTCCCACTCTGTGCCTTCAGGAAGAGTGTAGCACCTCCAGTACCTTGATTTTAAAACTAAGGAGCTAGAAAACTTCAAGGTAGTAGATCCCAGTTTGTGGTGACTGGTACACAGCAACAGGAAAGTAACACTACCTTCTATGGTACAGACGGACTAAAGGAAGCAGCACTCAGTCACCGGAGCAGCATCCCCATGCCCACTTAGGGACAGATCAGATCAGTGAGTGAAAGAAGAATCAAAGGTTTGCCTTCGCTGGATTTAAGACAGGAGCAGAGGTAGAAAAGCAGGAAGGAACTAGAGACTGATGGGCAGTCTGCTGTCTGCACTATACTGG
Organism: Homo sapiens; assembly: GCF_000001405.40. Lineage (NCBI taxonomy): Eukaryota > Metazoa > Chordata > Mammalia > Primates > Hominidae > Homo > Homo sapiens. Next base: position 32,638,300 of record NC_000007.14, read on the forward strand.
AGAAAAAAGCCACGGTCAAGAATGTGAATGTGGAAAAACAGCATCTGTAGTGGTGAATCAAAGACTCCTACAGCACAACACTTCTTACAGAGATGTTTGAGAAGGGACCGTTGCTCAAGGTGCCTCAGAACCAACAAGGCAGAGCTAAAGGTTACGAATTCATAGAGGTTCACCTTATTTGAAGGTGCTAAAGAAGCTTTAAATCCTATAAAAGAGTTTAGGGGACAGCAATAAAGCTGGAGCTACACAGACTTTAAAAAGCTAATGCAAAAACATTACCCATCCCATGTTCTATGAAGGGTCTGTCTAAAGACACTACTACATAGGAGACTAAAAGCCATGTGATGGTTCTATACTTGCTGTAACAATCAGAGGGAAATAGATTGCCCAAAGAGTTTGGCATAACAGACTTCAACAAAGTTCTTCCAAATTCGGAGGATCACTGAAAAGAGTTATCAGTCTGAGTCATCTTCAGATTTTTATCATGCTTTGTTCCATTTTTCCATAGCCCCCATTTTGTTTCATTTTTACCCTCTGGAGCAAGGCAGCTGTATTCAATATTTGTCAGCAGAAAGGGAGAGAAGTGTGAATTCTGTGAATTACACTTTGCCCCAAAGGATTGCATCTTACAGGATACACTATAGCATAACCAGCCTTCACCTTCTTTCTACTCATTTTCAGGAAGTTATAGTGGTAACAGAAGAAGACTTGAGAAAGTGGAAATGACAGAAGTGAAAGCAATTTGTTCCTTCTCAAGCAGTCACTGTGGACCACCAAGAAAAAGGAAGAGGAACAGAAGGCTGATGGAGGAAATGTTTTTGGTACTATTTTTAAGTTATACTCTTAAAATATTTTTACTAATAATGGCATCATACTGGTAAATTATTTTATTATGTTGACTTTATTATGGAAGCTTAAGAAATTCTAGTTTAAATTATTTAATGCAAAAAGAAATAAGGTTAAGTCAAAGTTACCTGAGAATATGAGTCACAAGCAACATCTGAAGAACAAGAAATGGATATGAGAAGCTTTCGCGGAGAGGTGGTGTCCACATTACACAGGTACACTGAAAAAAAAATTCGTAGTATAGTATACTTGCTAAATTTACTAAGACAGACATTCCAAGTAAAAATTGCTATTTATAAATAAAATAAAATTATTTTTAACAAATAATTTAAATGGTATGTTGTAAAACAAACTACTGGACTTTATCCCATAAACAGCAAAACTAGCATGTGAGAAATATTACTGACAGAGACACATGTGGCTTAAGATCATGTAAAGCATTAATATGAATTGTCAACAAGAAAATACCAAAAAAGATGCAACTACATCTTAAAAGGAAAGGGAGGAAAGTACCAGCAAAAAAACGTTCTGTCAAATTTCAGAATATTTTGAATTGATTATTTATCTATTGTTTGTCTTCTTTCCCATGAATTTCAGCAAAACTATCCATAACCAGCACTTGAGAATTCTTGTAGTCATCAATTTTAGTATTTTCATTCACAGTGCTGCTACAAAGGAATATTCCATTTTTGGTTTTACTTCTTTGCCTAAGCTACCCTGGGTTGCAAAATATTTAAAAGTAGGTGGCGGAATCAAATTAAGTAACAAAAGTCCTAAAATTGTGAAGTATAAACCTTTCTGAAAAGCTCACTTTGGACATAATTAAGCAATGTACTATCGCAGTTGTAATAATGTCATTTTTCTGTATATATACTAAATACATTAGTAAGTTCATCCTTCCATCGACAGAAAACCGCATAGAATTAAATGCAAGCAATCTGATATTATTAAGTCACACTAAAATAAATTATGTCTTTCAGTGCAAGCAGGGGTACCTAAAAGACTCCACAGAATGACAAAGACCATGTCAGAAATAAGTGTTTCCTATATTTTAGCTCTACCTCAGACTACTGAATATTTCTAGTACTGCTATAGAAAGACTGAGTCAATTTACTCCTCTTTTCTACCGAGCCCACCATCCTCTATGAAACTGACATACATATCTATTTATGAATGAACTACTCACACAAGGGAATGCTGAAAAGATCTGATGGATACTCTTGTTACTCAATATTACTGAATGTCTGTTGATAATGTATACTGTTGTTACCAGAATGCAATTTTTAAAAGCTGTTAGTTTATTAGATTAACTGGAGAGTTCAGTAGGATTGACAGTAAGATACATGGGCAAACCACGTTTCATTGCCCTTTACCATGCTTCACAGATAAGGTCTGTCACAAACTGAAGGTTTGTGGCAACCCTGCATCAAGCAAGTCTATCAGTGCCATTTTTCCAATAGCATGTGGTCACTTCATGTCTCTGTGTCACGTTTTGGTAATTTTCATAATATTTCAACCTTTTCTTTTTTTTTTTCTTTTTGAGACAGAGCCTTGCTCTGTCACCCAGGCTGGAGTGCAGTGGCACGATCTCGGCTCACCGCAAGCTCCACCTCCCAGGTTTACGCCATTCTCCTGCCTCAGCCTCCTGAGTAGCTGGGACTACAGGTGCCTGCCCCACGCCCGGCTAATTTTTTTTTTTTTTTTTTTTTTTGGATTTTTTTTAGTAGAGACAGGGTTTCACTGTGTTAGCCAGGATGGTCTCGATCTCCTGACCTCGTGATCCGCCCGCCTCAGCCTCTCAAAGTGCCGGGATTACAGGCGTGAGCCACTGTGCCTGGCCTATTTCAACCTTTTTCATTATTACTATATCTGCTATGGTGATCTGTGATCAGTAATCTCTGATATTACTATTGTAATTGCTTTAGGTGCCTTGAACCATGCCCAATAAGATGGCAAACTTAATGGATAAATGTGTGTGTTCTAACTGCTCCACCGATCAGCCACTCTCCCATCTCTCTCCCTCCCATCAGGCCTCCAAATTCCCTGAGACACAACAATATTAAAATTAGGAAAATTAATAAGCTTACAAGGGCCTCTAAGTGTTCAATTAATAGAAAGAGTTGTTCATCTCTCACTTTAAGTCAAAGGCTAGAAATGATTAAACTTAGTGAAGAAGACATGTCAAAAGCCGAGAGAGGCCAAAAGCTAGGCCTCTTATGCCTAACAGTCAGAAATGCAAAAGAAAAATTATTGAAGGAAATTAAAAGTGAAACAACCTTATTGCTGATATGCAGACAGTTTTAATATTCTGGATGGAAGATCAAACCAGCCACATTTCCTTAAGTCAAAGCCTAATCCAGAACAAAATCCTAACTCTCTTCAATTCTACGAAGGCTGAGAGAGGTAAGGAAGTTGCAGAAAAGTTTGAACTAGCAAAGGTTGGTTCATGAGGTTTAAGGAAAGAAGCCATCTCCGTAAGATAAAAGTACAAGGTAAAACAGCAATGCCGATGTAGAAGTTGCAAGTTATCCAGAAGATCTAGCTAACATAACTGAGGCAGGTGGCTGCACTAAACAACAGATTTTCAGTGCAGATGAAAAAGCCTTCTACTGGAAGAAGATGTCATCTAGGACTTTCCCAGTTAGAGAGAAGTCAATGGCTGGCTTCAAAACATCAAAGGACAGGATGACTCTCTTGTTAGGACCTAATGCAACCAGTGACTAACTTGAAGCCAATATTCATTGACCATCCTAAAAATCCTAGGACCCTTAAGAATTACACTAAATCTACTCTGCACATGATCTACAAATGGAGCAACAAAGCCTAGGTAAGAGCAAATCTGTTTTAGCATGATTCACTGGATATTTTCAGCCCATTCTTGAGACCTACTGCTCAGAAAAAAAGATTCATTTCAAAATATTATTGCTCATTGACAGTGCACTTGGTTACAAAAGTGCTCGGGTGGAGATGGATGAGGTGATTAATGTTGCCTTCATGCCTGCTAACACAGCATCTATTCTGCAGCCCATGAAGCAAGGAGTCATTTCAACTTTCAAGTCTTATTATTTAAGAGATATCTTTCATAAGGCTCTAGCTGCCATAGTGATTCCTCTGATGAGTCTGGACAAATGAAATTTAAATCTTCTGGAATGGATTAACTATTTCAGATACCATTAAAATCATTCTGATTCATGAGAGGAGGTCAAAATGTCATCATTAATAGGACTTTGGAAGAAGTTTATTTCAACTCTCATGGGAGACTTAGATGGGCTCAAGACTTCCGTGGAGGAAGTAACTGCAGATGTGATGGAAATGGCAAGATAACTAGAAATGGAGACTGAAGATGTGACTGAACTGCTGTAATCTCATGATAAAACTTAAAGGATAAGGAGTTGCTTCTTAAATGAGCAAAGGGAATGGTTTCTTGAAACGGGATCTACTACTGGTGAAGATACTGTAAACACTGTTGAAATGACAACAAAGAATTTAGAACATGACATAAACTTAGTTGCTAAAGCAGTGGCAGGGTTTGAGAGGACTGACTCCAATTTTGAAAGCTCTACTGTGGGTAAAATGCTATCAAACAGCATCACATGCTACAGGGGAATCTTTCATGAAAGAAAAAATCAATCGATGCAGCAAATTTCATCGTTACCTTAAGAAATTGCCACAGCTATCCCAATCTTCAGCAACCCCTCTGTCAGCAGTTGTCAACATCAAGGCAAGACCCTCCATCTGAACAACTTGCTGAAGGTTCAGATGATCGTTGGCAGTTTGTTTGTTTGTTTATTTTGAGACGGAGTTTCATTCTGCCACCCAGGCTGGAGTGCAGCTGTGCAATTTCGGCTCACTGCAGCCTCTGCCTCCTGGGTTCAAGCGATTCTCCTGCCACAACCTCCCAAGTAGCTAGGACTATAGGCACCCGCCACCACACTTGGCTAATTTTTTTTGTATTTTTAATAGAGAAAGCGTTTCACCATGTTGACCAGGCTGGTCTCAAACTCCTGACCTCAGGCGATCCGCCTGCCTCAGCCTCCCAAAATGCTGGGATTAGCAACTTATTTTTAAATTAAGGTATGTACATTGTTTTTTAGACATAATGCTATTTCACACTTAATAGACTATAGTACAGTGTAAACATAACTTTGATATGCACTGGAAAACCAAAAAATTTGTTATGACTTGATTTATTACGATATTCACTTTACAATATCTCTGAAGTATGCCTGTATGATCAAAATTTGCAAAGTCATCAGTCTGTACAAAAACAAGTATTCAAACAAGCAAGTATTCAAACTATGCAATGTACAATTTGAGAATTTTCTTCATATGGACGGTTCCCCCACATTTGTTACCCACATTCAATGACGTTATCATTCCTCCGAAATTCGTTGCATTTAATAGCTGAAGTCACTCAGTTCAACAAAACTGAATTACATCCTCTGAAAGTAGGGACAAGAAAACCCAATTACAGGACTGTAATGAAGGGCAAGGTCTTCTCCCTCCAAAGTTCTGAGTATATGAATTCAAATGTCCATGAAAGTGCTTTCTATTGTTTCTCCAATAACACAATGTGTTTTACTAGATCTGGTACAAACATAATTGCCATTCCAGATAATCTCATATAATCTGAAAATAGTGAAGAGATTTGGTTTAGTCATGCCTTACGTTTCAACAAATAAATATTTTTTCTTTATCTCTAATTTTAAATGCAAAATAAAAAGTGTGACAGTTTAAAATGCCAATGCTTTTTAAAGGCATTATTTTGAAATTTGAGAATTAAAGGAAATATACATGTGAACTGCTTCAAAAAAGGCTTATACAAATGTATGTTGTCTCTAAGTACAAGAAATCCATTTATTGTGAAAATAAATTCAATAAAAATCTCATGTTTCAAACTGCTAACACCTAGTATATAATTTTTATCACACATTTCATAACACTGATTATATTGCAACATAATACTGTGTAGATATTAACAAGAGGCTTTTCTTTTCTGCTTAATAATTTTTAATCAATCACTCAAGAATCAATAACTAAGGAATCTCAAAAATAGCTTAATTTTCCAATCTCTATTTTCAAACTATTAACTTATAATATTGGAAATACAGCATGATCTAATTGATTTATCTTCATAACTTCAAAATAAATAGAACACCTGACTAGTGAGTTATAAATTGTGGTTAATATTAGTATCAAACAGATCATGTTTAAGATTTATTCCAAGAGTTTTTACTAGAGTTGCTATTTGCTGGATCAATCCTAACTTGTTACTATAATGTTTAGGTTTAAAACAAATTACCCACCTCTGACTGCTGCTTTTCTATATTGATTACACTATTGCTCCATATTGCTTAATATTAACTATAATAAGGCTTTAAACACTATATTTATGAGTGCTTCCTTAAAAGACTGCTGGCACCATGAAGGTTATGCTACCTCTCTTCAGAGAATGTTACAGGTGTTAAGAATCCTGCTATCCACATAGTAACCATAAGAATGCTAGGTTTAAGAGACATGGCTTGAATATCTCCTGTTTGATGCTACTTAGGGCAGTCCCATTATTTAGGAAGACCCTTAGTTTGGAGTAGGCTTTGTGCATCTCAGGGCACTGTATCTTGATAACAGGTAAGCCTGGTTGCTTTCTTGGAGTTTTGGTCTATTTTTGTACCATACACAGGTTGAGTATTTCTCATCCAAAATGCTGGGACTAGAAGTGTTTTAGATTTCAGAGTTTTTCAAATTTTGGAATATTTGCATTTTACTTACTAACTGAGCATCTCTAGTCCAAAAAACCAAAATCTGAAATGCTCCAGTGAGAATTTCCTTTGAGAGTCACGTTGGCGTTCAAAAAGTTTTGGACTTTTCAAGTATTTCAGACTTCAGATTTTCAGATTACAGATGCACAGCCCGTACTGATAAGCTGCTCAATTAACCAGTTACATATTTCAATCTGAACTTATAATACAATTTTGGCTCACACAGGGTTTAATGTGTCAGTGATACGTAAATGCTATTTTAAACTTTACTATCTTTATAAAGAATTTCAGCTGGTTGTATGACAGAAAACATTGATCTTTTTGTCTCTGAAAATCTAAGATATCAGTATATCCTATCCTAAATTTACAAAAAACCTCTGTGAAAGCAGTCAACTTTGTTGAAAAAGCGGTGAGTACACCTCCATGTTTCCATCCATTGTTGCAATGACTCGAACTTGACCATTGCTTATTCATCTAAAATAGAAAATATATCTGGCAAGATGTTATCAGTATCAACTCTACCACCTTTATCATGTGGTTATAAACTACACTGCTCAAGGTTATCAACATAACCAAAATTCTGACTATAAAATGAAAGCATTAGCCAAGATATAAAGGCAATATAAATAGAAACAGAAACAAATGATTCAAATTGCACTATCAAAATGATAATACAATGTGGAGAAATAAAAACAATTCAGGTTGCTTCTAAATTGTTTAACTTTTATATTCTGACTATACCTCCTTAGTAGAATATACTCTTAGGAGAAAAATAAGTAGAGAAATACTGAACCATACTTTGTAGGATTGTTATTGGTAATGACATTAGTGTAGTAACTCTGAAACTATTTTGTGTGTATTACAGAATAATTTGTTTCTGGAACCTTTTTGTGTTTGAAAGGAAGTGTTTGTCTGAACACAATGAGATATATCAAAAGGGCAGAAAAGAGTGCCAAAATCATAAAATATCTAGAGATTAATAAAATATGTGCAAAACATAAAACATTGCTAAGAGAAATTAAAGGAGACGAATATAAATCTATGTTTATGGATTGGAAGATTTAGTATGTTCAGGAATGTCCATTCTAAATTAACCTAGAGATCTAATACACAACCAGCAGGTTGTGTATGTGTTGAAAGAGATGGGAGTAGTGACAAGCTGATTCTAAAATTTATATGGAAACACAAAGGACCTGGAACAGCTATGGCAATACTGACGAAAAACAAGGTTAGAGATCTTCATTATCAGATATCGAACTTATAAACTACAATATTTAAGGCAGTGTGGTACTGGCTTGAAGATAAACGGACAAATAGAACATAATGGAGAGTGTAGAAATAAATCCAAAAATATATAGTCACTTTATTTATGACACAAGGCCCACTACAATTCAGCGGGGAAAGAATTTTCTTTTTAACAAATGGTACTGGGTTAACTGGACATCCTATTTGGGGTGGGGTAGGGGAGGAAGAAATCTGGAACTTATTTCATACTGTATACAAGATTCTAGACAGATTATAAACCAAAATGTGAAAGCTACACCAAGATTTTCCCTTATATTTTCTTCAAGCTTCTAAAAGAAAATACGAGAAAATCTTTATGACCTACAGTAGGCAAAGACTTTTTAATCAGACACAAAAAAGACTACACATAAGAGATTGCTAAATGGAACTTCATGAAAATTAAGAACTTCATCAAAAAACCTCAAAAAGATCTGTGTACAAAAAGATACAATCACAAAATCCAAAAAGATGAAAAGGCAGGTCATAAGTGGTGAGAAGGTACTTGTAGAACATATATTCTACAAACAACTCCATGGAATTGACAAAGAGTTCCCATATATGAATAAAATAACTCAAATATTTGTTAATGGGTGAAGACTCAGATAGGTATTAAAGAAAAGAGAATATCTAAATCAGATAAGCCATATTAAGAGGTACTCAATATCATTACTCATCAGGAAAATGCAAACTAAACCCATAATAAGGTACCATTTCACTCATCAGAATGACTATAATTAAGAGGACTGCCAATGCCAAGCACTGACAAGGATATACTGATAGAAGAAACTGGAATTCTCATACATTGCCAATGGGAGTGAAAACTGGTACAAGCACTTTGGAAAACAATGTGGATATATATCACAGACATATGTTGAGAGAAAGACATCGGACATAAGAAAATATGATTCCACTATATGAAACCACCAAATAGGCAAAACTAATCAATAGTGATAGAGATAGAAGAGTGGCTACCTCTTTTGAAGGATGGAGAAGGATACAGATTGGACAGGAACAGAGGTGAGCCTGCTTGGGGGCTGGAAATAGTCTATACATTGATCTAGTTCCTGGATACAAGACTGTATACATATGTAAAGATCCACTGAACAGTTAAAATATGCAAATCTTAATGTATGAAAATTATATATAATTAAAATGTGGGGAGACTACTACCGGCTAAATGTGTGACAATGAGAACATCAAAAAGATTTGCAACAGATTATAAAACATTGAATAAATTTTAAAAAAACCTATGCATATATAGTAAAAGAAAATGGCGGGACAGGGGATTTGTCTTTACAGAACACCATTAAATGTAGATTAAATGGCAGAATTAGAAAATTACCATTTGCAATGGCTAATGTAATAACTAATTCAGGCAAGTATCATCAATGGATGCATAATCAGTTGGTAAATGTTATAGAGGAAGAGGGTATTGGTGTCTCAAAGTATCATCCCACATTTCACTTATTAAAAGGAAAAAGGGCATTTTTATAATAGAGAAATATGACACCACCACTTAACTGTGTGATTTAATTTAGTAAATTCGATTATGGGACAAATTGGTTTTATGTGCCTCCAGATGTAATGCAAAGAAAAGGACACAACATCATATGTGCCATATTCTTCATTAAAATGTCCAATCTGGCTGGACATAATGGCTTAAGCCTATAATCCCAACACTTTGGGAGGCCGAGGCAGGCAGATTATTTGAGGCCAGGAGTTCAAGACCAGCCTGGCCAACATGGTGAAACCCTGTCTCTAATGAAAGTATAAAAATTAGCTGGGTGTGGTGGCACATGCCTGTAATCCCAGCTACTCGGGAGGCTGAGGCACAAGAATCGCTTGAACCAGGGAGGGAGAGGCTACAGTGAGCCAAAACTGTGCCACTGCACTCCAGCCTGAGCAACAGAGTGAGACCCTACCTCAAAATAAAATAAAATAAAATGGTCTAATCCGAATCTATTAATGAAGAAACGATCAGGCAAGTCCAAAATGTCAGACCTCTACAAAATAATTAGTTCAGACTCCTCAAAAATGTTAATGCCATGAAAAAAAAAGAGACTGAGATAAACTTTTCTAAATAAAATGACAACTAAATGCAATGTACAATCCTTAATCAGATTCTGGATCCAAAATAAAAGCATCAAAGAATTTATAGGACTAAACTATGTAAATAAGAATATGGGCTGTATTAAGATATTATTATATAATTATTAGTGTGAAATTTCTCAAGTATGATAACAGTATTGTGATTATGTAGGAGAATGTCTTGCTTTTAGGCAATATATACTGAAGTATTTAGGGGTGAGATCTCATCATATCTGTAGCTCATTTTCAAACGGATTAGAAAAATGTCTGTGTCGGTGTTTGTATAAGAGAGACAGCAAATGTGTCAAAATATTAAAACTAGTAAATGAAACTGAATCTAGAGCATTTCTGTAAGTTTCAATTTGCTCAAAATAAAAAGCCGGAGAAAAAACAGTAGAGAAAAATGTACTTTTCTTGTACTGCCTTTTTAGTACAAGATTTACAGGGGAACTAGACATAGCCCAGGTGAAGATAATAAAACAGTTGTTGGCTCTACCTTCACACCTGAGAACAACTGCGTAATTTATGTAAGGATCTGCCACAGGCAGAGAGTCTTTGCTGGAACCAAACAGCTTCTAACAATATAAACAAGAATCTGAAAAAGCTACAAACACAAAAATGAATATTTTTTGTGACAGCCACCCCTCCCCCAACCTGGGACACACATAAACATACACACACATGAATCTGGCAGATAAAGAGGAGTAGGGGAAAGTCAGAACTCTGTGAGATCACAATCTCACACAGCGCTTAGGTTCCAGGGTCTTGCCACGGCTGAATCTGGAGATGGATTAAAATTAACTAAAAAGCTGAAAACTAACCCCTTCCCAGTTTAAAGAGTGGTAAGATCAAAGGAATCCCAAGTTGAGCATCTGGAAAGTTGGGGACTGAGACAAAGAAAAAAGAGATCACTGTAGTTCATTTGAAACTGGAAGTAAACTAAAACAAATTAAAACTATACTACTGCCCTGCTTGGCAGGGCTTCATGTGGGATCCAAATTCTCAGTCTCTCTTCCTAGGTGCTTGACATAAAAGAAGATGTTCCCTTTCTAGGGAAATTGAGGCAAAAATGATTATCTAGTTCAATCTTTATTATTCTTTTACAGAAGTTGTCTTGCATAAAATAAAAAGCTATGAGACATGCAAAGTAGCAGGAAAACATGATCCACAATCGAGAGAAAAAAACAGTCAATGGAGTTAAATTCCCAGATAATGTAGGTGTTGGCATTAGAAGACAGACTTTAAAATAACTATGATAATTAGATTTTAAAATGTATAGAAAAATATTAGTGAGATGAATGAAGAGATAGGAAATTTCAACAGAAAAATGGAGGCTCTAGGAAAAAAATGGAAATTCTAAGAAGTAACGAAGGAAGAAAGGGAAAGAGAGAGGGAGAGAGGGAGGGAGGGAAGGAGGGAAGAAAGAAAGGCAAGAAGGGAGGAAGGCAGAGAGGGAGGGAGGGAATTTACCAGAGAGTGATAATAGCAGACTGCATGCATCAGAATAAAGCATCCATCAACTCCTAGACATGGCAAGAGAAAATACTCAAAGCGAGGAATAGAGAGAAAAAAAATGGGGAAAAAAAAAAAAACAGTGTCAAAAATCTGTGATAGTATTTTTAAAAAGTTGAACATACATGTAATTAGGATCCCCAAAGAAGAAGAGAGAAAGAATGGGGAAAATAAAGTATTTAAAAAGAAGATCTTGGCTAGAAATTTTCCAAAACTGATTAAAAATAAAAACTAACCCACAAAACAAAAGCGTTCAATGAACAAAGCACATCTAGGTTCACCACCATCAACCAATAAAAAACAAATATATAATGAAAATTCTCAAACAACAGAGAAAAGACACATTACATTCAGAGGAACAACAACAAAAATTATAGCTGACTTCTTATAAAACGGTAGAAACCAGAAGATAATGGAATGGCATCTTTAAAGTGCTGAAAGGTAAAGCTATCAACCTATAATTCTTATGCAGCAAACATATACTTCAAAAATGAAGGCAAGATAACATTTTTAGACAGACAAAAACTAAGGGACTTATTGGGATATCTTTATCACAATGCTAAATAAAATTCTTAAAACTAAAGAGAAATTATGTCAGATGGAAATCCAGATCTGCAGGAAGAAATTAAGAACACCATTGAGATGCAAACTGAAATGCTCAGTTGTGAAGGATAACCGGGAGTTAATTAGGCAGAGGTCAAGATGAGGGGCACAGAGGCATATACAAAGCATAGGAAACAGCATGTGCAAAGGCCCTGAGGAAGGAAAAGGAATAGTCCTTTCCAGGAACTGGAGAAAGAAGGGCCAATAGGGCTGAAGCAAAACAATAAAAAACAGCCTGAAGAGTGATGTGAGACAAAACCAGAAATCCAGCTGGGCAAGGTCATAAAAGATGTTGTAGGCTACTTTTCTATTGTAGACTGCTTTTCAAATTTACATCAGCAGATATGCTGCTAAGATTAACACATTCTATTTTTATTGAACTTTTGCAGTTACTGTAAGTTTAATATAATAAGTTCACAAATCCATAGACATACCAGTGAATAGCCTTCATAAAACTATACATCTTGTACTTACACTGTTTCCCAAATTCATGTAAAACATAATTTAAATCATGTCACTCTACTAGTCATCATCCTCTAGTGGCATTCCATCCACTCCAAATGGACCCTATAATGACCTACAGAAATCTGCTCCCACTCTATCCTACCTCCAATTATTAACTGTCTGACCTTATCTGCTATCACTCTCTGCTCCTCCTTGCTACTGCCCAAATAAGCCAGTTATTCTCCTGCTTTAAGGCAGAAGATAATCCCACATTCACATGATTGTCCACAAGGATAGGAGTCTTTGTTTTACTTATACATCTCAAGCATCAAAAAGTACCTGGAGTACAGCAGGCCAAAACCTTACCAACACTGGAAAGAAAGGAAGAAAGAATGAAAGAAAAACGAAGAGGTCCACAAATTGGTAAGAAAAGGTCTCTGCACCTTTCATTTATAAACGATAAATTATAGTGATGTCTTCTTTGAAATGCTACTCCCTTAACTAAGAGTTTCGTGTTTGGAGAGATTAATGGGAGAATCAGGAAACTTGTAATCCTCTCTCTGCAAAAAGATCCACAATATTGATCTGGGCAATGATTTCTTGGATAAGACTGCAAAAGCACAGGCAAGGAAAGCAAAAATAGCCAAATAGGATTGTGTCAAACTAAAATGCTTCTGCACAACAAAGGAAATAATTAACAGTATAGAGTCAACCCGAGGATTGGGAGAAAATATCTGCAAACCATACCTCTGATAAGGCCCCAATATTCAAAATATATAAGGTACTCAAATAACTCAATAGCAACAAAACAACTCAATTTTTAAAATGGGCAAAGAATCTGAAGTCATTTCTCAAAAGGAAAGATACAAATGGCCAACAGATGTATGAAAAAAAAAATGCTCAGCTTCTCAAATCATAGGGGAAATTCAAATTAAAACCACAATGAGATATCAATGTACACCTGTTAGAATGGCTATTATCAAAACAGACAAATGATAAGTGTTGGAGAGGATGTGGAGAAAAGGGAACTCTTGCACACTGTTGGTGGGAACGTAAATTCATACAGTCATTCTAGAAAGCCATGTAAGTTTCCTCAAAAACACTATAAATAGAACTCGCAATCCCACTTCAGAGTATATATACAAAGGAACTGAAATCAGTACATCAGAGATGTCTGCACTCCCATGTTCATTTCAGCATTATTCACAATAGCCAAGATACGGAAGCAACCCTAAGTGTCCATAAAGAGATTAATAAGGAAAATGTGCTATACATACCCAATGGAATATGACACAGCCTTAAAAAAAGAAGGAAATTATGTCATTTGAGACACTATGAATGGAACTGAAAGATACAACACTAAGTGAAATAAGCCAAGCACAGGAAGGCAAATACTGTATGATCTCAATTACATGTGGAATCTAAGAGTCATTCTCATAAAAACAGAGAACAGAAAGGTAGTTACCAGAGGCTCAGGGGAGAGATGGGTAATGGGGAGATGATCCAAGGATATCAAGTTTCAGTTGGGCAGGAGGAATAAGTTTTAATGATCTATTGCTCCGCTTGGCGACTACAGTTAATAATAATGTACTGCGTATTTCGAAATTGCTAAAAGAATAGATTTTTAGCATTCTCACCACAAAAAATGCTAAGTTGGTGAAGGAATAGATACGTTAATTTGCTTGATTGACTCCTTCTACAATGTATACATAAATCAAAACATCACATTGTAGCCCATTAATATCTACAATTATTATTTGTAAGTTAAAATAAATAATTTTTAAAAAATATAAATAAATAAAATCATCTCCCTGCTGAGTAACCTTGAGCCAATCTCTTAATGTTTTAGTGCTTCCATTTTTATGATATTGGGATATTTACTACGTATCTACCATATAAGAATATTATAAGAATGAGATTGATTTCAAAGTGTTCTAAGAATTCTTTTCCAAATCTTATATAAATGGCATAACTTTGTCAATAAGTAATTAGGAACATGTATGTTTATAGTTTAATCTCAGTTCAGTGCAAAAATAGTTAAGAAATATGGGTCAGAAATATGTTGTGGGTCATAAAAATGGGTTAATTAGATATGAACCCCAAGGCAATCCTTTCATTTACTTTGAATTACTTTTTTAAAAAGTATTTATTTCTAAAAAACACAAAGTAAGGAATTTCCTCTTCATATGTGCACATCTTTATATATGCGATTATGTTTTACATAAAACAGAATCAATCATGCTTGGTAATAGTTTTTTTTTTAATCTTACCATGAAAAAGCTAAACAATCTTATTTCACAAAAAAAGAATTTCTAACAATCAAAAAATTGGAGAAAAATACTGTATTCAGGTTTTTCTTAATACACATTCATGTGCTTTTCTATCAGCATGCCAAAACCCTGCACCATCAACACATGTTGTGTGCATCTTGTAAAAGAAAACATTTTAAAGGCAAAACAAAATTGCTAGCTTTTGCCTTTGCAAAAATTCTCAGTTGTGACAGAATGAAATTTACTAAAGAAGCTTGATCAATGAAAACATCTGCATAGTTTTTATTATAGAATGTATAACCTCAACATTACTGATCATTATTATAAACCCTTTTATTGCATTTCACAAGTTTCGGATTTGAAGGTTTTAAATGTGTTTTAAATAATTTATTTAATAATCGATTAAGCTATTCATGCTACACATTTTATAACTATTTTGTTCGGGCAAAATTTTCCCTTGTAAAACCATATGAGGAAAAAGAAAATTTGAAAAAAGTAAACCTATGCTATCTTAGCATCTAGTGCAGAGCAAACTAAATAATGGAAATAGAACTTAAATGCAAGTAACAATTCAGAACTATTCTTTGCAACATAAACCAATCACTCATGTGATCAAAGTAACTCTCCTAAGAAAGTAAGGTACCAATTAGTAACCCACTAGCATTTCCAGTGAGCAGTGCTCTACAAAAGCTCACTAAATACATAAATAGGTACTACCAGAGTGAATATTTCTGTCCATAGAAAAAGTATACACTTAAAAATCTGAAAAACATAGGGTCTGAAAATCTCATTAACTAAAACCAAAATATGTTGAGTTCTCACCAATATTTTACCCAAAACTGCAGTTTATGCTCTCAATTTTAATGCCATTACCTGTATTTTCACATGTAATTTTACATGTAAGTAAAATTATCTACTTGACTATTTCAGCAAAACTGAAATTCTAATTCTAATGATATTCGGTTTACCTTTTCCTAAAAAAGTAATGTCTAAGCATGCTTTTCAGCTACACCAAGTAGCTGAAAAGTGTCAAAAAGACAATTCATCAGCCTGAAAAGCCAACTGAATAGTCTGAATTCCATTGTTAAAATTTAAGAAAACTTTGTAAGGAATGATGTTCATGCCACATGAGTATCAAACTTATAAGAAAACTTAAGACCAAGAATTAAAAACCATAGTATACACTGAGGGTAGCACGATAGACCTTTGCGCTTTACAAACAGTGGTCTTCCTGGTGGTCTAGGTTCCAAAATTTTGAATAACCTCTTTCCTCTGACACCTTATTGTTAACACACGATGCTTCTTTCTTCCATTATTAAATGGTTATTTCCCTATTTCTTAGGTCATTCCCACAGAATCTGTGGCTCAAAGTGCTTCATGGTCCACATTATCACAATGTGCAGGATCCACAGTCAGGAAAAGCCAAATCTTTTTTTTTTTTTTTTTAAACACATACTATACCAATTAACTGATGTCATGTTGCAACCAGTTGTCAACTACTCTAGCTTTATATTTCTGTGATTCTAAATACTAAGAACATATTAGCTAAGTATCCATTAGTAACTCGCTGACTAAAAAGAAGTCCAGCATTGACTCTGCATTATGTTTGGAGATGATTACTGTTATAGCACATGTTAAAACATGTGCATATTCAAATACAGCAGGCACTGAGTGTATAAAATGCATGGAAGGACAAAGTCACTTCACACAAAGCAAGCTGACCTTTATTCTTTTCTCCCTCATACAAAATTTATCATGAAAGAAATCTAGACAGAGGTGTATTAGAAATTCATTTACAACTATGATTAATCTAGAAACACTGAAACTCTGAATTTACATTAGAATTTAAACCAAGTTAATTAGTCAATAACAGTAATAACACAAGCTAACAATTACATAGCAGCTACCAAGTGCCAAACACTGTTCTAGGCATTTACACATATGAATTCACTTAGTCTCTGCAATAATCCTATGAGGTGGGTAACATCATTATGCCCATTTACAAAGAGGAAACTAAGGCAAAGAGAGATTAAATGACTTGCTCAGATCACAGAGCCACTAAATAGCAGTCAGGATTTGAACCCAGGCAACCTGGATCCAGGGTCTGTATTTTTTACAATACTGTTGTCTTTAGAAAGCCCTTGAACACTCAAATATTTTGCAAAAAGTACTTAAAAGAATATCAAATGTTAATACATTAAAATAAGAATACACTGTGTAGCTCCTACAACAAAAAGTTATCCCTACAAAAGAAAGTTATATCGATTACTGCCTACTTCTATTATAACTAAAATATGAGTTTCACAGTTTTAAAATTATACAAACAATTGATACTTGAGGGCAGGCGTGATGGCTTACACCTGTAATCCCAACACTTTGGGAGACCAAGGCAGGAGGATTGCTTGAGGCCAGGAATTCGAGACCAGCCTGGGCAACATAGAAAGATTCCATGTCTATAAAAAATTTAAAAAATTAGCTGACTGTGGTGATGAATGCCTGTAGTCCCAGCTACTCTGGAAGCTGATTCTGAGGCAGGAGGATCACCTGACCCCAGGAGTTTGAGGCTGCAGTGAGCTACGACCTACCACTGCACTCCAGACTGGGCAACAAAAAGAGACACTGCCTCAAAAAAAAAAAAAAAAAAAAAAAAGAATTGATACAGTTGATACAGACCCACTATTTCATCAAATTACTAAGCCTAAGCCTTATATCACATAAGAAGTATAACGGTCATGAAAAGTTAACTTAAATGAATGCTAGTGTTTAAATTTTGAATCAAAATAATAAGATTAAACATTTAAAGAATGCCATTATAGATTAAATTTAAAGAAGAAAACTGCATTTCCAGGAGTAATTCTGAGAATAGTTTTTGATTACCTACCTCTCCATGACTGAAAAAGAAGCACAACACTGTAACCAGGCCTCCTAATCGGCTGCCACTGGAAAAGAAGAAAACATAAATAACAAAAATCCAGGTCAATCCTAAGAAAAATGTTAAAATGGCATAACATCATAACCTCTGGTATTATAAAAGATTTTAGTCACACTAGAACTCTCCTATGCTTATTTATAAAATAGTTTATTTCCTCCAAAGTATTAGTCAAAATAATCTTTTTTCATTTTTAAAAAATCATTTGCTATCTTCAATATGTATAGACTCAGAAAAGCACGCAAACTGAAAGGGAATAAAAAATTCTTACTAGTCACATTGCTGTACATCATGCAACCTGATTTTTCTTTTTATTTTCTTTATAACCTCATATTTATTTATGTCCTTCAACATTTCTCAAACTGCTTTCCTTGGGACAGATGACATACATTAGGAAAAAGGGTGAGAAAGACGTGCAAGGAAAGGGATCCACGGTCATGAGGATGGAAAACCCCACACTGCCTACCTGCTCCTAGAAATTCACAAGGCACTTCCACACATTAAAGATTTAATTTCATATTTCCCAAATCCCATCCCCAAGCTACTTTTCTGCAGAATACACTTGAGAAATACCAGTTTATGAAGTTTTATGTTTCATTTGTTTTCAAAAACTGGAATAGAACACAAATATCAAAGTATGACAATCAGGCTTATAACTCTAGATAAGAAATTACAATGGTGCAATCTAGTAGTTCTAACAATTAACCTTCATTTGCTCAGGTAAGAGTGAAATATGTTCCCTACTGTCCCCCAGGTCTGGGTAGGGGACATAAGGCTATCTTTAGGTTTATTTCATCATGTTCTGCATCTTTACTCTTGAAGTCTTCTTACTCATTTTAGCTCATGCTGCTTTCTTATTATTCTACCCAAATATCCTTCCTTCTTTTCCTCTATCTACCTTCCTTCTATTTCTCTATCTATAAGTATACCACAGAGAGGTCAGAGAGGAAACAAAGAACCAGATGGTATAGGCATCAAAGGCCTTGTATTTACTCTTGTGATGTATGAATGAGGAAAAGAGGAAGAGATGCAATGGCCAGCAGGGATAATCCACGTAGGGAGTATCCAGGAGACAGGTAGGGCTGGGACCCCAGCACAGGTGGCCTGTTTGCCTTGGCAAAAGAGGAGGAAGACTGCATATTTAGTGGCAAGTACTTTGTGGAGTTTCCATGTTCCCCACAGAGCAGAAGACACAGCCACTCGCTGCTAGAGAGAAACGATGGCAGCATTAAACGTTTGAGGAAAGACAGAAATGTCTGAAACACCACTCACATTTCAGGAGAGTGGTAACTGGGGAAAACACAGTGCTGCTGGGATATCTTAGGGGAACAACTGAGGCTGCAGAACACAAATCTATAGGGTCACTAATCATAAGATTGTGTGATTTTTGCCTACCAATTATCAGCCTAGAAAGCACAAATGAAATATAAAGGGGCAAAGAAACTGAGGACATTGGCCAGAAAGTGTCTGAAGTGATGGATCACTGAAATGAGAGCATCAGATAGAGGAGCTTAGAAAGCAGTACAGGCTAGGAAGTGGACGCCAGGGTTCTCTCCTGAAAGGTGTACCACATCTTCAAAAGAGAAGCACACAGGCTAGGCCCAGGCTTCATCACAAGTGATTAGACATTAGAAAGGTTAAGACAGAGTTAATGGTTTAGAAAACAAATAAATACACTTTAGTGTTTTGAACTTACTCTAACAAGACAAAAAATATAGTTTATAGGGAAAAAAATGTGATTTTCTCTTGCTACCCTCTCCCAATCCTATTCACCTAAGAACATTTTAGTATGTGTCTATTCTTCCAAATCTCTCTCTCTAACCGCACAAACATATATTTTCTGTGTGATCATATTAACATCTAAAATTTGTTCCTTTTCTAATTATTCAGCATAAAGATTATTCCTAATCAATATATGTAAAGTTAAAGGGATTCTTTTTATAGATGGCAAATACTGTATAGTACAAATATATTTATTTAGCCCATTCCATATTACTGGGCATATAAATATTTTTCAATTTCTTGCTATAATAAAAAATGGTGAAAGTAAACATCCTCGTACGTGTAAATGCTGGCGCATTTGTTTCAGGAGGGATCTAACTGTGAGACACATGAGTCAAAGGATGTGAGCTGTGCCCGGAAGCACTGCAGCAGTCCACACCCTCGTCACAGAGTATGCAGGAGGTCATTTCTCCACCCCTCGTGCAGCACCTCATGTGTTTTTCAAAATTTTGTCCTTAGGCAGGTGAAAACCCTTTTCTCACTGCCTACTTGTATGCAGCATCATTTTAGTGTTTTGTTTTGACAACATGTATTTTCTCTTCCGTGAACTGCTTATTCATATTCTTGTCTATTTTTCTATTAGACTATTTCCCTACTTAAAAATTAAGGTTATCAAACCTTTGACTGTCAAATGTGAAAATAACATTTAAAAGCTGTCCAAAAAAACAACCACTTTAAGCCTTCAGAAAGATGTAACTGTGATCTGAGTCACATATGGTTACAACTTCCATTCTCAGATTATAGATTAACTTGCTTTCTTATTTTTCTTGTTCAGTACAATGACTACAGAATTAAACACTGTCAGGCACAAAAACTTCCTGCCTTTTTTTTTTCCCAGAGACCGGGTCTCACTTTGTCACCCAAGCTAGGGTAGAGTGGCACAATCATGGCTCACTGCAGCCTCGAACTCATGGGATTCAGCAATCCTCCTGCCTCAGCCTCCAGAGTAGCTGAAACTACAGGTGTGAGCCTGCCTTTGTAGTTAATAACCCCTGTTAAAGATTAACTTTCCCTGTGTTGTTTTACTTTGCTTAGATCAGACTATAGAAAACCTGTCATTATTATACCCTCTGTTTAAAAAAAAAGTTAAATGTACCCTTCCCCAAAAGAAATACCACCTATAACCAATCAAACTGCTGTGACTATGTGCCAATCCGTATGAATAATGTTGTATTCCTGCTAAAAATGTCTCTGTCTCTGCCCATATAAATGAAACCTAAATTTCCCTACTTCCAAAGGCTGACTTCATTCCTTTGGAGTTGGTGTTCCTGAGTGGTCTACCCTCACACTTTGTGCTTGAATAAACGCTATTTAGATTCTGATCCTTTTGATTATTTTAAGTTAACACATATGTGTGACAAAGTATTTTGATATAATTTGTTGTGTATTCTGTCAGAAAGAATTTTTAAACTTTTATGTATTTAAATATGTTGATATTTTCCTTTATTTCTTCTGCACTTTCTGTCTTGTCTCTGAAGGTCTTCCACACCTCAAAACTATAGTCTCCTAAAATTTCTTCTAATATTATTAACTGCATTTTCCACTTAGCTCTTCCACCCTAATTTTGAACTCTTTGAAATACCCAATTATATTAAAATCATTTATCACGTAAACATCCCTTTTACCAGTGAAATGAAATTCAGCCTTTGTCTTATATTAATTCCTTACAATGATAGACTCTGTTCTATTTCATTCAACTGACTGAATTCTTTATTTTTTTGTATCACACTATTTTTATTACTGTAGCATTATGGTAATTTTAACACATGATTTTAAAAAGCTCCCCACCCCCAACTACTCTTATTTTTAAGATTTTTTAGGTAATTCCTACCAACTTATTCTTACATATAACATCTGAACCAGTCTCCCAACCCTGCTCCCCAACCCAAGAAAAAATTGTCAGGCTTCTGATCAGAATGACATTAAATTTATATATAATTTGGGTTGGGAAGGGCTGTCATTTATATGATGGTCATTCAGTTGCACAGTATATTTCTTTCCATTTACTCAATTCTAATTGTATTCCTTTAAATAAAAATTTTTGGGGCCAGCCACGGTGGCTCATGCCTGTACTGTAATCTCAGCACTTTGGGAGGCCAAGTCGGGTGGATCACTTGAGGCCAGGAGTTCGAGACCAGCCTGCCCAACATGATGAAACACTGTCTCTACAAAAAAAAAAAAAAATTAGCCATGTGGTGGCGCATGACTGTAGTCCTAGCTACTCAGGAGGCTGAGAGTCAAGAATCGTTTGAACCAGGAAGGCGGAGGCTACAATAAGCTGAGATTGCGCCACGGCACTCCAGCCCGGGTGACAGAGTGAAACTATCTCAAAAAATAATAAATTTTTTTTTGGACAACCAATGTAAGAGTCAAGTACCAAGTTAAACTTCTAGAAATACAAAGAGAACATGATAAAATCTGATCACAGTGGAAAATTTTAATTCTTTCATAATCTGACAGGTCAAGTAAGCTAAAGGAAACATATTAGGGATCTGAAGGAGATAATCAACAAGCTCAATATTGTGACTATACAGAGATTACACATCATTTTCTTATGTCACTGGGACATCTAGTTGCAAAGGCACCTCATTCTCTGATTAGAAGCTAAAACAACCTAAAACACAAGAAAGATGAGTTTTTTAAAAAATGACACGGGGAATTTAATGTAAAATTTCCGTTTAAAAATTCTCTGGAACGAGGAATAAAAATGGAAATTTAATAACTTTAATTTTCTAAATGGCAGAGTAAAGGTAGAGAAAGAACAAAAGACTCACAAATCCAATTCCCTAACCAAATCTCAGGACGAGGTTTGCCTAAGAAGTCGCACACCCTCACTCAGCTGCCATACAACCTGGGAGGCTCTGAGGTTGGACAATTTCCTGAGGGCAGAGCCACTGTAACTACATTCCTTTTTCACCAAATTACTAAAATACAGGTTATGGTCCAACATCTTCCATGAATATGGGCTCAGCTTTGCTTAACTAACATAAGAGGCAGATTTTTTCTAGTACACTTTTGAGAACTGCAAAGCTAGAGGAGGAGAATAAAATTTGTTTATCTACAAGGAATGTT
Source organism: Homo sapiens (assembly GCF_000001405.40). NCBI lineage: Eukaryota > Metazoa > Chordata > Mammalia > Primates > Hominidae > Homo > Homo sapiens. Next base: position 32,660,889 of record NC_000007.14, read on the forward strand.
CTGAGTTAGAATCACTGTGAAATGATATGACTTGAAACAAATCTAAACTAGTGTTCTCGACGTCCACCCTCTCACCCCAATGCATACAGGCTACTAAGTAAGTCCTGTTATTTTGCTAAACAGAAAAGATGCAGCAATCAGAATACCTAAAATTTTAAAAAAAATTTTTCCCATTATAGTTGATCAGTTGACATTTCAGCATTCCCTAGTGGTTAAAAAAAAAAAAAGTCTCTCCTGCAATATTACCACCAACTGTCAGAAAATATGAAAGCTCCTATTGTGCAAATTTTAAAACATTCTAAGCTTGCTAAACATTTACCACATTTACTCATACATCTCATTCACCTAAACCTTGATTTTTCTTAGACATAAAATGAGGGGATAATAAAAAATAAAGCTAAAAAGGACCTAAAAATACTTTACAGTTCTAAAATTTAAGAATGCTATAATTCTCTTCTTTCCTACCTACTATAGTTGTATAGATTTAAATCAATTATCAAGTTTTGATAGGTTTCATTAATCATTGAGATTTTTATCTCTATTTACAAAAATGATGAACCATCCAAAGTTAAACTTTTGAAGAGAAAAAAGTAATCAGAGTTCATTCAAAACTATATTAAATAACTCTTACGAGTTAAGTTTTCTTATTGTTGTATAAATGCTTAAGAAAGAGAAAATGGAGAAAAATTTGGAAATAACCAAATTAAGATAATTTCCAATCTTAAGTTGGAGATTGAAGGCTTGAGCATCTTCCTGGCCCAATGAAGAAATGCCAAGCAGGCCTGGTTCAGAGCTGAGAACCTTCCCCTATACTCATGGTGGCAGGGGGAGGGGGGATTCACTGGTTACTAAGGAAAGAGATAGGAAAGAAAGATGAGGAATAAGGATAAGAATCAGGAAGGGTGAGAAAAGTTCTCAGCTTGGTCGTTTCCAGTCTGTTTCAAGCAAGTCATTAACGCCTTTAATTTAACTCTCTATCTGCCAGTTCTAACAGAAGTTTTCATTTATTAGATTGTGAACTCCTCAATTCACCCATGGTGCCAAGGACCAAGGCTTGTCCATGAAAGAGAGTGAAAGGGTACCTGAAAACAGAACTGTTCAATCAAAAGACTGCTGGCATTCCTTTTTTGAAAGCTTGTAGCCAAACACACCACACCTCATGTCACACCAGGCAGGGCCATGTGTTCAGGTGAGCCTCTGCTCTGACCCAACCACCACACCCCTCAACTCCTATGCAGACCTCTCCACTGTGTGCTCCAGGCCCTTCATTCCATGGTGAACAACTACCTATCCAACACCCGCAGCCTCTTCCCAGATGCTTCCTCCTTCTCCTGCCTGGAAATATCACTCTCCTCTGAACAAATGCTTCCCCTGGAGCCTCCCCTACAATTCTGCCTCCTAGTATCCCAGAGTCTGTCCACTTCCCTCCATCCCACCACCATCATACCAGCTCAGGCTCCCATCGTCTTCCCCTGGGCTGCTACAGCCTCCGACACCCCCTACCCAAAGCCTGCTCCCTCTACACTGCAGAGTGTGTTGTCTTTAACAATGAATGGACCCAATCCCACTCCATGCACACAGCCCTTCAATGGCATCCCTGCCCACAAGGTCAAATCCAAACACCAAAACATATCCGAAATGCCTCGCAGGATCTGGCCCCTGCATACACCTCAACTCCTTTCACTATTCTTCCTCCTACCCACACTCTGCTCTCCAGCTACACGGTCCTCATCACAGTTCCTCAAATGATAAGACCACACTGACAACAGTGTGCAGAGCAGCCTGGGAGCAAGACTGGTGGGGAGCAGAGCCACATGAGCTGATGCAGAGTCATCCCAGGGGGATGGGCTGGCAGAGAAGTGGAAGGACGCCAGAGATACTCTGAAGCAGGACAGTAATAATAGGATTTTGTGACTCCTTGGATTACAGAGGAAAGAGGAAAGTCATGGCTATCTCTTAGAGGTCAGACTGGGCATTAGAGTAGACAGAAGTGTCATTTGCTGAGAGAGTGAAGGCATAAAAAGGGGAAGGTTTTGGAGAAAAGATGCCAATACTGCCAACCAATAACTTTCATCAATTTATGCATATTAAATAAAAATACTTATCTTTTAAATATTCATATACAACTGTTAGACCAAATGGATTTGATTAAAGATGTGTTAGCAGGCCAAGTTAATAGTACATTAAAAAAAAAATGTAGCTGGAAAAGTTTGAGATGGTAGAATTCACAGCCTATTTAAGACGTGTTTTTAGCCAAAAATCCAGGCTGTATAAGCAGTAAATGCTTGATTTTTTGAAAATAAATAATAAGAAAATATCATGTAAAACAATGGAAGCAAAACTGGCATAAAATTTAAGAAATTCAACTTTTCCTTAAAACAGGTGGAGGGCAGTGGAAGAGTGGAAAATTAATACAAAACACTATTCCATTCTGCTACAGAGCCTAAGAATACCTCATAGGCAACTTGGTTGGATCATGGGAAGAGAAGGTAGAAAGATTAACTGTGTTAATGATGACTATTCACTCCAGATGTAAAGGGGGACATCAAGCAAAATTAAAAAGGGCTTTGACATACAGACTAATCATCCAGGCCCTCAGGGCTTCTGGAACATATCTAGAAATAAAGCAGCTTAAAAAAAATCTCTCAGGTATCAAAGAAACCACTCTGAATCTCCAATGACCAAAGAAGATAACAGAGAACAGAAAATTGGAAGATGAAGTATTGTCCTCTGACTAGCCAGTTCCTTATGTGGAAGAAAAGGGATTTTCTGCTGACTACTTATGTCTACAAAAGGACATCCAGGCTTTTCTCACAAAAGCTCAGAAACAATGGAGAACTGGGTAGAGACAAGGGCAAATATTCAAAAGTGGGGGAGAAGATCAGGAACAGATCAACAGAGGGGCCACAGGGACTCTGGGCAGCCCACATTAAATGTAGAGAAGTTCATGAAAAAGATCATTTAAAAGTTCTGTTCAAAAAGCGACCTCATCGCCAGAGAGGGGATGAAGTAAGGAAAAGGGAACACTGACCCTGCCTCAGAAAGTGTGTGCTCAGCCCTCACGCATAAGTGTCTGCATATGACCAGGGGTGAGGGGGAGGAGTAGTCAATGGCACTGGGTGTCACTTCTGCACTGACGTGAAGAATCAGATATGTCTCCCGGACTCTGGCCACAGGCAGAAGCAGCTGAGGCTGGTAAACTAAAAAGCAACAACATGAAAGGAGCCTGAGTCTCCCTAAACAAAGCAGTTTACAGTCTCATCATGCTGTAATAAAAGCCACTAGTCAGTTAAGACCCATCCACTTTGCAATCTTCCAACCAGCTCCTCATTCTTAGATACAAATGTCAAGCTAGGAATCAGCAGGCTGTTGGGGATGGAAGCTTCCAATGTGAAAAATAGAAACTAATACAAATTGAAGGGGGACCTAGAGGTAACAAAGACAATGCAACAGGCAGAGAAATTTTCAAACTCAAGATTCTTTAGGTTGGAAACTAACAGAAATGACAATAAAATGTAAAAATAAAATAAGGGAGAAAAACCCTGAGAAAATTCGACTTCAAGAAGTCCAATATCAATAACTTTCAAGAAAACAGGAAAAAAAAAATGGAGAAGAGAAAGTCATTAGGGAAATAATACTAAAAAAAGTTTTCCTCCAAAGTGAAGTAAGTGCCCAGATAGAGCACACAAAGTATGCGATGAGAAGGATGAAATATCTACCACATCATGAACTTTTTGGGGACTAAAGAGAGAAAGATGAACCCAAAAGCTGCCAGAGGAAAACAACTAACCACACACAAAAGGAACTAATGGTAGAACAGCACCAGACTTTTGAAAAGCTACACTCCATCTTAGAATACAGTCGAACAAAGCCTTTAAAAGTCTGAGGAAAAATAAAAATCAACAACCAGGCAAACCAGTAATTTAGTACAAAAATAAAAAAGGAAATGTTCAAACATGCCAGACAAATGTATTTTAAAACTATCTCTGTGACTCTCTTGGAAATTACCTGAGGATATAATCCTCGAAAGGATGAAACAGACCAGAAAGAGACCAACCTGGGGTCCAAAACACAATGAATCCAATGCCAGAGAGGAAAGGGGAATTCTCAGGATGGTGGTAAACAAAACTCCCAGGGAATCGCTATACGGAAGCCCAGGGAAGGACGGGTCTAGGATGGAACCAGAGACAGAGGCTCCAGGAGGGAGGCCCCAGGGGATAGGAGTGGGAGAATTGAAATAATGGATTTTATACATTTGACAAAGTATAAAATAAGCGTTTACAGTTCAGTTGTAGATCTGGAGAGCAATTAATCAGCATACAGAACACCAAGGAAAACAAAATATTAGCAATAATTAACTACAGGAAAAATTTTAAGTTACCAAATAAACAATTATTTATACTACTTAATTCAGCAGTAAGCAATATTTTTACAGTCATAATAACGTAACTGTGGACTATTGTTTTACGTATCAGAATTGCTGAGATTTCAAAGATCTGAAAGTGGCTTTCCCTAGACAAAGGGATAGATGGGGTGGGGAAGACAGATGGGGCAAGGGACCACTGACGTACTTGATGATAAAAAGTTGAATAATGCCAAAAGATATGCATGTATATATAAAGCAGTGAAAATTCAGTTTAAAAACATACTAATAAGTAATATACCCATTGTAGAGCACATTAATAGAAAGAAATTTGTTCAATTACTTATTTGGAGACCTCTTGATATTTGTCAAAAAATACTTATAAGGAAGAAATCATAAAAATGTTCCAGATAACATTAAAATAGATGTTTGTATTCACCACCAAAAGAAATAATACAGTATATTTTAACCTTGGCTTGAAAACATTAAAGAAGAACCTTCCAAAAAAAAAGAGAAATTTTCCATACTGAAATTACCAACTACAAACTACCAGACCATGCGAAGGTATGGAGTTACAGTCATCTTACCTGGAGAATGAGGAGTCGGGGAAATGTGTAATCGCAAAAGCAGACATTTAAGAAACCGCCACCCAACACGCTGTATGTTACCTTTCCCTCCAATGTGTCGTTAGTTCAATAAATGAGTCTAAGTAAAATTAACTGAGGAAACTATTAGAATAATTATAAAATTACATGTATGACAGCTAAAAATGGAGCAAAATAGGATCCTGAAAAATGACAATATTAGAAAGAGTAAACTTCCACCTATCAAACCAAAACAATGCATACAGAAATATCAGCTGAAGAAGAGCAAAATCCTGGGACTTCAGAATCCTTCAGAAATGAATTATTACAGAACAGTAATATTCTGGAACATGAGAACAGAAAAGAGAACGGAAAGTCTAGATCCTTCTTAGTGTCGTGTATCTTTAAAACATTTTAACATTTTAAGTAAAACTTTTTATGAAATATAAATACTCACTTTGGAAATGGAATAAACACTTTTTTCTTCATTATGCAGGATCTTTAAACAAAAATTAACTAAAGCTGCAGACAATTTAATTGCTGTGGAAAGAACACTTTAAATGTATTCTCAAAGACAGTAGGCCAGGCGTTGTGGCTCACGCCTGTAATCCCAGCACTCTGGGAGGCCAAGGCAGGTAGATCACGAGGTCAGGAGATCGAGACCATCCTGGCTAACATGGTGAAACCCCGCCTCTACTAAAAATACAAAAAATTAGCTGGGATTGGTGGCGGGCACCTGTAGTCCCAGCTACTCGGGAGGCTGAGGCAGGAGAATAGCATAAGTAAACCCGGGAGGCGGAGCTTGCAGTGAGCCTAGATCATACCACTGCAGTCCAGCCTGGGCGACAGAGCAAGACTCCATCTCAAAAAAAAAAAAAAAGACAGTAGAGCACACACTTTGGAGCCATTGTCAGTACTCAAATCCCTACTCTGCCAATGACTAGCCCTGTGACCTTGGCAAGCTATTTAATATCCTTGTATCTCAGTTTCCTCATCTATAAAGTGGTTTACCTATCTCATCTGGTAACCATATGGATTAAATGAGTTTCTGATTGTAAAGAGCTTAGACTACAGTCTCACACATAAGCATTTTACACATACTGAATTTCTCCAATCAACAACAGTCTTCAAGAAAGATTGGAATCTGCAGAGGGAAAGCTTCAGAATGAGTCCACTGGAAAAATACTTCCTAAATTGGTAAATGCTAGTAAAGCTTATGTGATAGATAATATATTTTTATTGTGCCTTTCATATATGGCAACCATAAGCTAAGTTTTTCTTTCAATATTTTATTAATTATGAATTTATTCAATCAAAAAATATTTTGGAAGGCAAGCATTCTTCTGGGTCCTTTGCAAACACTACCTTATTCCATTCTCACATAGAAGACAGAGTCTCTTAAACTCATTTAGGTGTTCTCCCCTCTACTCAATCACTTCTTTAAAAATTGTCTATAATCTTCCATTTTAGTTAACCTAATAAAACACTGCACCTCCCTTTTACAACCCTAAAAGACCTCTGTTACTTTATATTTTCTTTTACATCTAAAGGCAAACCAAAGAACTGGCAGTCACTCTAAGTTCTGCTCACATCATTTATTCAAATTATATAAGAACTCAACCTTAATAGATTCCACCCACAATTTAGAGCTTCTATACAGCTTTTTTCGGTCTTCTAGCCTTAATCATGACAGCCTAAGTTTGCCAGACATCTAAGGAAAGCACCTAACATGGAAGGTAGAGACCAAAAGATGTTTAAAAAAACAAGCTAGGCTGGGCACGGTGGCTCAGACCTGTAATCCCAGCACTTTGTGAGGCTGAGGCGAGTGGATCACCAGGTCAAGAGATTGAGACAATCCTGGCCAACATGGTGAAACCCCATCTCAACTAAAAAATACAAAAATTGGCTGGGCGTGGTGGCGCGTGCCTGTAGTCCCAGCTACTTGGGAGGCTGAGGCAAGAGAAAATTGCTTGAACCCAGGGGGCGAAGGTTGCAGTGAGCCGAGATCATGCGATTGCACTCCAGCCTGGTAACAGAGTGAGACTCCGGCTCAAAACAAACAAACAAACAAACAAAAAAACACAAGCTAGAAGATGCCAAGATTATTCTGGGAGGGTAAAAACATCATTAATACCCTTAGAGAGAAAATGTGTTGAATCCATGAAACAAAAATAAAATACTATTTTTTAGAAAGGAATGTTTATAGAACAAACAAAACTACTTGGAAATTAAAAGCATGACAATGAAAAATAAAAACTCATTAGAACAGCTGGAAAAAATAAGGCTGATAAAATGTTCTAGAATGTAAAACAAAGCCAAAGAGCTTAAAAATGGGGGGAAAAAAAGAAAATAAAATAAAATTAGAGGACTGGGAACTATGAACATCCAAACAATAAAAGTTCTGAATCAGAAAACAAAGGGAATGAAATAAGTATAGAAATAATTCAAGAAAATTCCCAGAAATCAAAGGCATGAGTTACAAGACTGAAACAACCCATCAAGTGTCTAAGAGAACACATGAAAGCAGATCTACACTGAGATGGTATTGCTCTGAAATTTCAGAACCATAGAGACAAAGAAGATATTCTACAATCTTCCAGAGAGAGGAAGGGGAAGCAAAGGTCACATACAAAGGTTTAGAAACCCAAATAACTTCGGAACATCTGAATGGCACCATCTGAAGCAACCGACAATGTTTTCAAGTCTAGAGTTCAATACTTGGCCAAACAGTGAACCAAATACGAAAGCAAATAAAGACATTTTCAAATATGCAAAGTTTCATAAATGTTTACCTCCCAGCTATCTACTCTCAAGACCTACTTACTAGAAGATGAAGTCTACCAAAGTGAGAAAATAAACCAAGAAAGAAGAACAAACAGGATAAGGGCACAGGAGATCCAACAGGGGAGAGCAGTCAAGGAAATCCCAATGAGATGCCAAGAGGACAGATGTACACAAACCATGGAAGGTAGCCAGTCCAGAACCAAGTACTTACTGACTCATGCCCAAAATCTCCACATTTTATTTGTGTGAGCCTGGATGAGCCTGGACCAGATTCTTGTCTGTATTTTATCTTGGCTCCAAATGCTTTACTGCTGGCATCAGTTAAAGACACTTATGTCACTCACAGAAGTTGTTCTGCTTTGATATGCTCCAGAGAGCCAGGGTAAACAGTGGTGAATTTAGAAAGAGGGAACAGCTCTTCCCCTCATGATATTTCTGCTGGATATTCAGTACCTGGCTACTACATTTCTGCCAGATGTCCCTACCAACTGAGTCCCACATTTATCCCAGGACTAGCTCATGACCTTGCCTACTGATGTCTTTAGGAATCAGGCTCCTGGTTGAAAATCTATATGGGATTTCTCAGGCCTGGCCATATGCAAGGCTTTGCCTGGCAGGCCTCACAGGGAAAAGAAGACCTTCACACACCAGGCTTGGTGCAGAGCCAGCGTACTGTAGTCTCTCAGGGGAGTTGCAGTCAATGACTCAGCCATTTCTGGGTGATAAAGCTCTTCTTATATTTGCCTTCCTAGCCCAGGCACCTTTATTTCCTGGTCCCATTCTCTGCTGGCAGAGAGGGGCTCCTTGAAGAGGTTGCTCCCCACTCTGACTCAGACTCTGCACTCTTTGGCTCCTGGCCCTTCTCCTTTGCCCCACCACCTCAAGAACCATAAACTGCAGGAGCCTTTTGTTCCCTTTTGATGGGGGTGAGACATCCTGATCGTCACATCTCACTTATACCATTACAGTAAATGATTAAAGGCTTAATTCTCACTTTTGCCTTGTCGCTTTAACCAGCCACTCCAATACCTGGCAGCTCAGCTCCCTCCCCTAGCTCAGCTGTGCTCCTGACAGCCTCAGAAAGTTCCCTCAGGGAACCTAAAGACCATGACTCAGAAATTCTCTTCTTCTGGGAACTTTCATCTAACAAGGGCAATAGTGTCCTCCCCTTAAGCAGCTAGGTTTGTGCCTGATACTCAGTTTTTCAAAACTAAACACACCATATTTAATATATACACATGAGTGGCATAATCATAAAGAAAAACAAGGAAAACATTGGTCCAAAAGTTAGGATGCCATTTCCTCTGAGGGTTGAGGGAAGGAAAGAGAATGCATTAAGAAGGAATTTTAAGGGTATGAAAGCTCTGATAATTTATTTATTTTTTTAATCTGTGTCATGGGTATGTAAGTATTCATTTTACTAATCTTTAAAAATGTATATAAAGATTTTACACAATTCCATAGTCGTAACATTTTACACATAAAAAAGTATTTTTTTTACTAGTTATTTATTTACTGGGTCACAGATAATACACTCATATGATAACAATGCATAAAATAAAGTAAGGAATTTCACACAGCTGTTTCTGACAAGAGCCTCAACATAAACTGAAGGGATAATTTAAAAGTTCCAGTAAAAGTATTGCATGCGGTACAATAAACCAAAGTCCAAGTAGGCAGCAGTGACTGGGCAGCTATCAGTCAATAATGAGACACTCCACAGGGGCATTGTTCTGTCTGCCCCAGGATGACTCATCAGCCACACTCACTGCCCACTGTTTTCTCCAGAAGACCTCCTCTGACGGCACTTGATCTAGATGGAATCAAAGGCTAAAGAGTCTAAAAAGCTAATGAGGTATTTTGGGGGCAACCTCGGATAGGATACTGAATGGGAAAGAACTCAAAGATTCTAACATAAGATCTAAAAATCAACTTAAGTACTTTTATAATTCTAAGACATTTCTCTTACCTTAGGGAAAGGAATTTTTGTCTATCCTTCAGCTCCAGTTTTAAGGAGAGTAGTAGGAACTCTGAAGACAGAGGCAGCAGTAATCAGGGGAGAACGCTACAAAGAAAATGAAGTTCAAAAAGACAGCACCAGAGTCCTCTCTGGCCAGTCACAGCCCTGGTCTGTGAAAACCCTGGGTGGTTTCATGCATCATTTCACCATCCTAAGATTCAAAACAAATCAAGCAATCAAAGGCAGGGCTGCTAAGTAAGCAGCTGCACAAGCAGAGCAGTGGGAGTGGTGAATGGGACCAGGGCCTCGCTGCTGGGGAGAGGAGGAAGGGGTGGGAGACTAGATGGGAATAGCAAAGGGACCCAAGGGAAGTCCAGTTAAAAAGTTTTGTTGGCCGGGCGCAGTGGCTCACGCCTGTAATCCCAACATTTTGCGAGGCCGAGGTGGGTGGATCACCTAAGGTCAAGAGTTTGAGACCAGCCTGACCAAAATGGTAAAACCCTGCCTCTACTAAAAAAAAAAAAAAAAAAAAAAAAATTAGCTGGGTGTGGTGGTGCACGCCTGTAATCCCAGATACTCAGGAGGCTGAGACAAGAGAATTGCTTGAACCCGGGAAGCGGAAAATGCAGTAAGCCATGATGGCACCATTGCACTCCAGCCTGGGCAACAGAGCGAGACTTCGTATCCAAAAAAAAAAAAAAGTTTTGTCTTAATTTTGTCATGTGAGAGGGGAGGTAAGGGATGAACACATTCTGAGGCAGATGGGAAGGAACCAGGAAAGCAAGCCTGAAGGACAGCGACGGGCAAAGAAGAACTGGCAGCCAGTAGGGATAAATCTAACACCTACAAAGGAATGAGCCTTAAACAAAGGCACTTTTTTCGATGTTTCTCTGATCCCACCAGGCCTCTGTATCCCAGTATTGTACTCCCTCTTTTATTTCAGCTAGTCAGTATTTTTGGCACCCTTTTCAAAAGAGAAAGAAAAAAACTCCTGCTCAGAAACCCTGTTATTGTTTGTACTCATCCTTACATAGCAGTAAAATTTATAATACACAAATTTATAATATATAAACTTTATATACATATGTATTTTTCCAGAGAACTGTTAAACATATACATTATTTAACAGCTTAATACACTATCCAATCTATTCTTCCTCAACAATGCACCATAACCTAGCTAACCTCGAATTCCAAAATAATACTAAAATCACACTAAAGTACAAAGAAAAGCTTTAGAATCACCTGCTTGGTATCTGCCTTAGAGTCCAACGCCAAAAGTTTTTTATATTTATCAATAAGGGAAACTTAAGCATATATGAATTTCCTCCAGAAGAAACTATGGGGAAAGTTCGAACTGCCCAACAACCAATGCTCCTTCTTACTTGCAGAACAGAGATTTCTACACATTGGGTCTTAAGAAACTGGCCTTCAGAAACTGTTAGTCTGTGGCTAAGAAATATCAGGGTATCTTATGAAATAAATAACGGTAAGTATATATCAATACAGCTTCAAAAAATAATTAACAATGAGTATTTTTAAAAAAATACTAAAATACTGAGAATTCCAGAAAAAGAATTATACCATGAGTAGGCTGTGTTTGCAAAACAGATCTCACTTCATCTTCTCAAGTTAGAGCTTGGCAGCCTGGCTCCATTCATCATTTGGCTGTTTTCTATTTTCCCTTCTTCTATTTCTGGTGAAATGGACTGGCTTACATGGCTTCTAAAAACTTACATGTATATTATTTCAAAACAAATATACTTCTGAATTTAAGATGTCACAGTCAATCTGCCCGCAAATTTCTAATCTGCTAGACAAATCTCAACTTTTATTTCTCAGTATATAATACAATTTATTTTTTCAATCCTAAAAACAACTTTAGATATCCTCCTCTTTATTTTTAACCCATATTTTAAGAAGTCTGCAGCTTTATCCCTCTCATAAAATTACAAGGGTGACTAACCATCAAGGAAGAAAATATTAAGAACTAACTAGTAATTTGAAACCTCTAAATGTACTTCAGGTCAAAAAACATACAAAAATGCAATGAAAAACACTGATAGAAAAGAAGTGATAAGAGACTCTATTCAAAATAATATACATCAGGATCAATTGTGGGAAGAACCTTCAGTTTAGGATGCCTTTGAATAGAGCTAAAGAGATGGTTCCGGGTTAAGAAAAAGCCCACAAACAGCAAAAGGAAAGCTGGAAAAATGAAAACATGTGCTGCTAGTGCAGACCACCATGGGGTCCAAGAGTTGGGTAACACAGAAGGGGCCAGCTAAAGCACAAAGCAGTCAAGTGGGCAGAGTGAAACAAGCTATAGCCACTGACACTGGAAGAACCAGAGACAGCCATCTGGAAAGACCCAAATGCTCTAAGGTAAAAGCTGCCCTCATGCCACCTTAAGCAGTAGTCTACAGACTTTTTTACACCAAAACTACAGTAAGAAGACTTTACACAACTCAGCACACATACATATGTGTGTGTGTGTGTGTGTGTGTGTATATACATACACACAGCAAATGGAAGTTTCTCTAAGTAGTATCTATCCTTACTAGTCTGGTAGATGATATTATTTACTTTGTAGTATTTTTTTTCTCATCTAAAATGAAATGGGCTCAACCCACTGAATCAATTTTAAAACTCTCAAATAAGTGATAACCTGCAATTTGACAAACACTGTGCTGAAGTAGTCACTGCTTGACTTTGGGGACTGGGGAAAGTCAAGTGTTCCATGAGATCATACTTCAGCTTGAATCCTGTTCTTATACTGGTCAATTTTTGTATTTATTTCACTTGCTTTGGAATAGGTTTCAACTCAGTCAGTTACCAAGGCCTTTCATCATCCAGCACAACCACTGTTCCAATCTGAATCCCCCACAACACTCCCTGAAGAACATGCTTACTGATCTGCTTACTACCTGCTTTCCACATACTAGATTTTGGCCTTTGCCTCTCCCTGGTATGCTTTTATCCTCATGGTTTATTTCCACCTATCCAAATACCTCTGATTCTACAAGGTCACACTAAAGTAGCCCCTCCATGAAGAACAAATTTCTCCTGCCTCTGGAGTTCTAAGCACTTTATTTTTCCTTCCTTTCTATCTTCCATTCACACACACCCTGCCGCACTCCCATGCTCTCAGAGCCCAAACAGTCTTAAGAAACTACTTGGTATGAATTGTTTGTGTTGACTGAACAACTGAATACAAAAAACTGCCTACCAGGCACCACAGGGGTTAAACACTGAGAAAGATCAGGTCAGGGCCAAAACCACCAAAAACCCCTCAATCGAAACCAGAACCTTCTATTCTCCTCAGTAGATGTTGTGCCTTCTGCCTTTGAAAAAACAGTTACAACAAGCATTACAAGAAAATATGAATGCTTTCTTTAACAGATGTTTACAAATTCTTCTTTCAATTAAAAAAGTAGCCAGGCATGGTGGCACACACTTGTAGTTCCAGCTACTTGGGAGGCTGAGGCAGGAGGACTGCTTGAAGCCAGTGGTTTGAGGCTATAGTGCACTGTGAATAGTCACTGGACTCCAGTCTGGGCAACAATATAGCAAGACCCCATATTTTTTTTAAAAAAGGTAGCATAAGTGCAGATTAGCAGCTTAGCAATAATGCCATGTTTCATATTTCAACTTCTCTTATGTAAAATCTAATCTCCCAAATGTAATAAAGCTACCCATAGACAGACGGGCAGTACTTAGCAAAATGAACAGACACCACCAAGTTTCTCTCCCTCTGGCTCATTACGATGCAAGCACACAGGCCCACTTTCCCTCAAGTCAGCCTCCTTTTCTCATTACCATATTCTTTTGGTTTAACTTATTTCCCTGCATCTTGTTTCAAAAACAAAATCTTTCACATCATCTTTTAATCATGCATTTTTATTTTAGTCTCCCCAATTAAACAAAAGAATTTTCTTAGACCTAAGTCAGAAACATTAACTTCAAAGTGTCTTAAATCTATATACAAATATATTTTACATCAATCTTCTAACAGCTTCCTCATTTGATAAATGCTTATCAAGTAACTGCTAGATACTCAAATGGTGGGCTAGAAACTCAACACATCTTTGAGGTACTAAACTGAAAATACCACACTTCCAAAGGAAAGGAGATAATGGGATAATAGCAAATTCAAACTCATTATCCCGAATTGAAAATCATATACAATTCTCATAATTCTGTACTACAAAGAATCAATAAGCAGCAAGGAAGAAAATTCTAAAGATAATCTCAAGGCAAAATACTTCAAACATACATACAGTATAATAAATTGGCAAAACAAATAAGAAAGAAGAAAAGTAAACATAAAAAGCCTGAAAAAATTAGTCTTTTAGTTTTAGGAATGCTGCTCAACTGTAAAGTAAATCAGGTCAGATATTAAATATTGCAGAGAAGACACTTCTAAATATTGCATAGAAGATACTTCTATTTTAACATTAGTAAAGAGCTATTAATATCATTTGATAATGAGTGGTCTTTTCCCTTATATTTTATGTAAACAATATATACTGGATGGAGCTGAAACAATCTACAGCCATTGACATTGGAAGAAGAACCACATCTGGAAAGACCCAAATGCTCTAAGGTAAAAGCTGCTCCCTCATGCTACCTTAAGCAGTAGTCTACGGACTTTTTTTACACCAAAACTACAGTAAGAAGTAAGACTTCACACATCTCAGCACACACACATACACATGTACATACAACAAATGGATTATATTGTTCCATAACAATATATTAGATATTCCATAACAATATATGGAATATATATTGCTTATGTTCAAATGCCTATGAATATTTAAAATTTATGCCAGGCACTGTGGCTCATGCCTGTAATCCCAGCACTTTGGGAGGCTGAGATGGGCAGATCACTCAAGCCCAGGAAATTGAGACTAGTCTGGGCAACATAGCAAAACCCTGTCTCTACAAAAAATACAAAAAATTAGCTGAGTTTGGTGGCATGCACCTATGGTCCCAGCTACTCAGGAGGCTGAAATGGGAGGATCGCTTGAACCCAAGAGGTGGAGGTTGCAGTGAGCAGAGATCACACTACTGCACTCCAGCCTGGGTGACAGAGTGAGACCCTGTCTCAAAAAAAATAGTAATTAAATTTATCAAGTATTCCCAATTCTATTTACATCTCTAAAACTATCTTAAGTGTGATGGGCCATGGCAGTGGTGAAATCATGCAAATAATGAATGATTTTATGATAATAAGATATTTTAGGATATTTTCATAAAACTGAACTATAAATTAATCAATGATTAACTATTAACTTATCAACTATTTTATTTTAGTATATCTTATAAACACATACTAAAATATTCTTACCTTAAATATGTGCCATATATGAAGAATAATGCCATCATTAGTCCATTTAAAATAAAAATTACAGCAACATAGAAGCAAGCAAGATCTCCCAATCCTTTAAAAATAAACAAAACATATGTTCTAATCACATTAACCCAAATTACCTTATGTGTCTAGCAATTTATATTAAATTGTGTTCATTTTGAAAATGGTTGCCAGATACATTAAGTAGTTGCCTTGGTTCCCACATGAAAACCCAACACTGCTGCAGAACACAGATGAGATCAGGGCAATTAGCAATGATGGTTTTAAAACAGGGCTGCAAATTCACGGATACGTCTCCTCTGGAGGTATGGGGTCTACAGCCCCCATTTTTGAGTTTCAGTGGGCTTGTGACTCAACAGAGTACGGCAGAAGCAACACTAGTGACTTCTGAGGCTAGGTCATAAGAGGTCACACAGTGTCCAGCTTGGAGCCTTCAGCTGCCATAGGAAAAGCCTTACTACTACTCTGAGGTACTTTGCTATCATAAAGCCCAAGTCACCCAGAAAGGCCACGTGTAGGTGTCCCAGCTGACAGTTCCAGTTGAGCTCAGCCTCACAGTCCTCCATGCCCAGGAGCCAAAATGTGAGCAATGCAGCCTCTCAGTTAACTCCAGCCTTCCCAGACATTTGAGTCTTAGTAGCAGAGGTCCCTGAAATCATGGAGATAAACCAGCCCCGCTAAAGCCTGCCCAAATTCTGGACTTGCAGAATCCATATGCATAATAAAATGGGTGTTGCTTACACCACTAAGTTTACAGTGTTAAGTTTATTATGCTGGATAAGTTTATTACGTTACAACAGATAACTGGACAATATTACAGAACGAAACTTACCTTCACAGCTTTCAGTAGGACTGAGTCCTTCTCCTCTGGTAACCGTCCGACATATCTTGGTTTGAATTGCAATGAAGTCCATTATTTTGGTATAAATCCAGTACCAGCTGGCCAAAATTACCTATTTTTAAAAAATATAGTGGTATCTTAAGAAAATATACCAAACAATTTTCATTACTAGAATACTTTTGAGATATTGTGACAATTGCCATATTTTCCCTTTCTGTACCATCCACTTGGCTCCCTTTAAATCTAGTAAAACGAGGCTCAGAATCTCCTAGGCAGATTCTTCACTGGTCAGTTTTCAATTGTTCATCCATGGGTAAGGACAAAATATGGGCCAAAAAAAAGTGCTAAGTTTATGTTTTTCAAAAACTATACAACTCTACTAAGAGATACAAAAGAGGATTTGCTCAAGTAAAAGATACTGGGTCTACTGGAATAGACCAAATTATTTAAGATTTGAATTCTCCCTCAAATTAATTGATAAACATAAAATAATTCTAATCAAAATTCCAAGTGCCTAAAATGTATCTAGAAAACTAACAAGAAAACTAAAGGGAATGTTTTAACAGATATTAAGTCTTATCACCTTTAATAATTAAAATAGTGTGATACTGGCACAAGAATGGCTAGACAGATCAATGTAGCCATAGTACAGGTGGTGATAAGCCACCCCAGATGCCCTCTTCCAGGCTGAGGCAATCATTCCTCCAGCTAGTTGGAAGACTGGTGCCTGAGAGCTCGAAGCTGTGTCCCTCCCTGGGAAGAAATTAAATTCACTCAAAGTGACACCCCCTACCCAAGGGCAATCTGCATCCAATGACGGACAAGTCAATAGGGAAAGATACCAGGGGCCCTTATGTCAAGGTAGGACAACTCTGCAAGGCCATCCCAGATCCAGAGCTGCCCAGGGACTGGATGAGGCCTTCACAGTGACTGCATCAAAGCTCTCCTCTTCCTCCTGCCTATTCTGCTTCATTCATCCCTCTTCAAGTGTTGACCCTAAGGACACTCCCTCAACTACTTCCTGCATGCAAATCTCCATCTCAAAGTCCACTTCCCATGACCTCAACCTAAGAAATACTGAGCACAAAATCCAGAAACACATGAAAGCACGTATGTATAACAATTTTGCACATAAAGAAGAAAGCTTACTTCAAATCAGTGGAGAGAGGATGGACACCTCATCAGTGTTAGGTTACACACAATACTATTTTCAAAGAAAAATTCAAGGTTAGATTCCTACCCCACACTATGCATCAAAACCAATTCCAGATAAATTAAAAATGTAAATTTAAAAAAAGTTATAATTATAAAAATGAAGTTTTTTACATGTATGTATAAAAGACAAAAAGATTCATAGATATATTTCTGTATAAAAAAATACACAGACATCATACACAAAGCTAAAGGGCAAACAACTGGGAAAAATGTTTTATTATATAGCATTATATTAATATCCAGTATATAAAATTTTAATAGAAATATAGATGAAAAGCATGAATTGGTAATTAATTTTAAAAGTAAAAATGCATTATATGTATATGTATGTGTGTTATACATACATATATAAAGAACACTGAAATATATCTATAATCAATGAATGAAATACATCATGTGACTTCAATTTCTTTGTCTATCCAATCAACAAAGATGCAGGTAAATAAATAGTTTCGAAAACACTCCTGGTGGATAGTTGAATATCTATCCGGAAGGTCTTCTGACAAAATCATTAAAGTATATATTCTACTGAACTAGAGTTCCACATCAACAAATTTATAGTTTTGCAAGGAGGATAAAGGAAAGGCCAAATGCCATCTCCACTTGCTGGATCGGGCTCACCTTCCCTCCACTCCCACTCAAGAAAGTGCACTTAATTAAATGAGGATAAGGAAGAAAACATTTAACAAATGACATATAAAAGTAACAGAGCTCCCTTAGTATAATCCTTGTAAGCACACCAAATCTAGTTTTTGTATTTTTTAAACAATGCAGTCACAACAACAGTTCCCCACAGAATTAAAGCCCCCTCCTCAAAATCAGTAATGATGTTTTTTACATATTCCTCCCCAAGATACATATTTTCTTTTAAAAAATTAAATACAATTTAATATATTGAATTATACCTTAGAGTTAGAATCAGCATTTAATTCAAAAAAGTTTTACAAAAGTGAAAAATCACAATTGGAAAAAGTACCTTACCTCAGGGTAAAGATTGAATCTTTTTAATGTATTAATAACAAGGGGGTATTCAGTCAGTTTATCATTCATAATCATCCATACTCCATTCAAAAATGAGGGTGTTTCCACAATAGTCTTGAAATAGGAATAATACAGTCCCTGAAATAAGGATATGCTCAGTTAAAATAACAAAAGGTACATAATTATGATGCCTCTTCGAAGTAAATATACTGTTTTTGAAAAACAAAGCAATTAAGCAACTAATAGCTATTAAGACAATGAATTTCACAGGTTTCTGACCATTGATAAATCCTAAAGTTGCGAAAAAACTACGTATTTTCACATAAACTTGTCTTAATTGAAATAACTGAATGCAAAATAGCTTCAACAATAGTTTCAGCATTTAAAAAATAATATGACTCAGCATACTTCAACTTAGAAAATCCTATTACCCACACTAATATAACTGTTAGAAAATGCTATCTTATGAATAGAGTGAGTGGTTTCTTACGGAACTAAAATTTATCATTAACCAAGAAATCTTAAGCCAAAAATGCTCCTCTAACTGCTTATGTTAATCCCCAAAATGACACTATCAATCATTTTTCCTCCGGATTTACATGGAAAAATGCAAATGTGTTGAGAAGGCTACTCACTGATGTATTATTACATATGAATTTCACTCGGGTGCCACCTAATTTTGCAGATTATTTTCCCTCCTATCAAGTCAGCATAAGGTAAGAACCCTGCGTGACTGGGGATGAGGGTGGGGAGTGGTCCTATTTTGAAGAAAAGAGTTTTTTAGCTTGGCACACTGCTTTGGAAAGATAGCAAGGGTGGAAAATTACGTGAGACAAAACAAGAAAACACTAGAAGCCTAACGGAGAGTCTAAGCGGCAGTATGAGGGAAGACAGAGAAACACAAGATAAATCTACGTCTTGTATTTGCATCTTCAGTTTTGTCTGGAGCTGCCCTGGTAGCCAGTACCAGTAGCTGCCAAAGTTTAAACCGGGTTTAAGACTCACAAATACAAAAGTGAGATGCCTACCCAGAAATTTACTGAAAAAGAAAAAAATGGTCTTGATACTCTGATGTATTAGCTCTGATATCACTATTTTTAAAATTATGTTTCCTTGTGAACTGATTTGGATACTGTCCCCTAAAATTTCATGTCCACCAGACCCTGTGGATTGATCTTATTTGGAAATAGGATTCTTGCAGACGTGATCAAGATGAGGTCATATTGGATTAAGGTGGACTCTAAACCCAACACAACTGGTAAATCTAAATAAAGAGGAATATTTGGCCTCAAAGCTACAGGCACACAGGGGAAAAGGCTGTGTGAAGATGGATCAGAGACTGCGGTGAGGCATCAGCATGCCAAGGAATTCCAAGGATGGCCAGCAGCCATCAGAGGCTGAGAGGAGGCAAGGAAGGACTCTCCCCTCCAGCCTTCAGAGACAAGATGCCCATCAACACCTTAACGTCCCACTGCAAGTCTCTGCAACTGTGAGAGAATACATTTCTGCTGTTTTAAGCCACCTAGCTTGTTGTACTTCTTTATGACAGCCCTAGGACACTATACCTTCCTTCTTTTGTAGGTTTGCTTTTGGAAACATATCAAAAATTTAAAAATCCCTAAATATCAAAATAAAAATGAAAGAAAGGAATGAACTATTTATCAACTTGGGAGAAGATTTCAAATAACATTAAGATACTGTAATTTTACTGTATATCCCTAGTGGACTATATCCTAAGGTTAAAATGGAGCCCAGGAATCTGGCACGACTGGTTTCACAAGTTACAGGTCACAAAGACCCTGCTGATAATACAGGATGTGGTAAAGAAGCCGGCCAAAACCCGCCAAAACCAAGATGACAACTAAAGTGACCTCTGGTCATCCTTATTGCTCATTATAATATATTAGCATACTAAAGGAAACTCCCACCAGCAGCATGACAGTTTACAAATGCCATAGCAACCTCTGGAAGTTACCCTATATGGTTTGAAAGCGGGAGACACCCTCAGTTCCAGGAATTCCCCTCCCTGTTCCCAGAAAACTCATGAATAATCCACCTCTTGTTTAGCATATGATGAAGAAATAACCTTAAAAACAATCAACCAGCAGCCCTCACAGCTGCTCTGCCTGTGGAGTAGCCACCCTTTCATCCCTTTACTTTCTTAAGGTAAACTTCTTTTCACTTCACTCTGTTGGAGCATTCTTGAATTCCTTCCTGCCCAAAGCCAAGAACCCACATGGCCTCCTGGGCTCAACCCCAATTCTGGGGGTTGCCCTGTGAAGAACCAAACTGCACGAAAATCTTAAACTCTTTTCAGTAATCACATAAATGATGGCTATTATTATTATTTTTAGTAGTATTTGACTATCCATTTATTCCATGACCATTGCCCGGGTTTCCAATGCTCTTCAGACTTATTTTTCTTTGATCACACGTCAGTGAGTCCATGGCCAAAATGAGTCTATCTTTGGCCCTACTCTCACATTCAGATATATTCTACACTTTCACCTGAACTTGGGATACTCCATGGATTGCTGGTCCTACCTCAATTATTTTTCCTGCTTGTTCTCTGCCTTATTTGTCCTTCTACTTCCTGAGCCCCTAATTTATTCATGTGAAAAAGCAAAATTGCACAATGTAAATTCTGTGAGAACAGCTTCACTCTAAGGTAAATTATAATGTCTTGTATTATTCAGGAAATGACTGGATGTTGATGTTCATATATATCATCTACTAAAATGATAGAATGAATGCTTTAGACACTCTAGAAATAGATTGTTCTATTTTTCTCTACTTGACTGATGATTTCTTGGGATCAGAACAGATATTCACAATATTAAAACCACAGTAAATGGTTTTGTGGTTGAAACCAATGACAAATAATTTTTTGTCTTTGAATCTGATGTCCTCCACATGTACTCTCTGGGATGGAAATTTCTTTAGTGGTACTGTCAAAAGAAGCATCAGAGAGACATTAGACAGAGATGACCTTTCCATGAATTTTAAGAGGAAGACTCTGATATGGTTTGGCTTTGTGTCCCCACTGAAATCTCATCTTGAATTGTAATCCTCAGGTGTCAAGGGAAGAACCTGGTGGGAGGTGATTGGATCATGGGGGCGGTTTCCCCCATGCTATTCTCATGATAGTGAGTGAGTTCTCACGAGAGCTGATGGTTTTAAAGTGTTGTACTTTCTGGTGCTCTCTCTCTCTCTCTCTCTCTCTTGCCTGCCCCATGTAAGAAGTGCCTTGCTTCCCCTTCACCTTCCACCATGATTGTAAGTTTCCTGAGGCCTCCCCAGCCATGCAGAACTATGAGTCAATTAAACCTCCTTTCTTTATAAATACTCAGTCTCTGGTGGTATTCTTCATAGCAGTGTGAAAACAGACTAATACAGAGAATTGGTACCGAGGTAGTGGGGCACTGCTATAAGAATGTGGAAGCAACTTTGGAAATGGGTAACAGGCAGAGGGTGGAACAGTTTGGAAGGCTCACACGAATACAAGAGGATGAATGAAAGTTTGGAACTTCCTAGAGACTTGTTGAATGGTTTCGACCAAAATGCTGATAGTGATATAAATAATGAAGTCCAGGCTGAGATGGTCTCAGATGGAGATGAGTAACCTATTGGGAACTGGAGTAAAGGTCACTCTTACTATGCTTTAGCAAAGAGACTGGCAGCATTTTTTTCTTTTTTTTATATACTTTCAGTTTTAGGGTACATGTGCAAATTGTGCAGGTTAGTTACATAAGTATACATCTGCCATGCTGGTGTGCTGCACCCACTAACTCGTCATCTAGCATTAGGTATATCTCCCGATGCTATCCCTCCCCCCTCCCCCCACCCCACAACAGTCCCCAGAGTGTGATATTCCCCTACCTGTGTCCATGTGATCTCATTGTTCAGTTCCCACCTATGAGTGAGAATATGCGGTGTTTGGTTTTTTGTTCTTGCGATAGTTTACTGAGAAGGATGATTTCCAATTTCATCCATGTCCCTACAAAGGACACGAACTCATCATTTTTTATGGCTGCATAGTATTCCATGGTGTATATGTGCCACATTTTCTTAATCCAGTCTATCATTGTTGGACATTTGGGTTGGTTCCAAGTCTTCGCTATTGTGAATAGTACCGCAATAAACATACGTGTGCATGTGTCTTTATAGCAGCATGATTTATAGTCCTTTGGGTATATACCCAGTAATGGGATGGCTGGGTCAAATGGTATTTCCAGTTCTAGATCCCTGAGGAATCGCCACACTGACTTCCACAATGGTTGAACTAGTTGACAGTCCCACCAACAGTGTAAAAGTGTTCCTATTTCTCCACATCCTCTCCAGCACCTGTTGTTTCCTGACTTTTTAATGATTGCCATTCTAACTGGTGTGAGATGGTATCTCATTGTGGTTTTGATTTGCATTTGTCTGATGGCCAGTGATGATGAGCATTTTTTCATGTGTCTTTTGGCTGCATAAATGTCTTCTTTTGAGAAGTGTCTGTTAATATCCTTTGCCCACTTTTTGATGGGGTTGTTTGTTTTTTTCTTGTAAATTTGTTTGAGTTCATTGTAGGTTCTGGATATTAGCCCTTTGTCAGATGAGTAGGTTGCGAAAATTTTCTCCCATTTTGTAGGTTGCCTGTTCATTCTGATGGTAGTTTCTTTTGCTGTGCAGAAGCTCTTTAGTTTAATTAGATCCCATTTGTCACTTTTGGCTTTTGTTGCCATTGCTTTTGGTGTTTTAGACCTGAAGTCCTTGCCCATGCCTATGTCCTGAATGGTAATGCCTAGGTTTTCTTCTAGGGTTTTTATGGTTTTGGGTCTAACGTTTAAGTCTTTAATCCATCTTGAATTAATTTTTGTGTAAGGTGTAAGGAAGGGATTCAGTTTCAGCTTTCTACATAAGGCTAGCCAGTTTTCCCAGCACCATTTATTAAATAGGGAATCCTTTCCCCATTGCTTGTTTTTCTCAGGTTTGTCAAAGATCAGATAGTTGTAGATATGCAGCATTATTTCTGAGGGCTCTGTTCTGTTCCATTGATCTATATCTCTGTTTTGGTACCAGTACCATGCTGTTTTGGTTACTGTATCCTTATAGTATAGTTTGAAGTCAGGTAGCGTGATGCCTCCAGCTTTGTTCTTTTGGCTTAGGATTGACTTGGCGATGCGGGCTCTTTTTTGGTTCCATATGAACTTTAAAGTAGTTTTTTCCAATTCTGTGAAGAAAGTCATTGGTAGCTTGATGGGGATGGCACTGAATCTATAAATTACCTTGGGCAGTATGGCCATTTTCACGATATAGATTCTTTCTACCCATGAGCATGGAATGTTCTTCCATTTGTTTGTATCCTCTTTTATTTCCTTGAGCCGTGGTTTGTAGTTCTGCTTGAAGAGGTCCTTCACATCCCTTGTAAGTTGGATTCCTAGGTATTTTATTCTCTTTGAAGCAATTGTGAATGGGAGTTCACTCATGATTTGGCTCTCTGTTTGTCTGTTATTGGTGTATAAGAATGCTTGTGATTTTTGTACATTGATTTTGTATCCTGAGACTTTGCTGAAGTTGCTTATCAGCTTAAGGAGGTTTTGGGCTGAGACAATGGGGTTTTCTAGATATACAATCATGTCATCTGCAAACAGGGACAATTTGATTTCCTCTTTTCCTAATTGAATACCCTTTATTTCCTTCTCCTGCCTAATTGCCCTGGCCAGAACTTCCAACACTATGTTGAATAGGAGTGGTGATAGAGGTTTCAAAGTTTTCCTTTGAAAACTGTCTTGTGCCAGTTTTTCAAAGGGAATGCTTCCAGTTTTTGCCCATTCAGTATGATATTGGCTGTGGGTTTGTCATAGATAGCTCTTATTAATTTGAGATACGTCCCATCAATACCTAATTTATTGAGAGTTTTTAGTATGAAGCGTTGTTGAATTTTGTCAAAGGCCTTTTCTGCATCTATTGAGATAATCGTGTGGTTTTTGTCTTTGATTCTGTTTATATGCTGGATTACATTTATTGATTTGTGTATATTGAACCAGCCTTGCATCCCAGGGATGAAGCCCACTTGATCATGGTGGATAAGCTTTTTGATGTGCTGCTGGATTCGGTTTGCCAGTATTTTATTGAGGATTTTTGCATCAATGTTCATCAAGGATATTGGTCTAAAATTCTTTTTGGTTGTGTCTCTGCCTGGCTTTTATATCAGCATGATGCTGGCCTCAGAAAATGAGTTAGGGAGGATTCCCTCTTTTTCTATTGCTTGGAATAGTTTCAGAAGGAATGGTACCAGTTCCTCCTTGTACCTCTGGTAGAATTCGGCTGTGAATCCATCTGGTCCTGGACTCTTTTTGGTTGGTAAGCTATTGATTATTGCCACAATTTCAGAGCCTGTTATTGGTCTATTCAGAGATTCAACTTCTTCCTGGTTTAGTCTTGGGAGGGTGTATGTGTCAAGGAATTTATCCATTTCTTCTAGATTTTCTAGGTTATTTGTGTAGATGTTTGTAGTATTCTCTGATGGTAGTTTGTATTTCCATGGGATCGGTGGTGATATCCCCTTTATCATTTTTTGTTGCGTCTATTTGATTCTTCTCTCTTTTCTTACTAGTCTTGCTAGCGGTGTATCAATTTTGTTGATCCTTTCAAAAAACCAGCTCCTGGATTCATTGATTTTTTGAAGGGTTTTTTGTGTCTCTATTTCCTTCAGTTCTGCTCTAATTTTAGTTATTTCTTGCCTCCTGCTAGCTTTTGAATGTGTTTGCTCTTGCTTTTCTAGTTCTTTTAATTGTGATGTTAGGGTGTCAATTTTGGATCTTTCCTGCTTTCTCTTGTGGGCATTTAGTGCTATAAGTTTCCCTCTACACACTGCTTTGAATGCGTCCCAGAGATTCTGGTATGTTGTGTCTTTGTTCTCGTTGGTTTCAAAGAACATCTTTATTTCTGCCTTCATTTCGTTATGTACCCAGTAGTCATTCAGGAGCAGGTTGTTCAGTTTCTATGTAGTTGAGCGGTTTTGAGTGAGATTCTTAATGCTGAGTTCTAGTTTGATTGCACTGTGGTCTGAGAGATAGTTTGTTATAATTTCTATTATTTTACATTTGCTGAGGAGAGCTTTACTTCCAACTATGTGGTCAATTTTGGAATAGGTGTGGTGTGGTGCCGAAAAAAAATGTATATTCTGTTGATTTGGGGTGGAGAGTTCTGTAGATGTCTATTAGGTCCGCTTGGTGCAGAGCTGAGTTCAATTCCTGGGTATCCTTGTTAACTTTCTGTCTCATTGATCTGTCTAATGTTGACAGTGGGGTGTTAAAGTCTCCCATTATTAATGTGTGGGAGTCTAAGTCTCTTTGTAGGTCACTCAGGACTTGCTTTATGAATCTGGGTGCTCCTGTATTGGGTGCATATATATTTAGGATAGTTAGCACTTCGTGTTGAATTGATCCCTTTACCATTATGTAATGGCCTTCTTTGTCTCTTTTGATCTTTGTTGGTTTAAAGTCTGTTTTATCAGAGACTAGGATTGCAACCCCTGCCTTTTTTTGTTTTCCATTTGCTTGGTAGATCTTCCTCCATCCTTTTATTTTGAGCCTATGTGTGTCTCTGCACGTGAGATGGGTTTCCTGAATACAGCACACTGATGGGTCTTGACTCTTTATCCAATTTGCCAGTCTGTGTCTTTTAATTGGAGCATTTAGTCCATTTACATTTAAAGTTAATATTGTTATGTGTGAATTTGATCCTGTCATTATGATGTTAGCTGGTTATTTTGCTCTTTAGTTGATGCAATTTCTTCCTAGCCTTGATGGTCTTTAGAATTTGGCATGATTTTGCAGCAGCTGGTACCGGTTGTTCCTTTCCATGTTTAGTGCTTCCTTCAGGAGCTCTTTTAGGGCAGGCCTGGTGGTGACAAAATCTCTCAGCATTTGCTTGTCTGTAAGGTATTTTATTTCTTCTTCACTTATGAAGCTTAGTTTGGCTGGATATGAAATTCTGGGTTGAAAATTATTTTCTTTAAGAATGTTGAATATTGGCCCCCACTCTCTTCTGGCTTGTAGGGTTTCTGCCGAGAGATCCGCTGTTAGTCTGATGGGCTTCCCTTTGAGGGTAACCCAACCTTTCTCTCTGGCTGCCCTTAACATTTTTTCCTTCATTTCAACTTTGGTGAATCTGACAATTATGTGTCTTGGAATTGCTATTCTCGAGGAGTATCTTTGTGGCGTTCTCTGAATTTCCTGAATCTGAACGTTGGCCTGCCTTGCTAGATTGGGGAAGTTCTCCTGGATAATATGCTGCAGAGTGTTTTCCAACTTGGTTCCATTCTCCCCATCACTTTCAGGTACACCAATCAGACGTAGATTTGGTCTTTTCACATAGTCCCATATTTCTTGGAGGCTTTGCTCATTTCTTTTTATTCTTTTTTCTCTAGACTTCCCTTCTCGCTTCATTTCATTCATTTCATCTTCCATCACTGATATCCTTTCTTCCAGTTGATCACATCGGCTCCTGAGGCTTCTGCATTCTTCACGTAGATCTCGAGCCTTGGTTTTCAGCTCCATCAGCTCCTTTAAGCACTTCTCTGTATTGGTTATTCTAGTTATACATTCTTCTAAATTTTGTTCAAAGTTTTCAACTTCTTTGCCTTTGGTTTGAATGTCCTCCCGTAGCTCAGAGTAATTTGATCGTCTGAAGCCTTCTTCTCTCAGCTCCTCAAAGTCATTCTCCATCCAGCTTTGTTCCATTGCTGGTGAGGAACTGCGTTCCTTTGGAGGAGGAGAGGCGCTCTACTTTTTAGAGTTTCCAGTTTTTCTGTTCTGTTTTTTCCCCATCTTTGTGGTTTTATCTACTTTTGGTCTTTGATGATGGTGATGTACAGATGGGTTTTTGGTGTGGATGTCCTTTCTGTTTGTTAGTTTTCCTTCTAACAGACAGGACCCTCAGCTGCAGGTCTGTTGGAGTACCCTGCCATGTGAGGTGTCAGTGTGCCTCTGCTGGGGGGTGCCTCCCAGTTAGGCTGCTCGGGGGTCAGGGGTCAGGGACCCACTTGAGGAGGCAGTCTGCCCGTTCTCAGATCTCCAGCTGTGTGCTGGGAGAACCACTGCTCTCTTCAAAGCTGTCAGACAGGGACATTTAACTCTGCAGAGGTTACTGCTGTCTTTTTGTTTGTCTGTGCCCTGCCCCCAGAGGTGGAGCCTATAGAGGCAGGCAGGCCTCCTTGAGCTGTGGTGGGCTCCACCCAGTTGGAGCTTCCTGGCTGCTTTGTTTACCTAAGCAAGCCTGGGCAATGGCGGGCGCCCCTCCCCCAGCCTCGCTGCTGCCTGGCAGTTTGATCTCAGACTGCTGTGCTAGCAATCAGTGAGACTCCGTGGGGTAAGGACCCTCCGAGCCAGGTGGGGGATATAATCTCGTGGTGGGCCGTTTTTTAAGCCCGTCGGAAAAGCGCAGTATTAGGGTGGCAGTGACTCGATTTTCCAGGTGCCGTCCGTCACCCCTTTCTTTGACTCAGAAAGGGAACCCCCTGACCCCTTGCGCTTCCCAAGTGAGGCAATGCCTCGCCCTGCTTCGGCTCGCGCATGGTGCACGCACCCACTGACCTGCGCCCACTGTCTGGCACTCCCTAGTGAGATGAACCCGGTACCTCAGATGGAAATGCAGAAATCACCCGTCTTCTGCGTCGCTCACGCTGGGAGCTGTAGACCGGAGCTGTTCCTATTCGGCCATCTTGGCTCCTCCGACTGGCAGCATTTTGCACCTGGTCTAGAGACCTGTGGAACTTTGAAATAATATGGTTTGTCTCTGTGTCCCCACCAAAATCTCCTCTCGAATTGTAATCCTCAGGTGTCAAGGGAGGAACCTGGTGGGAATTGAGTGCATCATGGAGGTGGTTTCCCCCATGCGGTTCTCATGATAGTGAGTGAGTTCTCATGAGAGCTGATGGTTTTAAAGTGTGGCACTTCCTGGTTCGTTCTCTCTCTCTCTCTCTCTCTCTGTCTCACCTGCTGCTATATAAGATGTGCCTTGCTTCCCCTTTGTCTTCCACAATGATTGTGAATTTCCTGAGGCCTTCCCAGCCATGCAGAACTGTGAGTCAATTAAATCTCCTTTCTTTATAAATTACCCAGTCTCTGGTGGTATTTTTTTTTTTGAGGTAAGACTCTCACTCTGTTGCCCAGGCTGGAGTGCAGTGGCGCAATCTCAGTTCACTGCAAGCCCCGCCTCCTGGATTCACGCCGTTCTCCTGCCTCAGCCTCCCGAGTAGCTGGGACTACAGGCACCCGCCACCATGCCTGGCTAATTTTTTTGTATTTTTAGTAGAGACGGGATTTCACTTGTGTTAGCCAGGATGGTCTCGATCTCCTGACCTCGTGATCCGCCCGCCTCGGCCTCCCAAAGTGCTGGGATTACAGGCGTGAGCCACTGCGCCTGGCCTAATGGTATTCTTTATAGCAGTGTGAAAACGGACAAATACAGACTCCTTCCCTAGACACGAGAACCATGATGGCATTAGGGATGGAGTTATTAATGCATAATAGCAGAAAGCTCTTTACCTCAACATTATAAAGATAATAAAGGTATAGTTAACAATGATTGGACACACACTGTAGAAAAAGAAATGTGTGAATTCCATTAGAGTATTAAATTGAGCAATAGTGTTTGCAGCAAACTATGAGCATTATTCTTTAATTTCCACTCCCATTAAAGGAGAGGGTGGTCTCTTTTCAGGTAAAGATTGTTCATCTCTTTCTTCTGCATGCCCCATGCAGTTGTAAGCTAGATGGCATTCTGTATGTCAGGACCATTTTTCATTACTGCAAAATAGTCAAACTAAGTTTTAAAGAAAAGAATTTCTATCACTATGCATTGCTATAAGGCTTTTTATTCCAACATATGGTATTAAATAGGAGTTTTGTGCTCAATTGTGAATTTATATGAAAAGGAGATTAGGACACAACAGGCACAGAGGAAAGATCATGTGAAGACACAGGGAGAAAACACTCATCTGCAGATCAAGAAGAAAGATCCCAGAAGAAACTAACAGAGGCCCAAGAGTGGCCTTTGTGTTTCACTTCAGTGCTCTATGTTCTGGCCAATTGTCTGTCATCTTCCTTTCTGTGTGAATGAGTCCCCTGTGGGCAAAAGCAGAGACCACCCTTTGGGGCATACCTAGATGGGTGGCAGGCAGACAGCCACTATCTGTCATCTACCCAACCCCCACTTACGTCCTTTTCCCTCCACATCCCTCATCTTTCACCATCCCTCCCCTCCTACTCACCTTCTTCAGGTAGCAGGAGTGGGAGGTAGGAAAAAGCAATAAACTTATTAATATTAAAGATCCAAGCCACAAACCTTTGCCTCTGTTTAGCTTTTTGGTTTCAGACTCTTTTTCAAGGCAAAATTTTCTCAAAATTATCTGCTATAAAAACAGGAATTCAGAGAAACATTTACAAACTCTAAAAGTAGACAGATACCACCACCTTCCCCATCCTCCACCCAACCAGGCTGTGACAGTAGGTAAAATCTGTACACCAAACACCAATTCCCTTGATGGTATTTGGATCCATTTCCAATTGAGAAGCAGTCATCTATCCTTTTTCATTAGCTTCGCCTTCACTGGTGAGAAGTTAGTGGGAAGTAAAGACTCTGGAGGCCTGGAGTTGTTGGGTTTTAAAATTTTATGCCTGGAGGGTAAGTCCACTGTAGTAAATGCAAAGTTATTTTTAAACTTAAAGCCATGGAATACCACTACATTATAGTAACCAGCTATTTTGTTAACCTACATTCATTCATGTATTGTTTGTATGAATGTTCTGTTTCCAGCATAATGGCTTTTAAAAATTAAAGATATAAATTAGCTATTATTAGAGAAACAGCATGATAGTAAAACTCCCCTAAATTGGCATAACAAAATATTACTAATAGACTCTAGAGGGGACGGACAGTCTCTAAAGAATAAACAAACCATTGAGTAGAGAACAGAAATCCCACCCAACCAGTAAGTGCTCTATGCTGATCTTCAAACAATGAGTTCCTGGGTCTTAGCAATAACCACAAAAACAACTCACCACTAACCGAGTGCTTACTGAATCTCATATGCTTTACATGTATTACTTTATTTTTTTCTTCCAAATGTCACTTTTGAAGAAGATACCTTTAATATTTCCACTTTACAGATGATGAAATTTTAAAATGTTAAATAAATTGCCCAGCTAGTAAATGGTAGAGCAGGGATTCAAACCCACTCTTAATATATATACTATTATTTTGATCCCCAGAGCACTCAATATAGTGTTGGGTACTTTAAAAAGAATTAATAAAATGTTGAGCCATATGGGGGATGATTCAGCCATATTGTAGGGACAGAAAGCAGTAAAAGTGACCCAAATACCCTATCTTTAAAATGTTTGTATATTTTAACCATTTATTTTCCACCTTATTCTTTGGTGCAATGTTTGCTGAGCATCTGCTATGTTCCAGGTACTGTGTCGGGTGGAAAACAGGAATAAATAATATACAAACCCTTTTATTAAGTAATTCAGAGTTCAATAAAAGACTTCAAAGGAAAACAGATCATTTTTAAATGATCAAACTGTGTGACAGGTGGAGTGGCATTAGCAGATCACAGAGGGGATGTTCGGGACTGGCTGCTGGCAGGAGGGGACATCTGAGCAGGTGAGAGGCAGAGGTGTGGGAGGAAGACAGGTTAAGACCTTAACAGACAAGGGTACAGTGGGAGCACTGGCAGGAAAAAGAGTTGCTGGAAATTTCCAGCAATTTATTGTTGCTGAAGCAAAAGGTGTGATGTCAGGTGGGTCCCTGATCCTGGAGCGGAGGTGGGATGCAAAGCATGGAGACCCTTTTAAGGCACCAGAGGAGGGAGAGAGATTGAACAAACAGGAGAGGTGGGTGGGTGAGGGAGAGAAGAGCCACTGAGATCATCACAACTCAAACAAAACTAAAACAAGTGTAATACATGTCCCTTGAGTTCTCTTGCTTTCTCCCATTTTCTATTAAAACATGTGCAAACTAGCACCTTAACACTTTTTGTAATTTCATGACAAATGCTATCATATTTCATAGCCAGCAGATGGCACTAAGTATACATAAAATGAACATTTTGCACACTGTCACTTTTTTTTTTTTTCTCTTGAGACAGTCTCACTCTGTTGCCCACGCTGCAGTGCAGTGGCGCAATCGTGTCTCTCTGCATCATGGGCTCCAGCGATCCTCCTGCCTCAGCTTCCCGAGTAGCTGGGACCACAAGCGCCTACCTCCTACTTATTTTAAAAGAGTTCAATCCAGGCTCTACTGTTCTCAAGGGACTTTTCTCCATACTAGGAACTCTAAAATCTGACAATGGTCTGGATCTCTGAGATAGGCAAGGCATCTTGTAGGTACAGGGTCCTCTCTTCTGCCAGGGGCTACTGTGCTGTAGTCTCAGAGGGATTTCATCAGGGGATCCCAGTAAGGTTGTAAAATGAATAATGATCTTGGTGGCACCACACCATCTCTGTGTAGTGAGGAAAACTTATGTAAAACTGGAACGGGTGAAGGGGTGAAACTAGGAAGGTTTCATAGCTGTTAGAAGAGGGGGAACAGGATTGGGTGGGTAAAGCCTTCAGCTGTGAGGCCTGTTGACATCTATGAAAGAGGAAGAAAGCAGGAGAGCCTCCAGCTGCAAAGGACAGCTGACCAGGGCTTGGCTTGCTCAGTGAGCAGCTTCAGAGCAAAGATTGCCTGATGAAGCAGTTCAGCATTGGGCTGAAACAGCCAGGCCCTACAGTACCCTTCTAATCTGGTTTGGCTCTGTCCCCACCCAAAATCTCATCTTCAATTGTAATCCCCATAATCCCCACAAGTCAAGGGAGAGACCAGGTGGATATAATTGAATCATGGGGGTGTTTTCTCCCATGCTGTTCTCCTGATAGTGAGTTCTCACGAGAGCTGATGATTTTGTAAGTGTTTGGTAGTTTCTCCTGCGTTCATTTCTCCTTCCTGCCACCTTGTGAAGAAGGTGGCTTGCTTCCCCTTAACCTTTTGCCATGATTGTAAGTTTCCTGAGGCCTCCCCAGTCATGCTGAACTGTGAGTCAATTAAGCCTCTTTCCTTTATAAATTACCCAGTCTTGGGTATTTCCTTAGAGCAATGTGAGAACAGACTAGTATATCTTCCTTGCTCAGTCATTGGCTGGGGGTTGCCTAGGAAGAAGAATGTGGTCCAGCGTGAATGCCATGCAGATGCTGATGGCTCTACAGTTGAAGGCTGTCAGTTAACTCTGTTCCCTGCAGCTGGGCAGCAGGTTCTCAGAGGAATACCCTAGAGGTTGTGTACTTTTGTGGCTGCCACACCATCCTTATTAAAGAAATAACTCTCATATGTATGATCCCCATTGTATTTCTTAGGTCTGTGTGAAGCTGTGTAAACAGGCTTGCTCTTTTCAATAGCTGAGGTGCTTTTTAAATAAAATTCATACGTTCTTGGATATGATTCAATCCAGTATATTCCATGAACTGGCTTTGCAGCTTCATCTGAATAATCTCGATATTTATATATGAGTTATATGTATCTCTTGGATGAAAATTTTAAAAGTAAAGGCCATTATCTATATGTGCTCAAAGGATATAAAAGAATTTTAATCTCAGAAAAGCATAATAAGGAAGTCAGTATATATTTTAATCTCAGGCAAGCATACTAAGGAAGTCAGTAGCTGCAAAAGCTCCTCAAAAAATTATTCGAAGTCAAATATAAATAATCCTATTGCTCTTCTGGATTACGAATACATCATAGCTTTTTTATTAACATCCAATTCAAAGTTGGTCTATTGTCTGGTGGTATTAAAATGGATCACATGTGTAGCCCTTAATAATGCACATTGACTTGGAACACCTTGCTTGATCCTCATAATTCTATGAGGTAGTTATTATCACCTATGTACAGATGAAGAAACACATCCTGAGATATGTCAATTTTAATGCAATTTCTATGAATGACATCTTTTTTTCAAAACCCTATGAAACACAATCCAGTAATTTTTAAGAAGCTATACCACTCCTTCCTTACACAATATACAAAAATCAACTCAAGATGGATGAAAGACTTGAAAACTATAAAAAACCTAGAAGAAAATAGGAAAGGCCATGGACATAGGCCTTGGCAAAGACTTCATGATGAAAATGCCAAAAGCAATTGCAGCAAAAACAAAAATTGACAAATGGGATCTAACAAAACTAAGAGGTTCTGCACAGTAAAAGAAACTAACAACAGAGTAAACACACAGCCTACAGAATGGGGGAAAACACCTGCAAACTACACATCTGACAAAGGTCTAATATCCAGTACCTAAAAGGAACTTAAACCAACAAGCAAAAACAAACGGCCTCATTAAAAATGGGCAAAAAATGTGAACAGACACTTATCAAAAGGAGACATGCATGTAGGCAACAAGCATATGAAAAAATGTTCACCATCACTAATCATTAGAGAAATGCAAATCAAAACCACAGTAAGATGCCATCTCACACCAGTCAGAATGGCTATGATGAAAAAGTTTAAAAAAAAAAAGATGCTGGTGAAGTTTTGGAGAAAAGAGAACACTTATACACTGCTGGTAGAAATGTAAACCAGTTTGGCCACCGTGGAAAGCAGTTTGGAGATTTTTCAAAGAATTTAAAATGGAGCTATCATTCAACCCAGCAATCCCATTACTGGATATATACCCAAAGGAATATAAATTGTTCTACCATAAAAACACATATACACGTATGTTCATTGCAGCATTATTCACAATAGCAAAGACATGGAATCAACCTAAATGCCCATCAACGGCGGAATGGATAAAGAAAATATGGTACATATATACCATGGAATACTATACAGCCATATAAAAAGAATGAGATCATGTCCTCTGTAGCAACACAGATGGAGCTGGAGGCCAGTTTCCTAAGTGAACTAACACAGAACAGAAAACCAAATACTGTATGTGCTCCTTATAAGTACGAGCTAAACATTGAGCACACATGGACAAAAAGAAGGGAATAACAGGCACCAGGGCCTACTTGAGGGTGGAGGGTGGGAGGAGAGTGAGGACTGAGAAAATACCTATCAGGTACTATGCTTATTACCTGGGTGACAAAATAATCTGTACACCAAACCCCATGACATGTGATTTACCTATATAACAAACCTGCAAATGTACCCCTGAACCTAAAATAGAAGTTGGAAGGAAAAAAATTCATTGCACAAATGGAAACAATAAAATCTACAATTTGAACATGTATTTGAATAGCTAGACGTGTCATCAGAACAATTCTTGGTGCTTATTTAAGCACCCAGAGCTACCTAAAGAGAACATGAGGTTTAAGAACCACTGATGAGGAATCAAAGCCCTACTTTGAAGAGTATAAATATATAAGCATTATATACATATATACACACATATTTTAAAGAATTATAAAATGAACACTTGTATACTTAACACCAAGAAATTGAATATTAACATTGAAGCACCCAGGGCTTCTCCTGTATTGCATTCTTTCCTAGAAGTGATCACCAGCCTGTTTTGAATTAACTATGCCTATGCTTTCGCTGTTTTGCCACACTATATCTTCTATAATATTGTTGTCTTGTTTGTTTTTAGGGCATATGTAAATGGCATATATATTGACATGCACACTCATCCCCTTTGATGACTTAGTTTTTTATCTTTAACAGTCTATTTGACATTGGTTCCCGCTGACACTTTTGACTGTAGATCACATTCACTCATTTACAATATTACTTTGTATGGAAATATTCATTTTATCCATTCTGTTGGTGGGCCTTTGAGTTGTTTTCAGCTTTTTTTTCTCAGGTACAAATAATGCTTCCATGAAGATTCATGTAATTGGTTTCCTTGGTATATTTGTACCAATATTTCTTTAGGGTGAAACTATAAATTGCAGACACTATATACCTTAAAACTTATTAGGTAATAACGACTTATTTTCTTTTTATTATTATTATACTTTAAGTTTTAGGGTACATGTGCACAACGTGCAGGTCTGTTACATATGTATACATGTGCCATGTTGGCATGCTGCACCCATTAACTCGTCATTTAGCATTAGGTGTATCTCCTAATGCTATCCCTCCCCCCTCCCCTCACTCCACAACAGTCCCCGGTGTGTGATGTTCCCCTTCCCACGTCCATGTGTTCTCATTGTTCAATTCCCACCTATGAGTGAGAACATGCCGTGTTTGGTTTTTGGTCTTTGTGATAGTTTGCTGAGAATGATGGTTTCCAGTTTCATCCATGTCCCTACAAAGGACATGAACTCATCATTTTTTATGGCTGCAGTGAGCCAAGATCGTGCCACTGAACTCCAGCCTGGGCGACAGAGCAAGACTCCATCTCAAAAAAAAAAGGGAGAACCAAGGATTTTATATCTAGCCAATCTGTCATTCAAGTATAGATGTTATAAAAAAAGTTTCAAATATGCAATAATTGAGGAAATAATAGTAACCTTCTCAAATACAAAAAGTTTAAAAGAGAATCATATACAGAAACAAAGCAAATATAGTCAAATACACATAAAACTTACAACAAAGGTTCTCACATTATCTCACAAAGCAAAGACAGACTCAACTTATGCTACACAGGGAAGACAAATACAAACAGATTCAGAAAGGTGAAAAATAGAATGATGGCATCAGCATGGCAGGCAATACCATTTCCATATGCAAACTAAGGAAGACATTTAAAGCAAGGATAAGAAGCAAATTCATGGCCTCAAAAGCTTTATCAATAAAAATGAAAGAGTGAAAATAAATGAATTAAATTCTTGACTTAAAAATCTAAATAAATAACAAAATAAAGCAAAAAAAGTATACTAAAGGAAATACTCATGAGAAGAATAGTCTATTATATCTACCCCTCTGTGTATCTATTTTGCGTTTTATATTTCTTCTCTATATTCTAGGATTCCTTCTTTCATTTCCTTTTTGTTTTCAGAATTTTTAAATTTTAAGTTCAGGGATACATGTGCAGGATGTGCATGTTTGTTACATAGGTAAACGCGTACCATGGTGGTTTGCTGCACCTAACAACTTATTACCTAGGTATTAAGCCCAGCATACATTAGCTATTTTTCCTGATGCTCTCCCTCCCCATACCCTCCCCTGACAAGCCCCAGTGTGTTTTGTTCCCCTCCCAGTGTCCGTGTGTTCTCACTGTTCAGCTCCCACTTGTAAGTGAGAACATGCAGTGTTTGGTTTTCTGTTCCTGCATTAGTTTACTGAGGATAATGGCTTCCAGCTCCATCCACGTCCCTGCCAAGGACATGATCTCATTTCTTTTTATGACTGCAAAATATTCCATGGTATATATGTACCATATTTTCTTTATCCAGTCTATCACTCATGGGCATTTGGGTTGCTTCCACGCTATCAAAAAAGAGCTCATACAGCCAAGACAATCCTAAGCAAAAAGAACAAAGCTAGAGGCCTCAGCCTACCTGACTTCAAACTATATTACAAGGCTACAATAACAAAAACAGCATGGTCATGGTAAAAAACAGGCATATTGACCAATGGAACAGAATAGAGAACTCAGAAATAAAACCACATATCTACGACCATCTGGTCTTCAAGAAACCTGACAAAAGAACTTCAATTAACCATTCTTTTTTTTGTTTGCTTGTTTGTTATTATACTTTAAGTTTTAGGGTACATGTGCACATTGTGCAGGTTAGTTACATATGTATACATGTGCCATGCTGGTGCACTGCACCCACTAACTCGTCATCTAGCATTAGGTATATCTCCCAATGCTATCCCTCCCCCCTCCCCCCACCCCACAACAGTCCCCAGAGTGTGATATTCCCCTTCCTGTGTCCATGTGATCTCATTATTCAATTCCCACCTATGAGTGAGAATATGCAGTGTTTGGTTTTTTGTTCTTGCGATAGTTTACTGAGAATGATGATTTCCAATTTCATCCATGTCCCTACAAAGGACATGAATTCATCATTTTTTATGGCTGCATAGTATTCCATGGTGTATATGTGCCACATTTTCTTAATCCAGTCTATCATTGTTGGACATTTGGGTTGGTTCCAAGTCTTTGCTATTGTGAATAATGCGGCAATAAACATACGTGTGCATGTGTCTTTAGAGCAGCATGATTTATAGTCCTTTGGGTATATACCCAGTAATGGGATGGCTGGGTCAAATGGTATTTCTAGTTCTAGATCCCTGAGGAATTGCCACACTGACTTCCACAATGGTTGAACTAGTTTACAGTCCCACCAACAGTGTAAAAGTATTCCTATTTCTCCACATCCTCTCCAGCACCTGTTGTTTCCTGACTTTTTAATGATTGCCATTCTAACTGGTGTGAGATGGTATCTCACAGTGGTTTTGATTTGCATTTCTCTGATGGCCAGTGATGATGAGCATTTTTTCATGTGTTTTTTGGCTGCATAAATGTCTTCTTTTGAGAAGTGTCTGTTCATGTCCTTTGCTCACTTTTTGATGGGGTTGTTTGTTTTTTTCTTGTAAATTTGTTTGAGTTCATTGTAGATTCTGGATATTAGCCCTTTGTCAGATGAGTAGCTTGTGAAAATTTTCTCCCATTTTGTAGGTTGCCTGTTCATTCTGATGGTAGTTTCTTTTGCTGTGCAGAAGCTCTTTAGTTTAATTAGATCCCATTTGTCAATTGTGTCTTTTGTTGCCATTGCTTTTGGTGTTTTGGACATGAAGTCCTTGCCCATGCCTAGGTCCTGAATGGTGATGCCTAGGTTTTCTTCTAGGGTTTTTATGGTTTTAGGTCTAACGTTTAAGTCTTTAATCCATCTTGAATTGATTTTTGTATAAGGTGTAAGGAAGGGATCCAGTTTCAGCTTTCTACATAAGGCTAGCCAGTTTTCCCAGCACCATTTATTAAATAGGGAATCCTTTCCCCATTGCTTGTTTTTCTCAGGTTTGTCAAAGATCAGATAGCTGTAGATATGCGGCATTATTTCTGAGGGCTCTGTTCTGTTCCATTGATCTATATCTCTGTTTTGGTACCAGTACCATGCTGTTTTGGTTACTGTAGCCTTGTAGTATAGTTTGAAGTCAGGTAGTGTGATGCCTCCAGCTTTGTTCTTTTGGCTTAGGATTGACTTGGCGATGCGGGCTCTTTTTTGGTTCCATATGAACTTTAAAGTAGTTTTTTCCAATTCTGTGAAGAAAGGCATTGGTAGCTTGATGGGGATGGCATTGAATCTGTAAATTACCTTGGGCAGTATGGCCATTTTCACGATATTGATTCTTCCTACCCATGAGCATGGAATATTCTTCCATTTGTTTGTATCCTCTTTTATTTCCTTGAGCAGTGGTTTGTAGTTCTGCTTGAAGAGGTCCTTCACATCCCTTGTAAGTTGGATTCCTAGGTATTTTATTCTCTTTGAAGCAATTGTGAATGGGAGTTCACTCATGATTTGGCTCTCTGTTTGTCTGTTGTTGGTGTATAAGAATGCTTGTGATTTTTGTACATTGATTTTGTATCCTGAGACTTTGCTGAAGTTGCTTATCAGCTTAAGGAGATTTTGGGCTGAGACAATGGGGTTTTCTAGATATACAATCATTTTGTCTGCAAACAGGGACAATTTCGCTTCCTCTTTTCCTAATTGAATACTCTTTATTTCCTTCTCCTGCCTAATTGCCCTGGCCAGAACTTCCAACACTATGTTGAATAGGAGTGGTGAGAGAGGGCATCCCTGTCTTGTGCCAGTTTTCAAAGGGAATGCTTCCAGTTTTTGCCCATTCAGTATGATATTGGCTGTGGGTTGGTCATAGATAGCTCTTATTATTTTGAAATACGTCCCATCAATACCTAATTTATTGAGAGTTTTTAGCATGAAGGGTTGTTGAATTTTGTCAAAGGCTTTTTCTGCATCTATTGAGATAATCATGTGGTTTTTGTCTTTGGCTCCCAGTATTTTATTGAGGATTTTTGCATCAATGTTCATCAAGGATATTGGTCTAAAATTCTCTTTTTTGGTTGTGACTCAGCCCGGCTTTGGTATCAGAATGATGCTGGCCTCAGAAAATGAGTTAGGGAGGATTCCCTCTTTTTCTATTGATTGGAATAGTTTCAGAAGGAATGGTACCAGTTCCTCCTTGTACCTGTGGTAGGATTCGGCTGTGAATCCACCTGGTCCTGGACTCTTTTTGGTTGGTAAACTATTGATTATTGCCACAACTTCAGCTCCTGTTATTGGTCTATTCAGAGATTCAACTTCTTCCTGGTTTAGTCTTGGGAGGGTGTATGTGTCGAGGAATTTATCCATTTCTTCTAGATTTTCTAGTTTATTTGCGTAGAGGTGTTTGTAGTATTCTCTGATGGTAGTTTGTATTTCTGTGGGATCAGTGGTGATATCCCCTTTATCATTTTTTATCGTGTCTATTTGATTCTTCTCTCTTTTTTTCTTTATTAGTCTTGCTAGCGGTCTATCAATTTTGTTGATCCTTTCAAAAAACCAGCTCCTGGATTCATTGATTTTTTGAAGGGTTTTTTGTGTCTCTATTTCCTTCAGTTCTGCTCTGATTTTAGTTATTTCTTGCCTCCTGCTAGCTTTTGAATGTGTTTGCTCTTGCTTTTCTAGTTCTTTTAATTGTGATGTTAGGGTGTCAATTTTGGATCTTTCCTGCTTTCTCTTGTGGGCATTTAGTGCTATAAATTTCCCTCTACACACTGCTTTGAATGTGTCCCAGAGATTCTGGTATGTTGTGTCTTTGTTCTCGTTGGTTTCAAAGAACATCTTTATTTCTGCCTTCATTTCGTTATGTACCCAGTAGTCATTCAGGGGCAGGTTGTTCAGTTTCCATGTAGTTGAGCGGCTTTGAGTGGGATTCTTAATCCTGAGTTCTAGTTTGATTGCACTGTGGTCTGAGAGATAGTTTGTTATAATTTCTGTTATTTTACATTTGCTGAGGAGAGCTTTACTTCCAACTATGTGGTCAATTTTGGAATAGGTGTGGTGTGGTGCTGAAAAAAATGTATATTCTGTTGATTTGGGGTGGAGAGTTCTGTAGATGTCTATTAGGTCTGCTTGGTGCAGAGCTGAGTTCAATTCCTGGGTATCCTTGTTGACTTTCTGTCTCATTGATCTAATGTTGACAGTGGGGTGTTAAAGTCTCCCATTATTATTGTGTGGGAGTCTAAGTCTCTTTGTAGGTCACTCAGGACTTGCTTTATGAATCTGGGTGCTCCTGTATTGGGTGCATATATATTTAGGATAGTTAGCTCTTCTTGTTGAATTGATCCCTTTACCATTATGTAATGGCCTTGTCTCTTTTGATCTTTGTTGGTTTAAAGTCTGTTTTATCAGAGACTAGGATTGCAACCCCTGCCTTTTTTTGTTTTCCATTTGCTTGGTAGATCTTCCTCCATCCTTTTATTTTGAGCCTATGTGTGTCTCTGCACGTGAGATGGGTTTCCTGAATACAGCACACTGATGGATCTTGACTCTTTATCCAATTTGCCAGTCTGTGTCTTTTAATTGGAGAATTTAGTCCATTTATATTTAGTTAATATTGTTATGTGTGAATTTGATCCTCTCATTATGATGATAGCTGGGGATTTTGCTCGTTAGTTGATGCAGTTTCTTCCTAGTCTCGATGGTCTTTAAATTTTGGCATGATTTTGCAGCTGCTGGTACCGGTTGTTCCTTTCCATGTTTAGCGCTTCCTTCAGGAGCTCTTTTAGGGCAGGCCTGGTGGTGACAAAATCGGTCAGCATTTGCTTGTCTGTAAAGTATTTTATTTCTCCTTCACTTATGAAGCTTAGTTTCACTGGATATGAAATTCTGGGTTGAAAATTCTTTTCTTTAAGAATGTTGAATATTGGCCCCCACTCTCTTCTGGCTTGTAGGGTTTCTGCCGAGAGATCCACTGTTAGTCTGATGGGCTTCCCTTTGAGGGTAACCGGACCTTTCTCTCTGGCTGCCCTTAACATTTTTTCCTTCATTTCAACTTTGGTGAATCTGACAATTATGTGTCTTGGAGTTGCTCTTCTTGAGGAGTATCTTTGTGGCATTCTCTGTCTTTCCTGAATCTGAACGTTGGCCTGCCTTGCTAGATTGGGGAAGTTCTCCTGGATAATATCCTGCAGAGTGTTTTCCAACTTGGTTCCATTCTCCTCATCACTTTCAGGTACACCAATCAGACGTAGATTTGGTCTTTTCACATAGTCCCATATTTCTTGGAGGTTTTGCTCATTTCTTTTTATTCTTTTTTCTCTAAACTTCCCTTCTCGTTTCATTTCATTCATTTCATCTTCCATTGCTTATATCCTTTCTTCCAGTTGATCACATCAGCTCCTGAGGCTTCTGCATTCTTCACGTAGTTCTCGAGCCTTGGTTTTCAGCTCCATCAGCTCCTTTAAGCACTTCTCTGTATTGGTTATTCTAGTTATACATTCTTCTAAATTTTGTTCAAAGTTTTCAACTTCTTTGCCTTTGGTTTGAATGTCCTCCCGTAGCTCAGAGTAATTTGATCGTCTGAAGCCTTCTTCTCTCAGCTCGTCAAAGTCATTCTCCATCCAGCTTTGTTCTGTTGCTGGTGAGGAACTGCGTTCCTTTGGAGGAGGAGAGACGCTCTGCGTTTTAGAGTTTCCAGTTTTTCTGTTCTGTTTTTTCCCCATCTTTGTGGTTTTATCTACTTTTGGTCTTTGATGATGGTGATGTACAGATGGGTTTTCAGTGTGGATGTCCTTTCTCTTTGTTAGTTTTCCTTCTAACAGACAGGACCCTCAGCTGCAGGTCTGTTGGAATAACCTGCTGTGTGAGGTGTCAGTGTGCCCCTGCTGGGGGTGCCTCCCAGTTAGGTTGCTGGGTGGTCAGGGACCCACTTGAGGAGGCAGTCTGCCTCTTCTCAGATCTCCAGCTGCGTGCTGGGAGAACCACTGCTCTCTTCAAAGCTGTCAGACAGGGATATTTAAGTCTGCAGAGGTTACTGCTGTCTTTTTGTTTGTCTGTGCCCTGCCCCCAGAGGTGGAGCCTATAGAGGCAGGCAGGCCTCCTTGAGCTGTGGTGGGCTCCACCCAGTTCGAGCTTCCCGGCTGCTTTGTTTACCTAAGCAAGCCTGGGCAATGGCGGGCGCCCCTCCCCCAGCCTCGCTGCTGCCTTGCAGTTTGATCTCAGACTGCTGTGCTAGCAATCAGCGAGACTCCGTGGGCGTAGGACCCTCCGAGCCAGGTGCGGGATGTAATCTCGTGGTGCACCGTTTTTTTAGCCCGTCGGCAAAGCGCAGTATTAGGGTGGGAGTGACCTGATTTTCCAGGTGCCATCTGTCACCCCTTTCTTTGACTAGGAAAGGGAACTCTCTGACCCCTTGCGCTTCCCGAGTGAGGCAAGGCCTCGCCCTGCTTCGGCTCGCGCACGGTATGCTGCACCCACTGTCCTGCGCCCACTGTCTGGCACTCCCTAGTGAGATGCACTCGGTACCTCAGATGGAAATGCAGAAATCACCCGTCTTCTGCGTCGCTCACGCTGGGAGCTGTAGACTGGAGCTGTTCCTATTCGGCCATCTTGGCTCCTCCCCCTTAACCATTCTTTAAGGTTCTCTGCTAGCCACAAATTATTTTAATTTTCCTTGATTGGAGAATGTCTATTTCCCCTTCATTCCTAAGGGAAACATCCACTGGATATGTAATTCATCTTGACAATGTTCTGCCACAACCTTCTGGCCTCCTTAATTTCACATGAGAAGTCTGCTACAATTCAAGTCAGTTTTGCCTGTAGGTGATGTGTCATTTCTCCGTACCTGCTTTCAAGATTTTTTCTTTTCGTTTTAAAAGTTAACTTATAATGTATCTTGGCATGGATTTCTCTGGGTTTGTCTTACTTGGGAATGGCTCAGTGTCTTCACTCTGCAGGTGTGTCTTTCACCAAATTTGGGGAGTTTTTAGCAATTACTTCTTAAAATACTATTCAGCCCCACTCTCTTTTTCCATTCCTTCTGAAATTTTGATGATACAAATATTAAATCTTTTGTTACTACACCATAGGTCCCGGAGGCTCTGTCCTTTTTCCTGTGATTTTCTCTCAATTTACATTGGGAGATTTCTATTGTTCTATCTGCAAGAGCAGTGACTGCTTCCTCAGTAATATTCACTCCGCTACCAAGTCCATTTACTGAATTTTAATTTTAGTTATTGTATTTTTCAGTTCTATAATCACCAAGTTGTTCTTTAAAAAAAAAAAAAATTCTGTGGTGAGATTTTATAGCCTTTTCATTTGCTTCCAGAGTATTTAAAACTGCTCATTGAAGTGTTTTTATGATGACTGCTTTAAAACCCTTGTCGAATAATCCCCACATCCTATTCATCTCAGTGTTGACATTTGTTGTCTTTTCTCATTCAAGTTGTTTTCTCCATTCTTGCTATGATGAGTGGTTTTTCTATTGTGTCCAGTACATTTTTTATATTATGTTAGAGACTGTGGATCCTATCTTAAATTTCTATTTCAGCAGACAGTCATTTTGTTTTTAGGTTTATCACGCAAGTCCTGGCCTACTTCTGTGTGCTATAGTTACAATGACAGTTTAGTTTTCAGAGTCTTTGCAATGCTAGTGCTATTGTGGTCAGCTTGATTCATCTGGTGCCCTGGTGCTCCGTCTCCACCCCAAATCATGCTGCCGATGCAGGAAGAATGTATTTCCCATGTCCTGTTGCCATGGGATAGAGGGTGAGAGACACCAGACTGTGGGGTAGGGGGTTGGCAGAGGGCAGAGGGCTCTTTCCTAGGGTGCCTAGTCCTAGCAGGGCACCTGTTAGATCTCCGCTGCTGCTACCTGCATGGGCAGCCTCCCTGGAGGGAATAGTAGATACCAGACCCACAGGATGGAGAGCATTTCCCTGGACCCTCTTTCTGATTGTCTTCTGCCACTGGATGGAGTTTCAGGAGGTGGCAGCCTGTGGTGTTTTTCTGTGAGTTCTGAGGTACCTAACTAGTCTGCCTTTCTATATAGCATTGGGCTGGGATTGGAGCTACAGTTATGAAATCATGATTTCATACACACACACACGTGTGCACATACGTGCAGTGAAAGGGCCTAGAAACAAGGACACACTGGTAGTAATAAGTGCACATACCACTCAGGTCTTGGTTTCCAAATACCATTCTCCTCTAAAAGGAACCAGGGCTCCTTGGAAAAAATGGCTGATTCCAAGGCTAGCACAAGGAAAATCAAGAAAAGCCTGGAGCATTATAAATTTATAAAGACATGTCAAAGAGACATCCAGCTTAGGAACATTCAAAACGGCTAGGCCCAGAACTGATATTTGTGTATAACATATGGTTTTTCTCATATAGATAGACTATTCCAGCATCATTTAGTGAAAAGTGACCTGCAAGACAATCTTGCTGAAATTGCTTTGAATCTGAACATCAGCTGGGGAGAACTGCATTACATGAAACTTCATACACATAAATGTGTTTTATTTTTCTATTTATGTCTTAGAATTATTAAAATAAATTTTCATACAAATACTATATGTATTTTGTTAGATTCATTCAGATCCTATGCATTTTTCTTCCTAATACATAAGGCATATTTTTAAAAAATATGTTTTCTGTTTGTTGCCAAAGAATAAAAATGCAATTGATTTTTGAATATTAAACATATCTAGCCATGGTATTGAATTCTTCTAATTCCTAATAAGTTGTCAATTATTTTATTCTTTCTAGGTAAATATTGATACTATAATAAATTTTCCTTCTTTCTGTTTCTTTCCTTTTCCTATTATTTACTTTTCTTGCATTACTAGGCTAGTTTGGACTTTATTTTTTTTTATTTTTTATTTTTTTCTTTTGAGACGGAGTCTCGCTCTGTCGCCCAGGCCGGACTGCGG
Organism: Homo sapiens; assembly: GCF_000001405.40. Taxonomy (NCBI): domain Eukaryota; kingdom Metazoa; phylum Chordata; class Mammalia; order Primates; family Hominidae; genus Homo; species Homo sapiens. Next base: position 32,705,856 of record NC_000007.14, read on the forward strand.
ACTGCGGACTGCAGTGGCGCAATCTCGGCTCACTGCAAGCTCCGCTTCCCGGGTTCACGCCATTCTCCTGCCTCAGCCTCCCGAGTAGCTGGGACTACAGGCGCCCACCACCGCGCCCGGCTAATTTTTTGTATTTTTAGTAGAGACGGGGTTTCACCTTGTTAGCCAGGATGGTCTCGATCTCCTGACCTCATGATCCACCCGCCTCGGCCTCCCAAAGTGCTGGGATTACAGGCGTGAGCCACCGCACCCGGCCTGGACTTTAATAAAATGTGAAAAAGCACATTTATCTTTATCTTGATTTTAAACAGAACACTCTAAATACTTTATTATCAGTAAGACTAATGACTGCTGAAGAATTTTACTGGGTTGAGAAAACTGTTATTTCTATTGTGTTACATGTTTTCATTATAAATGGATGTTCAATTTTATCAATTTTATTTTCTGCATCTAATGGGATGATCATAAGATTTTTTCTCTTTTAATCTGTTAGTGTGATAACTTACATTTTTGGATTTTCCAGAAATGTCTTTGGATTCCTAGAATAAGCCAGATTTATCACAAGTGGATTATCTTTATCATATATATGGCTGTTCTTGAGTTACTAATCTTTTATACTTTTGTGTGTAAGGAATGCTTTTAATCTAGGTGAAATTTTGAATCTATGCTCACAAATAAGAATATCCTTTCTCAAACTATCCTCATCTGGCCTTAGTACTGAGCTTTAGATTATCTTGGAGGTTCCATTTCCCTTCTTGTAATGATTCTTATGCCTCATGGCACACACAAAGTTCCCCTTTGTAAATTTCATATGAGCTCAATTCAATAATTACCTTGCCACCAAAAACTGGAGTCTCCCATTAAACAGTGAATTTGCTTCTATTGATGTTAAACTCTAAACTGAATCACTTAGATCTAAAAATACCTTGTGCAGGTTGTGTGTAATAAATACTTACCTTTGCCAAAGACATACAGAGCTAGAAACAGAAAATAATACCTAGGAAGGCTTAAAAAACATGTAAGCTGAACATTTGGTTAAATCTCAACTTTTCTCTCCTTAGATTTTTTGTTTCTTTGATATTCTTGAATTTAAAACTTAGTCAATTCATGTTCTTTCCAGTCTACTACTGAAAATATTCTTGAAAATGAAGACAGTAAATTTTCCTTTGAGTGCAGCCTTGGCAGAATTTTTTTGATGTTTATGGACACTCTTCTACTTACTGTCATTTTTCAATAGTTTGCAACTGAAATTCTGACCTTCTTTTGAGTTGTATTAAATTGCTCAATTTTTCTGAAGTGAAAGAATTATATATTACAAGTGTAATGTCGATATGTGAATTTCTACAAAGCCTGCATGCCTAACAACAGGTGGCCTGGGTAAAGAGTCAAATTGGTAGAACCAATAAAGAATAATAAAAAGACAAAAAAAGCATCATGTCATTCATTCAACAACTTACTGGACAAATCTTTCTATATTTTCACCATAAAGGATGGGAGAATGCCTCCAACAAGAAGAAAATAGCAACTCCTTACATTTTGTTCTCTTGTATTGTGGGTAGGAACCTACCTCCTCAACTTGTAACATTTCCAGACTTATCCTCTCAATATATAACATGAAAACATACAGTTCATTTCTTCCGTCACCCAGGGTGGAGTGCAGTGGGGTGATCATGGCTCACTGTAACCTTCCCGGGCTCAAGCAATCCTCCCATCTCAGCCTCCTGAGTAGTTGGGATCACAGGCTCATGCCACCATGCCCAACTAGTTTTTCTATTTTTTGTAGAGACGGGGTTTTGCCATGTTGCCCAGGCTGGTCTCAAACTCCTGGGCTGAAGCTCTCTGTTCGTGTTGGCCTCCCAAAGTGCAGTGATTACAGGCGTGAACCACTGTGTGTGGCCCAGGGTTTATTTTTTAATAGAAGTACATCACAGACCAGAGAAAAAGAATATCAACTGTCTCATATTAAGATAATTTAAGAGTTGCACTACCTGCCTAATAACTTATTTTACTAGGAAACCATGGAGGTAATATGGGCCATCCATCTGCATATTAGGGAAGAAGCCAAACAAAGATTAGGTTGTGGCTGAGTTCAAATTAGAAGGGGCTGGGAGACTGTAAGGAAAATGTTAAAAGGACAAAAGTAATAGACTCTAAAGTTGGAAGATGGCCGAATAGGAACAGCTCCGGTCTACAGCTCCCAGCGTGAGCGACGCAGAAGACGGGTGAGTTCTGCATTTCCATCTGAGGTACTGGGTTCATCTCACTAGGGAGTGCCAGACAGTGGGCGCAGGACAGTGGGTGCAGCATACCGTGCGCGAGCCGAAGCAGGGCGAGGCCTTGCCTCACTCGGGAAGCGCAAGGGGTCAGAGAGTTCCCTTTCCTAGTCAAAGAAAGGGGTGACAGATGGCACCTGGAAAATCAGGTCACTCCCACCCTAATACTGCGCTTTGCCGACGGGCTTAAAAAACGGTGCACCACGAGATTACATCCCGCACCTGGCTCGGAGGGTCCTACGCCCACGGAGTCTCGCTGATTGCTAGCACAGCAGTCTGAGATCAAACTGCAAGGCAGCAGCAAGGCTGGGGGAGGGGCGCCCGCCATTGCCCAGGCTTGCTTAGGTAAACAAAGCAGCCGGGAAGCTCGAACTGGGTGGAGCCCACCACAGCTCAAGGAGGCCTGCCTGCCTCTATAGGCTCCACCTCTGGGGGCAGGGCACAGACAAACAAAAAGACAGCAGTAACCTCTGCAGACTTAAATATCCCTGTCTGACAGCTTTGAAGAGAGCAGTGGTTCTCCCAGCACACAGCTGGAGATCTGAGAACGGGCAGACTGCCTCCTCAAGTGGGTCCCTGACCCCTGACCCGAGCAGCCTAACTGGGAGGCACCCCCCAAGAGGGACAGACTGACACCTCACACGGCCAGGTACTCCTCTGAGACAAAAATTCCAGAGGAACGATCAGACAGCAGCATTCGCGGTTCATGAAAATCCACTGTTCTGCAGCCACTGCTGCTGCTATCCAGGCAAACAGAGTCTGGAGTGGACCTCTAGCAAACTCCAACAGACAAGCAGCTGCGGGTCCTGTCTGTTAGGAGGAAAACTAACAAACAGCAAGGACATCCACACCAAAAACCCATCTGTACATCACTCATCATCAAAGACCAAAAGTAGATAAAACCACAAAGATGGGGAAAAAACAGAGCAGAAAAACTAGAAACTCTAAAAAGCAGAGCGCCTCTCCTCCTCCAAAGGAACGCAGTTCCTCACCAGCAATGGAACAAAGCTGGACGGAGAATGACTTTGACGAGTTGAGAGAAGAAGGCTTCAGACGATCAAACTACTCCGAGCTACAGGAGGAAATTCAAACCAAAGGCAAAGAAGTTAAAAACTTTGCAAAAAATTTAGACGAATGTGTAACTAGAATAACCAATACAGAGAAGTGCTTAAAGGAGCTGATGGAGCTGAAAGCCAAGGCTCAAGAACTACGTGAAGAATGCAGAAGCCTCAGGAGCCAATGCGATCAACTGGAAGAAAGGGTATCAGTGATGGAAGATGAAATGAATGAAATGAAGCGAGAAGGGAAGTTTAGAGAAAAAAGAATAAAAAGAAAAGAACAAAGTCTCCAAGAAATATGGGACCATGTGAAAAGACCAAATCTACATCTGATTGGTGTACCTGAAAGTGATGGGGAGAATGGAACCAAGTTGGAAAACACTCTGCAGGATATTATCCAGGAGAACTTCCCCAATCTAGCAAGGCTGGCCAACATTCAGATTCAGGCAATACAGAGAATGCCACAAAGATACTCCTCGAGAAGAGCAACTCCAAGATACCTAATTGTCAGATTCACCAAAGTTGAAATGAAGGAAAAAATGTTAAGGGCAGCCAGAGAGAAAGGTCGGGTTACCCTCAAAGGGAAGCCCATCAGACTAACAGCAGATCTCTCGGCAGAAACTCTAAAAGCCAGAAGAGAGTGGGGGCCAATATTCAACATTCTTAAAGAAAATAATTTTCAACCCAGAATTTCATATCCAGCCAAACTAAGCTTCATAAGTGAAGAAGAAATAAAAAACTTTACAGACAAGCAAATGCTGAGAGATTTTGTCACCACCAGGCCTGCCCTAAAAGAGCTCCTGAAGGAAGCACTAAACATGGAAAGGAACAACCGGTACTAGCTGCTGCAAAATCATGCCAAATTCTAAAGACCATCAAGGCTAGGAAGAAATTGCCTCAACTAAAGAGCAAAATAACCAGCTAACATCATAATGACAGGATCAAATTCACACATAACAATATTAACTTTAAATGTAAATGGACTAAATGCTCCAATTAAAAGACACAGACTGGCAAATTGGATAAAGAGTCAAGACCCATCAGTGTGCTGTATTCAGGAAACCCATCTCACGTGCAGAGATACACATAGGCTCAAAATAAAAGGATGGAGGAAGATCTACCAAGCAAATGGAAAACAAAAAAAGGCAGGGGTTGCAATCCTAGTCTCTGATAAAACAGACTTTAAACCAACAAAGATCAAAAGAGACAAAGAAGGCCATTACATAATGGTAAAGGGATCAATTCAACACGAAGAGCTAACTCTCCTAAATATATATGCACCCAATACAGGAGCACCCAGATTCATAAAGCAAGTCCTGAGTGACCTACAAAGAGACTTAGACTCCCACACAATAATAATGGGAGACTTTAACGCCCCACTGTCAACATTAGACAGATCAACGAGACAGAAAGTCAACAAGGATACCCAGGAATTGAACTCAGCTCTGCACCAAGCGGACCTAATAGATATCTACAGAACTCTCCACCCCAAATCAACAGAATATACATTTTTTTCCAGCACCACACCACACCTATTCCAAAATTGACCACATAGTTGCAAGTAAAGCTCTCCTCAAAAAATGTAAAATAACAGAAATTATAACAAACTGTCTCTCAGACCACAGTGCAATCAAACTAGAACTCAGGATTAAGAAACTCACTCAAAACCACCCAACTACATGGAAACTGAACAATCTGCTCCTGAATGACTACTGGGTACATAACGAAATGAAGGCAGAAATAAAGATGTTCTTTGAAACCAACGAGAACAAAGACACAACATACCAGAATCTCTGGGACACATTCAAGGCAGTGTGTAGAGGGAAATTTATAGCACTAAATGCCCACAAGAGAAAGCAGGAAAGATCCAAAATTGACACCCTAGCATCACAATTAAAAGAACTAGAAAAGCAAGAGCAAACACATTCAAAAGCTAGCAGGAGGCAAGAAATAACTAAAATCAGAGCAGAAATGAAGGAAATAGAGACATAACAAGCCCTTCAAAAAATTAATGAATCCAGGAGCTGGTTTTTTGAAAGGATCAACAAAATTGATACACCGCTAGCAAGACTAATAAGAAAAGAGAGAAGAATCAAATAGACGCAACAAAAAATGATAAAGGGGATATCACCACCGATCCCATGGAAATACAAACTACCATCAGAGAATACTACAAACATCTACACAAATAACCTAGAAAATCTAGAAGAAATGGATAAATTCCTGGACACATACACCCTCCCAAGACTAAACCAGGAAGAAGTTGAATCTCTGAATAGACCAATAACAGGCTCTGAAATTGTGGCAATAATCAATAGCTTACCAACCAAAAAGAGTCCAGGACCAGATGGATTCACAGCCGAATTCTACCAGAGGTACAAGGAGGAACTGGTACCATTCCTTCTGAAACTATTCCAAGCAATAGAAAAAGAGGGAATCCTCCCTAACTCATTTTCTGAGGCCAGCATCATGCTGATATAAAAGCCAGGCAGAGACACAACCAAAAAAGAGAATTTTAGACCAATATCCTTGATGAACATTGATGCAAAAATCCTCAATAAAATACTGGCAAACCGAATCCAGCAGCACATCAAAAAGCTTATCCACCATGATCAAGTGGGCTTCATCCCTGGGATGCAAGGCTGGTTCAATATACACAAATCAATAAATGTAATCCAGCATATAAACAGAACCAAAGACAAAAACCACACGATTATCTCAATAGATGCAGAAAAGGCCTTTGACAAAATTCAACAACGCTTCATACTAAAAACTCTCAATAAATTAGGTATTGATGGGACGTATCTCAAATTAATAAGAGCTATCTATGACAAACCCACAGCCAATATCATACTGAATGGGCAAAAACTGGAAGCATTCCCTTTGAAAAACTGGCACAAGACAGTTTTCAAAGGAAAACTTTGAAACCTCTATCACCACTCCTATTCAACATAGTGTTGGAAGTTCTGGCCAGGGCAATTAGGCAGGAGAAGGAAATAAAGGGTATTCAATTAGGAAAAGAGGAAATCAAATTGTCCCTGTTTGCAGATGACATGATTGTATATCTAGAAAACCCCATTGTCTCAGCCCAAAACCTCCTTAAGCTGATAAGCAACTTCAGCAAAGTCTCAGGATACAAAATCAATGTACAAAAATCACAAGCATTCTTATACACCAATAACAGACAAACAGAGAGCCAAATCATGAGTGAACTCCCATTCACAATTGCTTCAAAGAGAATAAAATACCTAGGAATCCAACTTACAAGGGATGTGAAGGACCTCTTCAAGCAGAACTACAAACCACGGCTCAAGGAAATAAAAGAGGATACAAACAAATGGAAGAACATTCCATGCTCATGGGTAGAAAGAATCTATATCGTGAAAATGGCCATACTGCCCAAGGTAATTTATAGATTCAGTGCCATCCCCATCAAGCTACCAATGACTTTCTTCACAGAATTGGAAAAAACTACTTTAAAGTTCATATGGAACCAAAAAAGAGCCCGCATCGCCAAGTCAATCCTAAGCCAAAAGAACAAAGCTGGAGGCATCACGCTACCTGACTTCAAACTATACTATAAGGCTACAGTAACCAAAACAGCATGGTACTGGTACCAAAACAGAGATATAGATCAATGGAACAGAACAGAGCCCTCAGAAATAATGCCGCATATCTACAACTATCTGATCTTTGACAAACCTGAGAAAAACAAGCAATGGGGAAAGGATTCCCTATTTAATAAATGGTGCTGGGAAAACTGGCTAGCCTTATGTAGAAAGCTGAAACTGAATCCCTTCCTTACACCTTACACAAAAATTAATTCAAGATGGATTAAAGACTTAAACGTTAGACCCAAAACCATAAAAACCCTAGAAGAAAACCTAGGCATTACCATTCAGGACATAGGCATGGGCAAGGACTTCAGGTCTAAAACACCAAAAGCAATGGCAACAAAAGCCAAAAGTGACAAATGGGATCTAATTAAACTAAAGAGCTTCTGCACAGCAAAAGAAACTACCATCAGAATGAACAGGCAACCTACAAAATGGGAGAAAATTTTCGCAACCTACTCATCTGACAAAGGGCTAATATCCAGAATCTACAATGAACTCAAACAAATTTACAAGAAAAAAACAAACAACCCCATCAAAAAGTGGGCAAAGGATATTAACAGACACTTCTCAAAAGAAGACATTTATGCAGCCAAAAGACACATGAAAAAATGCTCATCATCACTGGCCATCAGACAAATGCAAATCAAAACCACAATGAGATACCATCTCACACCAGTTAGAATGGCAATCATTAAAAAGTCAGGAAACAACAGGTGCTGGAGAGGATGTGGAGAAATAGGAACACTTTTACACTGTTGGTGGGACTGTCAACTAGTTCAACCATTGTGGAAGTCAGTGTGGCGATTCCTCAGGGATCTAGAACTAGAAATACCATTTGACCCAGCCATCCCATTACTGGGTATATACCCAAAGGACTATAAATCATGCTGCTATAAAGACACATGCACACGTATGTTTATTGCGGTACTATTCACAATAGCGAAGACTTGGAACCAACCCAAAAGTCCAACAATGATAGACTGGATTAAGAAAATGTGGCACATATACACCATGGAATACTATGCAGCCATAAAAAATGATGAGTTCATGTCCTTTGTAGGGACACGGATGAAAATGGAAATCATCCTCCTCAATAAACTATCGAAACGACAAAAAAACCAAACACCGCATGTTCACACTCATAGATAGGAATTGAACAATGAGAACACATGGACACAGGAAGGGGAACATCACACTCTGGGGACTGTTGTGGGGTTGGGGGAGTGGGGAGGGATAGCATTAGGAGATATACCTAATGCTGCATGACAAGTTAATGGGTGCAGCACACCAGCATGGCACATGTATACATATGTAACTAACCTGCACATTGTGCACATGTACCCTAAAACTTAAAAGTATAATAATAATTTAAAAAAATAGAAAATAAAAATGCTACTGTTACGTGAAAAAAAAAAAAGATTGTAATTTACCATTAAATATTCTAAATACAAAAGCTCGTTTTCCTCTACATCTGCATGACATTAGAAATTTAATACTCCAGCAAGGAGGTCAGAAAATAGGACAGGGCGCTGCCCCTGCACACCTCAATATGCTTCTCCTGTATGTGTAGCAACAACTTTTATATACCACCACTTTTCTGTTTCAAAAAACATTGAAGAGAAATGTAAGTGCTGCCAAAGTAATAAGTTAACAACTATGGGAAAAATTTAAGGGAAAAGAATCTTAAAAAATTAAAAAATCATTCTAGAATTCAGCTGAAGCATGTGGAAGTTTAAATTGTCCATTCTGCATTACTGAGATGTATTGGGAACCAATACCTTTTACCACAGAGAATTATAGTAACTTTTAGATAAGAAAAAAGAAACACAAACATTTTACCTGAATAATAAAACTGTAACTGCTCCTTTTATAAATGCTATATTGGATTTTGATGAATCTTTGTATAATCGTATATAAATTTTCAAGAACAAAATTCTAAATGTTCATATTGTTTATTAATGTTATCATAAAATACTCATTATGTACTTTGTAATCTTACATTTTTCAAACAAAAATTAGTTCTGACTAAGATACAGAGTATAGCACATGCACTCAATGATACAACCCTAAATGTGCTCATTAAGACATTTTATTCCATGAAAGCCGTGACTGACCAGACTGATATCACCTCAAAAAAATAAAAATAACCCACCTTCCTAGGAATTAAACTGGGAATGAATAGCAAGGGGTGATGAAGAATGGTCAGCTTCCATCACCTAATCTTTGAGAGAAGGCAAAGTGTAGAGCAAAGATACAGAAATCTGAATGAGGAGGAGGTTCCTAAATCCAAATTCAACCCCAGAATATACTTGTCAGGTTGGTAAGAAATCAGAAGTTAGCCTGCTCCATTCTCAAGGTTTGTGCCACTCCAGTACACTACTATTTACCACTCTTCAATTAGCTTTATCTGAGTGCCACAAATATTTGCATGGACATGTGCAGTGTTCTGTGGTTAAAGAGATAAATATGGCATGGTCCCTGTTTCCAGTGGTACTTTTAAATACATATAATTGGCTGGGCACAGTGGCTCACGCCTGTAATCCCAGCACTTTGGGAGGCCGAAGCGGGCGGATCACTTGAGGTCAGGAGTTCAAGACCAGCCTGGACAACATGGCAAAACCCTGCCTCTACCAAAAATACAAAAACTAGCTGGGGGTGGTGGTGTGCACCTGTAATCCCAGCTACTTGGGAGGCTGAGGCAGGAGAATCACTTGAACCCGGGAAGCAGAGGTTGCAGTGAGCCGATCATGCCACTGCACTCCAGCCTGGGTGACAGAGCAAGACTTCATCCCTAAAGAAATAAACAAATAAAAATTTGTGTATGTGTGGATGATTCATAAATTTACTGTTTCAAAAAACAAGGAAGAAAAACAAATGATTTTTATATAAGGCAGAATCTGCCAGGGACTAGTAGGTGAAGAATGGGGTCCTCTGGGAGTTTGGAGGAGATAGTGATCATTATTTCATTCAGTGAGAGTTCTCATTAGTATTCTATCAAATTTATTTCTCTGATAAGGCTATTTATACTATTCTACCACATAAGGTTTTTTTTGTTCATTTCTCAGACCTTTTATATATCTAAAATGCTTATAAATGTAATCCCTACAAAAAAAGTGTATCCAAAAAAAAAGTTTGAAATGAAACTGGTTGTCCTGTTAGAAACATTAGTTGTTCAGAAATGCTTCATAAATATGTGAATATATGTACTCTTTATCCATCTAACTCTGCATTTCCCAAATTCGTTTCCACACAGAACACTTTTTTCATGGCACATTCATCAAAACCACAGGTTAGAAAAGAATGTCAGAGTACCTAAACTTTGAAGAGAAAATGTAATTGTTTCTCAAAAACTTCTGAATCTTGGCAAACTATATACAAACACATACCTTTTGGTTTATTAAAATATAATGTAGTTATCTAAAACCTGTAGCCTACACTCTTAAATGGAGAGCAATTTTTACGTAGCAATTTTGAATTATTTTCTTAACTCTATACTCAATTTACTTTTAAAATAACTAAAAAATGGTCAATTTGGTAATTACAACTTCATAGGTTGAAGTATATATATATAATATATATATTTACATATTTTTTTTTTAGAGGGAGTCTCGCTCTGTTGCCCACGCTGGAGTGTAGTGGCACAATCTTGGCTCACTGCAACCTCTGCCTCCCGGGTTCAAGCAATTCTCCTGCCTCAGCCTCCCAAGTAGCTGGGATTACAGATGCACACCACCATGCCTGGCTAACTTTTGTATTTTAGAAGAGACAAGGTTTCACCATGTTGGCCAGGCTGGTCTCAAACTCCTGACCTCAAGTGATCCGCCCACCTCAGCCTCCCAAAGTGCTGAACTGAAGCATATTTTAAGACACTTAAATTATAATTTATTTGCCTTTGTTTTATAAATCGAAGTTACCTGAGAATCAAAGTTAAAATATACATCTGAAGTACAAGGAATGGATAGGAAAAACTTTCACGGAGAGGTTGTGTCCACATCACACGGGTGACCTGAAATCAACAAAATGCCCACTTTACATCATGTTTACTACAACAAACATTTAAAAACCAGGGGTGAGGTTTTTTTAGTAATTTCAATACCAGGCTCACTAGATCCCATTTCTGAGTGTCTGGCATAGCTTCTCAGTTTTTGAAGCTCTCTTAACGCATGAGGCCATTAAGTAGAGAGCAATTAACTACCATGTCCAGAAACCAGCAACAGATGTATCAGACCGAGCAAAATGAAACCCAACGGACAAACAAGATTGTACGTATAAGAGTTGTGAGAATTCTGGGACTGACCAACTAGATCCATAGGCCAGCCCTGCAGTATGATCCTGGCACATGATCCTGGCATCCGAGGCTTTGGGATATATGCATGCCGAGACAAACACCTAAACAAATGTCACCTAGGTCATTCGCAAGCACCATGAGAGTTTCTATGTAACAAGTATGAACGAATATAAATACACACTTTGAATAGCTAAGATTGCCTCAGATTTTGTAAAATGTACCTTAAAAAAGTTAAGTATATATTTTAAAAACAACTAGAAGTATTTGGGAACTACAAATGTGATGCATGTAACGAAAAGTATTAAATTTTCACGCAAACTTTAAAATTATTTCTAAGACGTATGGGTCAGAGTATTAGAAAAATTTTCCATCAAAAATTCTGAAATTCTAGAAAGAATGTGAACTCTTATTACTTTGCAAGAGTCTTAGAAGTTATTGCTCCTCTTCCAAGATACCAAAATTGTAAATGTTGGAAGAGGAATTATGATACATAAAAGTCAACTTATACCAACAGTTGTCTGGCACACTCAAAGAAAAAGCTTTGTCTTTAAATCAGCACATTGTTGAATGTCAATGCATTTGTTTGCTTTAAAATAATATATATGGCTTTTATGTATAATTTTTATGATTCCTTTATCTAACTGATTTTTAAAAATTAACCCAACAGCAATGGATAAAAGTACCTCTACCCCGGCCGGGCATGGTGGCTCACACCTGTAATCCCCAGTACTTTGGGAGGCCAAGGCGGGTGGATCACGAGGTCAGGAGTTCGAGACCAGCCTGGCCAACATGGTAAAACCCCATCTCCACTAAAAATACAAAAATTTAGCTGAGCATGGTGGCACATGCCTGTAATCCCAGCTACTCAGGAGGCTGAGGCAGGAGAACTGCTTGAACCCACGAGGCAGAGGTTGCAGTGAGCCAAGATCATGCCACGGCACTCCAGCCTGGGCGGCAGAGCAAGACTCCATCTTGAAAAAAAAATACTTCTACCCTATGAAACCTGTGTCATAACTTATTAAATATTTTGCTCCCAAGAGCTAGGAGTCAGAATCTCTCTCTTTTTCATTGCCATATCCTCAGCATCTAACAGAGTATGGACATGGTATATACCAATATTTTGTTGAATGTATCCATCGTATTTGAAATAAGCTTCTATGAGCTCTTTTTTAGGTGGACTATGTTTCATTGGGCTGAATTAGTAAGTTAATGTCTATTTTGAATTCAGCATTTTGCATTACTGAACAGACAGCATGACGTAACACAAAGAAGTGAGGGAGCAGGTGGCAGTGTCTTAACCGTGTCCCTGCTGTCAGGCCTGAGGCCTCTTTCATTGTTGTTAAGGGGAGTGCAATGCATACAAAGTTTCAGTTAGGCAAGATAAATAAGTTCTAGAGATCTGCTATACAACATTCTGTTAACACTGTATTGTACACTTACAAATCTGTTAAGAGGGCAGATCTCATGTTACTTATTCTTACCACAATAAAAAAGTTGAATATATATGTTATACATATAAAATATATAAAAGTTTTTATAAAATATAACTATAATTTTATAATTAATAAAATATAAATTAATATATATGTGAGGTTTTAAATGGCAGACCAGACATAGAATGGGAAATCCAGCTTCATCATGTAGTAAATGTGGAATGTGGATAAGTAACTTAATTTTCTCTAAATTTAAATTTCATAACTTGTATGGTGAGGCTACCACCACCCACAAAAAAAGTTTAGTGGGAATAAATCAGATAATGTGCATGACGTGATTCAACTCAACAAGTACAGTATTTCCTTTTCTCTACAGAATATATGTATATGTATATATTTACTAAAAATAAGGCAAGAGATTTCATGTTTGAAATTCTAGCTATTTAAACATTTTGATCAGCATGATTAAAATATCAACTTATAACACAAGGGTCTTTAAAATATTGTGAAGTCATAAGTAGTATACAATTATATATTGTTTCGATGAGTATATTTCTTTGTTCCTCTATAACCCCTTCTATTTCTTAAAAATTGCTTTCTAGAAAACAAACCTCTCCATGGTTGAAAAAGCAGCACAGTACTGTAATAAGACCTCCTAGTTGAGTCCCACTGTAAAAAATAATAATAATAACAGAGTATACAATCAAAATTCATGTAAAATACAGTGAGTTTTTCACAAAATTACCTCAGAATTTTAAACCATAGTTTAAATCATATTTAAAACATAATAGTACTAAACCATACCCATGTGGTTGATGCTTAAATCCTGAATGTACAATCGTAAAAAGTGTACATATAAATTAATCTCAATTTTATAATTTATCATAGCTAAAATACTTTCTAAATAAAATACATAAGGTGTGAACATAAATTTTTTTTGAGATGGGGTCTTGCTCTGTCGCACAGGCTGGAGTGCAGTGGCGAAATCTCGACTCACTGCAACCTCCACCTCCTGGGTTCCAAATATTCTCCTGCCTCAGGTTCCCAAGGAGCTGGGATTACAAGCGTGTGCCACTATGCCCGGCTAATTTTTTTACTTTTAGTAGAGATGGGGATTCACCATGTTGGCCAAGCTGGTCTCAAACTCCTGACCTCGTGATCCACTCGCCTCGGCCTCCCAAAGTGCTGGGATTACAGGCATGAGCCACCGCGCCCCACCGCATAAAGTAATTTTTAAGAAACAGGCTAGCACTTTAGAGTCTAGATCACATCCTTTGAATAACCTGAATAAAGGCAAATTCTTATTTTTGAAATTGGCTTTAAGGGATTGAGAAATGAAGACAAGATTCAAACAGTTTCATGTAGCATTAACTTAGAACTGTCTAAACTACTGCAAATATTCTTTACTTGAGTCCCAGACAAGCAATAATGCCGAATACAAAAATCAGATGAAAGATAAAAACCATTTCTTTTGTTGTTGTCTTTTTGTTTTTTTGTTTGTTTGAGAAGGAGTCTCGCTCTGTCACGCAGGCTGGAGTGCAGTGGAGCGATCTCAGCTAACTGCAACCTCTGCCTCCCCAGTTCAAGCCGACTCTTCTGCCTCAGCCTCCCGAGTAGCTGGGATTACAGGCGCCTGCCACCATGCCCGGCTAATTTTTTTTTTTTTTTGTATTTTTAGTAGAGACGGGGTTTCACCATGTTAGCCAGGATGGTCTCGATCTCCTGACCTCATGATCCGCCCGCCTCGGCCTCCCAAAGTGCTGGGATTACAGGCGTGAGCCACTGCGCCTGGCCCAAAAACAGAACTTTTTTTAAAAAAATAGAATATTTTTAAACCTGCCCAAACAATCTCAAAGCAATCCTTTTCCCTCAAAGTACTTTAATGAGCTTATATTTTTCTACACGGCATATAGAAAAGTGCATAAAATTTCTAGATTATAGAACTGTAAAGGGAACGTCCATGTAGTCACCATATAATTAATTGAAATAGAGAAATGATTATACTGTCTTCACTTGCCAGCCTCCAAGATAAGAATCAGCTACTGACCTGATTTTTGAGATTATCAACATAACTCTTTCTATACACATATCAAACTATGATTTACTTTAATCTGTTTTTAAACAACATACAAATGGAAGAATGCAGCATTTTTTTAAATTTTGTACCTGGATTCACTCATTCAAAATTATATTTGTAAGATTCAACCATGTTGTGTGTAGCTGCATAGTTCATTCATTCTCATTATTGTATACTGTTCCACCATGTTAATAAACCAAAATGTATTCATTTCTCTGTTAATGGATATTTGGGTTCTTTCCAGTTTGAAGCTATTGCAAATAATGCTACCATATTATTGTATGTACTTCCTAGTACACATGTGCAATACTTTTTTGGGAATATGTATGTTAAATTACAATTGCTGAGTTATAAGGTATCCATACCTTCAACTTTACCAGATAATATACACTGTTTACCAAAATAGTTGTACCAATTTATATGTCCACCTGTGGTGGACGAAAGCTCCTTTATCAATCTATTAGATGTGAGTTGGTATTTCACTATGGTTTGAATTTATATTTTCTTTATAACAAATGATGGTGGTCAACTTTACATATGTTTATTGACCATGTGGTGTTCTTCTGGGAAATATCAGTTCATAAACATTTTGTCCATTTTTCTATCAAGTTGTCTTTCTTCTTTGTCTTTATCTTCCCACTCTAATATAAACTTCACAAGGACAGAGATTTCTCTTCTGTATTCCAAGCACCTAGAACAGTGCTCCTGGTCACAACAGGCTTTCAATAAATATTTATCAAATTAATGAATGGAATTTCTGGATAGTAGGTGGGGCATAAACTTTGTAAATATCTTCACTCACTTTCAGGTTTTTTTAATCCTACAGTTCTTTTGAGGTAAAATTGATAAACTCATCAAATTTATCAGTTTCTCTTCATGGCTGGATTTTTGTATCTTGTTTATCATTTCTTATTCCAAGTGACTTTTTCTATATTATATGCTGAACACTTTTATAAACCTGTCTTTCATATTTGAGTGATTAATCCAGCTTGGAGTATTATTTATATAGTTCCAAGTTCTCTTTGTTCCATATGATCTCCCAAGTATTCCAGCACTATTTTTTAAAATGCCTGTCCTTACCCACCAATCTGCAATACCTGCTCTTCCATATATCAAATGCCTTTAAATGTACATTTCTGCTTCTGGGCTGTACTCTATTTCGGTTATCTATTTGTCTATTCCTGTGCCAATATCACAGCATCTTTTTACATTAGCTTTATAATATAGCAACAGTTGATAGTGCAAATCCTCCTTTTTCAAGAATACCTTGACTGTATTTGGCGCTTTGCATTTCTGAGTAACTTTTAAATCAGCTCATCAAAGTCAACAAAAAATATGTTGGAATTTTGACTGGTAGAGCATTGAATCTATAAAGCTTTTTAATATCAAGTCTTCAATCAATCAATGTGGAATAGCTCTCCACTTAGATTTTCCTAGACATATCTCAGGAATGTTTTAATCATTTTCCCATAGCTGTCATATATATTTTTTGTTGGATTTATTCTGAGGAACGTCATGCTTTTAATGCTATTCTAAACAGCATCCTTTCAAAATTTCATTTTCTATTTGATCCTAAAGTATAAAATTTATAATTTTGAATTTTAATATTAATGTTTACATCTAGTAACACTGTATATTTTCTTATTGCAAATACTGTATCCATAAGCTTGTAAAATTTTTCTAGATATACGATGTTATCTACTTTTAAGAACACATTTCTTTTTTTTCAAGTTTTCCAATCCTTATACTTATTACTAATTTTCTTTTTACGTACCATGCTGGATAGTATCCCTGGTACAACACTATGTCACTAGTTTTCATTGATTCTATGCTAGTCTTTTTTATGCTGAAAACTTCCTAAAACAAAGAGTGTGTATATTTACTAATCTCTATATTGACATAAGCCCTATGAAAACTCAACAAATATTTGTTGAAAGAGTAAAGCTATTAATTAATTTTAATTTTAAATGTTTTACACGACAAGAATAACATTGTAAAGAAATCTGATGATTCAGCTAGGAATATGTTCCACTGAAAGAAACAGAAAACCTAACAAAAGTAGCTTACACAATATGGATGTTGTTTAATATATCATTCAACAAGAAAATGAAAGATAAGTACCTGTTGGCATTGGTTCAGCAGCAGAAGGATGGTAGGCCAGATATATCTGCTATTTTTATGGCCTTTCCCTTATGGTCACAAGATGACCGCTACAGCTCTGGGCATGACATCCTAGTGTAGTAAAAGCAGGAAGAAACAGAGAAGGGGCAGCTAAGTCTGTCCTTT
Organism: Homo sapiens; assembly: GCF_000001405.40. Lineage (NCBI taxonomy): Eukaryota > Metazoa > Chordata > Mammalia > Primates > Hominidae > Homo > Homo sapiens. The sequence continues at coordinate 32,722,888 of NC_000007.14, forward strand.
TGTGAGAAAGGCAGATACTTTCCTAGATGTAACCAAAACTGACTTCACCTTAGTTTTCATTGACAAAAACTCGCTGATTTGGCTATCTCAGGGAGCAATTAAGTGTGGGAGCAAAACACATGACCGCTGAAATTAATTTCAACTTATCACCTGAGACCGGTCTCACTGCTTCTTCATCGTGGTACTCTTATCAAGATAGGCAGGCTAGTAGATGTAAGTGCCTGCCACATGTGATACAGTTTTTCCTACTGCTTTCTTAATTTCATCCTTAGAGAATACAATTAGAAATAAGCTGCTATTACTGCTAACCAAAGATCTCCTCCAATGTTTTCTTAATTTTACACATGAACTAGGAGATATTCCATTAAAGCCTTTGTTAGGAAATCTTAATTAGTCAAAAAAAAATCCTTAAGGGATAAAAGGGATGCCTTTGGGATAGAATTTTAGTGACATCTCCAGTTTCTGGTTACATGATATTGGTTAAGCTTCTGAAAAAATCAAATAAATCCACAAACTTTCCTGATATGAATCTAATCTCGTTAATTTTCCTTTTCATTCAATCAAAAAATATCAGCCAGTCTGTATAAGCCCACTGAAAGGTCTCTTAATTCAGTAGTAGTCTTACCTCAGGTTATGCTCCATACACGAAGAACAATCTCATCATTAGTCCATTCAAAATAAAGACTACACCAACATAAAAGCAAGCAGGATCTCCCAATCCTTTGAAAAGATACAGATAAGCAGTGTTTAATGAATATATGACTCGAAAGCAATTGGGCATAATTATCTCAGTGCTTTGCAATCAAGAGCTTATGAATTTGCTGAAAGCATTTGCTTTCCAGATTGCCGCTGTGTTTAATTCTTTACCCTTATAAGAGTTTGTGTGTGTGTGTGTGTGTATGCAAACACATATATGTATGTGTGTATATATGTGTGTATATATACACATACACATATGTAAGCTCACCCTTAATGAGGTATTATATAGTTACACTTTATACTTTTTATAATTGCATTTGTACTTTCCTCTAATGAATTACTATTATACTGTAATGATTTGTTGGGGATTCACATTTATTTAGGTGATGCTGCTAGTGTTCAGTGTCTGGAACTGTCTGTAGAACCACTTAATGAATACAAAAGAAAATCCATTGCATTATTTTTATCTTTTGCTAGGCTCTAGGAAGAGTTAAGATATGATTTTGACTTCAGGGTACAGCTTTAGTCTATATGAAATGATCCAGTCATTTGATCCATTATTATGTATAGCTAGAATCTTAGTATATTCCATATAGAAGATCGTGCGTGTGTGTGGCAATATGTACTTTACAATCATCCCACATTTTTCTCAGAACAAGTTTATGGTATTAGCTGATATAAAAATACTTTTCTTATGATTAAGAAAACAGAACATAGAATATTCAACTTGTCAAAGGTTATTTCACTTTAACTGGCTGGAGCCAAAGTCTGAAGGCTGGCCTTCTGATTCCCCCTGCCTCTCTGGTCACTCCTTTCAATCAGTTCCAGTAATTTCTCTTGTTTTATGTACCACTCTTTAATACTGGACCACCTTAGGCTCTGTCATATGCCCCCTTCATTTCTCTATCTGCGCATTCTCCATAAAGAAATTCTTCCACATCCATGGCTCCAATGATCTATATACAGATGACTCCAACTCTACATTTAATCCAGAACTTTCTCCTTATTCTTATACCCAGATAGCCACTTGATGTCCCCACTCTGAGGTCTCTCAAGTACCTCAAATTCATGCATACACAATGAAACATAACAATACAAACCTGCTACTGTTCAAATGTTTCCTACCATTCAAAGCTCAGTTACTTAAGCTAGAAACCAAACTGTTTCACATGATTCTTCACTCACCTTCCCCTCTCTTACCAAACAATTACCAAGACAGGGTCTTGTCCATTCTACTTCCAAAATCTCTCTCAAACCCACATTATCCACATTATCTTTCCTGCATATCCACATTATCTTTCCTGCAATCACTTGCTGAGAATATAATAGTCTTCTACCTGGCCTCCCTGAACCTACTTTTGTCCCTTTACTAATATTCTTTCCATACCATTGATTAAATAATGTTTTAAAATGAAACTCTGTTAAAATTCTTCAATGGATAAAGTATAAAATCCTTCACCAGTGCACGCCTTTCATGATCTGATCCTCGCTTATATTCCCAGCACCATTTCACATCATTTTTCTTCTCCATCATTTCCAGGAATTCTAGCCTTCTTTCAGTTCCCTCTTGCTTCAGGATATTTGAATATGTTATTCCCTATTCTTAAAATACTTATCCTCTTACTCCTCATGTTGGTAATCTTATTTTCTTATTTGTAGTATCCCTCACAGTTGTAACTGCTAACAGACCCCTTACAGCATAAACTCTATGAGGGTAAGGCCCCATGTCTAGCTGGTTCATCTCTGTGTCCCAAGTGCCAAACAGTAACTTATCACTTATTGGGAAGGTAATTAATACCATATTTAGGTGATCATTTTCACCACTCAGACAGGGTCACACCTTCTAGCTGATTGAATCATTGCAAAGTATCTCATTTTATGAGGCATTTTCTCCAATCCTTTACATTGTACACAAAAAAATATAATTGCCCCTCAAACATCCTCATCAATTCTATTTTTACTGAGGCAATCAGTAAAAAATGTAAGGAAAATAGATTTAGTTTATATTCCAAGAGTTGAATGTTGTTACAAACAAGTCTAAAAATTTATTCATAAAATATAATAAGTCATGTTGTTAAGAATTTGAAGAAATGCAGAAAAAACAACAGTGTTAGTGTTATAAAAAGAGATACATGTGGCTCTCAACAAGTCTCAAGGGACAGCACCATATTTGAATTATAAAAGTGCTGAAATGCAAACATCTTAAATGGAAGTGACCACTATGTATCCTGGAAAGCTGTTGGATGACTCCAAAAGTGGTTCTTTGACAAAGAAACCAATGTGGAAGATAAATAGGAAGAGTTTTATTAATACTATGAGCATATATAAAAAAGTAATGTTTCTAAATCAATCTATTATTGCATATCCGATTTTTAAATATGTATGCATAATTAAATTTATACATTAGCTATTACAAATAGATATTTGACTGTTTAATCTATCCTCAAAATTTATATATTGAAGCTACCCCAAAAAACATCTTTCTGTATCTTCGCATTCTGAAACAGAAGACTAACTTATAGTCAAGATTGCCTTACAATGGGATATGTTAATACTCAAATTCCAAAATTTATACTCAAATTTGTAAGTACACAGCCTTCTCAGAAAACTACTTTAAAACGTAAAATACTCATTGAGGTGAGCCAGTTCTAATTTTTTTTTAAATCAACAACAGTATTTTACAATAATTCTTAAAAGTGAATCATAATATTATTAAATGTTTATGAATGTTTACAAATGACAGCATTTTTGGAAGAAACATGCCTTCACAGCTTTGAACTTCATTAAGAGGTTCTATTCTGGTGACATTCCAGCAGGTCTTAGTTTCTAGTCCAAATAAATTCATTATTCCCATGGATGTGCGACACCAGGAGGCTATGATTACCTTTAAAAAGATAAAAACAAAGAGATAATGGAGGAAAATATATTCTCTTCATAATAATAATCTTTCCAAAATACCATTTTGTGATGGTTGCCTTAGACATTATAAATTCTGACAAATTTATTTAGATCATTTCACTTAGGAATCAGTCACTTCAAAATTACACATTATGCCTCTATATAGAAAAATATTATATATGTGATAGCCAATTCTGTAATATAAATAATAGTAAGTCAATATAAAAGTATATAATTAAAATACGGTGATTAATAGAAAAATACAAAGATTTATAGAAACATTTCATAATTCACTTCATTTAGATCCTTGAATTTATTCCTTCATAAAATATATAAAATATATTATAAAAACTGGAACAGAATGGAATAATAGCACCTGTACCCATTACAATTTTAATCAAGCAGAAGATTTAATTGACCAATTGTTTCCAAACTGCAAGCTATTTTTAAAAGTTCAAAGACAAAGAAAAAATAACAGAAAAAAATTTCCAACAGAATGTTCATGTCTCAGAGGTTTTTTAAAAATAACACTATACATTCTGGGAAACTAATGTGAAATCACTGGGGGGAGAATGTCAAAAAATAAAGAGTTGAAAAGAGAAAGTAAGCACCTCTTAGAGCTAACCATTTTTAATATTTTGGTGATTGGTGCGGTGGCTCACGCCTGTAATCCCAGCACTTTGGGAGGCCAAGGCGGGCGGGTCATGACGTCAGGAGTTCGAGACCAGCCTGGCCAACACAGTGAAACCCCATCTCTACTAAAAATACAAAAATTAGCTGGGCGTGGTGGCAGGCGCCTGTGATGCCAGCTACTCAGAAGGTTGAGGCAGGAGAATCACCTGAAATCGGAAGGCAGAGGCTGGAAATCGGAAGGCAGAGGCTGCAGTGAGCCAAGATCACAGGACTGCACTCTGGCCTGGGCCACAAGAGCGAAACTCCAACTCAAAAAAAAAAAAAAAGTTGGTGATTATCTTTCCAGTCCTCCCCCTAGGCATTTAAAACATGAAATTAGAGTTATTCAATACTACCTAATGAGATCATATTATCAACGTTAATGTAATATACATCACTAAACATCAGAAACATCTTTCCTCGTCTCAGAAGCGTAGTTTTATTAGGCAGGTTAACATAGTAGGAAAAGCATAGCTTTGATATCAGAATTGAACTCAAATTCTGACTCTGCAAGTTATAGTTTCCATGGTCTCAAGTAATCCTTCAACGGCTGTCAATCACTTCACCTCTCAAATAAGTTTAATAATAACCATTCTACAAGAGAAGTGAGATAAGCGCTCACATATACAGTCGTATATGTCCTGTATGTCCTAAGTATAGTGCTGGCATATAGTATGCAGTGAATGCTTTTACCTTTTTAAAACATTCTGTTCTAAACTTACATTTTTATTTGTAAATGAGAAATTAATCCCCTGTGAAATTAATCTCGCAGGGGGAGCGAAGCCACGGTTGCGGGGGAGCGAAGCCACGGTTGCCGGGAAGCGCGGGCCACCCCTCCCTCCCTCTCATTCTTCGTCCTCCCCTCGCGCGCCACCCGTTTTTCCTCTTTCTCCGTTAATAACGGCTGGGTGGCTGGGGGAGGAGGGAAGGTGGCTCCGGCGGAGTCTGGGCGGGCGCCTCCCACTCAGCCGCCAGTCGCCGTGGGAGCCGGAGGATGGCGGCGGTAACAGCGGCCGCCGGAGAGGAGGCGGTGGGGAGGCCCGGGGCGCCAAGCGCGACGGCAGAAAGCGGCAGCGGCCCGTCATGGCGCACCGAAACCAGCGGCAGTCGCACGGCCACCTGAGTCGCCCCTTCCTGCTGGAGCCAGCGAGGGGTGCCTGCAGCCGGGACACCTTCCTCTCCGCGTCTCCTCGTCTCCCGCGCCCGCGTCAGGCCGCCAGCCTTGCCCACCGCCCCGAGAAGAGCGCGCCGGGCGCCGACTGCCCCTCGGGGCGCCGAGCGGCGGCCCTGGACGTGCGGGGGCCTCTCTGGGCCGGCCGCGGCGCCTCGGCCCTGCCCTCTAGCTCCCGCGTTCGCTCCTACCCTCTTGGCTCTCGGGGCACAGCGCGCGGCCCGGTCCGGAGCAGGGCGGACAGGAGCGCCAGGCAGAGCGGCCTGGCCGCCGCTAACGGCGCACGCGCGCGTACTCGGCTCGGATCTACCTTCCAGTAGCAGCGGAGTGGCCAATGGGACCGGGACCAGGGCTGGGGGCCGGGGGGCCGCCGCCGCGGGGAGGTTCCCGGCTCAGGTGCCCAGCGCTCACCAGCCCAGCGCCTCGGGCGGCGCCGCGGTGGCCCCGGCAGCCCCGCGCAGCTGTTTCCTGGGGGGCGTGGCGTCGGGGGCCCGCGCGGCGCAGTCCTCCTTCAGCATCCCGAACAGCAGCAGCGGTCCGCAGGACTCGCAGGACTCGGTGCACAGCAGCCCTGAGGATGGCGGCGGCGGCGGCCAGCACCGGCCGGTGGGCGGGAGCCCCGGCGGGCCGCGCCTGGTGATCGGCTCCTTACCAGCTCACCTCTCACCGCGCATGTTTGGAGGTACGGACCCCTCTCCACGCGCCCGCGCTCGGTTCTCCCGCGGCTGCACGTGGGCCGTGGCCGCCGGCTATTTTTACCGTTCTCCTTTTCTCCTTCCGCCGGGGCGCCGGGGGCTGCTTCCCGGCCCAGCCCGCCAGGGGCTGCTTCCCGGCCCAGCCCGCGCCGGTCTCCATCCTGGGAAGAAACCCGGCACGTAACACCTGCGGTGTCGCTGCCGCGTAGACACGTGGTTTTGTTTTTAAACATCGTGAGCACCCACACCTCAGCGGGTACTCAGTAGAGATAGTCTATTTTCCAGTGAGTTGACTGGAGCAAATGTTGTTTTACAGCAAACCCACGAAATAGCCCTTGTGGTTGTGGCTTTTAGTACCAGGAAGTCAGGAGGAGACGGTTGCTAAATGTAGTTCTATCTGGGGACTCGAGTGGGGCACAATTTTTAAAAGCCAAAAGTCAGAGGGTCTCAAATGAACTCTGAGTTACCATCTTTGGACCGACTTTTAATATAAAGCTGTAATCCTTAAATCTGTGTCAGTAGTCCCACTTACTATGTCACTTTAATTGGATGAATGCGTTAATGAAAAGTTTGTTTTCAAACCTCACTAAACTGCTACTTAAGATCACAGTTAATGTGAGTCCTGCTTAATTTGGAAAGCATTTAAAAAATGGAAAAGTTTCTTAGGGAAGTAAAAATTTTGCAACTCTGCCTACAAGGTACAGTAATTGGCTAGGTTCTTTTGAAGAGCAGTGTTGACTAGAGTTAAGGAAAAGTCAGTTGTGAAAAATGGACATTTTTAATAGCAAAATGATGTGCTTTACTGTAGAAACAGGAGGAAGGGTGCATTATCCTGGGGAAAATGAATTCTTCAGTTATGTTTTATGCTGCTCTACTTTATTGCAAAACGCTAATATTAAATGAATCAAGACCACCTCCCCTTCCCGCTTTATGAAAATAAATAGAAGTATAGAAGATAAGCATTCCCATTTCATCGCATTATGTATCTGATATTAGAAGAATTCGCAACTGAGCACAGATGAGCAACGAAAACACCATCCCCTACATTTTTGTGCCTCTTTTACTTACATATTTGTAAACGTAGGAACTGTGAGTGGAGACTTAGTAAAGTGGAATACGTAGTAATTTATCTGTTGTGATGTTCTGTGCTATCAGCACACACGCCAGCATAAATTAAAAATAGGAATGTCATGTTTAGTTTTTCCCATCTTTTTAGTAACGCTTTGTACATTCAATATGGAACGACGCTTGACTTTTAATTAGCTACCTTGTTTTAAAGTAATTTTTGCTTCTTAAAAATATTCATCCCTCTTAAAATTGGGCCATTTTTAAAAGTCATTAGCTTTTGAGTAAAAGAACTCCACTGGTGTCTTTAAAGTGATTTGATCACAACTAACACAGCAGTTGAAGTTGCTGTAGTCCGCACTGAAGAATATAAAAGGCAGTTTCTGAGAATTGGTGATTACTGCGAAAATGAAGAGCAAACTGGTTTTTAATATTTATCTTTTTAAAGTGAAAATTTGCATTTAGCAGTTATCAAAAGATGAATATTTGTTTGCTAAAGAAGGGTCAATAGGAAAAGCCTTGTCAAGTTAATATTTAATATGCTGATTTTTAAAAATTCACTTTCTAAGAGCTGATCATTCCCTTTGAGAAACATTATAGTTCTATGGGTTTATTTTGTTAAGTAAATGCATTCTATTCAGAGCAAGAGACAGTTGAGCCCCATGCTATTCCTAGTAAGTAAAAATACCTAGTTGCTTAAAGTTGGAGATAAAGCATTTATCTTTTTTCTTATCTAAGTTCTAGATTTGTGCACTCATTATAGTTCTTTTAGTGCTGTTGGGGTTGGGTGACTGGGGCCTAGTAGTACAGTGACACTTTCTGAGGAACTTATAGCAGCCTTTCTCACCCGGCTTTCTGGAGACAATTGTGCCGTAGTGTGCAATGAATTTTAACTTTCAGCACCAGTGCATTTAGGACGGTTTTAGTTATGTATCATTCTTGGAACAATTGAGAAAAGTCACTGAAATAATTTCCTATGTTTGGTGATTCAGATGAGGAACCTCAGTTGAGAATTGCTGGAAAGGGATCAGAGAAATTACCTGTTCTTATTATATGACAGGATCGGATGAAAGTGCCACATCCTGAAATCTCTGTTGAGGCAGGGAGATGGAATACACTTATGTAAAAACCCATCTTAGTGGCATTGCCTTACTGAGATTTTTACCTATATTTTAGTGGATGGGTTATTAGGAAAACAATAGAAGCATGTTTCTCATCATCTTGAGATTTAGGGAGCTAGATGAAGAATCTTATAATTAAAAAAGTTAGACTTGACTGTACTTCACATTTACTTAATTTTTTAGTATCTATTATAGCATTATTGTGTTTATTCAGTTACAAATTGTATAAATGGTTATATACAAATAACTCCATCTGAAAATTGATAAAAGGATTATTTCAGAATTAATGGAAAGTTCATATTGATTTTTGTAAAACTGTTGTTTTAATTGTTGTTTATATTATTAACGTCTCCTAATAAGAAAATGTGGTACTAATAAGATTCAAAATTATTCTCTTGTGAGGTCTCATGTAATTTATAGAAAATGAAAAACAGTCCCCCCCCCTTTTATTTTTAACACTTAAGAGTCTAGCAAGTGGAATTGTTAGTAGTTCCCTCATAATGAATTGCCACATTGAACGAGGAAGTTTTCTGTGTTGGTTTTATGTTTTGCTGTCTTTTGGACATCTATTTTCGCTATATACACTCTTATTCTCTCTAGAGAACTGGAAGAAAAATGCCTAATCCAGATATTTCAGTGTGTAGAAATTTCCTAGAATTGAGTTGCCGGACATCAGAATGTGATTATATTTAGGAGTTCTTAGGTGAAGTAAATCTTGTCCTTATTATTCTTTTCAGACTGAGGAGTGTTAAAGTGAACAGACGCTTTCTTGACTACTGCTAGTGTCGTCCATCACCTTTGTTTTAAAAAAGGTCTTAAGGGTATTTCCTAATATTTAAAAATCTTGACGGTATTTTAGGGTTTGTTTGGCTTTAATTTACGTCTACGTTTTTTTTTCCACTGTCAAGTAGCTATTGTTCATAAGAGCATAACATGAGTGGTCAAATAGCCTTTAATGATGCAGCAAGGATGGGGTAGATGAATTGGGCTATAGAAATATACCAATACATGGAGATTATTTCCAGAGACATCGTGTGGACTTCTATAATGTATCTTTGAGTCCGGAAGTGAAAATGTAAAATGACTTAATCTAAGACAACTAGTGGTGCTGGGTTGCTTTTGGCCTCCTGATTTTCTTGAGCTTTTTTGGGTGTGGCTTGCTCATGAGTATTTCAGTAGTCTGATTGTAACTCAGGTGCCTTGTTACTTGTGCAACATGTTTTCTTATATTGAAGGAGTGTGGGTTATCTCTTAAAACTGAATATGTTGAATAAGACCTGTATTTCTAGGACGATTTCTCTTAATTTTTAAGCAGATGTGAAGTTTTATGCTGTTAGGTTGTCTTCATCAATTAACCATTATGGAATTGGTCTCAGTTATCTCTTCTTACCAATATCAAGTGCCAAAATGTTTGAATTTGGGATACTCTAATTAATCTACTTCCTATTCCTGAATGTTATTTTGTGCCATTGAAGGCTTTTATGGGGAGTGGCCAAAGAGGAATGTTTGCCTCTTTCTAAGAAAAATGAGCCTTCTAACCACAACCCCTGCCACTCCTGAAGTAATAAGAATTTTGGTGGTTATTGTTTCTCACTTGTAATTTCATACCTTCGTGTTATATGTTTTGCTGTGTGTAAGTGTGGCCTGTGTCATGGACGTTTCTGCTTTGGGGATTTTTTGGAACTATTCTTGACTGCAAGGTGGGGAGGATTGGTGAGTTGCACAGGGCATCACCTGATCTGAGAGCAGCGTGACCTAAGAACCTGGTATTTTGATGCTTTGCTGGCTGGTGCAGTGCCTGAGGGAGTAAGAGCCCTGTTGTTGTCAGATAGTGTCTTACTCCCTCAGGCACATCTCCAGCGAGTCTCTTGCTCTCCTCCAATTTGATTGCTTTGCCTGGTGACCAGTAAGTAAGTTCTTTTGATTACCAAATATCATTAATTAGATATCAACTTTTAAACTATTTATTATTATTTGGGTTTGTAAGGAGAATTGCCCTAATATTAAACTTATTACATGTACTAAGTATTATGTACAATTGGGTATACTGGCAAATGTGTTAAAAGAGAGTGTAGGAACTGCTTTATGTAGCAGATTACTTCCTAAGTTTTACCTTATGTGAATATTCTTAAGAACTATTGTTTATTTGAAATGTTAGTCTGTGTTTTAATTTTGCATATACATGACATTTATTTGTTTAGAAATTGGACAAAACATAGGCCTTTTTGTGAACAAAGAGTTCAGAAATACCTTAGGTTCTGATTTTATTCATTTTCTTTTTTTTTTTATTTTATTCATGTTCTAAGCTGCTTGTTCACAAATAACTACAAATTTAGCTGTTCTAAGCAACACATTTATTACCTCGCAATTTCTATGGGTCAAGAGGCTGGGCACAACTTAGCTGTGTCCTCTGTAAGACTGCAGTCAAAGTGTTGGCCAGGGCTGGGTTGTTATGTAGAGACTCAACTGGGGAAAGGTCTGCCCCCAGACTTCCTTGGGTTATTGGCTGAATTTATTTCCTTGTGTCTGTTTGGTTCAGAGCAGCTTGCTTCTTCAAAGTCAGCAAAGGAAGAGAGTCTATCAAAGGTGAACTGGTGCTATGTTCTTACATAATCGTGTACATGTAATCACATACAACCCATTGCCTTTGCTGTATTTCATTGATTAGAAGCAAGTCATAGGTCCAGTTCACGTGCAAGGGGAGGGAATTATACAAAGGTTTAAACACCAGGAAGTGTAGGAATCAAGAATAGTCACATCAATTCTGTCTGCCACATGGATTATAGACTTAGATTGACAGCTGAACATGCAACTTTTTTTTAAAACTCAGTTTTTATTTACTTTTAAAAAGTTGTACTAATGCATATGGTAAGTATAGTATTAATAAACATGAATTGAGCCCCTTTTAGGGGCTGGGCATTGTAGATATTCAGGGTTTAAATGTGGGGCTTCTTTATGCACTGCTCAACTCTCCATTGAATTTGAGAGATGGATATGTGTGATCATTATACAGTGCAACAAATTCAGTAATAGAACTGTTAACAAAATGCTTCGTGAAGTATCTTTGTCTAGGCTAGTCAAAAAATGCTTCACAGAGGAGGGTACATTTGAACTGTAGTTTGAAGGATTTAGAAGTTTTATGGAGAGAGGGCACTGTAGACTAAAGAAAAATCCACAAAAGCTTGGGTTTTGATAGGGCATACTGAAAAGTTAAATATGTCTGGACTGTAGGGTGCATAGAGGAATGATGAGCACCTGAAGCTAGAAAAATAGAAAGTGGAGCCAGTTGAAGGATTTTATAGTGCTGTAGGTTTGTTTTATCTAATGAAGTTTGAAAGCAGGGGGAGTATCATGATTAGGCCATTGGGCACAATTAACATTCGTAGTTTACATGGATGGCAACCTTCTCTAGTGGTGCAGACTTCAGGCTGTATGCAGCAACCCTGATCAGGATTCAGTTCTTAAGGAGGAGAGTGTGATAGCAGGAGGATAAGTTAGGATTCTTTTAGAATATAACTGATAGAAGATGCCTACGTTGAAAAGATGGCATTGGTGAGGGAGAAGAAAAGTTAGATTTGATTGAGATTTCTAAGGTAGAACTGATAGAATTGAGAACCTGGGTACACAGTGATGTCTTTAACCAGTATTAAAGATGAAAATAACAAGTTTTAGGAAATGATAATGAGTTCCTTTTAGGCCTGTTAAATTTGAGTGGCTATAGGATTTCCATCTGGATAGAAGTATCCTTTAAGTGGCTGGAAACATGAGTCTCTAATTCAGGATATTACAAAAAACTGAGAAATCAAATTGCAGGATATAAATGATTCCAGAAAGTGGATAAGATTACTAAGGGATGAATATAGATTGACGAAGGACAAGGATGGAATCCAGAGGAGCAAGTATTTTAAGAGACAGGCAGAGGAAGAGGCCAGCAGTTAGAATTCAACCAGAGGGAAAGGAAGTTTTTTAAAACCTTTTTTTTTTAATTATAAAAATAATACCTGTTCACTAGAGAAAAACTGACATACAGAAAAGCAGTGGCTCACGCCTGTAATCCCAGCACTTTGGGAGGCCGAGGCGGGTGGATCATGAGGTCAGGAGATCTAGACCATCCTGGCTAACACGGTGAAACCCCATCTCTACTAAAAATACAAAAAAGTAGCCAGGCGTGGTGATGGGCGCCTGTAGTCCCAGCTACTCCGGAGGCTGAGGCAGGAGAATGGCATGAACCTGGGAGGTGGAGCTTGCAGTAAGCTGAGATCGCGCCACTGCACTCCAGCCTGACCCACAGAGTGAGACTCCGTCTCAAAAAAAAAAAAATCGCAAATTGCTTGTAATCTTACCACTAGAAATAACCAGAAAAAAGTGTTAATGTCTTTTATATATGTATTTGTTTTAGACACAAAATTTGGAACATTCATTTTTATATTGTTTTGATTTTAACCTTTCTGATGTTCTAATACGAAGTTTTAAAGCTACACATTTTCCTCCAAGAATTGCTTTACCTGAATCCCACTGATTTTGAAGAGTTCTTGTTAACATTCAGTGAAAAATGTATTTTAATTTCCCATATGATTTCTTCTTGATCCATGGGTTACATATTCTTTGATAACGTGCTCTTTCCATTTCCACCAGTTTCTAACATCACATTAAAATTTTTTATAACATAATTTTTAATTATTACCCAGTATTCCAAAAATCACTCAAATGTTTAATGAGGACCCGCTCTTCCAAACACTATTCTGGGAATACAGCAGTGAAGAAATAAGATAAAAATCCCTGCTTTTAGGGGCCTTATTATTCTATTTGGGAGAGATAGTAAACAAACAAGTAAAATACATAGTGTGTTAGGGCATTGAGTGTAATGGAAAAAAATGGAGTGCAAAGGCTGATAGAGATTATGGGGTGGAGGCCTATCTATAGTTGCTATTTTAAATCGGGTTTTAAGGATGACCTCACTGACAAGGTGACAATTCAAGCAGAAAGTGAAGGAGCAAGCCATGAGGATCTCTGGGGGAAAAACATATTCAGGCACAGGGAGCAGTAACTGTAAAAGCCCTGAGGCATGAGTGTACCTGATATGTAGGTTTACTACAGCTGGAGTGCAGAGGGGTATACAAGATGAGAGCATAGTGGGGTGGCATGAGGTTGGGACAGAATCATAAACTGCCTCATAACCACTGACCTGTGGTTTGCGGCTTTTGTTTTAAAGAGGGATGGGGAGACACTGGAGTATTTTCGTGCAGAGGATAGACATAATCTGACTTGGGTTTTAAAGGATCACTCTGGCTATTGTGTGAGGTGTCAAGAGTCAGCAAGGAGGCAAAAATCCAGATGAAAGATAACAGTGGTTTGGACTGGGTGGCAGTGCTGGAGGTGCTAAGCAGTGGCCAGATTCTGGATATCCCGTGTTTTGAAGATAGAGCCACCTGGATTAGATGTGGAGGTATGAGAGAAAATGAAGAGTCTAGGATTTACCTGGTTGTTCCTTATAGCTGAGCATTTAGTTTGTTTGGTACAGTTATAATAAAATACTGTTGCCATGAACACCTTGGTAAGCAAATTTTTACAGTTTTTTTTTTTTTTTTTTGGATGGAGTCTCGCTCTGTCGCCCAGGCTAGAGTGCAGTAGTGCGATCTTGACTCACTGAAACCTCTGCCTCCCAGGTTCAAGTGATTCTTGTGCCTCAGCCTCCCAAGTAGCTGTGATTACAGGTGTGCACCACCATGCCTGGCTAATTTTTGTATTTTTAATAGAGACTGGGTTTCGCCATGTTGGCCAGGCTACTCTCAAACTCTTGGCCTCAAGTGATTCGCCCACCTCAGCCTCCCAAAGTGCTGGGATTACAGGCCTGAGTGCCCGGCCAGTTTTTAGAAATTTATCAGCGACATGGGATTGCCAGAAACAAAGATATGCTTTTGTTCAAGGCATTTGATCTTTATTGCCAAATTGCTCATTAGAAATGGAAACAGCTTCTAGCAAGGTATACTCTTTAGGACTATGAAAAATTTTTTAACCAATAAAAGCTTGTGAGGTTTTTGATATTTATAAGTGCAGATTGGTAGATATATTTCGAGTAATATCACCTGTCAGAGTCATTATTTCATTCAGGGCTCTTTTTTTTTAGCAACGAAAAGATTTAGTGTGTCAGAAAATTATAGGTATATTCAGTCATTTGAATTTCATAAGTTCTGACCATGTGGAATATCCTAATTTTTGCTTGAATTGTGATTAGTGTGTAATAGTTCTTTAATTTACCTATTTACATATGAGCTGAGGAAAAAAAAGAACAAAGAAGCCATATATACATAATGGGTTATTTATTATGTGTAATATGTTTCAGAGAGCCAGTGCTCAGTTGAACAATAAATTTTTCTATTTTTGTTGGTTTTTAATTTTTTTCTACTGTTACCTCTGTTGTGTTCTGTCTCATTTTGTAAAGTTAATTTTGTTCTTTCTCCTAGCTTCTTAGTTCTTTTATTTTTTATTTATCATTTTTTAATGATAAAAGCGTTTAAGGCTGTTTACTTCTCGTTAACATGTAGTCACTTCCCATAGCTTTGGATACTTACCGTTTTCATTGTCATTGAGTACACATTTTTTATCTTTTAAAAGTCAGTTCTATCGAGGAATAATCATGTTAACTGCATTTTGATATTTTCTTTTACTTGAAAGTTATTTTAAAGTGTGGCTTTATTGTGGTTATCCTTACTACTACCCTATCGTTACTTCTAGTGTTAATTTAGAAATATTGCACCGTGGCTCGGCACTGTGGCTCACGCCCGTAATCCCAGCACTTTGCGAGGCCGAGGTGGGTGGATCATCTGAGGTCAGGAGTTCGAGGCCAGCCTGGCCAACATGGTGAAACCCCATCTCTACTAAAAATACAAAAATCAGCCAGGCATGGTGGCAGGTGCCTGTAATCCCAGCTTATTAGGGGGGTACTGAGACGGGAGAATTGCTTGAACCCGGGAGGCGGAGGTTGCAGTGAGCCGAGATCGCACCACTGTACTCCAGCCTGGGTGACAGAGCAAGACCCCGTCTCAAAAAATATAAAAGTATTGCACCATGGTCAGAGAATCTTAAGTCTTTCAGTTGTAAAGGATAGAAGCATAACTCAAAATAGCATTAGGTGGAAACACTATATATTGTTTCAAATTATTGAAAAGGATCCTAGGGTAACTTAGAGAATTGAAGGAACAAATGCAGGAACCAAGGCCCCTGGAGCTGAAATTTGGACAGGGAGAGAGGGAGGGAGGGAGAGAGAGCGAGAGAGAGAGAGAGAGAGAGAGTGTGTGTGTGTGTGTGTCTTTGTGTCTGTGTGTGTCTGGGATTACAGCTGTCAGCTACTGCCCCCAGGCCCCAGTATGGGCCTTCTTTAAGCTGGGGCCTTGAGACTCTCTGTACTTCCAACTACATGCAGTCTTACAGGCCTGAAAGGAGTACCTTTCTCTACCTCCAGCAGAAAGGACTCAGATTAGCTCAGTTTGAGTTCTGCGTCTGTCCATAAATTAACGAAAGCAGAAATGGGATGCACTTTATGTCCAGGCTGTATTCTGTTATTGTGGGGAAGAGTTTAAGTCTTCAAGTCATGTTTCTTGGGCTGACCTTAAGCAAGTTTCTTAGTTCCTCTGTACCCCCATTTTCTCATCTCTAGAATCAGGCCAGGTGCATTGGCTTGCACCTGTAACCCCAGCACTCTAGGAGGCCCAAGGGGGGCGATTGCTTGAGCTCAGGAATTTGAGGTCAGCCTGGGCAACATGGTGAAACCCAGGTTCTAGCAAAAATATGAAAATTAGCCAGGTGTGGTGGTGCATGCCTGTAGTCCCAGCTACTCCAGAGGCTGAAGCAGGAGGATCACTTGAACCTAGGAGGCTGAGGTTGCGGTTAGCCAGGATTGCACCACTGCACTCCAGCCTGGGCGACGGAATGAGACTCTGTCTCAAAACAAAACAAAAACCTGCTTTTGTAGTATTATGAGGGTTAAAGTAGTCCACATACTTCATACCTTTATGCTTTTAACTATTGAAGGAACCTCTTCAATGAATGAAAAAATTAAAACATCCAAGATTTATGCCGCATTTCCAGTCTCACCCTCCTCAGAATGACCATGTGCTTTACTCTGATACCGTATTCCTTTCTCTTCCCAACTGATCAGACTTTGCAAAAACAATCCAGTTTTCATTATTTTTAGAATGTATCTTTCTTATATTTACAAAATTCTCCCCTGAACATTTGAATTGAGTTTTTCAGCACATTTACTATGCCAAACACATGGTAAAAACTTTGTAAATATTGAATGTTTCCCAAAATGTATTTGATAACTACACTATTATGTTGTAAGATGATTATTATCAGAATTATTGCTGTGTTTAAATTATGTATAAAAATGTATTGCTCTAGAAGGAAGTGGTAGGCTATGTTTTTATTTGTATAATGTAAATATAGGTAAATTAATTTTTGAACCAAATAGGTATAATGTAGATTATACAAATGGAGACAGTTATAAAATTGCCTTAGAAGTAAAATTATACTGTGCTTATAGCTCTTTTATAACCATTTGAATGTGTTACAAAGTGTTATCAATGTGAGTGTGTTTTGTGGGCGGTTGGAGATGGTTGGAAGGATGGTTGATAAGGTAGGTCAGTGTTTTCATTAAGTGTGTGCTGCTGCTTCAGGGCAGAGGCTGAAAAACTTAGATTTTTTTTAGTTACATGATTTACTACATCTCAGGCAACCTGGATGACTTGGCATTTACTAAAGCAATTCACTGCTTTGCTGGTGCTTCAGCACCCTTCAGTCTGACAGCCCTGAAGTCTTGATTTGTAATTCTCCATATTTCCTATCATAGCACTTCTTCAAAAACAGCATATCTGGTCACCTTGAAATGTCAGTTCCTTAATAACTCCTTTTGTCCACTCTTCCTCCACCTTACCATACACAGAGTTCTTTGGAGGATTGCCATTAGTTTCTTTAAAACAGAATAACTAAAATTAAGAATATTTAATATTATTGGCCACTTTAAGTGTCTTTA